>NC_000005.10:45170849-45803374 GCF_000001405.40 Homo sapiens | reverse complement strand
ACTATCAAAAACAAAATAAAAGATATAAATAGTATTACATCAAAGACAAACTAAATGTCTAAATTCATTTATTTACCAGAAAAGTTTAAACTCAGAGAGTGTCATTGTTGAATCTTCCAAACTTCCAAGGAAGGAAAACATTCAACTTTAATAAACCCTTACAGAGCATAACAGATTAAGACTGCTTCATATTTTTTATATAAACAGTATAACCTAAAATTTAAAATCTGAACAGGACATTACAAAAATGAAAATTATATGTTAGTTTCTCTCACAAACAAAGATACAAAAATCTTACCAAAATATTATCTAAGTGAACCCAGTGCGAAGTCTCACTCTAGAAATATCTAATTGTTTTAACATGTGAAAATAAATCAATATAATCCTCTACCTGAACAGAATAAAGGAGAAAATTATATTAATTAATCACCTCAATAGAGACGGAAAAAGTATCTGATAAATTTTAATGTACTTTAAATAAACACTTAGCAATCTATAAATAAGTGGAAAACTGCTTAATCTGATAAAAGGATATCTTTAGAACGTCTACAGCCAATATGATATCAAGTGATAAAATATTGAAATATTTTTCCTGACAGTAGTAAATGAGACATAATTTTCTGTTGTTCTTACTTCTGTCAATATTGTCATGGAGATCTGGGACAATGCATGAGGCCAAGAAAAATAAATAAAACTAATAAGCAGGAAAAAGAAAGACAAAACAAAAAACAAAACAATCTTTCATTAGGAATACAGAAAAGAATGACGCTAGTTTCACCTGGGTAAAACACAATTCCTTGCAGAAGAAACAGTTGACCTGTTTCTTACACAGGGCTAGAAAATTATAGAAAGAACATTCAATCATAATAAGCATTATCAATATATGGAATCATGAAATGATTTGGCATACTCAGGGAATGATATAAATTACAGATATATTAGTCTGTTTTCATGCTACTGATTAAGACATACCTGAGATGGGGCAATTTACAAAAGAAAAAGGTTTATTGGAGTTAGAGTTCCATGTGGCTAGGGAGGCCTCACAATTATGGTGGAAGGTGAAAGTCATGTCTCACATGGTAGCAGACAAAAGAAGAGAGAACTTGTGCAGGGAAACTCTCCCTTGTAAAACCATCAGATCTCATAAGACTTATTCACTATCATGAGAACAGCACAGAAAAGACCTGCCCCCATGATTCAATTACCTCCCACTGGGTCTCTCTTACAACACATGGGAATTCCAGATGAGATTTGGGTGGGGGCACAGCCAAACCATATCAACAGAGTACCTATGCTACTCATAAAATATAGAGGATTTTTTTAATAGAGTGACTTGGCAAATTCCTTTCTCAGAAAAGGAAAGTGAGTGGGCAAAGAAACACAGAAAACAAGGTGAGGTATACATGGGAAATATTGTAGGGTGGACAAGGAATAAGATATTTGAAGGAAAAAAGTAATGGCTAAGAAAAGTAGATTAACAATAGATTGTGGAGCATTTTGACAGACTAAATAACTTAAAATAGTATACTCAGGCAGTGTGTAACCATTGATGTTCTTAGCAGAGAAGTGATGAAGACCATGATTAGAGTACATAAAACTGGAAAAACCAAAACAGAGATAGACCATTTAGAAAGCCGTTGTCATAGTCCTAGCAAAAAATAATGAGATTTGGACTAAAATCAATCATAAATTTGGAATGAAAAAACAGAATATATTCTAGATACATTAGGAATGATAGGAGATAGTATCACCAGATCCTTCGGGTGTCATTTTCCAGCTGGAAACCTCTGTGGCCAGTGACACCTTTGCCCAAGTTTTGCTAGGGGCCACTGTGCATGTTTCACCCACTCAACCTGGCAGGCTGTGTTTGGCTCACACTACTGGCCTGGATTCCACACCCGCCAAGGTCAAGCAAGGTGTGGAACAGTGAAGAAACATGAGCAACAAGTGCAGAGTCCACCCACTACACAGAGCCAGGCGTGCTGGCTGCTGTGATGGGGCAGGCAGCTCCAGGTGCTGGCAGAGGCACCAGCTCTGTGCAAGCCTGAAGCTGGATCAGATGCACCCACAAGCAGCTTCTGCTGTGGGCACCCACATGTGGAAAAGGGGAATGCAATGGAACCCAGAATATTGGAGATGCCAGAAAACACAGAGCCCCAAAGAGGGTGTCAAAGCCCTGGCTTGGGGAGCCCCTAGGTCTGGGCTTCCTGAAGGGCCACAGCTCTTCTCTCCTTTTTGTCACCCAGAATTTGGTGAGCGGGGGTGAGCATGCCTGTTTCAGCCCTGTTTGTGTTACAGCTCTTTATCAGTCCCACCATTCAGCAGGTCCCGAGTTCTTGTTCTGTGTCCAGGAAGAATGAGGTATGTGCACAACTGGAGGTTGAGCAAGGTGGAGAGGAGTTTTATTAAACAACAGAACAGGTCTCATGAGATCCAAAGTGGGTAGCTCCTTTCTGCAGACAGGTGGTCCTGACGAGTGCAGCCCTCAGCGGAGAGGAGGCCTGGAGTGGGTAGCTCCTTTTCGCAGGCAGGTTCTCCCAACAAATGTCCAGCTCTCAGAAGAGAGGAGACCTGTTGTGAGTAGCTCCTTTCCCCAAGCAGGTTGTCCCAATGAGTCAAGGAGATCCAAATTGGCTAGCTCCTTTCTGCAGCTGGAACTTCTGACATCTGTGTGAATCTGGCTGAGTCTGGGGTTTTTATGGGCTCAGAAAAGAGAAAGTGCATGCTGACTGGTCCATAGGCAGCCATGAGTGGGCCTGGAAAAAGGACCATAAGTTCTCACTCTGGGCCTCAGACTCCACCTGGAAGTGGCAGCCTGGCCTCCAGGCTTCAGGCTGTTCCTAGCTTGAAGGAGGGGTTTCACTGGGGAGCCGCCCCTTTCCATCCAGGAATGTGACTGCCTCCTGTCATCATCAACATGTTGTCTGCAGGGCCCTGGCTGTCTGGGCCAAGGGATGCTTTCAGGCCCACTCCGAGCTGCCCTCAGCACCCCTGGTCTCCCTTCCATGCTTGTCAGTGCCTGAAGTCTGGAGGAGTCTGAGGCAGCAGGGGTCTGGCATGTCAGCACCACCCTGGGTGTGTGCACACCTTGCCAGATTGGGCTCAGCTACAACTTTGCTCTTATTGGAGCAGACACCAGGAGCAGGGGGAGGCCAGGGAGTGGGAACAGGTACTTCAGAACCTGTGGGGGTAGCAGGGTCTTCCTGGGTCCCTGAGAGAACAGGGATGCCCAGGTCCAGAGTTGTGCTGGGTGGCTGCAGCTGTACCCAGGAGCATGGGTCTCCTGCCCCACCTAGTCAGTAGGGGGCAGGGCTTCACATTTTCTTGACCCCTGCCGGCTCTGCAGAGCATGCAATGCCAGCCACATGTCCCCTTCTGCAACTGGTGTCTTCACAGCAGCCACTCCAGCCACTGCCATCAAACCCCCCACTGAAGATGTACACCTAACTGCCATTAAGATAGAAATGAAGACTGTTCTTAACTGCTTCCTGCTGACAGAGCACATTGTTTTGGGGAAGGGGGCAGTCAGATCTCTCTCAGAGGCCTATATAATAGTCCCTGGTAAGAAGGAAGCCATTGTTTGAGGCTCTAGTCTCATGACCACTTGGAGCTTAATGACCTCTATGCAAGAAGATAAACACAATTTACAGGAGGTTAAGTATGTGAAGGAAAAAAAATCTAGTGCCAAAGATAACAGAAATAAGAATTAAAATAAACTAATCATTCTGAAAACAATGTTGTGGTTGGAGCTGTTTCACCCTGGTGAAATAAGCTCAATCTTGTGTGGGGGCAGTTAAACATTAAAAGAGAAATAACTGTTTAGGGGAGTAGATAATCCCCGGGGAGTTCAGGATTAAGGGGTTCTTGACAAAGATGTCTTATGGTGATGAACAGAACAAAAGTGAAATCAGTAAGTATAGGATATCCATGGAGGGTTAATTGTTAGCACTTATCTTTTATAATGTTTAGTTTGAGGTCCATGATTTATTTACTGCACTCCTGAATCAGCAGAGGTAATTTTGTCAGTTTCCTATGCCTTTTTTTCAAGCACAATGAATCCAAGAACCTATTCCAGTGACCTTTACTGCCATAGGAGTAGAAAGAAGTGCAGTGTAAGGTCCCTCCCATTCTGTTCCTACATGGAAGGCTTGGTGGAAGATTTTAAGAACTTTCCATTGGCTGGAAGCTGGTAGATGAAGCTTGCCATCCTCTGATTACAGCCATCCTGAACACTGAAGGGTGTATCCCCAAGAGGCAGCCCATTCTATCTCCACAGGGTAATGCTGAGGTTTTATTTCTTTTAAGGAGCCCTCTCAGATCAGAGGGGTCTCAAGTGCATCAGAAATCTGGGGCCCTTTCACTGCTGATTTATATGCTTTGTCTGCCAACATATTTCCCTCAGCTATTTCATCCATCCTTTTTTGGTGGCTTTTACAGTGTATTACTGCCACTTCCTGTGGAAAGAAGACTGAGAATAATAGTCTGTTAATTTTCTGATGGTATTTAATGGGAGACCCATTAGCTGTGAGGAAGTCCCTCTCTTTCCAGATAATGACATGGGCATGGAGGACTAGGAAAGCATAATAAGAATCAGGATAAATGTTAACTGCTTTCCCCTTGCTTAATTCAAGCACTCTCATGAGGACGATTAGCTCAGCTAGTTGAACATTTGTGCCGAGGAGAGAGCTGCACTCTCAATAGCGTCATTCAGGGTGACTATTGCATACTATGTTTTATGGATCCCTTGCTCTACGAAGGAATTTCTGTCCATAAAAAGAGTCCAGTCTGAGTTCTCTAAGGTTTTTTTTTAGGTCCTGTATGATGGCATAGGTTTGTACTACTATTTGTTCATACTCACATTTAAGATCCCCAGCTTCCTCTTGGAGGAAGATGGCTGGGTTTAGAAAGGGATTAGTTCTTAACTGGATTGAAGATCCTTCTGATATTTGTGGAGGCAGTTGTCCATTAGCCAGAGACTCTCCTTAGAAGACAGCAGTCCGGCCAAATTATGTGGGGTATAAATTGTTAAGTTATTCCCCATGGTTAACTTAGTAGCCTCTGGTACCACTGCAACTGCTTGGAGGCAGGCTGATCATCCTTTAGCTACCAAATCAAGCTCCTTACTTACTTAGCCTACAGGCTGCTGGGCTGGACCTCAGACCTGGCTTAGAACTCCCAGGGCCATTCCCTTCCCTTCTGAGACATAAAGATTGAACATCTACCCAATGAGAAGACTGAGGGCTGGTGCTTCAAGCAAGACTTGTTTTAATTGGTCAAAGGTCGTTTAAGCCTCTGGTTCCCAAGTTAGGGAATGTGTCTTGGCTGAGTTTCCTTTATTAGGTGACATAAGGGATGAGCTATTTTACTGTACCCAGGTATTCTTAGTCTGGAGAATCCTGTAATGTCCAAGAATCCCCTCAGATGCTTGAGGGTTGGGGGAGGGTAAAGGAGAAGATGGGCCTGATTCTTTCCTCACCTAGTGCCCTGGTACCCTCTGACAAGACTATACCTGGGTACTTCACTGAAGTCTGACAGAGCTTAGCCTTTACTTTTGAGAACTTATATCCTCTGTTAGCCAGAAAATTAAGAAGAGCCTTATTGTCCCCCCGAGATAATTCCTCAGTGGGGGCATGAAGGAGAATGTCATCTACATATTGTAAAATGTTAACCTGAGGATAAAGAAACTCAGATCTATTGACAATGCCTGCCCAAACAGATGGGGGCTGCCTTGGAATCCCTGAGGTAACACTGTCTAGGTTAGCTGGGTGGCCTTGTTGGAGAGATTCTTGAATGCAGACAAATACTGGGAGTTGGGTTGTAGCAGAATGCAGAAAAAGGCATCCTTTAGGTCCAGGACTGTGAACCATTTAGTTCTCTCAGGTACTTGAGTTAGCAGGGTATAGGCATTGAGAACCACTGGGTGAATTGAAACCACAGCTTCATTAAAGAGGCAGAAGTCCTGGATCAGTCTCCCTTCCCCATTGGGTTTTTGGGCCCTGAATATCAGGGTATTAGAAGGGCTGTTGGAGGGTTTGAGAAGATGTTGCATTCTCAAGTTATCAATGATGGCTTCTAGTCCTTTTATAACTTCTGGTTTTAGGGGATATTGTCTCTGCTTAGGGAAGGAGGTAGAATCCTTAAGATGGATCTGGACCAGTGTGGCAGTTGTGGCTAAGCCAATTTTCCCTTGAGTTGCCCAAACCTCTGGGCTAATATCGGTCTCCACTAGGGGGAGACAAAGAGTTTGTCCTGGAGCCATAAGGATGGTGGTTCTCATACAAGCCAAAATATCCCTGCCCAACAAAAGAGTTGGCCTTTAAGGCATGATTTAAAAGGCATGAGTAAACAAGTAGTCTCCCCAACTACAACTAAGGGGTTGGGAAAAATATCAGGGTAAAGGATTTCCTGAAACACCCCTCACAGTCATGCTAAGAGAGGAAGGGGAGCCTGGATTGGAGAGGAGAACTGAAAGGCCCACTCTGGTGTCCAGGAGGAGGTCCGTCTTCCTCCCTTCAACTCCCAGAATTAACTGGGACGTCTGGATGGTAATGGTGGTCTGAACCACCAAAGCCAGGGAGAAAAGCTCCAAGACCAGTCAGTCCTGCTGGACCATTTGGGAGACTGGCTCTGGACCAAGTGACCTGTGTCTCTGGGTATAGTCCACCCTCCAGTGGTTCCCATTACAAATTGGACAGGGTCAAGGTGGCTTTCTCATGTTGCCTGGATAGTCCTTCCTAAAGTACCCTGACTTGCCACATTTGTAGCCGATAATAGGTACATGTCAGAGACTCTGGGGTTTGTGAGCCTACATGGCAGCTATTAGAGACTCTGCCTTATTCTTGTATTTCTTTTCTTTTCTGGACTTCCTCCTAATCCCTATTGTAAAAACAGAGGTGGCCACTTTTAGGAGGTTCTCTAAAGTACTGTTTGCTCCTATAGACTGTTTTGGAAGTGTCCTCCTGATAATCAGGGTCTGCCTGAGTTATAAACTTATTCTTTTGGATCAGTTGTCCCTTGACTGAATCAGGAGATAGAGCGGTGTGCTTTACCAAGGCCCCTGTTAGCCTTTCCAGGAGGGTAGTGGGATTCTCACCCAATCCCTGGTGTATCATGGATAGTTTGGGGTAACTGAGAGACTTAGTTCTAGTTCTTCAATTAGCCCTCCAGCATGCACACCTGAAAGTGTTGCCTCTTCTGTTCTTTCACTTCATCATTGTGGTCCCATTTATGGTCCTCCAATGATACCTCTTGTCTTCCAATTGGATGAGGCTCATCCCCTTCCCTGGCACTTTATGAGATACAAAGCTCATTCCTGAAAGTCTCTGCTGCTTGCAGGGCAGCCTGCCTTTCCGTGGTAGTCATGGTCTGATTCAAAAGTAACATAACATCCTTCCAAGAGAGTTCAAATACTTTGGTTAAATTCTGGAAAGCCTCTATATACCTGTCAGAATGGTCTAAAAATTTGCCAGGATCTCCCTTAATTTTCCTTAAATCCTGTAGAGAAAAGGGGACCTAGATCTTAATGGGGCCACATTCACTAGGCATATGTTGTGGGGGAAGGAGTAAGACTGGGACCTGCCTAAAACAAAGATTTCTAGGCTGGGGCAAGCTTGAGAGAGGACCTGGATAGGGAGGAGTGAAGGGAGTTGAATCTCCTGCTGGAAGTACCTCTGGGGTTTGCTTCCCTAGTTCCCTGAAGCCTCTCCTGAGATGGCCACTAGGAGGACTGAATCAATCCTACAGTGTTGGCAAAGGTCTGGATTACCCTGCAAGACAATGAAAGCCTGCACATATGGAACCTCAGATCATTTGCCTTCATGTTTACAGAGAGGGTCCAGCTTCAGGATGGTATTGAAATTTATGCTTCCTTCTTGAGGCCATGCTTCTCCTTTCTGCAGAACATAATTCGGCCATGGCTATGTGCAAAGAAATATGAGGCACTTTTTCTCAAGAGTCTGATGGTCAAAGGAGTCCCAGTGATTCAGGATACACTCTAGAGGAGTGTATGCTGAAGATGATTGCTTAACCATCTGGAAGAGAGGACAGAGGAGGAAAAGGCATTTTTTCCTCTCTCCAGAATCTGAGGACCAAGGGGGTCTCAGGGATTCAGGATGCACTCAAGAAGAGTGCAGGCTGAAGATTGGTTACCCATCTGAAAAGAGGGTATATATCGGCAGTTAAAGCACATATTTTTGGTTTCTTCATCTAATACAAAAGAAAGAGAGAGCTTTTATTCTATCAAATTTTGTTTTTATAATTTGTTTATAGATTTCATTCTATCAAATTTTGTTTTAATATTTTTACCAGTTAGAGAGGAAATAAAGCCTGTTTTCATCACACTCAGTGAAATATTTGACTCACATGAATATTGGAAAACATCTCTGGTTTTTTTAATTCAAATAACAGAAAATTCCAACCACAGAGATTTGTGCATTTTTTTTTCACTTAAAGTGTTACAGTAGATAGCTAGTCAGAAATGAGCAGGGTAGGAGAGGGCTCTCCCCACAACCCACCACCAGGAATGTCAGACAACCATCAAGTGATGCATAGGCAGTTATTAAACTGTTCTTCTAAAATAATAATTGATGACAGCAGGCACCAGGGAAAGGCTGTCTCCCAATAGACAGAAAAAAACCTAAAACTGGTGATCAGGTTTTTTTCAGCAATGAAGAATGGAGTATATGAATTAATCCAATAAGATTGCAGCACCTGGGTGAGTGGGCTCAGGCATGTTTATTAAGAGGTGAAATGGCAGAGTTTAACTGGAATATGACCTTCTAGGGACATTCTACGGGTAAGAGAAGAAAGCCTCAAGTGAGCCTGCGTACAACTCCAGTAAATACACAGCACATGCAGCCCCTTCAAAGTGCTGGCAGGCCACTGCACATGGACACCCCACTCCAAGAGAACAATCAGGGAAGAAGGAAGTCAAGACTCCAGAAGCATGACAACATATAAAGCCCGAAGTCAAAAGGTCAGACCTGCACTTCATCTCTCAAGTCGCCTACTCAGCTCGCTTTCAAGTGTATTTTCCTCCTTTTCATTTTTGCTCTAAAGCTTTCAATTAACATTCACTCCCACTCTAAAACTTGCCTTGGTCTCTCCTTCTGCCTTATGCCCTTCAGTTGAATTTTTTCTTCTGAGGAGGCAAGAATTGAGGTTACTGTGGTCTCATACAGATTCGCTGCTGATAACATACTTTGGTGCTTGAGTGACTCAGACATGTTCCACTGCCAGCAAAAGTGCTTTGTCCATAAAAGAAGGAAACAATGGCAATGGTTGTCCTCCTTTCCTCTTCTGAGCCTCAGAAAAACCCCAGAGAACAATTAGTTTGTTTAATAAATGCGTTCTACTGCATTGTGCTGATTTAAGGTACTAGGTATTTAAAATAAAACCTAGGGCACATGAAAATGTTAGAGTTTGTTAGAGCAGACAGTGACTCATGAATCAAGCAGTGCTAGACCCCAAGGGGTTCAGGCCTTCATTGAGAGGTCTCAAGGGGAAAACTTTTATAAGGTGTTTGTGGAAACAAGACAAAAAATGATACTTGGTTGGTTAAAGTGGAAAGTCCCTAGTTAGAGGTTAGTTGGCAGTTTTGTATTGGTTAAGCCTAAGTTTCGTTTTATTTGTTTTCGGGTTGCGTTTTGATCTGTTTATGGAGGAACCTTAGGCGCTGAAGTCATCTGAGCTCAACAGTCTCTCAATAAATTAAAAAAAAAAAACAGTGTATAAAGCTTAATAGAACTTCATTTTCTTCACATGTTGTTTTCAGGATCCCCTTCCCTTATTTTATTTTGCAGTTGTTGGTCAATCGCAATGCAAGAAATTCAAGAGAACATTAACATTCAATAAATTTTTTTTAATGGAATGACCATACGGAGATTACTCAAACTTGACATGACCCTAACAACTACAGGAAATGATCATGCCAATACAATCCTTGAAAGTGTCATTGAATCTACATTTCCCATCTATGAGTTACACCAGTTTTTAGGCAAATCACTTGAACCAGAAATCTAAAAGTTATTTGCAATTTCTGTGTGCTTTACTGCTTATCAAGTAAGCCTCTTAAGATTTTTGATATAAATCCCCACCTCTAACCCCATTTCTGCTGCCATAGGACATATCAGAAATAGAGACTGAAAATGATAAGAAACCAAATACAGTAAGTATTTAATTAACAAAAAAAATTAATTTTACTTACGTTTGTTTGTGTGCATATGATAGCATATATATTTTGCTTGAGATATTTGAAACTGTTTAGTTATTTCACATGCCTATTTTTGCTAATATGTACTTAAATTTGAAATTCCATACTGAGCACAGTGGTACATAATTATGTAAATAGCCCAATCACTCATATTCTCCCTTTCCACTAGAATTGCTTTACATGCTTTTGATACCTTTTCTTTTGTAAATGGTTGAATCTTTTCTATCTTGTTTAACTCTGACTTTCTGCTCATTAACTTTAATAGTTTTTTCTAGTTCCAATGTTGTAGAATTTGTGGATATTTACTATTTTATTCTCACTCCCCAAAATGCAGTGTCTCATTACAAACATTTCACAACTTTACATATATATATATACACACACATACATATGTATATATTCTTATTGTCTTCTTTGAGTACATAAGAAGTCATTCTTCTTATAAAATCAATATTATAGATCAAGTTACTTTTAAATGATTGATTTGATAGTATAAAAATGTAATTAAATGTCATATTGACAAATTGTTGACCAGTCTTCCAGTGACGATATAATATAGTTTAGTAATGGATAATTTACAAAATGTTGCTGGAGCTTTCTAGGTTGCAGAAAGCTGCAGGAGTACATCGTTCTTATCCTGACAACAAAGAAAAAATATACAAATATCTACAAAACCCTAACTTTTCTGAAACTCATCAGAGACATGGGTATTCAAGCCGATGTGTTGAACTAAAGGCCAAAGGGAGACACATCCCTTAAAAGGGCCTATGAACCATTTCATCTTGAGCAGAACACAAGAGAAATAAAGAAGCTGCCCTACTAGTTGGTAAGACAAAACAACTGAAATTTCAACATTTTCTTTTCTTTTATTATTTTATTATTATTATACTTTAAGTTTTAGGGTACATGTGAACAACGTGCAGGTTTGTTACATATTTATACATGTGCCATTTTGGTGTGCTGCACCCATTAACTCGTCATTTAGCATTAGGTATATCTCCTAATGCTATCCCTCCCCCCTCGCCCCACCCCACAACAGTCCCCGGAGTATGATGTTCCTCTTCCTGTGTCCATGTGTTCTCGTTGTTCAGTTCCCACCTATAAGTGAGAATATGCAGTGTTTGGTTTTTTGTCCTTGTGATAGTTTACTAAGAATGATGGTTTCCAGCTTCATCCATGTCCCTACAAAGGACATGAACTCATCATTTTGTATGGCTGCATAGTATTCCATGGTGTATATGTGCCACATTTTCTTAATCCACTCTATTATTGTTGGACATTTGGGTTGGTTCCAAGTCTTTGCTATTGTGAATAGTGCAGCAATAAACATACATGTGCAGTGCATGTGTCTTTATAGTAGCATGATTTATAATCCTTTGGGTATATACTCAGTAATGGGATGGCTGGGTCAAATGGTATTTCTAGTTCTAGATCCCTGAGGAATCACCACACTGACTTCCACAATGGTTGAACTAGTTTACAGTCCCACCAACAGTGTAAAAGTGTTCCTATTTCTCCACATCCTCTCCAGCAACTGTTGTTTCCTGACTTTTTAATGATTGCCATTCTAACTGGTTTGAGATGGTATCTTATTGTGGTTTTGATTTGCATTTCTCTGATGGCCAGTGATGTGAGCATTTTTTCATGTGTTTTTTGGCTGCATAAATGTCTTCTTTAGAGAAGTCTGTTCATATCCTTCGCCCACTTTTTGATGGGGTTGTTTGTTTTTTTCTTGTAAATTTGTTTGAGTTCATTGTAGATTCTGGATATTAGCCCTTTGTCAGATGAGTAGATTGCAAAAATTTTCTCCCATTCTGTAGGTTGCCTGTTCACTCTGATGGTAGTTTCTTTTGCTATGCAGAAGCTCTTGAGTTTAATTAGATCCCATTTGTCAGTTTTGGCTTTTGCTGCCATTGCTTTTGGTGTTTTAGACATGAAGTCCTTGCCCATGCCTATGTCCTGAATGGTATTGCCTAGGTTTTCTTCTAGAGTTTTTATGGTTTTAGGTCTAACATGTAATTCTTTAATCCATCTTGAATTAATTTTTGTAAAAGGTGTAAGGAAGGGATCCAGTTTCAGCTTTCTGCTTATGGCTAGCCAGCTTTCCCAGCACCATTTATTAAATAAGGAATCCTTTCCCCATTGCTTGTTTTTGTCAGGTTTGTCAAAGATCAGATAGTTGTAGATATGTGGCATTATTTCTGAGGGCTCTGTTCTGTTCCATTGTTCTATATCTCTGTTTTGGTACTAGTACCATGCTGTTTTGGTAACTGTAGCCTTGTAGTATAGTTTGAAATCAGGCAGCGTGATGCCTCCAGCTTTGTTCTTTTGGCATAGGATTGACTTGGCAATGTGGGCTCTTTTATGGTTCCATACGAATTTTAAAGTAGTTTTTTCCAATTCTGTGAAGAAAGTCATTGATAGCTTGATGAGGGTGGCATTGAATCTGTAAATTACCTTGGGCAGTATGGCCATTTTCACAATATATTATTCTTCCTACCCATGAGCATGGAATGTTCTTCAATTGGTTTGTATCCTGTTTTATTTCATTGAGCAGTGGTTTGTAGTTCTCCTTGAAGAGGTCCTTCACATCCCTTGTACATTGGATTCCTAGGTATTTTATTCTCTGTGAAGCAATTGTGAATGGGAGTTCAGTCATGATTTGGCTCTTTGTTTGTCTGTTATTGGTGTATAAGAATGCTTGTGATTTTTGTACATTAATTTTGTATCCTGAGACTTTGCTGAAGTTGCTTATCAGCTTAAGGAGATTTTGGGCTGAGACGATGGGGTTTTCTAGATATACAATCATGTCATCTGCAAACAGGGACAATTTGACTTCCTCTTTTCCTAATTGAATCCCCTTTCTTTCTTTCTCTTGCCTGATTGCCCTGGCCAGAACTTCCAACACTGTGTTGAACAGGAGTGGTGAGAGAGGGCATCCTTGTCTTGTGCCAGTTTTCAAAGGGAATGCTTCCAGTTTTTGTCCATTCAGTATGATATTGGCTGTGGGTTTGTCATAGATAGCTCTTATTATTTTGAGATAAGTCCCATCAATACCTAATTTATTGAGAGTTTTTGGCATGAAGGGTTGTTGAATTTTGTCAAAGGCATGTTCTGCATCTATTGAGATAATCATGTGGCTTTTGTCTTTGGTTCTGCTTATATGCTGGATTACGTATATTGATTTTTGTATGTTGAACCAACGTTGCATCCCAGGGATGAAGCCCACTTGATCATGGTGGATAAGCTTTTTGATGTGTTGCTGGATTCAGTTTGCCAGTATTTTATTGAGGATTTTTGCATCAATGTTCATCAAGGATATTGGTCTAAAATTCTCTTTTTTTGTTGTGTCTCTGCTAGGCATTGGTATCAGGATGATGCTGGCCTCATAAAATGAGTTAGGGAGGATTCCCTTTGTTTCTATTGATTGGAATAGTTTCAGAATCAATGGTACCAGCTCTTCCTTGTACCTCTGGTAGAATTCAGCTGTGAATCCATCTGGTCCTGGACTTTTTTTGGTTGGTAAGCTATTGATTATTGCCTCAGTGTCAGAGCCTGTTATTGGTCTATTCAGAGATTCAACTTTTTCCTGATTTAGTCTTGGGAGGGTGTATGTGTCCAGGAATTTATCCTTTTCTTGTAGGTTTTCTAGTTTATTTGCGTATATGTGTTTATAGTATTCTCTGATGGTAGTTTGTATTTCTGTAGGATCAGTGGTGATATCCCCTTTGTCATTTTTTATTGCATCTATTTGATTCTTCTTTCTTTTCTTCTTCATTAGTCTTGCTAGCGGTCCATCAATTTTGTTGATCTTTTCAAAAACCAGCTCCTGGATTCATTGATTTTTGAAGGGTTTTTTGTGTCTCTATTTCCTTCAGTTCTGCTCTGATCTTAGTTATTTCTTGCCTTCTGCTAGCTTTTGAATGTGTTTGCTCTTGCTTTTCTAGTTATTTTAATTGTGATGTTCGGGTGTCAATTTTAGATCTTTCCTGCTTTCTCTTGTGGGCATTTAGTGCCATAAATTTCCCTATACACACTGCTCTGAATGTGTCCCAGAGATTCCGGTTACGTTGTGTCTTTGTTCTCGTTGGTTTCAAAGAAGATCTTTATTTCTGCCTTCATTTTGTTATGTACCCAGTAGTCATTCAGGAGCAGGTTGTTCAGTTTTCATGTAGTTGAGCAGTTTTGAGTGAGTTTCTTAATCCTGAGTTCTAGTTTGATTGCACTGTGGTCTGAGAGACCGTTTGTATAATTTCTGTTCTTTTACATTTGCTGAGGAGAGCTTTACTTCCAACTATGTGGTCAATTTTGGAATAGGTGTGGTGTGATGCTGAAAAAAATGTATATTCTCTTGATTTGGGGTGGAGAGTTCTCTACATGTCTATTAGGTCAGCTTGGTGCAGAGCTGAGTTCAATTCCTGGATATCCTTGTTAACTTTCTGTCTCTTGATCTGCCTAATGTTGACAGTGGGGTGTTAAAGTCTCCCATTATTATTGTGTGGGAGTCTAAGTCTCTTTTTAGATCACTAAGGACTTGCTTTATGAATCTGGATTCTCCTGTATTGGGTGCATATATATTTAGGATAGTTAGTTCTTCTTGTTGAATTGATCCCTTTACCATTATGTAATGGCCTTCTTTGTCTCTTTTGATCTTTGTTGGTTTAAAGTCTGTTTTATCAGAGCCTAGGATTGCAACCCCTGCCTTTTTTCATTTTCCATTTGCTTGGTAGATCTTCCTCCATCCCTTTATTTTGAGCCTATGTGTGTCTCTGCACATGAGATGGGTTTCCTGAATACAGCACACTGATGGGTCTTGACTCTTTATCCAATTTGCCAGTCTGTGCCTTTTAATTGGAGCATTTAGCCCATTTCCATTTAACGTTAACATTTTTATGTGTGAATTTGATCCTGTCATTATGATGTTAGCTGGTTATTTTGCTCGTTAGTTGATGCAGTTTCTTCCTAGCCTTGAAGGTCTTTACAATTTGGCACGTTTTTGCAATGGCTTGTACTGACTGTTCCTTTCCATGTTTATTCCTTCCTTCAGGAGCTCTTTTAGGGCAGGCCTGGTGGTGACAAAATCTCTCAGCATTTGCTTGTCTGTAAAGTATTTCCTTTCTCCTTCACTTATGAGGCTTAGTTTGGCTGGATATGAAATTCTGGGTTGAAAATTCTTTTCTTTAAGAATGTGGAATATTGGCCCCCACTCTCTTCTGGCTTGTGGAGTTTCTGCTGAGAGATCAGCTGTTAGTCTGATGGGCTTCCCTTTGTGGTTAACCCAACATTTCTCTCTGGCTGCCGTTAACATTTTTTCCTTCATTTCAACTTTGGTGAATCTGACAATTATGTGTCTTGGAGTTGCTCTTCTCAAGGAGTATCTTTGTGGCATTCTCTGTATTTCCTGGTTTTGAATGTTCGACTGCCTTGCTAGATTGGGGAAGTTCTCCTGGATAATATCCTGCAGAGCATTTTCCAACTTGGTTCCATTCTCCCCGTCACTTTTGGGTACACCAATCAGACATAGATTTATTCTTTTCACATATTCCCATATTTCTTGGAGACTTTGTTCATTTGTTTTTATTCTTTTTTCTCTAAACTTCTCTTCGTGCTTCACTTCATTCACTTCATCTTCCATCACTGATACCCTTTCTTCCAGTTGATTGCATCATCTACTGAGGCTTGTGCATTCATCACGTAGTTCTTGTGCCATGGTTTTCAGCTCCTTCAGGTCCTTTAAGGACTTCTCTGCATTGGTTATTCTAGTTATCCATTCATCTAATTTTTTTCAAAGTTTTTAACTTCTCTGCCATTTGTTTGAACTTCCTCCTTTAGCTTGGAGTAGTTTGATCTTCTGAAGACTTCCTCTCTCAACTCATCAAAATCTTTCTCCTTCCAGCTTTGTTCTGTTGCTGGTGAGGAGCTGCATTCCTTTGGCAGAGGAAAGGCACTCGGATTTTTAGAGTTGCTGGTTTTTCTTCTCTGTTTTTTCCCCATCTTTGTGGTTTTATCTACCTTTGGTCTTTGATGATAGTGATGTACAGATGGGTTTTTGGTGTGGATGTCCTTTCTCTTTGTTAATTTTCCTTCTAACAGTCAGGAACCTCAGCTGCAGGTGTGTTGGAGTTTGCTGGAAGTCCACTCCAGACCCTGTTTGCCTGGGTACCAGCAGTGGTGGCTGCAGAACAGCGGATATTGGTCAACAGCAAATGCTGCTGCCTGATCATTCCTCTGGAAGTTTTGTCTCAGAGGAGTACCCAGTCGTGTGAGGTGTCAGTCTGCCCCTGCTGGGGGGTGCCTCCCAGTTAGGCTACTTGGGGTTAGGGACCCACTTGAGGAGGCTGTCTGCCTGTTCTCAGATCTCAAGCTGTGTGCTGGGAGAACCACTACTCTCTTCAAAGCTGTCAGACAGGGACATTTAAGTCTGCAGAGGTTATTGCTGTCTTTTTTTTGTCTTTGCCCTGCCCCCAGAGATCGAGCTTACAGAGGCAGGAAGGCCTCCTTGAGCTGCGGTGGGCTCCACCTTGTTCGAGGTTCCTGGCCCCTTTGTTTACCTACTCAAGCCTGGGCAATGGCTGGCACCCCTCCCCCAGCCTCACTGCCACCTTGCAGTTTGATCTCAGACTGCTGTGCTAGCAATGAACTAGGCTCCGAGGGCATAGGACCCTCTGAGCCAGGTGCAGGCTTTAATCTCCTGGTGTGCCATTTTTTAAGCCCATTGGAAAAGCTCAGTATTAGGGTAGGAGTGACCCAATTTTCCAGGTTCCGTCTATCACCCCTTTCTTTGACTAGGAAAGGGAATTCCCTGACCCCTTGCACTTCCTGGGGGAGGCAATGACTTGCCCTGCTTTGGCTCATGCACGATGTGCTGCACCCACTGTCCTGCACCCACTGTCCAGCACTCCCCAGTGAGATGAACCTGGTACCTCAGTTGGAAATGTAGAAAACACCGTCTTCTGCATCACTTACGCTGGGAGCTGTAGAGTGGAGCTGTTCCTATTTGGCCATCTTGGCTCCACCTCCTCAACATTTTATTAAAACACCAGTTTGTAGTGATCAGCTTAGAATCTTGGGCATACGAACAAACATTTTCTTCACAGGCTTCTAGTATGTGTACTTACGAGAAACGGAGGGGGCAGATCAGGTCACCTGAAAGAACCCACCCTTGTCCCCAGTCCTCACAGCCAGTGGCATACAGATAAAAATCTCCTTCCACTTTTTGGGCTCTTGCCTCTTACAAACCAAAAGCATTAAGAAACTGGACAAGGGGCAGAAAACTCTCCCACACTTAATAGCTCTTCAAAAACCCAATCTTCCCTCTGGGGTAGAATAGAATCAGCAAGTCATTTACCTTTTAGGAGAGGGGAAGAACCCTCCAGCATCCAGGTTTAAGCAACTGCAAACATCTTGATGGAGGATAAAACAAATGTTGTATGCCTCTGAGGGAGGGGGAGGAAAACCCTGGGACACACCACGAACTTTGTACTATGTAACAGAATTTTAATGCTGGTTAAGGGGCAAGAAATCCTCCTGCCCAAACATCCAAGTAGAAGTACACTACCATTGAAGGAGGAACAGAAGCAAAGCCACCTGCACTAGAGAGAGATATGGAAAATGAGAAATGTGTCCAGGATCTTGCACAGACAAAAAGCAGAGATCTGCTATCACTAGAAGAGGCACAGGCAATTTTCTATTGTCAAAGACCTCAAATAATATAAGTGCTGTTTGACAAAACTCTACCAATGCTGATTAAGAAACAATTTATCAATATCAGAAATAAATTTTAAAAAAGAATATTACAAAAAACCTTGTGACAATACATTCAATCAATTAGATAAAATGTACAAACTCCTCAAAATACACAAGCTGAAACAGTTCACTTAAAAAGAAATGAATTTCTTGAATATCCCTATATGTATTGTTAAAAGAAACTTAGACACATTAAAATTTTAAGGAGTTTATTGGAGCAGGCAGACAGTCATGAATCAGGCAGCACTAGACCTCAAGCAGCTTAGCACTCCACTGAGGGGGTATGAGGGGAAACTTGTATAACATGTTCACAGAAGCAAGAAAATGAAAATATATTTGCTTGCTTAAAGTGAAATACCCCTAGATATGTTACAGGTAGTTAGACATGTATGAGCAGGACAGAAGAAGACTCTCCCCCACCTACTAGGAATGTTGGGTGATGGCTTGGCAATTACCACATTGCCTCTCTAAATGTGATAAGTTGGCAGCTAGCACCAGGGAGAGGCTATTTCTTGATGGTCCACACCAGTTGCACTAAAGTGTTAATTGAATGCAGATGCCAGGGAGAAGCAACTTCCTGGGTATGTGCATTAAGAGACAAAATGGTGGAATATGACCTTCCAGGGGTACTTCACCAGGAAAGGGAGGAAAAGCCTCAGATGGGCGTGCCTACAACTTCCTAAACACACTGTGCCTGCTCATCTCCTAAGGGTAAGGAGGGAACTGCACATGTGAGCAGCTCACCCTAAGGGAAGAATCATGGGAAAGGGTTGCAAGACTCCGGAAGGGGGCCGGTCCTATAAATTCCTAGATTCACAATTAAACACTGCACTTGAATTTCACTTGCCTGCTTGGATCTCTTCCAAGTGTACTCTCCGTTCTTTTTAAATAAACTTCTACTTCTCTGAAACTTGCTTCAGACTCTTTTTCTGCCTTATGTTCTTCTGGAAGAAAAATTCTTTTTTTCTGAGGGGGCAATTTTTTTTTTTTTCCCGAGGAGGTAAGAATTGAAGTTGCTGCAGACCCACATGGATTTGCTGCTGATAACTCACATGCCTTCCACTGGTAATATATTTGGTGCGGTGAGACTCCAATATTTGCCACTGGTAACAGTTATATGTTAGTTGGTGGTTTCTGATGGTGAAGCTTAAGTTTTGTTTTACTGTTTACAGTGGGATTTGATTTGTTAGCTTATGTAGGAATCCAAAGTGCTGTAGGCCTAATGTCCTCCCAATTAAAATTTTAAAACAGTATTAAATAAATTGAAATTTTAGTTAAAAACTTTCCCCAAGAAAGTGACGTATCTAGATGGCTTCATGGATAATTTGTACTAGGTAATAAAGGAAAATATAATATCAATTCCATACATTTTCAAAAAAATGAGAGAGAAGCAATCATTTCTAAACTTATTTTAGAAAACCTGCACTGCCCTGATACCACAACCAGGCAAGGTCATAACAAGAAAAGAAAATTATAGATCAATATTCCTCCTGTACATAGAGGGAAAAATCCTCAGGAAAATATTAGCAAATTAAATTCAACAATATATAAAGAGGTTAATCTTTATATTGTGGTCAAATGGAGTTAAAGCTAGCTATGCAAGATTGGAGAAACATTCAAACACATGTCAATTTTAATTCACCATATAAACAGACTAAAATGGAAAAAAAATCTAAATAAATACAGAAAAAAGCATTTGACAAAATTTAACATCCATTTATGCAAACACCCACAGAAATCTAACAATACAAGAAAATTTCTTCAAACTGACAAAGTACACTGTAAAACAAAAAGCTATTATGTCTAATGATCAAATACAGAGTGATTTCTGCTTACAACTTTGAACAAATCAAGGGTGACAAAAAAGTCAAAAAATTAGAAAAGAAGAAATAAAAATATCTTTATTCACAGATTACATAACCATCTACATAGAAAAATTTAAAAGCATCTACTAAGAAAGACACTAGTTCCATTAAGTATCTCATAGTCTACAAAAGAGTTCACTTCAAGGTCACAGACTACAACACTAATATACAAAATTCATTTGTGTGTATGTGTGTATATATAATATAGTATATTATACATAGTATATTATAGATAATATACTATATATAATTTTATATATACTATATATAATTATATTATATATAATATATACTGTATTACTTAGTAATACAGTATATATTATATATAATATATATTATAAAATATGCTGTTTATAAGTAAATATAATATATTAAATATATTATATTATATACATATACATATAACCAGCAATCAATTGGAAATTGAATTAAATCCATACCATTTAAAATATAATTAATATATACAAAATACTTAGGAATAAATCTAATAAGAGATATATAAAATTTGAACTTTAATAAACAAAAAGATCTCTGAGAAAATTAACAGAATCCTAAGTAAATAGGGAGATCATGATGAGATCAATATTATTAAGATGTCAATTTCTCCAAACTTACCTACAGGTTTAGTGCAAACCCAATCAAAACCTATGTGTTTCTTTCTTTTTTTGTGTGTCAGAAATTGACAAACTTATTATAAAATTAAATGTAAGTAAAAAGAGAGAAATAAATGTGAAGGACTTAGTCTACCTGTAGTCAAGACTATGTACTATTGGCCTAACAAGACATAGAAGTAGAACTACCCATGCATGGAAAACAAAGCTGCCAAGATAATTTAATTGGAAATCATGAATCTCGTCTGAGAAAGGGAGGTGAGATGAAATAGTACAGTTTTCCCCCCACAACTTTCACACAAATTCTCCATTCCTACCCATCTTGAGACCCACTTGTATTTTTCCTTACTGTGGTGAAAAGGATAGTCTTTCTCACAAATTGCAGTGGAACCATTAGATATTCATATATACAAAAGTTAATATTAACCCTTACTTTATAAAAGTATGTAAAATTAACTCAAAAAAGGTCATATGTATAAAAGCTAAAATTGTAAAGCCATACAGAAGCAATGGATAAGTCTGTGTTGTATTGGGTAAGACAGAGCTTTTTTTCATAAGGCAGAAAAACCCCGAACTATAAAAGAAAATTGATGAATTGAATTTCCTCAAATTAAAATCTTAAGTTCTTTCAAATGGATTAAGAAAAGAAGTAAGTCACAAATAGGGATAAAATATTTTAAAACACATGTGTTACAAAGGACTTGTATCCAGATTACCTGAAGAACTTTTACAATTGAATATAAAGAAAACAACCCAATAAAAATGTGCCAAGTAAATAAGCAGACACTTCAGCAAATAAGACATATGGATGTCAAATAAGCACATGATAACAAGCTCACCATCTTTGGTCATTAAGTAAAACCACAATGAGATACCACTAGAATCCCACTAGATTGGTAAAATGGAAAAGTACAATAAAAATAAGTCTCAAAATGGATACGGAGCAATTGGAGCCTCATATACCAATGGTAGGATGTAAGAAATTAAAGTAATTTTTGAGACTAGTTTGGCCATTGTTGGATGATGAAATCAACCATAGGCTCTTTGCACGTTCTTGCTGAGTATGCCAAAAATGCAAAGCCATGACCACTCTTTACATTTTTTTAATAGTTCACTGTTCATGTCTTGTGTGTACAGTGAGCAACCCTGAGAGATGAAGTAACATATTTTCCGGGATAAAGAACAGACCTACTTATTGCTTGCTATAATGGAGGTGGATTCCTCAACTGCAATGTTCTTCTCCTGTAATTTAATCCACCACCCATGTAGGAATCCTCCTAAGTTCTTCATAAGTCTACTACGGTGCAAGGAGAAGTGGTATGAACATGCAGACGCTCATGCTGCTTGCTGTGTAATAAAGTTATTTGTCTGACCCAGAGACCTCAGTCCTCTATGAACGTCTGTGAAACAGTAATGTGCTGATTTATTATATTATAAGTTGGGTAACATTACTCTTAGATCTGATAGCAGTTTTTTAAAAATATTAAGCATACACTTATTTTATTATACAGCAATTCCACTTTTACACATTTATTGAAGGGAACTGAAAACTAAGGTCCAGACAAGACCTTACAGAAACCTTTGTAGCAGGTTCATTCAAAAGCACTCCAAACCGAAAACAATCTAAATGCCCATTAGCTTTGAATGAATGCAAATACTGTGGTGCATCCAAAGAATACTATTCAGCAATGAAAAGGAACCAACTAATGACACTTCAACATGATGAATCTCAAAAGCATTATGCTAAGTTAAAGAAGCCATATACAAAGTCTACACACATCATAGATAATTCCATTTATATTTCATTCTGGGAAAGGCAAAACATCAGAGACAAAAATATCTCAGTAGTGGCAAGGGATTGAGGGGTGGTGTATGAGAAATGACTGCAAAGGGGTACAAAGGAACATTTTTGGGTGATGAAATGTCATATAACATGACTGTGATGGTGATCATAGAGCCACACGTATTTGTCAAACTCATTGAATTTTATACTTTAGAAAGGTGAATTTTATACTTTAGAAAGGTAAATTTTACTGCATTTTGATTATCCCTTTATAAAAAATATTAGCTTAAAGTTCAGTTAAATGTTTTTGTCTTTATATGACTTGACATGCTTATTAGAAACTTCAATGCTTGGCATGAAAGGAGATAAGTAGTTTCCTGCCATTAGATAGTCAATTTGCTATAGAGAAAAGCACATATTTCCAGAAACAAGGATGCCTGGGATCAAGTCCTGGATTTTTTTTAAATAATAGACCATATCTGAGACTTCTAGAATCTGAATTACTGTAGAATTATAACAAAGTGTACTATGGATAATTTCTGAGGTGAGTTCCAGTTTATTTATTTATTTACTTATTTATTTGAGACAGA
Source organism: Homo sapiens (assembly GCF_000001405.40). Classification (NCBI taxonomy): domain Eukaryota; kingdom Metazoa; phylum Chordata; class Mammalia; order Primates; family Hominidae; genus Homo; species Homo sapiens. The sequence continues at coordinate 45,780,569 of NC_000005.10, read as the reverse complement.
ATCTCGCTTTGTCATCCAGGCTGGAGTGCAGTGGCCTGATCATAGTTCACTGTAACCTTGAATTCCTGGGCTCAAGCTCTCCTTCCACTTTAGCCTCTTGAGTCGCTATGACTGTAGACAGGTTTTTTTGATAGAGTCAGGGTCTCACTATGTTGCCAGGGATGGTGACTTTCAATGTTTACATGTTCCTTTTAAAGCTTTTAGAACAACCTATGCAAACTTCCTTCACTCAAGAGTTATTGCCTAAATATCCTGTAATATTTACTTCAGACATGGCAAACTACTAATATCTGATAGAGTTTAGTGGGCTAATTGGGAGATTTAGGTAATTGCTTTAAATAAATGTTTCAGGTTAGCTTGGACACCGTAAAATTAAAAGCCATCAATAATCAGGAGCTAAGGCAGTTTCTGATAATTCTTCAGACTTTTACCAGCAGTTGTGCTGATATTTTTCTTTCATGATTGTAATTGCAAAGTTTGGCCCCATGCCTGGATACAGTTTGTTCACTTTCTCACCAGGGAAGCTGAAATTTTCTCTGAGATGTAGTAGGGATACAAGCCCAGTGAACTGCCCATATTTCTTTTTCTTGCATAAAATGAGACTCTTCATAAGGGTTCACAGTTGGCAAATAATTCATGTTGGCACAGGATGTAAAAGGACTCACAGCATATTTGCAGCTGAAATTAAAGTCAGTTGCCTGCTCTGAAGAAACAAGAGATTTTTACTCTCAGAGTTCTTTGCTAGTGGAAATGCACTTACTGAAGTCCTATTATATTCTCATTCAAAGCATTCAGTCATTCTAATTCCATTGTACACATTTTCAGAACTTCCTGTGCTATACTAAAAACTAGTGTGGGAATTTGTTATTTTAAACTTCATTTGTAGGTTAGTAACTTCCACAACAGGTTTACCAACTCTCTCCCTTTTAGTATATCTTATAAGAGCACAAATCTTTAAATTAAATTTTCATAAAAATCACAGGAAAGACTTAAATAAGTATGATATTTGAACCTTACCCTCAGAGAGCCTGATTTCTGAGGTAGGATCTGACAGTTATTTTTAAGCAGGCACATGGCTGACATTCATGTCAATAGTTGTTTGATAACACTTTAGGATCTATATCTCAGCACATTCACTTAACAAGATTACTAGCATTAACATGGGCTTTTGCGTCACATCTCCTTTGACCTCCACATCCAATCACCCGTCAAGTTCTATGGACACTGACTTTTCAATGATGTTCATTCCCAATGCTTTTTTGATTTCTGCTGATATAAAGACAGCATGCACATTCAAAGTTCTTCACCTTGACCATTGTACCAGCATCCCCAATCCTCTTGACTCTAGTCTCATCCTTTCAAAACATTTAACGAATGATTTCCCTCCTAAAACATTTCATGTATGATATACCTCCTTGTTTCATGACACTGGTCCATTCAAAAACATTTTAAATTTCTATGAAGTGAAGTTCAAAGCTTTTGTTCAAGCCCCTTTATGATTCAAACTTGTCCTGAATGTTCACTGTTATGCTATAATCTTCCTTTTGCTTGGAATGTCATCCTTTGCAATCTCTACCTGATACATTCTTACTCCATCCTCTAATCTTTAATTCAAATACTATCTCCTCCATTGTGGCAATTTCTAATATTCTAAATCTGAACACTTCCATAGCATTTATGTACATGTCTGTGATGCATACTGTACATAATAGATGCTCAAAACACCTAATAAGTGAAACATGGTTACAAGATTAACTCCAATTTCTATGACTCATTTTCTCCTCATATCCGATTGATCATTCAGCCATTTTGATTTTTAAATGTAATATTTAATGAAGTAAAACTAGGTAGGGAAAAGTATGCTAAACATAAATATGCACTTAGATGAATTTTCATAGTGAACATATTGATATATCTAGAAACAGCACATGACCAGCAGCCCAGAAGCAGCCTCATGGCCCCTTCCCATTATATTTCTCATCAAAGGTAACCATTAACCTGACTTCTAATGGCATAGATCACATTGCTTGTTGGTAAACCTGACATAAATGAAATCATACAGAATGTACAATTTATATTCAGCTTCTTTTGTTGAATATTGTGTTTTTGAGATTTGCTCACATTGTTGCATTTTAGCAATGTTTTCTAAATTTTAATCACTACATAGTAATCCATTATATAAAAGTACTATAATTTATCTGCTTTATTGGCATGGATTGTTTCCAGTTTTTTAGTTTTTTGATAATGTTACCATATTCATTTTATACATGACTTTTGAAGATTGTATGTAAACACAAAAAAATGTACACCTAGAATTGGAATTGTTTAGTCAAACACTATTGATTTCATTTTCTAAATATTTCATCAATATACCCTCTTCAAATGTACTGTCGCTTCCCAAATTCAAGCTCAGATAATATTTAGTTGGGACTAATAAAGCAGCCCCCAAACTGGTCTTTATGACTCTATTTATCACTATCATCCATTTTGACCAATTTTCACAAAGCAATCTGTACAAAACACAATTTTCATCACATCTTCAATTGCCTGAAAACCTTTTACAGATTCCCTGTATAAAACTGAAGTTTTATATCTGGCATGTGAGTTACTTCATGATCTGGACAGTGTTAATTTTTCAGTGTATAGCTTCTGATTCTTATTATCACAGATAGTATTTTTTTTAGTGATCTAAAATTTCATCATAGCCACTATTTTGATATAGTTAGTCAATAAGGACTTTAACACTAGTGTAGAGGTTTTTTTACTTTGTTGATTTCGGGGAAATTTTTTCTTGGCCTACAGGTCACTCTCATTGAATTCTACTCTCATGTTGGCATTGGTTGACGCTTGACTCATAAAAAAAGATTTTGGTATTTGCTATGGTCTCAATGTGCATCCTCCCAACCCGATTAATGTGCTGGAGACTTAATCCCCAATGCAACGGTGTTGTGAGTTGGGGCCTAATGGGTGGTGTTTAGCTAATGAGAGCTTTGCCTTCACAAATGGATTAATGCTGCTATAAAAAGCACTTGCAGGAGTGGGTTTGCCCCTTTCTGCCTTTGCCATGTAAGGGCACAGCAAGAATGCCCTCTCACAATGCCTTTGCCTTTTGCCTTGATCTTGGACTTCCCATCCTCTAGAACTGTGAGATATAAATATTTGTTCTTTATAAATTATCCAGTTTCAGGGTTTTTTTTATGGCAACATTAACTAAAACAGTACTCCTTGAGTTATTTAAGAAATACTGTTGAAGACCCTGATATTTTAGTTTGAATTACAGAAAGTTCAAAATGTTGTTTTCCACCCTTCAGGTTGGGAAAATATTGATTCAGGGGTTCTAATAGTCTGATTCCCTGTGTGGGATTAAGTAGAATCACATAAGATTCCATGAAAGAGGCTTATCAAATAATTGGTGGCATATCATTTAAGAGAGTAATGATTGGGGTTAAAGGATACAGGAGGCAATCAGAGCCTCTTTTTTGAATTTCTAGAACTATTTCCCTATATGGGGGGAGGAGCAGAAGGGACTAGAAGGCAAAGGTCATGATTATTTATGATAGAAATGTTTGATGGCAAACTAAAACTTTGGCAACCACTGAACTGGGATAACTGACATAGACCAGGACTTGGAATTCATCTATACAGTAGAGAAATATAGCAATTATTGTAGAATAAGTGCACCACTCCAGTGGGATCAATTAAGACAGAGAACAATGAGATAGTATAAGTCTTGGCAGGCAATTGATCAAATTTTGGGTGTTGAGAAGAAGGAAAAAGATGATCAAGATAAAGGCTAAGAGAACAAAGAGCCATGAACCCAGGCTAAAATAGGCAATAGGAATTCATAAGGTAATTACTTTGAATAAGTAAATAGAATTTCTTACAGAGCTACAAGCTGTTTGAATAAGAATGTTCTTAAGATATTCTCTTGCCTGGGGACTTAACTAAACTAAAATATTGAGAGGTTCCAAATCTGCAGATTGATATGTTGCATGGTAGATCTCAGAAGCATAAAGACACATGTATAAAATAACCCCTAGTGGGCAAAGACACTCTTATTTTATGAGTTCAATCCAATTTTCTACCTCTATAGATCAGTCTCAGTTTTTGGTAGCTTTATTTGTATGTGGGGAAAGATAAAAATACTATAGAAACTGTAACTGAATCACAGGGTGCTAGAATATAGTTGGCTCTAGATAGGTCATTGATAGGCAAATATTTATCAAACTTGCAAGAGCCATGTTGTAGTTTTATTAAAATCCAGAATTTTGGGCCCCTCCTCAGACCTAATTCCTCTGGGAATCTCCAGAAGGTGGAGGGGAAGAGGTAGCAACCAGGAAATTACATTATAAAATAAGTAGCTCAGGTGATTCTTTTGCGTAAAAAAATTTGAGAAACACAATTTAGACAGGATCAAAATGTGATAAAAATGAGTTACAGCAAGAAACTGGTTTAAGTGTTAGTGAAGGGAAGACCTGAAAGAATTTAAGCTAAACTCTTAAGAGGGATTAAGAAATTACTATCCTATGAATCAGAACAGATGACTGATATATAGCTCAAATCAGAAGAGTAAATTCAAAGTCAGATAGAATTAGGGTGGCATGAAGAGATCCAGCTCAATGTAATGGAGAGGATTGGGGGCAGAGGTAGAATAGCTTTCTGGAAGCTATAGGTGAATTTAGGATGCAGGCTTATTTCAATAACCTTGGTCATATTTTCAAGTTGGAACTCAGTTTGATAAAGGACTCTCATTCTTTTGTGATGTTGCCCATATGTATTTGTGAGTTTGTGTGTCTCTGTGAGTACATGTATATGGGTATGCATATTTCTAGCCATCTTCCTTGTCTACAGATAAGGATCTTGTCAGAGTTTCAAGTCTTTACTAACACAATGTTATGTCTTAATGTTTATTCATAGCCATTGATATTTTCATAATAATAAGAAAGCAACTTTCCAAAAATTTATTGCATAATCTTTAAAATAGATAAAGGAAGGGCTTAAAAAAGAGAGAGATTGTTTGTGTTTTTTTTTCAATAAAACATCAGGGAAGTTTTTTTTGTCTTTTTTTTGAGACTGAGTTTTGCCCTTGTCACCCAGGTTGGTGTGCAATGGCACAATCTCGGCTCTCTGCAACCTCTGCCTCCTGGGTTCAAGTGATTCTCCTGCCTCAGCCTCCCGAGTAGCTGGGATTACAGGTGCCCGCCACCACAGCCGGCTAATTTTTTGTATTTTTAGTAGAGATGGGGTTTCACCATATTGGTCAGGCTGGTCTTGAACTCCAGACCTCAGGTGATTCACCCACCTCGGCCTCCCAAGGTGCTGGGATTACAGGCGTAAGCCACTGAACCTGGCCTATTTCTTCAATTTCTTTTAAATGTTTCAAGTCTTTCCTTTTGTCTTTTTTTTTTCCATTTTCTCTTTCCTAGCATGATCTACTTAATAATATTGGATGCTATAAAAATTTTATAAGTATTTGTGTACTGGAAACAAAGATTTATTGCAAAGATTTATTAACAAAACCTCAATGCTATAATAAAGATAAAACATTCATTATAATACATTTAGAGAAGTACACTATTATCTGGACTATAAATATCAGTTTACTTTAAAAATTATTTCTGGTCCCATTATCTCGATTCCCCTGCCCAGAAAAGTTTATTACATCAACTACAATCCACCTTAGGACTTTTTTGAACATTTACTTTTGAATAACTATTTTCAAGAATACAAAATAAAAATGACCAGCTTCAATCTCTATTTTGCAATTAATAGAGCAGTTCCTATCAATAACCACTGGGAGGTAGCACATGTATGGTGTTTTCATTATTTTCTATGTAAAGTTATAAACTATGAGTTGATGTTACCTAAAGTTAACGATAGTATTTTTATTATTTGCATTAAATCTGTGTTAACATAGATAATTAATGACTTTAGTAAGACTGGTGAACAGAAAAAGCTAGCTAAACAATATTAGAAAGTAAATAGCCATGCCTTGTTTGGAGGTCATTGTTTTCCACTGAAGAAAATAAATATAATGTTAAATACCTGAATCTTTTGCCATCTTTACAACTTTCCAAAAAACTAAGTACAGAAAATCTTAGGCTTACCTATGTTCAATTTGAAAATTGTTTAGAAATAAAAATAATTATTCTTACATGCCTGAGTTAGAAAATAGCATCCAATATAGGAAACTCATTTACAGGCTTGCATGCCTATCTCAGTTAAAACAGATCTCTATTCTGCATAGATTCTCGTTTAATATCCATTAAATTGTTATTGTTACTAAAGTGCATTACTGGAAATTTAGATAGTACAGGTCTATTGAAGATGCAGCACAGTAAGTAAATTTCCTGCTCATAACATGCTATTTCCAGCTTTATTAATGTGGAAATTAACCTCAACTCATTTTTTTCTGTAGACACCAATGCCTTTAAAAATGTCCAATATTTTTAATTGTTCTCAATTTTAAGTATGTCAAAAAACTTTTGGGCTCAAAGGACTGAGAGTAAATTTGACTAATGTAGAGTTTTAATTCACTTATTTTTCAATACCTAGACATAATTCAGTAATAGTGTGTATGATAGATAATCTTTTGTAAAATCATAATTCATAAATTTCAACAGAAAAATTACAAACTTAATTTACTAAATACAAGTGATTCATTATTTTTCACATGCAATCTTTAACTGAAATAAAGTTATAATAAAAATACATTCCCATTAATTTAATTATTGAGAATTCTTATACTATATCCAGAAAAAAAGAAAAAAAAAGAAATAAGAAAAAAATTCATGTGTTTGCTTGATCAGCAAAAGGAAGAAATGTCTTACACTAGCCCTAATTAAGAAATTTTAGTGTGCTTTAAAATGACATGGTAAAGCTCTTTTTTCTTGCTATTGACTTGGACTTTTAGAAAATCTAGAATAATATTTATTTATTATATGTTGACAATAGTAAATGCAATAGCTACTATGTTGGTATTGTTACTATTTATCTTGCACTTGTTATTGTCCAATTATGTAAATTTTTGGCTTTTATAATGAACTAATCTTTTAGAATAAAACTCCAGGATGCTAGTTTTTGTTACGTGATTTGAAGTTATTTTGGAGCCTACTCGACAGAATGACAGAGAATATTATCATTTAATATTTTAGTCCAACAATTTCTCTTCTCATTCTACAAATCTGCCTACAAAAGTACTGTAGCATCTCCATCTATCTCTCTGGGTCACCCTTGGACATAAATTACAACTAAAGTCCAAATATTTGGTCATAAGAAATACAGTAGAAGCTCTCTTGACCAACCATCACATAATTTACCCACTGGTTTGTTTTGTCTCTCTTTTGACCTTGAAAGCAAATAGACCATGTTTCAGAAACTGAATATTCACAACAAAGAATTATCCCTCTAGTAAACCTGCAGGCTTCACCCTTATTTGTTGCTTACAGGCTTACAACAGTCAGTCAGGGTTGTTAGTTCCCTATACTGAAGCAGCTAGTTTTGTTGGTTGCTGATGTGAGACCTCAATTCTTGTCTTCTTAGTTTAAAAGAATTTAAACGAGAGCAAAGGAGATGTAACACAGAATAATCTATTGCAAAAAGAAAAGAATGTTTTGAAAGTTAAGTGCAGAATAGACAGCATGCCCTGAGAGAGAATTCAGGGCGGCTGCTCATAAGGATGAGACAGCAAAGACTGGCACTAGGGAGACTCCCTTTTTAGGAGTCTTACGTGATTATTCTTAAGGAGGTGAAAAGAGGTGTTGCTAGTAAGCATGTTCTGCGTGTTCCTTTGGGTGCCCTTGCACAGTAGCTGTACATGCTTGTTCATACATCGCAGGTCTCATTAGCATCTTAAATCTCCACCTAAGGGTGTGTTTTTTAGGAGGTTACTTTAAGGACAGGTAAAATCAAAGTGCACATGCTGTCTACAGGGGAAATTCCCTACTGAAGATAGCTTTGCTTGAATGGGCCCAACTATGTGAATGCTAAGGCTTATTGTGTTGATTGTATGCTCACCATGGTTGCTGCGTCCTGAGGACATGATCACTTCCTTGACTACTTATCTGCCTCAGTTTAAGTAGAAAAATTATTTATCCAAAATACCAGATAGCTCACAGCACCTCTTGGAAGGCTAGAATAGCTGGCTTTCAGGCAGTATTGCCCTAACATTTGTTGGGGGCTGGAGCAAAATGCACAATTCTGAACATGACCTTCACTCTCTTCCTACATTTGACTCCATTTTACCTAAGTAGGGCCTCATAAACATTATCTACACCTATATCTCTGTGACCTAGGAGATACACATATTTGTGGTGCAGTCTGCCTTTGGGAGGACTGACCCAACAAGAAGCTTAAAGAGGCCCAACAAAAAAGTCCATTAGCCAAGAAATGTTGGGGTTTTGAGTTGCCACATATGTTTTAGAAGCACATGCTTCAGGTTGGCACTTCCCTTTTGTCCTAGGGATCCTTGTTTCATGGGAAAGGATATGGCGTAAACAGTTCAACAGTTGCTTCGAGTTTATGCACTCAGGCATCTTCGAGCTATTGAAAGTCAAAGTTAGTAACTGACAACCTAATTTCAGAACCACTGTCTCTGCTGCTTAAATGCTGGAAAGCTTCACCACCACTCCCACTAAAAAATCAATTCCTGTAGCTAACACTTCTGAACAGAAAGCAAATCTAGGTCATTTATCTCCTTCCTAATGTGCCCACATCTTATAAGCAAGGCAGGTTGACCAAGAAAATTTCTAGCTGCTACTTCAGGGAAGACTAAACTCATAATGTTGGAAATTCCTCAAACCCAGGAAGATTGTTGAATATTGCTGCATTGCCCCAAAGACATACTCTCTGTACACTAGACTTAGGGTTAATTGTGTTTTTTTTCCAAAGCCATTTAGGTCAGTTGCACACATTTTGCAATTACATAATTTAAACACATTTTATATAAACCTATACAAAATAAATAAAAAGAAAATTGTTTCTCTTAAAACTTTGCTGAATACTTTGGAATAACTTGATGAGGGTGAGTTGCTTTTTAAAATTCTATTAAGTGTGGGCGGAAAAATCATTAAACTAAAAAAAGACTTTGCAGTTAGATTGCTTCTCAAGTGGTTTTTAGGTTAGGTCTTTATTCCACTTTAAAGAAAGCAAAATTTGAAATCAATTGGAGATAGCTTATCATGGGCGTGGCTAATTAAGGAAAGGTAACAGGTTACTTCAGTCAGCCCACACATGTTCAAAGAAAAGACATTGGCCCTATGTCAAAAGATTATTAGTAAAGCATTTCTTAGTTGGTTTGAAACTTGTGAGAAAAAAGTCATAAAACTGAGCCTTAGAGGAATGATATCTATTTATTAACTTAAAATTCAAAATTTTACATTAAGCATTTAAGTCATTTATTGACTGAGAATAACCTGACAATACTGCAAACTTTATTTTATGAAATCTCCCATGAACTATTTTTTAAAATAGCCAGCATATTAATTTTGATCCCACTGAATAGGATAGCTTATTCTGTGTGTCCAGATAATTAAAGTTATGGTTGTAACTTGGATACTTGTGTTAGGTTACTTGGCCTTTAATATAAAGTAATTTCTCATGGATTCAGTTATACCATATTTTTTAAAATGGGTGAAACAAAAGTCTCAAATTATTTTTGCCAAATTTTCACAGATAAATTGGAATAAATACATTCATACTATTATACTGCTAATAATAATTTGTATAATAATATTATACAAATAATAATACATATTATTAATTAATTAAATCCTGCTGTAAAGATGAGGGTATTAGCAACTTTTGAAAAATGCTCTTTATATATCTGCATTGTTTTAAGTTACTATTCCTATACAAAAAGCAACTGAAACAATTACATAGCTAATTATTTCCTTTTATCATATCAGAATTATCATTATCAGAATTTTGTGTTAAGCAATTTGTTTGCCTTCGTTTCTGCATATATCATCTTACTCAGCTTTTAATCAAAATTAATAAATATTTTGGCTGCATTCTGCTATGAAAATGATGCTTTCTTGGCCCAGCTCTTATGTGGTTTCCCTTGATACTGTTAGCTCTGGTCTTGTCACTTTGAATTCCTAACATTTACCTGGACTGGTATTCTGGTATTTGTTTCTTACTAGGCCTTTTCCAATTCTTGCACTCTGTTCATTTCCTTAATATTGTTTAACCAGCTTTGCTAAGAATTGGTGATTCTTTTAAAGTAAGCTCTTATGCAGAACTTTGTCTTGATGACTAGATTTGGGTTCCTATATTTGCTTTGGTGACCAAAGTGCCTTGCATTTTGCCATGATCATCAGATCACCTATGGGTAACACATGAGTGCCATTATTCATGCTTATGGACATCTCCTTCTCTTCTGTATCCTTCCTGGTTGTAACTTTTCTGGTTTTAGCTCCATGCTATCCATTCATCACCCATTGAACCCAAATATCTAGGATTTTTAGGGGACCCAACTATCTTAAAATAACTATTAATCACTCTTGGTTCCTGGTATCATTTGTCTTTCCCTTGTACTGCTATGCTATGTTAATTCTTCCAATTTGTTTTTATCAGCCCATATTTCTGAAGCAAATTGATTCTGTCTTGACATTTCTCAGCTGACTTCTATCCATAATAACTTAACATTTTTATCAGTCTGTATTGCAAGCAGCTGCGTATAACAGAGAAACCAATATAAAATTTCTTAACTAATTAGTTGTTAGTCATGTATTTTCCTCCACTAGAAGATGTCAGGAGTTAATAGGTCCGGAGTTGGTGTATCTGTTCAGTATTCTCCACAGGACCCAGATTCCTGCTTTTTTCAGCTCCCTCAAGTAAGTTGGCCTGTTACTTTTGTCATTTTGGTTGTATAATGGACAATTTTGTTTTTGCCAATATTTTAGTTGCTTCTTTTCTCCATGAAGCACACCTTTTATGCTTCTAAACTTTTCAAAAACTGCTTTATTGGGGTATAATTGACATGCGATAAACCGTATACACTTAAAGTAACTTAATAAATTTGGACCTATACATACACATACACACACACGCACACACACACACACACACACACAAAAGAATCTTCAGCTTTTCTGTATCTTGACACATTATTGAGATCAGGCATAAAGTAGATTTCATAGCATTTAGCATCAGTCACCAGTGCCTGGCCAATTAACAACATTCTTATTCCTTGTTTGTGGGAAAGTGTAAATGACCTGGTAACTGGGAGATAGAAAAAGTGTGAAATGCCTCTGGTGTAAATATTTGAGTTATGGTTAGAATTCATCTCAGTGAGCCCAGAAAATTTAGATACGCATGTGCTGTTTATATTTTCCACGCAGTAAAATGTTCTGTAATTGGATTTCTGTGTCTTATTTCCTAAATGTTGTTATTCTCTCATAAATGTACTGCTGCTCTTCTCTTCATAAATGTATACCTGCCATATAATTAAAATAGTAGCTGATGCATGAAAATGTAGGACAGGCAGTAGTGGGGAAAGTTAGGGATTTGGAGTAAAATACAATAAAATTCAAATCTCAATTCCATGATGGACTTCTTTATCCTGGCATCAGGGTTAGAGTTTGGATCAGGGTCAGAATCATGTAATTAACCTCCTAAGTGTTGGTTTTCTTGTCTGCAAAATGTCAATAATAATACATTTCTAATAACGTAGTGGTGAGTAATAATGTAATGCCTGACACAGGTCATCCTCAAAAAATTGATGCTATTAAAAGTGGTATTATTTTGTACTATAATGTCTTATCACTTGGCAAGGGTAGGTTTGGATAATGTGAAATAACTCATATTTTCTCTTCCAATTTAAATATCTGGCTGACTATGAAATTATGCATGATATGATGAGCTTTCCTGTCACGCTTTAAGAGGTTTCTATTATGGGAACAAAACTGTTAGTGTATAGAGAGAATGTTCAACAAATTTAGGGTTGTAAAGTAATTTCTCCCAGTGAATTGAGAAGTTTACATGGTGGGGGGGAAAACATGAGTGGGTTAAGGAAGCACAAACGAGTAAGAAGTTGAATTTCAAGGAGAAAACAGGAGTATTTGCTGTAAATCATGCATTTTGGTTTTTGTTTTCCCCCCCATACTTTTCTTTAGAGAAGTATCAAAAAAATCAATGTATATATGTGTATATATGAGTGTGTGCATAGGTGTATTTGCACAAATTTGTGTATGCTCACGCATTTTGAAAGGATAAAGATATTATATATTTATTTTTGTCTATTCTTTAGTTATTTTTCACGTCCCCTCTCTTCTCTTTTTTTCTCACATCTTGCCAAAACCCTGGTTCGTAAGAAATATGCTTATATATGTAAGTATCAACGTAAAGATTCACACCACATTTAAAATGACAACAACTGAAACATATCGGGGACAGTTCAAATTCAAGAGGGCTGTTAGCTCTGATTATAACTGCTCTGACCATTTGTTGGCCAGATGAAACTCCACTGTGCTATTTTGACTGAAACTCCCAGGGATTGTGCAAAATATTACTTTGGAACTCTAAAAAGAAAACATCTTGGATATAATAGCTATATACATTTAGAGGTAGGAAATTGCTATTTCAGCTGTAAAATTGTTTCGTTTGATTCAAGATGCACTTTTTGAGCTCCCTCTTTGTTTCTAAAGAGCATGGATATATACACATTACCAAGCTATAAACCATAATTAATTTAAACATAACTGGCTTTATTAATCCTTTCCATGCCTCAAAACCTTTTTGTACTATAAAAGAACGTAAGCATCAGTGCATGAAACTCAGATATAGTCAAATAATTTCACACATTTAGCTGAGATTCCAGCTTAAGAACTGAACAAAATAGAGGAGCTTGATGCCATAATATTCATAAGCATACTATGAATATTTTGATAGCCTTTCTGCCATGAACAAATTGAAAACTCTTTTTCTCCCTTTGAATCCAGGCAATTCAAATGCTATATTTGCCAGAAAATGTAATTTTAGAAATCATTAGAATTAATGCAGTCATATTTTCAAACAATAGAAATGTCCACTGCACTAAAACCATTTTCAGATATATGTAAGTCCATTTTATTATATTATGTTCTGAAATTATTATCCTTTTAGTTTGGGGACCAATGATTGTAAGGAATTCCACATTCCTTACAGGTGGCTTTCTGATCCCAAACCCAAACTTCTCCCTCTTCCTGAAGTGACTAAACCACAAAGAAAACTTCTAGCTCTTTTTTGAAATACTATGCATAGGTTTATCAAGCTAGTGAAATAGTCCTACAGGTTTACTGGTAACTGTTTGAGTTATAAACATCTTAAGTAAAACCTTAGAAAACTGAGTTGCATATGAGATATGATCCTACCATTATGTCAGTTAAACTTATATCTGCTTTTGCATTTCTGATTTTTAACAGTCAAAAGTAGGATAATCAATAAAAGAAAAAACTAAACTATTTAATTTTTAAAATATATTCCTTACTTCTGTTGTTACATTATGGCATGTTCTTGATAGTAAACATGATGTTAGTGGTGTGAATTAGTTATGATTAAGGATTCAGAATGCCAATTTTAAAGGTTAAGTTGGCTTCTTCCATAAAGTCAGATCTTCGTCAGTGATGGAAAGCACTGGAAAGTTTCAAATAATTTATGTTAGTACTAACTGGTGTCATTCTTTTAATCTCTTTTGAGGACCTAATAAAGGTGAAAGTGAAAGTAAATACCATCTTCTTTGTCTACATACCTACAAAATATTATAACCAATGTTTCTGTATCCAAGGGGGGAACACAAAGACAACCAGGTAACCCATTCCATCCTCATGAACAGAGAAGGAGTTTAGACAAAAGAGTGTTTTACAGGCCAGAGAGTTCCAGACTTGACTGCTTTTTTGAACAACTGTTGCATTTGTTGCCGCTGTTCCTGGTTATCCAATGTAATCCATTTAAAATTGTGACTAATGCCATAATACAGTATTATTTCAGGCCACTGTAGCTGAAGAACATTTTGTGATGTTGCTTAGGAAAAATCTTGGCTTAATGCATAAAGATTGTTTTTCTTTTCCGAGATGGCAGATAGAAGGCAGTGTTAGTTTGCCTCTCACACTTGGAAGAACAGAATAGTGGGTAGAGATTTTTCTTCCCCTGAGAACCACCACAGGAGCTTAAAAGGAAAACCAGAAGAATCCACAGACTCTTTGAAAGAAGTGGCAGACTGCAGCCTGCTTTGTGAGACAGGTGAAAAACCGTAAGTATCCAGAGTGTGAGAGGGAAGCACACATCCCAAGCACACAAGCACACATCCCAAAAACACAAGCATCCCTACCTCCAAGCACACATCCCTACCAGGGAATCTGAAAATCCAGGCCATGGTTTAAGAAACCCTTAATTCTACCAAAAGCTGCAATGGATTTAGGGAGTGGCATGAAATATAAAAGCAGCAGCAGCAATAGGAAGTGCCTCATAGGCATTCCCAGTCTCCAGAGTGGACCAAGGGAAGCCATCTCTGACTGTATTTCACAGGGGCCCTCAGCCAATGAGCTCCAGGAGAGGTCCCAGGGTGAAAGATGCCCCCAACTGGATTTTGTGATATAATCTCAAGTGGTGACAAACTCCCTTGAACAGAACCTGGGAAAGAGTGGAAAGTGTGTTACAGACAGGAGCATAGGAGGTGGGCACCCAGCCTTGCAGCAGACAAGGAGGGACGTGGCCTGAGAGTCATGCTTGCTTTCTCTGCAGGGAAGCTTATGGCCAGGGCAATCTGAGTTCTGTGCTCAGGCTGCCTGGATCTAAACCTAGTGCTTTTAGCAGAGCACTGTGGGAGTGAGACTGGCCTCACCGACTGTGTGGGGGCTGAGTGAGGCTTGCTGCTTCCCACTACTCCCCACTCCCTTTGCAAACTCTTCTAAGCATTAGTGGCAGTTATACTCCTCTCTGGAACATTACCCCAGCAGCCTGAGAACCAGCCTGTCTACCACAGGGGCTGCGGCCTGCCCTGCCCAAGGATAGTCTGAGCTTAGACCCACTTAAACCTGCCCCCACCTGGTAATATTTCTCCACCACCCTGGTAGCTTAACACAAAGGACATAAACTTTTGGGAGCTTTATGACCCTGCCTATTCTCTGAAAAACTAGAATACTTCTCCTGGGAAACTTAAGCCAAGCTCAAATCCCACTACTACTACTGCTGCTGGTGCTCTTCTGCAAACACCACTGCCTGGCTGGAGGCCAGCCAACATAGGCCATTACAGCACCTCTAGGTAGAATAACACTGTACCCTGGAAGGAGAAAAATGGCTGTGTGATATCGGTTATCACCACTGCCCATGACGCAATGGCTAACCAGAGGTCCTGAGTCCATCCACAGGAGAGATTCAATACTAGAATAAGCCAGCACAGTAAGCCTACTTACAACCAAGGAATCTCAGTCTATGTCCCTCTCCTGCCACCTCCATAAGAGCAGGTGCTAGGATCCACTGTTGGGAGACATGAAGACAGGTCACATCAATGGATCTCTTACAGATATTCCTCAGAACCAGAACTGAGTCTGGTAGTCCTACTGGGTGGCTAGACCCAGAAGAGCCATAACAATCACTGCAGTCTAGCTTTCAGGAAGTTCTATTCCTAAGGGAAGGAGGAGGACACTATATCAAAGGGACATCCTGTGGGACAAAAAAATCTGAATGGCAAATCATAAGTCTCAGATTTTTCCAGTGATGGGAAGTTTCTTTCAGCAGAAACACAATTACAGTGCTGGGTGCAGTAGAGAAAGTTTGCACTTCCACCCCAATAAGCAGGCGCCTTGTGATCATGAAGAGTCTTGGAGAAGGAGTCTTTGTTCCCTCCGATACACAACTGCAAACACAGCTGGGGCTTCTCCCATGGGAACACAGAATGGATGCACCTATAGACAGTCTTCCTGGAACAATTCAGTGACATTGCAGCCTCACAGGAGGAGCACTCTTCAGATTCAGCCTGTATGAGAGGCAGTTACAAATCCTCGCTAACATTCCTGCAAATGAAAAGAGGTACCTGTCTAATACAAATAGCTAGAACACTGGGACAGAAGTGAGGCTGTGAGGTGGACAGATGTCCTGCTTGCCTAGGAGGGGAGCTGAGGAAGCTCCCATCCTCCATCGTGATAAAGCCTCAGCACATCAAATTGAGAGCTACCCCAGCCACCTTCTTCAAGGCTGGGACCTCTGCTCGCCATTAGGTATTACATCTAACCACCTGCTCTAGCTACAATGAGTGCCTACCCAGGGATACCTCCCTTATTGACCTAAAGCCTGAATCATCAATTCAATAAATAAAATACTGGGGAAAATTTGAACAAATAAATAAAGTGTACACAATGAGATAAGTTTCAAGAGATCCCTGCCATTCCAACCCCACAGGAGACAGTGAACTCACCCACACACCAAATACATAACTACTACAACCAGCATCTGGGATACCAGCACACAGAGAAACTCATACAGATTCTTCACACCTAAAAGCATTAAGAATCAAATTAGGCTATAATAAACTATAATAATTAGATCCTTAAGAGGGAAAAAATAAAAAAATACAGTCCAATCAAAAATAAATTCAAGAAAAATTTGAAGAAATAGTCTACTCAATGAGAAGGAATCAGAAAAGTAATTCTGGTAATATGACAAAACAGAATTCTATAACACTAAAACAGGGTTCTATATCCCCACAAAAGATCACACTAGTTCTCCAGCAATGAATCCAAAACAAGATAAAATATTTGAAATGCAAGATAAAGAATTCAGAAGGTTGATTATTAATCTACTCAAGGAGATACCAGAGAAAGGTGAAAAACAACTGAAAAAAAAAAAACAAATCCAGGATATGAGTGCAAAAATTGTTTAGAAAGATAGATATCATAAAGAAAAAAACAATCAGAACTTCTGGAAATGAAAAACACACTTAGGTAAATACAAATTGCATTGAAAAGTTTCAACAATAGGCTAGAACAAGTAGGAGAAAGAATTTCAGAGCTTACAGACAAGGCTTTTGAATTAACCCAATCAGACAAAGACAAAGAAAGAACAATAAAAAATGAACATCATATTTACTAACATCATGTTTACTATCAAAAACATACCATAATATAACAACAGAAGTTTCCAAGAAATATAAGATTATTTAAAACAGTAAAACCTAAAAATAATTAGTGTTTGAGGGAGAAGAGAAGTCCAAAAGTTTGAAACAGTTATTTGAGGGAAAAATTGAGTAAAACTTCCCTGGCCTTTCTAGAGATCTACATATACAAATATAAGAAGCTCAAAGAACTCCTAGGAAATTAATTGCAAAAGATAATCACTAAGGCAAACAGTTATTATGATACCTAAAGTCAACACAAAGGAAAGAATTTTCAGGGCTGTGAGACAAAAGCCTCAGCTAACCTATAAAGGGACACCTATTAGACTAACAGCAGATTTCTCAGCAGGTACCGTACAAGCCAGAAGGGATTGAGGTCCAGTCTTTAGCCTCCTTAAACAAAATAATTGTCAGCCAAAGTCCAGCAAAACTAAGCTTCCTAAATAAGAGAGAGATAAAGTCTTTTTCAGACAAACAAATGCTGAGGGATTTTGCCACTACCAAACCAGCACTACAAGAAATGCTAAGAGGATGGTACTGGTACCAAAACAGGTATATAGAAGAATGGAACAAAACAGAGGCCTCAGAAATAATGCCACACATCCACAACCACCTGATCTTTGACAAACCTGACAAAAAGAAGCAATGGGGAAAGGATTCCCCATTTAATAAATGGTGCTGGGAAAACTGGCTAGCCATATGCAGAAAACTGAAACTGGACCCCTTCCTTACACCTTATATAAAAATTAACTCAAGATGGGTTAAAGACTTAAACGTAAGACCTAAAACAATAACAATCCTAGAAGAAAACCTAGGCAATACCACTCGGACAATGGCATGGGCAAAGACGTCATAACTAAAAAACTAAAACACCAAAAGCAATGGCAAAGAAGCCCAAATTGACAAATAGAATCTAATTAAACTAAAGAGCTCCTGCACAGCAAAAGAAACTATCATCAGAGTGAACAGGCAACCTACAAAATGGGAGAAAATTTTTGTAATCTATCCATCTGACAAAGGGCTGATATCCAGAATCTACAAAGAACTTAAACAAATTTACAAGACAAAAAAAACAAAAAACTTCATCAAACAGTGGGCAAAGGATATCAACAGACACGTCTCAAAAGAAGACATTTATGCAGCCAACAAACATATGAAAAAAAGCTCATCATCACTAGTCATTAGAGAAATGCTAATCAAAACCACAATTAGATACCATCTCACACCAGTTAGAATGGCAATCATTAAAAAGTCAGGAAACAACAGATGCTGGAGAGGATATGGAGAAATAGGAATGCTTTTACACTGTTGGTGGAAGTGTAAATTAGTTCAACCATTGTGGAAGTCAGTGTGGCGATTGCTCAAGGACCTAGAACCAGAAATACCATTTGACCCAGCAATCCCATTACTAAGTATATACCCAAAGGATTATAAATCATTCTACTATAAAACACATGCACACTTATGTTTATTGCAGCACTATTCTCAATAGCAAAGACTTGGAACCAACCCAAATGCCCATCAATGATAGACTGGATAAAGAAAATGTGGCATATATACACCATGGAATACTATGCAGCCATAAAAAGGAAGAGTCCACGTCCTTTGCAGGGACATGGATGAAGCTGGAAACCATCATTCTCAGCAAACTAACACAGGAACAGAAAACCGAACACCACATGTTCTCATTCATAAGTGGGAGTTGAACAATGAGAACACATAGACACAGGGAGGGGAACATCACACACTGGGGCCTGTTGGGGGGTGAGGGGCTAGGGGAGGGATAGAATCAGGAGAAATACCTAATGTAGATGATGGGTTGATGGGCACAGCAAACCACCATGGCACGTGTATACCTATGTAACAAGCCTGCACGTTCTGCACATGTATCCCAGAACTTAAAGTATAATAAATAAATAAATAAATAAATAAATAAATAAATAAATAAAAGGCCAAAAAGAGTTCTATCTGGAAACAAGAGCTTAATATGCACCAAAATAGAACCTCTTCAAAGCATAAATCTCACAGGACCTATAAAATAATACCACAATGTAAAAAAGTATCTAGGTAACACTACCATGATGAATAGAACAGTACCTCACATCTCAATATAAATGTTGAATGTTAGTGGCCTAAATTTCCACTTAAATGATGTAGAATGGCAGAATGGATTAAAAGCCACCAACCAAGTATCTCCTGTGTCTTCAAGAGACTCACCTAGCACATAATAACTCACATAAACTTAAGGTAAAGGAGTGGAAAAAAGATATTCCACGCAAATGGAAACTAAACAAGACCAGAGTACCTATTCTTATACCAGACAAAACAGACCTTAAAGCAACAACTGTAAAAGAAAAAAGACAAAGAAGGATATTATATAATGATAAAAGATTAGTCCAATAGGAAGATATTACAATGCTAAATTTATATGCACCTAACATTGGAGTTCCAGATTTATAAAACAATTACAACTAGACCTAAGAAATTAGATAGATGCAACCCAATAGTAGTGGGGAACCTCAATACTCCACTGACAGCAATAGACAGATCATCAAGACAGAAAGTCAACAAAGAAATAATGGACGTAACCTATACCCTAGAACAAATGGACTTAACAGATATTTACAGAAAATTCTGCTTCATTATGACGGAATATATATTCTTCTCTTCAACACATGGTAAATTCTCCAAGATTCCATATGATATGCCACCAAACAAGTCTTGATAAATTTAAGAAAATTGGAATCATACCAAGTATCTTCTCAGACCACAGTGGAATAAAACTAGAAATCCACTCCAAAAGAAACTCTCAAAAGTATACAAATACATGGAAATTAAATGACATACTCTTGAGTGATTTTGGGGTTAACAACAAAATGAAAATGGAAATTAAAAATTCTTTGAAATGAATAACAGTGACACAACTGATGAAAACCTCTGGGATACAGCAAAAGTGGTGATAAGAGGAAAGTTCATAGCATTAAATGCCTACATCAAAAAGTCTGAGCACTTTGGGAAGCTGAGGTGGGTGGATCATGAGGTCAGGAGTTCAAGACCAGCCTGGCCAAGATGGTGAAACCCCGTCTCTACTAAAAATACAAAAATTAGCCAGGCATGGTTGTGGGCACCTGTAATCCTAACTACTCAGGAGGCTGAGGCAGGAAATTGCTTGAACCCAGGAGGTGGAGGTTGCAGTGATCTGAGATTGCGCCACTGCACTCCAGCCTGGGTGACAGAGCAAGACTCTGTCTCAAAAAAAAAAAAAAAAAAAAAGACTGAAGGATTTTTTGACAACCTAGTTAGGCAACCTAGTTTCATACCTCATGGTACTAGAGAAACAAGAAAAAACTAAACCCAAACCCAGGAGAATAAAAGAAATAACAAATAAACAACAACCAAAAAGTAGAAAAGATAAACATTAAAAAGCTGTTTTTCTGAAAAGAAACAAAATTGATAATCATTAGTGGGATTAGCCAAGAAAAGAAGGGAAAAGACCCAAATAAACTCAATTAGAAATGAAACCGGAAATATGACAAACAATACCACAGAAACACAAACCTAATTTAGGCTACTAGAACACCTTTAATGCACAAACTAGAAAATCTAGAGGAAATGGATAAATTCCAGGAAATATGCAACCCTCCTAGATTAAATCAGGAAGAAATAGAAACCCTGAACAGATCAATAACAAGCAATGAGATTGAATTGGTAATTTAAAAAAAATCGCCAACAGAAAAATTCAGAATTAGACAGATTCACAGATGAATTCTACCACGCCTTTAAAGAATTGGTACCAATTCTACTGAAACTATTCCAAAAGATAGAGAAAGAGGGAATCTTTACTAAATCATTCTATGAAGCCAGTATCACCCTAATATCAAAACCAGGAAAGGATAAAAAAAGAGAACACTACAGACCAATATCCCTGATGAACATAGACATAAAAATTCTCAACAAAATACTAGCTAAGTGGCTCCAAAAGCATATCAGAGAGATTATACATCTTGTTCAAATGGGTTTCATACCAGGGATGCAGAGATGATTTAACATACCCAGATCAAAAAATGTGATACATGACATAAACAGAATTAAAAAAGAAAACTGTATGATTATCTCAGTAGATGCAGAAAAAGCACTTGAAGAAATCCAGCATTCCTTTATGATTAAAACCTTCAACAAAACAGGCATAGAAGGAACTTACCTCAAAGTAATAAAAGCCATCTATGACAAACCCAGAGCCAACATCATACTGAATGGGGAAAAGTTGAAAACATTCTCCCTGAGAACTGGAACAAGACAAGGATGCCCATTTTCACTACTTCTACTCAGCATAGTATTAGAAGTTCCAGCCAGAGCAATCAGACATGAGAAAGAAACAAAGGTCACCCAAATTGGAAAAGAGAAACTCTAATTGTCAATGTTCATCAAGGATGTGATTGTGAACCTAGAAAGCCTTAAAGACTAATCCAAAATATCTCCTAGACCTGATAAATGAATTCAGTAAAGTCTCAGGATACAAAATCAATGAACACAAATTCACAAATTAGTATCACTGCTATACACCAACAATGACCAAGCTGAGAATCAAATCAAGAACTCAACCCCCTTTAGCCCAGTTTGGAGTGCAGAGTGTGGTAGCATAATCATAGCTCGCTGTAACTTCAAACTCCTGGGCTCAAGTTATGTTCCATCTCAGCCATCCAAGTAGCTGGGACAACAGGTTTACATCAACATGTCCAGCTAATTTTCTTATTTTGTGTGTGTGTAGAAACGAGGTCTCTTTATGTTGTCCAAACTGGTCTCCAACTCTAGGCCTCAAGCCATCCTCCCAACTCAGCCCCACAAAGTGTTGGGATTATAGGCGTGATCCACTGCACCCAGCCAATACTATTTCTATATATGGAATTATTAGCTTTTAATGGAGAAATGATCACCATGTAATAAGGCTGTGTAATAAGGCCACCAAATAATAAGTCAATGTTAAAATCATTACTTGATGCAAGTCTAGCAAAGCAAAGTGGATTTTACCTGATTACACAGCTAACGATTGTTATCTTTGGTAAACAACAACCAACTCAATTTTGTTCTTTGAATTTAGGATTTTGCAAACAGTATATACCTTCTTAAATGTGGAAATGAAACAGCACTTTGTTCATTTCTGCCTAGTTTCTTTGAAATTATTCTATCTATATCCATTTCTTTCTGGAAAACCAGTGAATACTGGTTGAGTTTTCTTTATATTTGCCCACACTAGAAAAGAGACAGAACAACAACAACAAAATAATCAGAGTACAACCCATATTGGGCATAGATACATTTTTTAATCATACATTTGTGCATGGGTTACTTTGCTTTTTTGAGAATTTGAAAGAACAAATCAAGAAATGATGCTGCCATACTTTGAAACTATGAATTTAAGGGAAGAAGATCATTATCTTTTGCCTCCAACCTGTCACATTATTCATAATTTTCTCTTTACTTTGTGTGCATGCTGGCTGCTGAGAGCATATGGTATCCCAAGCAACAATTTATGCTAAAGTGCTCTTTTTAAAATCATGGCAATTCTAGGTCATGTGGTCTTACATTGCTATGTTAGTTAACTCTTTATGTTCAAATGACTAAACTGCAAGTTCTAACACTGAATATAAACTGAGTCAACAAAAGGATATATCATCTACTTTGATAATTAATATGCTACTGGAAAAAGTCTTCCTAAGGATACTTTTTAAAAGATGTTTAATCACTCTAGCTTGTCACAGAGGAGTTAAAATTCTATGGTTGAAGAGTTTGATTCTGCATACTGCCTGGGACTATCATCGTCTTCTTCATTTCAGCCTCAACAGAAAATCTAACATCTCAGCTCCAGGAATGACTTGGCACATTAGCCTTGTCTTGAGACATCTGCTAAGGCCTAGCAAAGTTCTTGTCCCCTTTTCATGTATAAAGCTGAACATGGCAATGGAGTTTTGTGTTAGCATTTATACAGAAACGCATGTATTGAATAACTGCTGTGTATGCCTCGCATCAGAATCAAATATAATTTTTAAAAATACACAGAGGAACTTCCAGTTTCCAATTCTGCATATAAAGAGCTTAGAAGCCCTTCACTCCATCCTAACAAATAGAATGCTGAACAGACTGGAAAATCAACAACTCTACTTGAATCTGTAAGAGAGTGGGGAGTGCAGGGCACATCACCTCCCCCAAGACTGGAGAGAGAGGCAACCGCATACAGAGAGTCACAGCTTACTGGAGGGGAGAATCATGATCAGGAATCACAGCAGAAGGCTGGGTCCAGTGGTTCACCTCTAAAATTCTAAATTCCTTCAGAATTCCTTTAGAAGTTTAGACGTGAACCACTTTGGAAGTCAACTTGAGCTCAGGAGTTCAAGGCTGCAGTGAGCTATGATCACAACACTGCACTTCAGCCTGGGTGACAGGGTGATAATTTGCCTCAAAAAAAAAAAAAAAGAGGAAGAAACAAAGAAAGAAAAGAAAACAAGCAAAGAAATTGGTGCAAGAACCAATGCAGAGTAGGAAAATATGAAGTGTGATTGATGAATAGAGGCTTGGTGTGGGCAATTTTGAGGGTTGAAATTTCCGTGCCCCAGTCATGGGGGAGGGACCCCACAGTACTTTGAGATTTACCTCCAGGAACTCAAAAAGATTCCCATTATAAACGCTGAAGAAAAATCCCTTTGTGCTATGGCAAGGGAAGAGGAAAAGAAACCATTTAAATATATGCCAGACCAGCCAGGCACGGTGGCTCGTGCCTGTAATCCCAGCACTTTGGGGGGCTGAGGCAGGCGGATCACCTGAGGTCAGTAGTTCGAGACCAGCCTTGCCAACATTGTGAAACCTCCACTTTACTAAAAATACTGGGTGTTGTGGTGGGTGCCTGTAATCCCAGCTGCTTGGGAGGCTGAGGCAGGAGAATCACTTGAACCCAGGAGGCAGAGGTTGCAGTGAGCCAAGACCACGCCATTACACTCCAGCCTGGGCAACAAGAACGAAACTCCATCTCAAAATAACAATAATAATAAAATTTAAAAAAAAGCATCTGTCCTCAGGAGAAACAAGTTAACCAGAGCCTATTCTGCTAGGTTATTCACAGAGCCTAAATAACCTGGAGGCAGGAAAATACCCAAATCCTGGACCTTCTTGGCTTTCTGTACCACCTATTAGAGAAAATAAAAACTGAAAAGCACCTATGAATTCACAGTCCAGAGGTATAAGCTCACTAAAAGACTGAGACTTAAACACAGGACCATAGAATGGTTCCTTTCTCTTTACTCTTTATCACCCCATTACTAAAGACCTATTTATAGCAGCTTCTTGTACCAAGTACGTTATTTTTGGCTATCAAGAAAATGTTACAGAACAAATAATAAATGGCAATAAACAGAATTTGAAGACAGAACAAACATCAGAACATGGCAAGGATTTTGGAATGATTAGACCCGCAATTTAAAAACATATGTGATTAATATGGTAAGGACACTAAAATAATGTAGGCAACATGCAAGAACAGATGGGCCATGTAAGCAGAGGGATGGAAACATTAGGGAAGAACTAAAAAGTAATGCTAGATATCAAAAGCATTGTAACAGAAATAAAGAATAATTTTAAGGGTCTTATTAATCAGCTAATTATGAGCTTGAAAGATGTCAATACAAACCTATAAAGCTGAAAAGCAAATAGAACAAAGACTGAAAAAAAGCCAGAACAGAATATTTCAAAACTTGGGGACAGCTACAAAAGGTGTAACATATGTCTAATGCAAATAGCAGAAGAAAGGGGAAAAGAAACAAAAGAAATAAATGAAACAGTGAGGACTGAAAATTTCCCCAAATTAACTTTAGATACCAAGTCACAGATCCAGGAAGCTCAAAGAACACCAAGCAATATAAATGCCAAAAATCTACACCTACACATATTTTCTAACTACAGAAAATCCAAGATAAGGAAAAAATCTTGCAAAGAGCCAGAGGGAAATGCCACTTTGCCTACATAAGAGCAAAGATAAGACTTATATCTGACTTTGCAGAAACCGTGGAAGCAAGAAGAAAGTGGAATGAATTATTTAAGTGTTGATAGAAAAAAAAATGTAGAAATCTGTACCTGATGAAATTATCCTTAAAAAATAAAGAAGAAACACAGACTTCCTTAAGACAATCAAAAACTAAGGTAATTTATTACCAGTAGACCTCCCTTGCAATAAATTGTAAAATAAGTTCCTCAGAGAGAAGGAAAATGAGTGATATGCAAACGAAATAAGTGACAACAATGATACAAGGGATGATAGATTGGAATTAGTATTATTTTGCTATGATATTATTTTGCACTATCTGTGAAGAGGCATAGTGTTATTTGAAAGTAGACTTGCATTAGTTGTAAATGTATATGGCAAATGCTAGGACAACAACTAAAAAATTTTTAAAAGAATTATAACTAAAATACTAAAATAGGAATGAAAATGAAATAACATAAAATGCTCAAGTTAAACCGTGTAAGGCATACAAAGAGTGGAAGACAAAAATAAGAACAAGGAACAAGAGCAACAAATAAAAAACAGTAACAAATATGATATTTCTTAATCCAATGATACCAACATTTGAATATCAATGGTTTAAATCAAGCTTGTCCAACCCATGGCCCATGGGCTGCATGAGGCCCAGGATGGCTTTGAATGCAGCCTAACACAAAACTCGTAAACTTTCTTAAAACATTATGAGATTTTTTTGCGAATTTTTTTCTTTTAGCTTATCAGCTATCATTAATGTTAGTATATTTTATGTGTGGCCTTAGATAATTCTTCTTTTTCCAGTGTGGCCCAGGGAAGCTAAAACATTGGACACCCCTGGTTTAAATGTACCAATTGAAATGTACTAGTTGAAAAACAGACATTGTCAGAGTGGTTCAAAAAATAAGACTCAATTATGTGTTGTTTATAAGAAACCCACTTTGAATATAAAGATCTATCAATCTATACCCAGATATAGATTGATAGGTAGTGAGATATAGATATAGGCTGAAAGTAAATTCCTGGAGAAAGATATATCAGCTAAAAATAATCAAAAGAAAGCAGGAGTAGCAGTATTAATTTCAGACAGATCAGACTTCAGAGCAAAGGAAGTTACTTGAGATAAAGAGAAGGCACTACATTGGGAGGCTGAGGTGGGCAGATCCTGAGGTCAGGAGATCGAGAACATTCTAGCTAACATAGTGAAACCCCGTCTCTACTAAAAATACAAAAAAATTAGCTGAGTGTGGTGGCTGGCGACTGGAGTCCCAGCTACTCAGGAGGCTGAGGCAGGAGAACGGCGTGAACCCAGGAGCTGGAGCTTGCAGTGAGCCAAGATCGCGCCACTGCACTCCAGCCTGGGTGACAGAGCAAGACTCTGTCTCAAAAAAAAAACAAAAAAAGAGAAGACACTACATAATGATAAAGGGATCAAATCTCTAGGAAGACACAACAATTATTAACATGCATGCAACCTAAAAACAGAGTATCAAAATAGATGAGGCAAAACTGATAGAACTACAAGGAGAAAAAGACAAATTCACACTATTATAGTTGGAGATTTCAATACCCTTCTATGATAAATGGACCCATCAAGCAGGCAAGAATCAGTAAAAATATAGTTGAATTCAGCAGCGCTATTCAATCAACTGGATATAATTGATTTCTACAGACTGTTTCTTATAACAACATCTGAATACACATTCGTCTTAAGCTCACATGAAACATTCTAATAGAATGGGTTTTCTTTGGGGAACAGAGAGAAGAACTAAATCCTGCTTCCAGATTGGAAAAGTGATATTAATAGCGACTGCTTCCCATGGAGGAGTCATACTTAGGCTACATTTGTACTGCTCAAAGTAAAAATTACTTCCAGGATTTGAAATATGACATTTATAAAGTGCTGAACTTATTACCTGGCAAATTTGCAAGTGCTCAATGTAGAGGAGCTATTTATTAATCTCAAGTTAAGTAGTATGAGCCACAGTAATAAACAGGGAAAATAGTTGTGTTTTAATGGAGTTTGAGAAAAAAAAAAAGGAAAAAAGCCTTTTTTTTATGCTCTAAAGTTTGTTTCTATAATAAATACATCTTTCCGTCTTCTCATGCAATACATCTCTTTCATCAAAATAATCATTGTATGCTTTTGACTCCCTAGCTAAATATGGTGGCTCCACTTTAAGATATATTTTTTCTTCATCTTCAAGATCTGGCTGAATAGGGGGTAGCATTAATGGTTTTTAACATTTATGTTCGATTCATTTAATATGTGCTTCAAGGATACTCCATGATCCAAACTCTATTTGGTTTACAGATTTTTATGTTATTTTCCACACAAGACTGTGCAAAATGCAATGAATATTCATGTTGTACAAACTGTGCTGAATAATTTATTTGGCTTCAGGTGATGAAGAGGTGCTGGCCTATGAGGTCCTGTTGTTGCATGTGTGGGGGTGAGAGGGGGCGTGAGAATAGTCACCATTTGTAAAAGTGTCATGCAAGGCAGTAAACCATGGCTCCCTTGATGCTTCACACCATCCACACTGCTCAGACACCAAGAGGAGACTAAGAACACATCAACTCAAGGAGAATTTCCATTTCTCCAGAGAGGCACCTGCATCCTGGGGCAGCTAATCTCCAAGTTCTTTCTGGTGCCCTGTGAATTAAATCAGATAGACATTCTGTCACTACAGTCAGATGTGACTTTGAAAGTGAATAGCACCTTTGGGAAACAAAAATATCCCGAGGAAGTCAATTCTCAACAAAGAAGAAAAAGAAGGAAGAGGAAGAGGAAATATATATTTATGATATATATATATATCTCATTCTCACTCTCTTTCTCCTTCTCTCTCTATCCCTCTCTCTCATCAATCTTCAGGTATCTTTTAAAGTTATTTCCTGAATGTGAGAAAATCAGAAATCATCAGTGTACTAAATAAATCCCCTAACATTCTTGAGTATGCCTTGAATGTAAAGCAATCTTTTTCTAGTTATATTAATACTCAGAAGTTATAGAATGGGTGTTCATAATTAGTATTTAAATTAATTGTTTAATCAGTTTTTCAAAACAAACCCTGTTAGAATTGAATAGCGTGGCAAATTTTGGCAAGCTGAATAGAAGAGAGTGGAAGAAGGTCTGATATGATTTGACTCTATGTCCCCACCTAAATGTCATCTTGAATTGTAATCCCCACACGTTGAGGGAGGAATCCGGTAGGAGGTTATTGGATCATGCGGGCAGTTTCTCTCATGCTGTTCTCATGATAGCAAGTGAGTTCTCATGAGATCTGATGGTTTAAAAGTATTTGACAGTTTCTGCCTCACCCTCTCTCTCCCTGCTGGTGCCATGTAAGATGTGCCTTGCTTCTCCTTCACCTTCCACCATGATGATGTTTCCTGAGGCATCCCTAACCATGAAGAAATATGAGTCAATTAAACCTCTTTCTTTTATAAATTACCCAGTCTCAGGTCACTCTTTATAGCAGTATGAAAACAGACAGCAGTATGAAAACAGAAAATTGGTACTGGGAGTTTGGGGGCACTGCTATAATGATACCTAAAAATGTGGAAGTGACTTTGGAACTGGCTAACAGGCAGAAGTTGGAATGGTTGGAGGGCTCAGAAGAAGACAGGAAGATGTGGGAAAGTTTGGAACTTCTTAGAGACTTTTTGAATAGTTTTGACCAAAATGCTGATAGTGATAATGGACAATGAAGTCCAGGCTGAGATGGTCTCAGATGGAGAGGAGGAATTTATTGGGAACTGGAGTAAAGGTCACTCTTGCTATGCTTTAGCAAAGAGACTGGTGGCATTTTGCCCCTGCCCTAGAGATCTGTAGAAACTTTTAAATTGAGAGAGAATATTTAGGGTATCTAGCAGAAGAAATTTCTAAACAGCAAAGCCTTTGAGATGTGACCTGGCCTTTTCTGGAAGCATACAGTCCTATGTGTTCATGAAGAGATGGTATTAAATTGGAACTTATGTTTAAAAGGGAAGCAGAGTGTAAAATTTGGAAAATTTGCACACTGACCATGTGGTAGAAAATAAAAACCCATTTTCTGGGGAGAAATTCAAGCTGGCTGCAGAAATTTGCATAAGTAATGCGGAGCAGAACGTTAATAGCCAAGACAATGTAGAAAATGTCTCCAGAGCATGTCAGAGATCTTCACAGCAACCCCTCCCATCACAGGCTCAGGGACCTAGGAGGGAAAAATGGTTTTGTGGGCCAAGCCCAGGGCCCTGCTGTTCTGTGCAGTCTCAGGACATGGCACGCTGCATCCCTGCCACTCCAGCTTCAGCCATGACTAAAAGGGGCCAACGTATAGGCCCCTCAGCCTGTTGCTTCAGAGGATGCAAGCCCCAAGCTTTGGCAGCTTCCATGTGGTGTTGGGTCTGCAGGTGCGCAGAAGATAAGAGTTCAGTTTGGGAGCCTCCACCTAGATCTCAGAGGATGTATGGAAACTCCTGAAAGCCCAGGCAGAAGTCTGCTGCAGTGATGGAGTCATGGAGAACCTCTGCTAGAGAAATGCAGAGAAAAATATGGGATTGGGGCTCCCACACAGAGTCCCATTGGGGCAGTGCCTGGTGGAGCTGTGAGAAGCGGACCACTGTTCTCCAGACCCCAGAATGGTAGAGCCACTGACAACTTGCATTGTGCACCTGGAAAAGCTGCAGGCACTCAACACCAGCCTGTGAAACCAGCCGCGGGGACTACCCTGCAGGGCCACACAGGCAGAGCTGCCCAAGGCCTTGAGAACTCACCTCTTGCATCAGCATGCCCTGGATATTAGACATGTAGTCAAAGGAGATTATTTTGGAGCTTTAAGATTTAATAAATGCCAGCTGGGTTTTGTTCTTGCATGGGACCTGTGGCCTCTTTGTTTTGGCCAATTTCTCCCATTTGGAATGAGAACATTTACCCAATGCCTGTACCCCAATTGTATCTTGGAAATAACTAGCTTTTTTTTTTATTTTATTTTATTTATTTTTTTGAGATGGAGTCTCGCTCTGTCACCCAGGCTGGAATGCAGTGATGCGATCTCATCTCACTGCAGGCTCTGCCTCCCAGGTTCATGCCATTCTCCTGCCACAGTCTCCCGAGTAGCTGGGACTACAGGCACCTGCAGCCATGCCCAGCTAATTTTTTTGTATTTTTTCAGTAAAGATGGGGTTTCACCATGTTAGCCAATATGCTTGTTTTTTGTTTTACAGGCTCATAGGTGGAAGGGACTTGAGTTGTCTCAGATGACTTTGAACTTGGATTTTTGAGTTAATGTTGGAATGCATTAGGACTTTGGGGGACTGTTGGGAAAACATGATTGGTTTTGAAATGAGAAAAGAACATGAGATTTGGGAGGGGTCAGGGGCAGAATGATATGGTTTGGCTCTGTGTCCCCAAATAAATGTCATCTTGAATTGTAATCCCCACATATTGAGGGAGGAACATGGTGAGAGGTTATTGGATCATGGGGGCAGTTTCCCTCATGCTCTTCTCATGATAGCAAGTGAGTTCTCATGAGATCTGATGGTTTAAAAGTGTTTGACAGTTTCTGCCTCCCTCTCTCTCTCTTTACTGCCTCTATGTAAGATGTGCCTTGCTTCTTCTTTGCCTTCCACCATGTTTCCTGAGCCCTCGCCAACCATGAGGAACTGTGAGTCAATTAAACCTCTTTTCTTTATAAATTATCCAGTCTCAGATCATTCCTTATAGCAGTGTGTAAACAGACTAATACAAGGTCTAACAGTCAGTTGAGTTCAAAAGAAAGACTTTCTAATAGAATCTAGAATTTCTATTATATAAATCATCATAAATAAAATAATTTCTAATTTCATTTTTTGGAAAATTCATAAATAATCCATGAAAATTTATGCCCTTTAAGCTAGAATGATTCTGTATATTTGTTGTTTCTAAATGTATTTTACAGAATACTATTTCAGGGTACCTAAATAGGTACAAAAAAAGTTATAACTTGTAAAATGAGTTTACATCTCAATCTAGAATCTAGCAACTGTTCTGTGCACATTGCCTGATAAATGGTACTGAAAATTATGTGGTTAAAAAAAGTATAATATTTTCTAAATCTTGTGTCCATGAAGCATGTTTTCCCCTCAGTATACCACCTGTAAAGAAATTCCAAAACTGTGTAGAGTGATCATGAATTTGAAGAAATAATTTGGATCCTTGGGTTCTGGGAATACAAAGATAAATAAGCCACAGTACATACCTTTAAGTACAGCACAGAATATTTATCATAAGGAGAGACGAGGGCAGCCAAGATGGCCGAATACAAACAGCTCCGGTCCACAGCTCCCAGCCTGAGTGACACAGAAGATGAGTGATTTCTGCATTTCCATCTGAGGTACGGGGTTCATCTCACTAGGGAGTGCCAGACAGTGGGCGCAGGGCACTGGGAGCAGCGCACCATGCGCGAGCCAAAGCAGGACGAGGCATTGCCTCACTCGGGAAGTGCAAGGGGTCAGGGAGTTCCATTTCCTAGTCAAAGAAAGGGGTGACAGATGGCACCTGGAAAATCGGGTCACTCCCACCCTAATACTGCACTTTTCCAATGGGCTTAAAAAATGGCACACCAGGAGATTATAGCCTGCACCTGGCTTGGAGGGTCGTACACCCACGGAGTCTCACTGATTGCTAGCACAGCAGTCTCATATCAAACTGCAAGGTGGCAGCTAAGCTGGGGGAGGGACACCCGCCATTGCCCAGGCTTGCTCAGGTCAACAAAGCAGCCAGGAAGCTCGAACTGGGTGGAGCTCACCACAGCAAAAGGAGGCCTGCCTGCCTTTGTAGGCTCCACCTCTGGGGGCAGGGCACAGACAAAAAGACAGCAGTAACCTCTGCAGACTTAAATGTCCCTGTCTGACTGCTTTGAAGAGAGCAGTGGTTCTCCCAGCATGCAGCTGGAGATCTGAGAAGGAGCAGACTGCCTCCTCAAGTGGGTCCCTGCCCCTGACTGGGAGGCACCCCCCAGTAGGGGCAGACTGACACCTCACACGGCCAGGTACTCCTCTGAGACAAAACTTCCAGAGGAACAATCAGACAGCAGCATTCGCGGTTCATGAAAATCCTCTGTTCTGCGGCCACTGCTGCTGATACCCAGGCAAACAGGTCTGGAGTGGACCTCTAGCAAACTCCAACAGACCTGCAGCTGAGGGTCATGTCTGTTAGAAGGAAAACTAACAAACAGGACATCCACACCAAAAACCCATGTGTACATCACCATCATCAAAGACCAAAAGGAGATAAAACCACAAAGATGGGGAAAAAACAGAGCAGAAAAACTGGAAACTCTAAAAACAGAGTGACTCTCCTCCTGCAAAGGAATGCAGCTCCTCACCAGCAACGGGACAAAGCTGGATGGAGAATGACTTTGACGAGTTGAGAGAAGAAGGCTTCAGATGATCAAACTACTCCGAGCTACAGGAGGAAATTCAAACCAAAGGCAAAGAAGTTAAAAACTTTGAAAAAAATTTAGACAAATGTATAACTAGAATAACCAATACAGAGAAGTGCTTAAAGGAGCTGACGGAGCTCAAAGCCAAGGCTCGAGAACTATTTGAAGAATGCAGAAGCTTCAGGAGCAGATGCAATAAAGTGGAAGAAAGGTTATCAGTGATGGAAGATGAAATGAATGAAATGAAGCGAGAAGGGAAGTTTAGAGAAAAAACAGTAAAAACAAATGAACAAAGCCTCCAAGAAATATGGGACTATATGAAAAGACAAAATCTACATCTGATTGGTGTACCTGAAAGTGACAGGGAGAATGGAACCAAGTTGGAAAACACTCTGCAGGATATTATCCAGGAGAACTTCCCCAATCTAGCAAGGCAGGCCAACATTCAGATTCAGGAAATACAGAGAACGCCACAAAGATACTCCTCGAGAAGATCAACACCAAGACACATAATTGTCAGATTCACCAAAGTTGAAATGAAGGAAAAAATGTTAAGGGCAGCCAGAGAGAAAGGTCGGGTTACCCACAAAGGGAAGCCCATCAGACTAACAGCAGATCTCTTGGCAGAAACTCTACAAGTCAGAAGAGAGGGGGAGGCCAATATTCAACATTCTTAAAGAAAAGAATTTTCAACCCAGAATTTCATAGCCAGCCAAACTAAGCTTCATAAACGAAGAAGACATAAAATACTTTACAGACAAGCAAATGCTGAGAGATTTTGTCACCACCAGGCCTGCCCTAAAAGAGCTCCTGAAGGAAGCACTAAACATGGAAAGGAACAACCAGTACCAGCCACTACAAAATCATGCCAAAATGTAAAAACCATCGAGACTAGGAAGAAACTGCATCAACTAACGAGCAAAATAACCAGCTAACACTATAATGACAGGACAAATTCACACATAACAATATGAACTTTAAATGTAAATGGACTAAATGCCCCAATAAAAAGACACAGACTGGCAAATTGGATAGAGTCAAGACCCGTCAGTGTACTGTATTCAGGAAACCCATCTCACATGCAGAGACACACATAGGCTCAAAATAAAAGGATGGAAGAAGATCTACCAAGCAAATGGAAAACAAAAAAAGGCAAGGGTTGCAATCCTAGTCTCTGATAAAACAGACTTTAAACCAACAAAGATCACAAGAGACAAAGAAGGCCATTACATAATGGTAAAGGGATCAATTCAACAAGAGGAGCTAACTATCCTAAATATATATGCACCCAATACAGGAGCACCCAGATTCATAAAGCAAGACCTGAGTGACCTACAAAGAGACTTAGACTCCCACACAATAATAATGGGAGACTTTAACACCTCACTGTCAACATTAGATAGGTCAATGAAACAGAAAGTTAACAAGGATACCCAGGAATTGAACTCAGCTCTGCACCAAGTGGACCTAATAGACATCTACAGAACTCTCCACCCCAAATCAAGAGAATATACATTTTTTTCAGCACCACACCACACCTATTCCAAAATTGACCACATAGTTGGAAGTAAAGCTCTCCTCAGCAAATTGAAAATAACAGAAATTATAACAAACTGTCTCTTAGACCACAGTGCAAACAAACTAGAACTCAGGATTAAGAAACTCACTCAAAACCGCTCACCTACATGGAAACTGAACAACCTGCTCCTGAATGACTACTGGGTACATAACGAAATGAAGGCAGAAATAAAGATGTTCTTTGAAACCAACGCGAACAAAGACACAACATACCAGAATTTCTGTGACACATTCAAAGCAGTGTGTAGAGGGAAATTCATAGCACTAAATGCCCACAAGAGAAAGCAGGAAGGATCCAAGATTGACACCCTAACATCACAATTAAAAGAACTAGAAAAGCAAGAGCAAACACATTCAAAAGCTAGCAGAAGGCAAGAAATAACTAAAATCAGAGCAGAACTGAAGGAAATAGGGACACAAAAAACCCTTCAGAAAACTAAAGAATGCAGGAGTTGGTTTTTTGAAAGGATCAACAAAACTGATAGACCACTAGCAAGACTAATAAAGAAAAAAAGAGAGAAGAATCAAATAGACGCAATAAAAAATGATAAAGGGGATATCACCACCAATCCCACAGAAATACAAACTTCCATCAGAGAATACTACAAACACCTCTACGCAAATAAACTAGAAAATCTAGAAGAAATGGAAAAATTCCTCTACACATACACCCTCCCAAGGCTAAACCAGGAAGAAATTGAATCTCTGAATAGACCAATAACAGGCTCTGAAATTGTGGCAGTAATCAATAGCTTACCAACCAAAAAGAGTCCAGGACCAGATGGATTCACAGCCAAATTCTACCAGAGGTACAAGGAGGAACTGGTACCATTCCTTCTGAAACTATTCCAATCAACAGAAAAAGAGGGAATGCTCCCTAACTCATTTTATGAGGCCAGCATCATCCTGATACCAAAGCCTGGCAGAGACACAACCAAAAAAGAGAATTTTAGACCAATATCCTTGATGAACATTGATGCAAAAATCCTCAATAAAATACTAGCAAACCGAATCCAGCAGCACATCAAAAAGCTTATCCATCATGATCAAGTGGGCTCTATCCCTGGGATGCAAGGCTGGTTCAATATACGCAAATCAATAAATATAATCCAGCATATAAACAGAACCAAAGACAAAAACTACATGATTATCTCAATAGATGCAGAAAAGGCCTTTGACAAAATTCAACAGCCTTCATGCTAAAAACTCTCAATAAATTAGGTATTGATGGGACATATCTCAAAATAATAAGAGCTATCTATGACAAACCCACAGCCAATATCATACTGAATGGGCAAAAACTGGAAGCATTCCCTTTGAAAACTGCCACAAGTCAGGGATGCCCTCTCTCACCACTCCTATTCAACATAGTGTTGGAAGTTCTGGCCAGGGCAATTAGGCAGGAGAAGGAAATAAAGGGTATTCAATTAGGAAAAGAGGAAGTCAAATTGTCCCTGTTTGCAGATGACATGATTGTATATCTAGAAAACCCCATTGTCTCAGCCCAAAATCTCTGTAAGCTGATAAGCAACTTCAGGAAAGTCTCAGGATACAAAATCAATGTACAAAAATCACAAGCATTCTTATACACCAATAACAGACAGAGAGCCAAATCATGAGTGAACTCCCATTCACAATTGCTTCAAAGAGAATGAAATACCTAGGGATCCAACTTACAAGGGACATGAAGGACCTCTTCAAGGAGAACTACAAACCACTGTTCAATGAAATAAAAGAGGATACAAACAAATGGAAGAACATTCCATGCTCATGGGTAGGAAGAATCAATATCGTGAAAATGGCCATACTGCCCAAGGTAATTTATAGATTCAATGCCATCCCCATCAAGCTACCAATGACTTTCTTCACAGAATTGGAAATAACTACTTTAAAGTTCATATGGAACCAAAAAAGAGCCTGCATCACCAAGTCAATCCTAAGCCAAAAGAACAAAGCTGGAGGCATCACACTACCTGACTTCAAACTATACTACAAGGCTACAGTTACCAAAACAGCATGGTACTGGTACCAAAACAGAGATATAGATCAATGGAACAGAACAGAGCACTCAGAAATAATGCCACATATCTACAACTATCTGATCTTTGACAAACCTGAGAAAAACAACAATGGGGAAAGGATTCCCTATTTAATAAATGGTGCTGGGAAAACTGGCTAGCCGTATGTAGAAAGCTGAAACTGGATCCCTTCCTTACACCTTAGACAAAAATTAATTCAAGATGGAGTAAACACTTAAACGTTAGACCTAAAACCATAAAAACCCTAGAAGAAAATCTAGGCAATACCATTCAGGACATAGGCATGGGCAAGGACTTCATGTCTAAAACACCAAAAGCAATGGCAACAAAAGCCAAAATTGACAAATGGGATCTAATTAAACTAAAGAGCTTCTGCACAGCAAAAGAAACTACCATCAGAGTGAACAGGCAACCTACAAAATGGGAGAAAATTTTCGCAACCTACTCATCTGACAAAGGGCTAATATCCAGAATCTACAATGAACTCAAACAAATTTACAAGAAAAAAACAAACAACCCCATCAAAAAGGGGGTGAAGGACATGAACAGACACTTCTCAAAAGAAGACATTTATGCAGCCAAAACACACATGAAAAAATGCTCACCATCACTGGCCATCAGAGAAATGCAAATCAAAACCACAGTGAGATACCATCTCACACCAGTTAGAATGGCAATCATTAAAAAGTCAGGAAACCACAGGTGCTGGAGAGTATGTGGAGAAATAGGAACACTTTTACACTGTTGGTGGGACTGTAAACTAGTTCAACCATGGTGGAAGACAGTGTGGCGATTCCTCAAGGATCCAGAACTAGAAATACCATTTGACCCAGCCATCCCATTACTGGGT
The DNA here is from genome assembly GCF_000001405.40 of Homo sapiens. Taxonomy (NCBI): domain Eukaryota; kingdom Metazoa; phylum Chordata; class Mammalia; order Primates; family Hominidae; genus Homo; species Homo sapiens. The sequence goes on along the minus strand of NC_000005.10, from coordinate 45,743,581 downwards.
ATATACCCAAAGGACTATAAATCATGCTGCTGTAAAGACACATGCACACGTATGTTTATTGTGGCATTATTCACAATAGCAAAGACTTGGAACCAACCCAAATGTCCAACAATGATAGACTGGATTAAGAAAATGTGGCACACATACACCATGGAATACTATGCAGCCATAAAAAATGATGAGTTCATGTCCTTTGTAGGGACATGGATGAAATTGGAAATCATCATTCTCAGTAAACTATTGCAAGGACAAAAAACCAAACACTGCATGTTCTCACTCATAGGTGGGAATTGAACAATGAGAATACATGGACACTAGAAGGGGAACATCACACTCTGGGGACTGTTGTGGGGTGGCGGGAGTGGGGAGGGATAGCATTAGGAGATATACCTAATGCTAAATGACGAGTTAATGGGTGCAGCACACCAGCATGGCACATGTATACATATGTAACTAACCTGCATATTGTGCACATGTACCCTAAAACTTAAAGTATAATAATAATAACATAAAATAAAATAAAATAATAAAATAAAATAAAATAAAATAAAATAAAATAAAATAAAGTAAAATAAAAGACCTCCTAAGACTGTGGCACAGGAATGTCCTTAACCTTGGCAAAATAAACTTCTAAACTGATAAAAAAAAAAAAAAAAAGAAAGAAAATTTAACATAAGGAACCACCACAATTATAAAAATATGTTCAACACTACTACTAGTAATAAAATCATAAAATTTATGTTTCCAAAGTAGTAAATACTAGGAAGTAATTGACTTTGCCAAGAAATGGTGGTGTCACAGAGAAAGTAAAAGGAAAGACTTTTTTCCCTGAGTTATTTTCTGCTTACAAAAAGTCTCTAAAAAAGAATTGGGTTTCACTTTTCTTCTTGATGCTTTTGTTTGACTCCCTGATGGAATAAGATTTTTTTGTTGCTGTTCTTCTGGAATACCAATTCTCTTTTGATTGTAATCCTTGTGTATATTATATTTCTACTATTCAAATTATTACTGTTATATATTTTGTTGTTCTACTTCTTTTGTGAAAACTGAAGTCATGTTCTTCTGAAGACTAGAGATGATCCAACAAAGCCTGTGACTCTCCCTCATTTGGAATCCTACTGGCCCGATCTGTTTTCCATTGCCAACACACTGCTGCTAAAGCTATACCATATCAAACACTCTCCCTAAAGGCTCAGCGACCATTATAGAAGAGGAAGGCAAGTGAGATTGTAAGAGCCAAACTAGGGAGGTGGAGTGTGGAAGCCAAAGCAACTCCATCTTGAATGCTAATCTTCCATGTGGGCTTCTGATTAACCTCAGTTCCAGGAGTGCCTCAGATTTTCAGTATATCTATTGTCCCTTATGAACAAATACTGTAAATCCTGCCTTTAAGGCAAATTCCCACCCATTCTCTATGAAGCAAGTGTGCCCTTCCCCTATGGTATATAATCCCTGGGTCTGGCAGGTAATGGTGCAGGTCTCACCACTGCCTGAGACACAGACATGGCTTCTGTTTGAATGTTTCTATTAAATCTTTATTCCTGAGGAAAGAAAAACAAATATGAGTTTCAAAGAATTGGGAAGAGAAAACAGAAACTGTCGACAAATTCTTGAAATTTTTTAAGTAAGGAAAATACAAATCAAATTTTTTTAAAGTAAATTAACCTAACTGAAATAATAAGGATGAATGTGAGAGGGCAGTGATACACTTGAAAGAAATAGCTGAGTGATGGCAGAGAACTCACTGAATGCTTTTCTTATCATTTTGCTGTTGTGTTGTTTGCTTCTACCTTTGTGGCTGAGAAGAATATCTCAAAACTCATTACTTACATTTGGGACTGTGGATCAGGTTCCTTTTACTTCTAATTCAACCAGATTATGTATTAATTAAGTTTTTGGGTGCTGGTCTAGAGTGTCGACAACCACTGTGAAGGTTGCAAACTATTGGGGTACAAGTTATGTTTTAACAGGTCAAACATTGCCAGGATAATCATATGTTTTCAGGGACTAGCTGCTGACTTATTCTGTTTCCAGGCAGCAGGATGTGTGATAACTGCTTGAAAGTAAGTAGAAAACCTAATCAAGAATGCCCTTATGCCTTCTGAGATCTGGCAAGAAAAGAAGAGCACCATTATGCTCCATTCCAAATTTAAGGGCAGCTGAGAGCCAGCAAAGTCCAACCTTCTGCGTGATGGTGAAGCATGGATTTTCCACCCACATCACAGCTGGCTTCTCGAGTTGTCTCATCAGTGTCACCTACAAAGCATTCTTTGCCTGAGATAATTTGGCAGAATCTCCCACCCTGGGACATTGGAATGCGGCCAATCTATCAGCACGGAAGTTAGCTTGCGGAAAGCTCACATAGTTGTTGACTGTAGGGCTGATTGAAGGAGGGTGATTCTGAGCAGCTTGGATGGTAAAATCTCCTTATGGACATAACAATTTATTACTCAGGTTTTTGGAAGCAATGTACACTATTTTTCAGGCAATAAAAATCTCCACAGATAATCTGATTTTGTTTGCTTATTTTGTTTTTTTTTATTTCATTAAAATATAACTACGTGAAATAAGGGAGCACCTATCAGCAAAAGAGTTTGGCAGACCATAAAGCTGAGCACCCCAAAAGACCTTGAATTTCAAAATAGGTGCACTCTATTCACAAATGAGGGTACTCTGCCATCTTGAACCAACAGTAGGATTATTGGGGAATATTTGTGGTATTTTATTTAGGGACTTATAATTAGTGGGAGCATCTAGTCAGCCCCATTGATTTCTCCTGCAAACCCACCCTTATAATTAAAAGCAAATGGCTGTCATGATACAGAGTTTATTTGCTCCAAGTTAAAGAGAAAGAGCTGTTTGTGAAAATTTTAGTAATGTGTTAGGAAAGGCTGAAGTTCCAACTGTGAGCCTTGGCATGGTAAAATAAAGCTCTGGTTGTTGTGGTACAAGAGGTCAGGGGAAGGGCTGCTCTTTAGGTTATGTGACCTAAGACAAAGTTGGCCTGTGAAAACACTCTGCTCATATGTATAGAGCAATAGCCAGTACTACCCTTCAAAGGAAAGATTTGTTAGGAAAAAAAAAAAAGTCAATCGCAGAAGATTCCCACACCAGCTAACCATAGCAGGTGACCTGGTCTTTTTTTTGTTCTTAAACATGAACTGATAATGGAGAATCATCAGATAGTTGAAGAAAATCAACAGTGTAGGAGAGAAAAGCCTACATAAAGGAAGAGGACAACTAATATTAAGGGGAAAAGAATCTACTTACTTTGAGAATCAGAATAAATACAAGATACTATGGTGACTTGCTCTAGTGAATTGTGCACTTTCCAACCGATTCACCCAGAATCTTAAGGTTATTCAAAATTATATTTAGTTTGTGCATGCAATAATGGGAAATTTCAATTATTTCACCTATTGAAGGCATTGTGAAATACTCTATTTTTCTCAAGTCCATTGGGTCACTTTTCAAATTAAACATCCATTCCATGCCTCTGTTCATTTTCAAGTCAGTAGTGGAGAAATGAAGGTGGAGATGACAATACAAGTTAATGCTTTGTATTCAGCAGGTGAATGTCCTTCCTCCCTTCTCTCAAGACACCATATGTAGAACACGTTGCATAAATATTGATACATCTATACGTTAGGTGAAGTATTCCAACAAAAATTCCACAAATATATGGAGAGGTATATAAATGATAGAGATATATAGGTAGATAGACAGATAATATTCACATATATCTCCATTTAGAGATATAAACATGGAGATGAATACAGATGTAGACATGGCTATTAGAAGTATATGGAGACGTTGTTAGCTAGAAGAAAAAAATCTGAGTTATGTCCATATTATCTAGAAAGGTATACAGTTATAGTATAATACAGAGGGAAAATAATGTCATAATAAACTAGTCAGAAACATACAGAACCTGGGAGGTGGAGCAGAGCATTTCTGTACTTTTCTCTTTAAATCATTTCTCAGTTTGCACAGAGCTCTCTTGGGTGGACCTCAGAGTATTTTCTGTCTCCCTTCCTTCTCTCATACAGTCTCACCTACTCAGTCTTTTCCATGATTTTCGTCTTCTTCTGAACTCTGTCCTGGAGATGGGCCTCAAAATCTCCAAATTCACAGGCAGCATGACCCTTTTCTGGAATGATAGAAATAGGTCGCTCCAGTTGCAATGGACAAGCTGACTATTAATGTTTATGTAATCAGAATTAAGCCTGCACAATTTTGGTGATGTGTCCAAAGTGGACTGCACATGCTCCAGGGGTGCGTGGAATGATCTATCAGAGTGCAGTAATATAATAGTCACAATTCTGTTTATATTCTGCCTTTTAAAATTATTTAAAATATATATTTTTATAATGCTCTATAGTGCGTAATTTATACACACACATAGTAGTATATAAAATAAACTAAATATACATACATAAATTTGCATATATTTCAGGCTTAATTTGTTTAGCTGAGAAAGGTGTACTATCAAAGGCTATTCTAGAAGATAAATTATTATTGATATTACTTACTTTAATATGTTAATTTTGCTGCATTTTATATTAATAATAACTATTACAACAGAAAACAATGTTTTGGCAGGGCACTTTGCTCATGCTTGTAATCCCAGCACTTTGGGAGCCAAGGCAGGAGGATCTATTGAGCCCAGGAATTGTTGACCAGCCTGGGCAATTTGGTGAGATCCCATCTCTACAAAAAACAGAAAATGAAAACTAGCCGGATGTGGTGGTGTGCATTTGTAGTCGCAGCTACTGTAAGGAGGCTGAGGTGGGAGAATTGCTTGAGCCTGGGAAATTGAGGCTGCAGTGAGCTGAGATCACACCACTGCACTCTAGATTGGGTGACACAGAAATAAATAAATAAAATAAAGCACTGCTTTTTTATATCATCTTAAAAAATTTGTATCCCCACTGGGAATAAAGGGAATGAAAGAAGTGAAAGAAAGAATAGCTTACCCTGCCCTATAAAATCGTAAATTTAAAGGAAGTATCAAAGAGCTATAACAAATTTAAAGATAATAAAAAGTTTGTGGTTTTCAAAGAACTTGTCAACTCTCACAGGAGGAAGTAAAGTGTGCAGAAGGAACTTTGGGTCACTAGTTGCCTTTAATGTGCTGTGTTCTAACTGTCTCCCCATTACACTCTTGTCTTCTTCAGTCTCTGCCACACAGCAGCCATGGGGATCCTCCACCCTCGTAAATCAGAGTATGTCATTACCCTGGTATCAGCCTTTCAGTTCTGCCCATTTCACTCTGCATAAAATTTAAAGCCCTGATTATGTTCATAGAGCCCTATATGATTGGGTCCTGGCTACCTCTAGGATCACCTTTTTCACTGCTCTTTCCCCTCGTTCACTGTCTTAACATAACAAACATATTCCCTTCTACCTCAGGGATCTGTTTTCCAGTTCTTTCTGCATTTAATATTCTTCTTTTCTATATTCATATGGCTCCCTTTCTCTCCTTTATTCATTTCTCCTTCAAATGCCAGCACCATTTTAAATGACCGTTGTAACTAAACTAGGATCCTTATGTGACTTTATATCCTCTTAAATCATTTCTAATGATCCTGTTAGCCCTTCCTTCTTGGCACATCATATGGATATTGAATAAAAAGCTCAGCAGGGAAAATTCACTCAGTCCTCTTGACTTCAAATTTCTCATCTAAAAACAGGAAAGAGTAAATCAATTTCTAGGAATCTGCCAATACCCATGCAACTTCATAAGGAAAATATATTTGTTAGATTAAGTTTGGTTTAGTGGTGGTCGTTTTACTCAGCAATCATATTTTTTGGAAGTTTCTTGGGGGATTGGTAATTTTTTCTCCAATATTTAGCAATACTAACGTGTTCTCTTGAGATGGGCGAGACTATTGAAACAGATTTCTTTCCAGATGGAGATGATGGGGATCAGTGAAGCAGTGAGGAAGGCTACAAGCCTTCTTCCAACATTTGCAGATTCCAGGGCAAGAGACCCATAAACATGTTTCTAAATATCTAAAGATTATAAATCAAACTATTTTCATAGCCTAGACTAGTTCCCCGCAGATTCCCCACTCTCACCCAAAACTGTTCCTTAGATATAGAATATGGGATCTAGAGGCTGAAGGGGGCACGATTTTCCCAGCCAGCCTAGCTGTCTAGCTGTCTAGCAGCCTAACTGGAAATAAGGACCTGAGGTAACAAGGCAGGGCAGAGCCTGGGTGGTGACAGATCCTGCCTGGACCTATGACAAGTCAGGCTTCCCAACGAGCCAGAGAGAGCAACTTTCCTCCCCCAATACATCACTTTTCTGAGTCAGAATTTCCAGGCAGGTCTAGCTACGCCACCCACTTTCAGATATTTGGGACCGTGAAGCTTGAACACTCTCTGGTTTTCCCAGACAAAGATTGTAATTTTCTCATCTCACCACCCTCCAACAAACACATACACACACACACATAAACACACACACACACACACACACACACACAGCCTCCACACACTTCCCCTCTGGTATGAGTGGCTCCGTTCAGATCAATTGTCCTTTTCCTGTAATTTTCATAACCCAAGTTATTACCAAACCTCCAAAAACTTTTCTATTTCTTTGTTGTTGTTGTTGTTTTTCTTGTTGTTGTTGTTGTTGTTGAGACAGGGTCTCGCTCTAGTCACCCAAGCTGAAGTGCAGTGGCATGATCCTGGCTCAGTGCAGCCTCCACCTCCCAGGCCCAAGAGATCCTCCTGCTTCAGCTTCCTGAGTAGCTGGAACGACAGGTGTGCATCACCACAGTTTTACTTTTGTAGACATGGTGTCTCACTGTGTTACCCAGGCTGGTCTCAAACTCCTGGCCTCAAACAGTACTCTCGTTTTGGCCTCCCAAAGTGTTAGGATTATAGGCCTGAGCCACTGCACCCAGCCCAAAACTTTTCTTATGTACCCCAAATACAACAAAACATCTTTGTGTATTGCTATTTGTAATATGTGGGATCTTCTCAGTCTTCGGTTCCAGAGTAAAGATTCCTCTTTCCCAGGTGTGAGGGCAGGACTGGTCAACCATATCATGCAGATTATCCAGAAAATGACTCAGTTGTCAGGGGTCCACTGACTTACTCTGACCTTTGGACACTCCACTTAACACCTCAGGAATGTTTTTTCCTTTCTGTATAATCATTTTAGCAATGAAAAAGAATCTCTACCTCTATCATGAGAACATATACAAGGTCAGTTTTAATACCTTGAGATTGCTTCATGGGAAATCCAGAACAATTCAGAAACTTGGGCTATCTTAAATAATGTACCCTCTAGATGTTTTAGAGAAAATGTTAATAATTTTTGTGTCTACAATTTTTATCGAATAATAAACAATTTGCATTCTACTCGTTATCAAAAAGAATCTTTCCTTCAGTTAATCTAAGTTAAATAATAAGTTATAATAACACCTTTATGTAATAACTAATATACTAGTCATTTAATATTTATATGTTAATTATATATTGGTAATTACATGATATTATATAAAATTAATTAATAATTTACATGTTATTAATTATATGATATTAATGTAAATTTAGTTGCAAATAGATAAATAGTTAGTAAAATATACTATTTAGCTAATAGGAAAGTTGTTATTAATTGAATTCTCATTTAGGATAATTAGACTTTATTTTAGGAGCACAGACTGGACCATTGTATGTACCAAGGTTGAGAGACTATGGATGGACCTGAGTAAGAACCATCTAAAAAAAGATGATTATTATAACTGTTGTAATTGTAATTACAATAATAATATTTTAAAAGTTCTAAATACATTTTTTACACATTCTAGGTGTCAGATATATTAACTTTTCATTTAAAGATGTCATGTTAGCACATATGTTAACCTTGGCTCTATGGAAAAGTTGAATTCAAACAATAAATATGTCAACATATTTACTGAGTTTCAATTTAGGATAAGGCATAATGTTCTAAGAGGGATTCAAAGTTGGGTAAGACATCCTTGATCCTAAGCATGTATTAACCAGTGCATATATTAGTATAGTATAACTTAAAATACACTTAAGTAATACAGGTGTTTAGAAACAAATTACTCCCAGTTAAGAAACTAGACATGGCTTTGCAAATAAAGCCTCACAAAGAAATGGCATCACAGTATTTAGTAAAATACAATTTCTACTCTAAATAAAGACATCTGAATAAAAAGCAATTTCTATTTTCATTTATATATATTTAAATTTATATGGTATTCTTGTGTGTGTATAAAATCTTCAAAAAGCCTTTTTACGGCCAGGCGCGGTGGCTCACGCCTGTAATCCCAGCACTTTGGGAGGCCGAGGTGGGCGGATCACGAGGTCAGATCAAGACCATCCTGGCTAACACGGTGGAACCCCGTCTCTACTAAAAATACAAAAAATTAGCCGGGCATGGTGGCAGGTGCCTGTAGTCCCAGCTACTCGGGAGGCTGAGGCGGGAGAATGGCGTGAACCCAGGAGGCGGAGCTTTCAGTGAGCCGAGATTGCACCATTGCACTCCAGCCTAGGCGACAGAGCAAGACACCATCTCAAAAAAAAAAAAAAAAAGCCTTTTTATATGTATTATCATAAACGTCCTGAAAGCTGGCCAGCTATCTCATATTATTAATATTACAGATAAGGTTGTGACCTGACAGTTCTCTTGAGTTCATAAAAGAAGGGCTAACATTGGAATTCATAAGTCTTAGAGTGCTTTTCACTCACATGATGTTTCTCTTTTCAAATGAGACATGGTGAATTTCGCCATGAAAAATCGAATTTATTTTAATATGTCTAAGCAATATATAATTAGATAATAGACTTATGAGTCAGTTATGGATCCAATAAAATGGGTAGAGGTTAGGTTATCTGAGCTACTTTTTAAATAGGAGTTGACTAGTCTTAAGCTATTTCTCAAATCTGAGATGAGGATGCTTGGGGGCTCATTTGTTCCTAAGGTCAATGTCTAAGTGCTCAGTACATGTTATCCATTATTACTTTTAGACTCTTTTTCAGTTCAGTGGAAAACCAGTAAAATCTTCAGCTCAAACAGAAACCCTAGGCAGCAGACACCAAACTCTGTGCCCAGCAGTGGGTGGGGACAGATATTTTAGAACATTGCTCTCACTCTGAGCCAGAGACATTTGCCAGGAAGGCTGCTGGTGATAGTCTTATTGTAGCAATTGGCTTCATAGTTCTTAATTCATCACAATTTCTTCATTGTCAAAAGTGAGAAAGACAAAAGAAGGAAGAGGAAGAACATTTGACATACTATACTAATAACTGCCTAATTCCGCCTGTTTTCGCCTCCCAATTTATGTGAAGGAAGTTTGAAAACTGATACTAATCTCAGAAAAAAAAATGTAGCTGGAGCTGCAAGGATGACCAAGGTCTGGTCAATAATGAGATAAATCAAGTTCAGAGAATCTCAATACTGTCTGTTTACAAGTAAATTTTTTTACAGATGTGATTTGATTACTTTTTTCTACAGTATTTCTGAAAGGAACATTCTCCTTTGTTCATAATTAATAAACTGATTTTATTTTATCTATCTCCACACTAGATTGTGATCCTCTGCTATAGTTTGAATATTTGTCCCTTCCAAAACTCATGTTGAAATTTAATGGCCATTATAACAGTATTAAGAAATGGAACTCTTAGGAAGTAATTAGGTCATGAGGGTAATCCCCTCATGGATGAGATGGGTGCTGTTAAATAAAGGACAAGTTCAGCCCTCTCTTGCTCTCTCTTGGCCTTTTGCCTTCTGCCAAGGGATAATACAGCAGGAAGGCACTCAACAGACTCTGATCCCCAGATTTTGGACTGTCCAGCCTTCAACACCTTGAGCCAATAAATTTTTGTTCATTATATTTCCAGTCTCAGGTATTCTGCAACAACATCACAAAATGGACTCCAAGGTGGAAAAAAATGTATTCTCTTTGATGTCATCTAGCCCTATAATAATGCTGAGCACAGGACAGTTCACAAATGAATAATTAATGATATTAAGTATGTCTTACATAAGGAATCCAACTGACAATCTCATGAAACTATCTAGACACTTACAAAAAATAATTGAGTACAGATCTGATATGCAACCCAAATAGAAATGCTATAATGAACACCAAGAAACATTCCACTGAAAATGGAAAAGAAGCACTGGCAATATAAGAATAATTTTTAATTTGTAGATTCTACAAATATCTGAAGATTGTAATTGCAGATAAAATGATACAGTTTTGGCTGGGCACAGCAGCTCACGTTTGTAATCCCAGCACTTTGGGAGGCTGAGGTGGGTGGATGATGAGGTCAGGAGCTTGACACCAGCCTGACCAACATGGTGAAACCCCATCTCTACTAAAAATACAAAAATTAGCCAGGTATGGTGGCGTGCACCTGTAATCACAGCTACTCAGGAGGCTGAGGCAGGAGAATCGCCTGAACCCAGGAGGTGGAAGGTTGCAGTGAGCCGAGATCGCACCACTGCACTCCAACCTGGGTGACAGAGTGAGACTCCGTCTCAAAAAAAAAATAAATAAATAAATAAATAAATAAATAAACAAAATACAGTTTTTCTTTTCTGATAAATAGGCCTCAAAACTCTGAATCAAAACATTTCCTAGTGGCTGTGGTGGCTCTTTGTAAGACATAATTGTATTTACTTGCTTTGAAACCACTAAACTCTTCATGTGACTTGTGGGAGTTGATTGTTGGGCCATTATTTTCTAGCTGCTAAAAGAATGCAGTGCATTAGGCTGTGTGAAGTTTTGAGTAAATGGCTCCTTATGTCGTATTTGCAAGACAGATGTCTACAAATTGAAGTTTGTTTTTATAATCACGTGCATATTCAGCTCATCCTGACTTTGTGCAATTTACAGTTTGTCCTCAATTCACACTGGAGTGGTGTAAGTCAATGTTTTCCTCTCCAAGGGAACAATTTTGTCTGCTGCATGTTAACCAGTTGGCTCTCTTCTTAACTGTTAAACAGTATTAAATGAAACATCAATTTCAGTGAATGGATGACTTATTTGAGACATGTTAAAACAATCCAAATTGTTTTTTCACTTGAACGCATTTATTGTAACCGTATGTTAAGAACAAAGTTTTTGTCACTGGATATCAAATATTTGCTCAGTGAAATCAAAGTTTCATAAGTGTTTTATAAATGTAGATTGGACAATGCAGGTAAACAATGTTTCTTCTTTCGTACTCTCTTTTTCATTTTTACACTCTCTCTTTATGACCCTTAATTTGTTGATCACAATATTTGGTGAATGGGAAATATTTACCAAATATTCTTTGATTAAAATAATCTATAAATAAAACTTAATAGAATACATTAACCTGCCCATGGCATTTTCTTTTTCAGATAAACAAGCTTTATTTTAGAGCAGTTTTAAGTTTACAGAACAATGGAGCAGAAGGTACAGGGAGTTTCTGTATACACCCTGTTACTACACATGTACAACCTCCAGTACAATATAGGTACATTTATTAAAATTGATGAACCTACATTGACATATCATGATCACCCAATGTTCATAGTTTATATTGGGGTCCACTCTTGGAGTTGAATATTCTTTGAGTTTTGACAAATTTATAATGACATGAATCCACCATATTCAGAATAGTTTCAATGCTTTATTACTTAATGTGATTAGGGAAATAGCTGTATTATTGTCTACCATATTTATTAGTTTTATGTTTCTTTCCCTATTCTTTGTTCCATTTTTCTTATTTCATACTTTTTCTGCCTTTGTGACTTTAATTGAGCGTTTATAAGAAATTAATTTTTTTCTTCTTTCTTAGTACATCAGTTACACTTTTTTTCTTTTACTTTTTCCAGTGGTTGCCCTCAAGTTTGCAATATACATTTACTATTATTCCTAGTCGTCTTTCAAATAACACTATACTATTTTGTGGCTACTGCAAGTACCTTATAATAACAATATATTTTAAATATAGTAGTCCCTTTTATTTGCAGTTTCACTTTCTGCGGTTTTAGATATCTGTGGTAAATCACAGTTTGAAAATATTAAGTAGAAATTTCCAGAAATAAAGAATTTATGTTTTAAATTGCAGGCCACTATGAATCGTGATGAAATCTTGTGCTGTCCCGCTCCATCCCCCGGGACATGAATCACCTCTTTGTCCAGCGTATCCATGCTGTATATGCTACTGACCCCTTTGTCACTTAGTAACCATCTAGGTGATTATATGGACTGTTGCAGCATCATAGTGCTTATGTTCAAGTAACTCTTACTTTACCTAATAATGACCCCAACGTACAAGAGTCAAGATGCTGGAACATTGCTATAATTGTTCTATTATTAGTTATTATCATTAACCTCTTATTGTGCCTAATTTCTAAATAAAACTTTATCATAGGCATGCATGTATAGGAAAAAAAAGCATACTATCTATAGGATTTGGTGCTAGCCATGTGGATTTAGGCATCCACTGGGGATTTTGGAATGTATGCCTTATGGATAGGGGAGATTGCCCTATATTCCTCCCTCCCATCCCTTGTATTTTTGATGTCATTCATTTACTTTTATATAAGCATATATATATATATATATATATATATATATATATAATATAATGCATACGTAACAAGCACACATATATACATATAAGTACATATATACATAAAATAAGCATACACAATCAAATACATTGTTGCTGTAATTATTTTGAACAAACCGAGGAATAAGAAACTTTAAACTTTGTTTTACCTTCACTTATTCTTTCTCCAATGCTCTTCCTTTCCTTACATAGATTCAAGATTCTAACATATATTATTTCCAACTCTCTTTTCACATGTATTGCACAGCTTCTTTTCACATGTATTGGAGTGTAAATCTAATGACAACAAATTTCCTTCAATTTTTGTTTGTCTGAGAAAAAATATTTATTTTCTTTCACTTTTCAAGTGTAATTTCACAGGGTAAAGAATTCTAAGTTGGTGTTTGTTTCATCTGTTTTTTTCTCTGAACACTAAATATTTTACTGCACTATTTTCTTCCTTGCATGGTTTATAAGGAGAAATCAGATGTTATTTTTATCTCTGCTCCTTGCTAGTTAAGGTTTTCTTTTCTTCTTCTATATTTTTGTCTAGATTTTTTTTAATCTTTTGATGTTTTGAAATTTGAATATGTTATGCCTAGATGTAGTACTTTTGGCATTTATCTGTTTGGTTTTCTTTGGTTCTCCTGGATTTGTAGTTTGATGTAGTTTGATTATTTAGGGGAAAATCTCAGTCATTATTGCTTCAGATATTGCTTTTGTTTCTTTCTCTTTCTTGTACTTCTGGTATTGCCATATGCATATGTTATACCTTTTGTAGTTGTCCTACAGTTCTTGAATAGTTTTTTTTTTCTCTCTTTGCTTTTTAGCTTTGTAGGTTTCTACTGAGATATCCTCAACTTCAGAGATTCTTTCCTCAGTGATGTCCAGTCTACTAATAAGTTCACAAATGGCCTCCTTCATTTCTATTACAATGTTTTGATTCTAGTATTTCACTTAGTTCTTTGTTAGACTCCCATCTCTCTGCTTGTATTATCCATCTGTTCTTGCATTTTTCATTAAAGTCCAGGGCAGTATCGATCGTCATTTAAAAAATATTCTTGTCTGACAATTCCAACATTCCTGCCATATCTGCCTCTGGTCCAGGTACTATTTTAGTCTTTTCAAATGATGATTTTTGCCTTTTAGTGTGCCTTGTGATTTTTTTCTTGGAGGGTGGATATTATATGTTGGGTAAAAAGAACTGCAGTAAATAAACTTTAATATTATAATGGTAAGATGTTGGGAGATGGGAAAACTTCTTTAGTCCTGTAATTAGGATTCAGTCTTTTGGTGACTTTGTGCCCTTGGTTATGTTTCTCAGTATTCCTTCCCCTACCCTCCCACCCCACTGGGAGAGGACAGCTAGAAGGAGCTGGAGTTAAGTATTTCCTTTTTTTTTTTTTTTTTTTTTCACTTGGAAGGCTAGAGCCAGCTGAGTTGGATAGTTTTCTTCCCCCATGTAGATTAGGCTCTGATATAAACCAGCAGGTTGGACTATGGTAAAATAATTTCTCTTAAGGACAGGGCTTTTTAATGCTCTGGCATATGTCAAAATGATTCCTTTTTCTTCCCCCTGCCAGAAGCACGAATGGATTTTCTATAAAATTCACCATGACAACCTGGTAGAGCTCCTAGAGAGAAAAGTTTCAATAGTGTGGACACTGCCCATGAGTGAGCCCCCTTGGAGTTTTTAACTTGCTGATTTGTTCACACTGAACCTCCAGCAATTCATCAATTACAGTTTAGGGTTTCTGACCTGTGCACTGGTTCCCACAGTGTTTCTGCTCATGGATTTCTTTTTTGATATGTTGTGATTCTCTGTATTTGCTTTTCTTTCTCTTCAATTGTGGGGGTAGCAGTTTTCTCTGTGACCTTACTTCTCTAGTGGATCTAAAAACAGTTGTTGACTTTTTTCAGTTGGTTCAGCTATTTGCTTGTTAGGATAGAGTGGCATTTTCCAAGTTTCTTACATGCTGGGCTGGAAACTAGAAATGACTGTTTTCTTTTGAAGATGGAATGTATTGATATTTAAGCTGGCAATTTGGTATAAATCTGTCCTTAATTTATAGGGGCCCTTTATTCTATTCTCTTTCCTGTGGCTGGAACTTCCCTAGCTTGCCATGGCCATTTCAACTAAATGTCCATTCAAATTAACTAGGTTACTGGTCTTCATCCCGGATTTGATCTAGCACAGCAGAGTGTTACATCAGCTATGCTAGAATTGCTGGATAAAAGCATCCTGGAAAAGAATCAAAATCCTTAGGCAAATAGCTAGCAATACTAGTGCATACCAGAAGTCATATGGAGGCTTCTTATTTCTCAATATTCATTTTCAATGTCTACATGGTTACAATGTAAATTGGAAAGAAAAGTAATCACAAGACAACATCATTTGTTAGTGAATTGACCGTTTATAAAATTAGTCTGAATTCACATTTCCCTTCTCTCTAGTGGTTACACAGTCAGTGTTTTGCAAAATGTTGAATGCTTTTAATAGGACAATGCAGTGCAGACTGAATTGATTACAATGTGAAATTGACAACATCAAGATTTCATGGAATCAATAGTATAATGCCAGACAACTGGTGAAATCCAGTGCCAATTTATTACCCAGCAAGGGTATAATGTAGTTAGAACAGGCACACATATACAACAAAACACTAATTCTTAGGGGAAAAAAAAATGAAATGTGTGTGTGTATGTGTGTTTACTAAGATAAATTTTTGGCCAAAATTGTATGAGAACACAGTTGGGACCTCAAAAGAGGACATTTTGATCACCAAAGAAGCAAAATATCTGATTTAAAAAAACACTGATCTTTATTATGCATAAAAGTGTGATTTTTGAGAGGTAATTTAGATATGAAAGTCAAATGCGATATAAAGCCTAGACATTTGATGTATCATAAAATTGTGTTGGAAAAATCATTTCTTCATTTATTAACAAAGAAAAATAAATATTTGCTCCATTCATTGTTCAAATAAGCTCATATTTGAACTCATAAACTCATTTCTTGTTACATACAAAATAAACAAATTGAAAATTTTACTTTCTTTTAAAATAGAAAATCCAAAACAAATTATTTTTAAAAATTATTTCCTTGAATATCCAATTTACATGGTCATTTTCCAGTATTATTATCATTTAATAACAAAATGTTCCATATTTCTAAACAGGATGCTAAAGCTATTCAAATACATGGGCAACTACAAGATTTTAACTTTCATCCCTACCCTCCAGAAATCCATTCTTAATGAATACACACAGATTTTGAGACTGACAGAACCATGAGGTGTAAAAAAACAAACAAACAAACATACAAACAAAAAAGAAATGAAAAACCCAAGAGAGTATTAAAATATCCCTACTTAATTGGATAGCCACATATCTTCTTCTCAAATTTTACCCCGGTGATGATTCTTACCTTTATCAGTCTTTACTACAATGATTGCAAACTAATATCCCACTAGTTCATGCTCAACATTTCAGTGTAGGGAAGAGGCCTTCTTCCTGATTCTCACTATTATATATCTTTTTTTCAAATAAACATATAATTTATTACAATTCTTAATCATTTTGATGCTCAAAGACACCCAGATGTTTTCAGTGGGAGCCCATTCAAGCTGGTTCTGGTGCTCCTGTGATGGGCCTATATAATTTTTTTGAGCATTTCCTTACACTCTGTCAAGCCCTTCTTCTACCTCTGTCCCTCCTACCCCAGCCCTGGAATTAGCCATGTCTCTGAGGAAGCCAGGATTCTTTTAATAATATTATAAAATATAATAAAATGAAAATAATATTAAATAATAAAAATTAAAGTAATATTAAAGATATAATCTGGTTACTGTGTATGCTTATTTTTACTCTGGCAACATTACCTCTAGGCCCTTGCAGCAGCCAGAGGTAGGAAAAAATACACACCCCCATCTCTACCACACACACACCCACCCATAAGTGTATACAGTATACATACACAAACATACATTTCCATGTGCACATATACATGTATATACATAGCCACACATATTTTAGAAATCAGGAGTTTGCACAGAACCCTACAATTCCAATCCATCCCTGAAGTTTTTTCTCTTGCTTTTCTCTATTTCATATGTGTGTGTTTTCTTCCACAGTGAGAACCCTGACTCCCAACAGCCATTAACACATGAGCAGTCTACAACGTATTTAAAATAGTTTCAGAGTTGGTTCATCTATATTTATTACCTAGGTGACTCTGACATTACTAGTATGCTTTCAGTTCTGATCCAGCAGAAATGAGCCTTTATTATTTTCATTTGAGAATGAGCCTGCTTTTTCATCGTGTAAAGAAGATATGTGCTAGTACCCATTTGCTATTGTAGTGTGTGTGTGCGTGTGTGTGTGTGTGTGTGTGTGTGTGTGTCTGTAGTATTGATAGGGAAAATATCTTCTTCCTCATGCATTAGAATTTGTTTCAATCACCTCTTTCCTAACTAACTGTGAGAAATTTGTGGAAAGGAGCTTTAAACATAATTCAATTAGAATACAAATTACAAACTGAAGAGGGACTTACCCAAATACTTCTCCTCAGTTTATCACTGTTTTTACTCAAACCATCACTTCACTTCATGTTTCTTCAATAGTTTGACTCTTTTCAGAGTCAGTTGTGAAGAAATTAAGAAAACTGTCATTAAGAGTAGTGACTACCCAGTCAGACAAAAATCTAATTTTGAGGCCTACATTCACCACTTACTTCTCTAAGCAGTTATATATACTCACCTAATGGAAATGCCTGCTTTGTGACTAAAATGAATAATTTATATAAAAGTGTTTAGTGTAGGTGCCTAGTACATAAGAAGAGTTTAATAATTATTAGTTACTATTATTGTTATGTAAAGTCTATGGTATCTGCATACACAATTTAATCCACTTATAATCTTAGCTCATTATTTTAAATTGTGGCTTTATCCTTTCACATTTTAATTGTATTTCAGAATTGAAACCCACTTAGCAAATTTATTGCTATATTTCAGTCATTCAGCCTTTATGAGATATAACTGGCAGTCAGTTGTTAATTTTCTTCTCCAATTAGTTTATTATAGTTTAACACAGTTAGCTACATTTACTTAAATCATATATTGCCTAGTTCCTAACTAGCCAATAGATTCATTGTTCATAAAGTGCATTCATTAAAGAGCCTATCTTAAAAATAAAAAGGTTGTAAAGCCTAAAAAAAGAAAGACATTTGAAAGGTATAGGTGAGAGGAAGTTGGTCCATAAAATGCTGACGTTTCATCAAGTACTGATTTTTCTGCTTTCCTGTGGGAGCATTAAGGAGGGAGTGATCTCATAGATTTCCACTAATGTCGTGACCTATAGCTCCTGCCCAACATTTCTGCTAATTATGGAGTCTTCCCTATCATCTTCACAATGTGCTTACCTGTTTTCTTATGCTAGGCTGACAGCTTGTTCACTTCCGTTGGCCTTAACCTTGGCTTTGACATCCACAGGAGGTAGGCAGACTGTCAATACCAGCATCAGAATAGGGAAGAGACTGTCTGGAAGCTAGAATCTGGGACAACTTTGGCAGCTCCTGCAGATTTGTATTTTTCCTGTGATTTTTCAGCTAGCTACCCCCAACCTAAAATGTTAGAAGGCATTCCAATGCCAGAGGGCTAATGCCTGTAATTAGAGAGGCGTGGTTTTTGCTATTCCCATCCTATCTGCAACAGCTTGACTACCACTGCATTACTCATTAGGAGTCATAAGTCCTGATCTACTGGATACCCAAAGGGCTCAAAGGCTAGGGGTGGGCAGCTTGGAAGAGTGCCAACATTGCTTCTGACCTTGGATAGCCAAAGAAGCCCAAACAAGATTTATATTTTGCATCTCACATTTTATAAAAAGATTTCAAAAGATTCTACTCTTATGTGTTTCCATGAGACCCATTATTTTTAGCTATTTTTATTTTCTTTTTACATTTTTAAATTTAGGGAGCAGTGTAAGTGTAGTAATATAGCATAGCAAATTAACAGTTTCCAAAAAAGATTCAAAAGATCAAAAAATTAAAATGCATATTGGAAAAATAACATTTAGTTATTATTTTCATACTAATAATAGAATGCACTAATGTTTATTGTTAATAATTAGAAGAGATTCAGAAGAACGGAATTTGCGACCCTTTTGTTTCTTTCTGGAAATAGCTCCCACTAATTGGCTGTATCATTCGGGTAACTTAATATTTTAGACAAATCAGGAGGTGTGTAAGAAAACAGGTGTAGAAAGACTGTAGTCTTTGAAAACTTTTAGTATCTCTTTAGCCAGAGCAAGAAAATGGACTGAGTTACAAAAAAAAAAAAAAAAAAAAAAAAAAAAAAAAGAATAAAAGCTTCCCAACAATGTCTCTTCTCATCTTGCTTTTGATTTTGAGGGGAGACTTCCAGGGTATTTTCCCAATAGTGACATTATACCCAATGCTATCCTCAGCCTCTCTTTCACATTGATGGCCACAGTGATGTCTGAAAACGGAGAAAAGTTGTATGGAGATGGAGGGAGAGAGGGAGGAGGGAGAAAGTGAGAAAAGAAGCAAAGAAGGAGAGAGAGAGGGAGAGGAAGGAAGGAAAGAGGAGGGAAGGAAGGAAAGAAGGGAGGGAAGGGGAGAAAAAAGAACACAAAGGTGTTTCACCTATTTATTTTGTACTCATCAAGGATTTCTTTTTCTAAAGAAATGTAAAGCCATGCCACAATAATTAGCAAGAAAGTTACTTTCCCTTTGCCTCCCCTTCCGCATAATAATTCTCTTTTCTTAGAGTTTATCTCATTAAATGACAACCTCATTCTTTAAGTTAATGAAGCTCAGTGATCTTGGGATCATCCTTGCCTCCTCTCTTTCTCTTACATTCCACTTCTGAAAATCCTGTTATCTCTATATTCAAAACAAATATTTAGAAGTTTATAATTCCTCTTTACTTCTGTGAATTTCATTCTGGTATAAACTTCTGTTGTTTCATGCCTGGAGCATTGCTTTAGCTTTCTAACTGAATTAATTCATGCTTCCATCTCTGTCATGTATCAGAGTCTCAATAAAGCATCAAGAAACATTCTTTTAAAATCATAAGTCAGCTCATGCCACGCCTTTGCTTTTTAAAAAAGGAATGTTTTCCCCTCTGAGAGTAAAAACCAATAACTTGACTATGGCTTAAGAGATGCTATTTATTCAACTTCTTTATCTCCACCCACTGCAACCATGTCACAATTATTTTTTTGAACTCAACTGTTACAAATCCTCCCTTCCCACATCTTCACTTTGCTTAGCAATTCTCAGCCATACAAAACATGTTATTGCTTCTGGAAATTTGCCCTCTCTCTGAAAATATTTCTCAATTTTACACAAATAACCTGATACCAGTCAGGTCTCCTCTGGCCATTTATTTATCAATAGCTAACATAATGTCTATTTTACTTATTTACCTATTCATTATTTGTGAATAATAAATCCCATACTCCCTCTACTAGAAAATAGAAATTTTGTGAAGGTAGAACTTTGCAGTTCTATTTATTATTCAATTCCCATGACCTAGAAGTGATTGGATTCAGGACATAGCTAGGATATAGCAGACATTCAGTAATTAACTGAGGGAATTAATGTATGATTTTGCAGAAAAAAATAATTTGTATTATAACAGAAAAAGCTGGGCATAGGCAAAATTGTGAAGGAAGCTTAGTTCACTTTTTATCTCCCTCAATACCCTTTTCATTTTCTTTCTCCTCCTTTTGGAGGCTAGCAGTAGTGTGATGGAAAGAACATGGAGCCTAGGATGGCAAAGATTTGTGTTTCATCCCTGGTTATATAATATTGGGCAATGTACTTACCTCCCTAAGACTTGGTCATTCTCTTCTTCAAAGTGGGAATGATGATCTCACGTTGTAGAATTGTTATAAATATTAAATGATATTAAGGATATAAAATAAATTGTTTAGTGTAGTTTTGGCACATTGTAGGTATTCAATTAAGGCCCTTTTCTTTTTTCTCTTTCAGCATCCCTTCTTTTCTACTTAATGCTACTCAAGAGTCCACAGGACTAAATGCTGTGTTTCAGGGTCTGACAAAGGTCTTGAGCTCTCTGGAGGCTAACGATGTCTCATACCACTTGCTTATTTTAAAACGATTGCTTTAAACTGAGATCCTAGAGATGTGTGGTATACACAGTCCATGGCGGTGTATGGCACAGCCACTGTGTAGCCATAGACACTATTAGGGATTTGCCCAGATTCTCTCAGATCCCTTCCGCTCCTCTGTGTATACCTCCTCAGGTATCTATGTGCTTCTGCTTGGGGCCAGCACCCAGTATCCTGTGGGGGAACTACTCTTGGGCTACTAAAGCCACTTTGTCTCTGGAATTAGAGAGCCAGAAATACTTAAGAGTTTATATCCACCCACCATCACACCCATTAACTGACTCATGTGGGAACAAAAAAGGTCAGTTTCGGCCCAGTGCAGTGGCTCATGCCTGCAATCCCAGCACTTTGGGAGGCCGATGTGGGTGGATTACCTGAGGTCAGAAGTTTGAGATCAGCCTGACCAATATGGTGAAACCTTGTCTCTACTAAAAATAAGAAAATTAGCCTGGTGTGGTGGAGGACACCTGTCATCCCAGCTACTCAGGAGGCTGAGGCAGGATTGCTTGAACCCAGGAGGCAGAGGTTGCAGTGAGCTGAGATCATGCCACTGCACTCCAGCCTGGGAGACAGAGCAAGATGAAAAAAAAAAGTTTCCTTGCCTCTTAACAGGATAAACTCTGAAATCTCCTCTAGAATCAGCCTTCCTCCATGGGATTGTGTCTCCTTCAGATCCTAAGGGTGGTCTGCAGCACTGGCTCTTTTGTGCTCATTTCTTAACATACTTGGCAGTTCCCTGAGGCTGACCCCAATCCTGCATATTGAGTCACCACATATCAGGACTCTCTTCTCTGTCTCCCATTCTCCCCGAAGATAAGCACCATCTCTGACCATGACCCAGGTTGACATTCTTTTAAATGACAGGAAAAGGGGCACTTATTTCCCCTCAAATCATTTTTCTATTCTATAATTATGGCCCCAACTCTGTGCTTAATTTTTCATGTACATTTTGTTTGATCCTTCAAAATGCAACTTGGAAGTTAACAAAACAAACACGAATCCTTCCTTTTTCCCCCTCTCATTCCCTTGTAACAATTCTGCTTCTCTTTGAACCAATGCAGAGGGCTGATGGCACTGATGGACTAAAAGAGAACTGGAGAAAATAAAACAGTGAATATATACAATTCAAAATAATTTCTCAGTGCATTCTAGGTTAGAAATCAGCATTAGCAAACAGGGTTTCACTGTAGCCTACAGATTTCTTATTGGTTTGTTTAAGAGACACCTTGCTATGCTCTAGAAGTGCTAGATGAATAATACATGGCCCTTGTGGAGCTAACAGTCTATGAGACTTTAAATACCATGCAAAATGTGTGCCCAGAGTAAAATGGTAGCACTGAGAAGTAGCACTGAGTTAATGTGGCTTAGTGAAATGCACATTGGAGGTGAGGACACTGAAGCTGCCTTGAAAGATGAGAAAGGTCTAGTCAGGTTAGGAAAACAGAAAGATCATTTCACATCAAGGGAGTGGCCAGAGAGAAGCCCGTAAGACTTACTCAGAGTGTTCTGGGACAAGGACTAAAAACAGATTTGTGTTATTTAAACATAAAATACGAGACAGGCACTACTGGAGATGAGGTGAAAGAAAGGAGACAGATTCTGTGTTCATGATTTTGACCACGAAAGGCTTGGAGAAGGGGAATAACATGGCCAAATTTGTGTTTTCGGTAGTTTTCACTGATTGTGTCAAAAAATGGACTCCAGGAAGCAAAACTGAAATCCTGGCACAGCTGTTGTGAGCCTGAATTAGAACAGGGCCAAGGAAGGATGATGAGGAAGGGAAAGTTTCCAGAAAGTAACTTCAATGGCAAGAATCTAGAAAAGGTCTAGGAATTCTGCACACCCTCCTTAAATGCCCTTCCCCGGCCTCCACATCACTATTGGCAAGAATTATTAAGATGCCTCAGACTTTCTCTTGCTCCTGGCAAGAAATCCTCTCCATTCACGTGTGAGTAAAAAATCTCATTATTTCCTTTATCCCCATTTACATCATTCATCACAAGAAGCCCAGAGACTCCCAGGTCATTTTTCATCCCTGGATTCTAATCCCCATCTGGCTCTTGAAGCAGTGAGATACTCCCCATTCTTTCTGGCTGTCCCTAAACACTTTCTTCAAGATTCATTTTTCCTCAAAGCATTTATCACCTTCTGACATGCTGTAGATTTTACTTATTTATTTGATTGTTCCATTCTTTCACCCCCTCCCCCACCATAGACACATGTACTAGAATTTAAACTCTATCCTGGCAACTATTTTTGTCAATTTATTCATGGCTATTTGCCCAGTGCTTAGGGCAATATTTGACACAATAAACGTTTGTAGAATTGGTAAATTTGAAAGTAACAACAGGATCTATCAACTATACTTCTAGGGTAAGAGAAAGAGAGCAGTTGCAACTGATTTCAAGTTTTTGGCTTCGGTGACCTGACAGTATAATTTTAAATATTTGCTAAAATCAGAAATGATTCCCTTCTACAGGCTTTACTAATTTTGTTTTTTTTTTAAATTTTAGTCAGAGAGCATTTCCATGGAACTTTGCAAGCATTGCATGTTTTATTTGTTGCAACCAGTAAAATTTATCTTTGGGGAAAATTTCACAAAGATTTCACAAAAAAGTATGACTGTTTTCCGTGCAATGGTGAACAGGAATAATTTGCTAATCCATTTGTTACCCAAGAATGTGAGAAGTCATTGATTTTATGTTACATATTAGGGGACTTCAGGCTATAAAGGTAATTTTTTCCAGGTGCTGTTCTGGAACATTGGCATCAGGAAATAAGAGAGCAAAGGAGGAGAAAAAGAGGTTTGGAGTTGAGAGGAGGAAGATTAAAAGGTAATTCTTTTAAAAATATTTCTAAAGAAAGACAACTTCAACAAAGGATAATAGACAAATCAACAAAAAAAGTGGTAGTTGGTGGAGGGGGGAAATTTGACAAATGGCATCAAGCCCTTCCTCAGCCAAGGATAGCACATTCATATCCTGGTGCATAGTTCAAGCTATTATTTTATTATTCATAAGAAACAACTTGATATCTGGATATCTGACTTTCCATTAAAAAAAACCTCTAACTCCATTCACCCCCCCATACACTATATTGATCAATATGCCTATGAACCAAACATACATATACAAAACCTTCTATAAAAGATTATACATTTAGGCTCCTGACTAATTTTGGTTGCTGCAGAAGTATTATATGTAGTTATATATAAGTGGCTAGGAAGATAGAAGGATTTAAAAAATAGTCTACCAGGAAAGGATGTTAAGTGGGAAAGTGGAAATGGAGCTCTCATTTATTGACTGACTTTTTGGGACACCTACAATATTTATATGCCTTAAACATATTCTCAGTTAATCATTATCAAAATTTTGGAAAATGCATATTATCTCCCCAAGTTATAGATGACGATAACAAATAAAGTCACTCAGCCAAGCTGTAAAACTGAGATAATGAAAATCTAATACATGTTTTCTGATTTCAAATGAACTATTTGTCACCAATGTATTTCATGCAATATTGCAAAAGAAAAAATAATTTATATGTATAAAGTTCTAAAAGACTAATTGTACAAAATGAAGCACATGGTCCTCCTGTTAAGATTGCCAGCACTCCCATGCTTTGTTGGCATTTATAAAATTCTACTAAATTTGGCTTAGAAGCAATACATACACTACAAGGGAGCAGTTGTTTTTGAGTGTTTTGGGAAGGAGGAAAGAAAGCAAGAATGCATTGTGGGAGTGCAGACAAAGAGCAGTGTTCTTAGTATGCAGCAGTGACCAAGAAGATTTCGAGCTTCGGAAAAAGAGTAGGGGAAATAGAGCAATAAACAAGATCAACCTCCATGATCATAAAATGTAAAGACTAGGTTTCTACCACATTTGCCATGCTCAAATATCTCAAACATTATTATTATTATTATTTATTATTTTTATTATTATTTTTGAGATGGAGTCTCCTTCTGTCTCCAAGGCTGGAGTCCAGTAGCACGATCTCAGCTCACTGCAACCTCTGCCTCCCAGGTTCAAGCAATTCTCTTGCCTCAGCCTCCCGAGTAGCTGGGATTACAGGCACCTGCCACCAGGCCCAGCTAATTTTTGTATTTTTAGTAGACACGGGGTTTCGTCATGTTGGCCATGGTTGGCCAGGCTGGTCTCGAACTCCTGACCTCAGATGATCCACCCTCCTTGGCCTCCCAAAGTGCTGGGATTACAGACATGAGCCACTGCACCCGGCCTCAAACATTATTTTGTATTAATGTATATACTTCTTATTCAATGGCATCAACATATTTATTCTGGGCCTAAAGTTAAGAAAAGGAAAAATGAACAGAAATTCACAAAGCACTTTTCCACCGAAGAAGAATAGCTATGTAATTACAGAGATATGCTATTTAAGTGAATGGAATGAAATGCC
This sequence comes from Homo sapiens, assembly GCF_000001405.40. Classification (NCBI taxonomy): domain Eukaryota; kingdom Metazoa; phylum Chordata; class Mammalia; order Primates; family Hominidae; genus Homo; species Homo sapiens. The sequence goes on along the minus strand of NC_000005.10, from coordinate 45,718,435 downwards.
ATTGAGATGCCCAGTAAGGATACTGCTAATGCTGTTCTTCTGTGATATTGTAAATGTAATTTATTATGATTATTTATTTATTTTTGGCATGGTGTGCATAGCCTTATCTTATTTTCCAAGTTCTAAACTAATGGCTTTGGCTGACCGTGGTGGCTTATGACTATAATCCCAGCACTTTGGGAGGCTGCTTGAGGCCAGGATTTTGAGACCAGCTGAGGCAACATGGGGAGACCCCATCTCTACAAAAAATACAAAAATTAGTTGGGTGTGGTGGTATGTGTCTGTAGTCCCAGTTACTTGAGAGGCTGAGATGGGGGGATTGCTTGAGCTAAGGAGGTTGAGGTTACACCGAGCTGAGATCATGCCACTGTACTTCAGCCTGGGCAATAGAGGGAGATCCTGTCACAATCAATCAATCAATAAAACAAACTAATGGCTTAACCAATAAACTTTTGGAACATAAGCATTCTTAAATATAAGTTTGCCTGCATTATGAGCTTGTCTTGAAGTCAGTAAACAGCTATATACAACTGGAAGCCAGTTATCACATGGTCCCAGACCAACTCCTTTCCTGAAGTAGAAAGGGCTTTTTAAAAATCCTGTCTCAATAACTTCATGAAATTTGGCATAAATGAGTAAATTCTCATGTCTTTAACATGAGATTATTGAGAATATTAAATGAGAAAACATATAAAAGTTCAGTGGTTGTTACATGTTAAGCATTCCATAATGGTAGTTACTGTACCTGCTTTTTAGCCATTAATTGAGAGGGAGAAGGAAAAGGACAATGGAAAGAGAAACAAAGGGTAGAAGGATAGAAGAACAAAAACAAGATAGTGTTGTTATAACACTTCATGTTGAGAAATAATTAAGTTTCATCTAAAACATCTATAGACTTCAAATATTTGAATGACCTAATAAGCCACAGGATAATAAAAATGCATTAGATGACATGTGTCAGTTAAGTGCAACTATTTTTCAGGGGTGAGTAAAGGTACATTTCAATGTTGACCAGGCTTCCCAGGGGGAAGTAATCCCATATTTTTATTGTTTTGTGGGGAAAAGAAAATACTTTATAATTAGAGTATTATAAATGAATCAATAAATACTGCTAATATTCAAATTAAAAGACCTTAAAAGCAAGATATATGCTAAAAGTTTGTTTCTAATTACATTTTGCAATCAGATTTTATATCACTACCATCTTACATTCTTCAGGATGGTTTACATCTGCAAAATTCCAACTATCTGAACATCTCTAAATAACAAAGAAATTATCTGCCTGACTTAGGGATCAAGTGTTCCTAAAGATATATAAACAAAATTGATTTTTCTTTTGCAGATTATTTATTAAAAGAATTAAATTATCACATTATTTATAATAAAACCATAAGTGATTTTTAAATTATAAAACTTTCTATTAGTCAGAAAAATCTCTCAGACATGATTACATATCTACTGTAAGGCCTCTGGGTAGATAAGATTGTTTCCCCACAACAAACCAACTTAGCACAGAATAACCTATGGCAGAAATACTGGAAGTGAAAGAAATAATTTAATATTTCTGAATTTTGTTCCTGATGATAGCTATTAGGTTTCTAGAAGATTTCATTTCAACATCTCCTAATGGCCTGTAATTTATTAAACGTTCTCCAGTCAACATAAAATTAGAAGCATTAGCTTCTTTGAATAACTCAGGCATGTTTGTATGTATTATGTGCATAATGTGTTCAATACGTATCATATTTTATATAATATTTTATTTCCATTTACTGGCATGTACTTGCCTAGAAGGAGAAGACTATGTTGTTGTTCTTCGTCATCTCTCCTGAGCATTTTCAGTCACTAAAATCTCTGGTTTTTCTAAGGCTGAAATTTATTAAATACAAAGGGAATGAATAAAATGCTTTGCAATTTTGCAGATCTCAATCTTCTGAGAAAAGCCAGAAACAACAGATACCATGGCAAAGGTAGACTTCTTCAGTAGAAGAAATTTCTGGAGACAGATTCATAAATATAAAATTATGATTTGAGTTAATCTGGTTTCTTTGTGATTGCTATAGGAAGCTCAAAGCATGAAAAGCATTTTTTAAATGAATGGGAACTAAGAAATAGAAATGGTTAGTTTCCTGTAATATAGGGGCAATGCACTGTGGCAAAGTAGGATTACTTGCCATGAACTGGCTTGATTTCTAAAAAATGGAAATTAACATTATAAGAGTGCTCAAATGAGCTTTGTGAAAGTTCTCTTTCCTTTTCATATGTATCATTATTATTCTCGTTATGAACTAACGACAGACTTATTGTAGATAGTAGGAGGACAAGAGCTTAGATATAAAGGAGACACTTTTAATCTGCATGCAATTTTTCACCTAGAAGAGAAAGGGTAAATAAGCATTATATTGTTTATACCTATGACCAATTAGTAGTCTTCTCAGAGTGATGTTTAAAAAAATTTGAGGTCACATCTGGATTCAATAAGGCATATTGCCATGATCCATTAGTAATATCCAAAAACACTGGTTAAAGGAGTGACTCTTTTTTTGTTGTTGCTAAATATTTGCCACTCCTAACCTAGAACATTGCTAGTATTTAATGAATGTTAAAAATTTCATGAGACAATCAGTATCTTTTATTAATAGCATTCTACTTTATCCAAACACAGGCTAGGGAAAAAATTCAATTTTTATGGCTTCTTGTTACACTGATAACCATCAATTCTCATATTGTCTAAAGACTGTGATTTTGGCAATGCTATGAAATGGTGAAATGAAAAATTAGGAGAGTCTTGATGGAGAAAAAATAATCTGTTCTACTCTTTTAGAATTTCTCTCCTTTTACTCCCTTATGCCCCTCATCCTTCCAGTCTCTTTTGATCTTTCTTCTTTTCTGAATAGTATTATTTTAAAGTATTCTTATCTCTGAAGCAGCTAAACTTGAATTGATACATGCAGTATATCAGTTCCAAATTTATCAGCAAATACTCAGCAGGAACTACCCCTCTGAAGTGCACTTCGGGTTACTGGCAGCCACGAATGCTTTGGAAGCTTGCCTTCCGTTTTCCTTGGTTGAATGATGCCTCTTGAAAAGACAAATACTACTATAATTCCTGTTGATTTGGGACACAAGTCTTCATCTTAGCACACTATGATTTCCTGAAAGCATAAATCAGACTCACAAGATAATATCTGAGTCAGCTGTTCCTACTTTTGTATTGAAGCTAATTAAAAGCATGAAACAAATGCTTGTCACACATTCTGTCTCACTGAAATAATATAAAAATAAATAGGGAGACAGAAAATTGGAAGATATAGCAGTTAGAATAACAATAGGTAATTTTATCCAGAGCAGAACTTGATGACTTAAAATCTAGAAAATCAACCTAACTAAAAGTATCATAAAACATATTAAATATGTTAAATACTCAAGGATTCAAATTAGTACTATGAGAAGATACTAGGGTGGATGGTTGACAAATAAATCATAGATGCATCTGATGTTACAGGTGTATTAAGATAATATCTTCCTGATTGATATTTTTTGGTTCACAATACATGTGAGTATTTACAATTGCTCTGTTTAACAAAGATTATATCAGAGCACAGTGAAATAGGTGATAAATGTTGTGGCATAAAGTGCAACAGATTACTTTGGAGGTATGGCGACATCTTTAAATTTAACCCTGGAAAGAAAAGATTCCCTAGGCTAGCAGTAGCCTTCCACATGCCAGAGGCTATAATGATTTACTCCAGCTGTTGGAGCACATCTGAAACATGAGATGCAATTGCGATCACTACACTTGGGCAAGCTTAAAATAATCTTCTGCTGTTCTCCAAGACCTACTCTTCTGCTGCTCTGGACCAACTAGAGTGAAATTGGGATATGCTAGGAATCAACAGTCCTGTGTCTTTCAAGCCTTAACAGTGACAGATTCCTGCAACTTGACAAAAAATACAGCACTTTTTGATTTAAAATTTTGATTGGGAGAAAGGTTTATAGGGTCCAGAATTGACCCTTCCTACCAGAAGAACTTACTGTACAGGACAAAAGTCTACTGAGATACTTCTTCCTGTTGCTTGAAGAGGTCTGGTTATACCCAATCATATAATCAAAACACAAACTAAAAGAGAAAGGGGCACCAAAAATTTAAATTACTTAATTTTTTGAATATTGACTTGACTGACAAATTCATTTTCAAAAATATAATGCTTTGTAAAAATTATAAATAAAATATCTGCATATAGTATCAAAAATTTGTATTCATTAAATTTTAAATATAAGTAGAATAAATATTATAAGTAGAATAATTAAAGTTTTGGCAATGATTTTTTGTGGATGACTTTCCCAATTGAAAGTGTAAATATTTCTGTCTTAACATTTTCAAAGGTACTATATTTTCACTCCTATTCAAGGTACCTTTGTAAATTAATATTTTACAAGATAAAACTCATCAATGTTATTACTATTATGATTCATGCCTTTTGATTTATTATTTTCTTGCTAGTTTGCCAAATGTGATATGCTATAGTATGACTGAAACTCTCAATTTCATTTGTGTTAAACAGCATATTCATAACAAAAAAGTTTTGCTTGTTGTTACTCTGACTTCACCAACTACATACAGCTTGGTGGTTTTGTGCATCTTGTAGGCTCCAGCAGGAGGCATGGCATATTGACCAGTCCACCAAGTGCCTGGTAGTGGCAACATCATTGCCGGTTTCTTCCACTCTCCCTGGAGGCTTGAAAGAGTTAGGTGTCCTCGCCTCTCATGCTCAAGGAGACTTGTCTTATCAGTGAATGCCTTTATGCTGTCCTTGAAAGGAAGGTGTTAGATGTATCATCTCTGAAAAGTGCTGGAGAAAGAAATGCAAGTTATTTCTGGTCATCTGGCAGACTTCCCCATGCACTACAGTAACAACTCAATTTTCTGCATAATGTGTTTCCTACCCTACTAGAAGAGACCATGGCAGATCTACCAAAATCTTCCCAAATAATTCCAAAGCCAATTTTAAATATGCTCCATACTTTATTTGAAAACTGAAAAATTTAGAACAAACTCTAAGAGCACACTGGGACAATAAGTATAAGCCACTGTCTTAGGCTAACAGAGACTTTTGGCAACAGATAGAAACTCTGAAAATAATTTTCATTCTTCCGTTGTATCTACTGATAAACGGACTTGCTTTAAAATCTCATTTACTACCTTTTTAAAGGCAGACCCAGGTTTTATGAAGGCAGAAGCTTATACAATATAAAAGGCCTCCTTTGGGAAAAAGAAGATAGAAATACTTTACGTTTACAAATTGTAAAACAGTAGTGACACACTGATGGGGTTCTTTCAGGGCTGTGCAAGTTAAATGCCCTGAAGCTTGGACCACATCAAGATTTTAAAAATCTGCTTCCTTTCTTTACCATCAAGTCCATGCTGGCTGGTTGACAGTAGGAGTTATCTGAATCTCCAGAAATTGGGTTTGTTTGGAGATGTTGGCAGGAGAGAAGAAGAAGGCCCAGTGAAGGCCAAAACAGAGAAATAAGAAAGGAACCATTCCGTGAGTGAGGAGAAAGGCAACTAGCTGATAACCCCAGGGAGTCAAGCCCCAAACTATGTAAGAAGCTCCTTAATTTAGTCCTTTATTTATGAAGCTTGGGGTTTGTGAACTGGTTCCTGCCTGGGAATAGCACACAAAGCCAATTCTCTGTTGTGTTGGCTTAAATCAGCTCTCTGTTCATCAGACCTGTAGTTTTGCTTTTGTAACTAAGATCCATGCACACTGGAATTACACAAAGTATGAAGTGAAATTTCCTCCTTCTCCCTCACCCTTCCAAGATGCTGGACTAGGACCTCTGAGGAAGTGACCCTCTTCAACTGGTGCTGGTATCTCTGAAAGAACATGCTGGAAAGGTTATGCGGTATAGAAAATTTGCAAACTATAACAAACTGCTGCTACTAGAAATATTGCCAGTGCCATGGTGAAGAACCACTATTGTGTGATGGTGATAGGAGTAGAAAACAAACAGGAGAAATGGTTCTTTTCCCTTCTCCAGCTTTCCTGTCCCTTATATTACCCACTACTGGAAGAGCCTAATAGTCATTTGCTGCAAAAAATAGAAATGTGATTTGCATAGTCCCAGATCCAAGTATATATAGGCCAGTTTAAAGCTGAGACAATAGCTTAATAATCACACATTGCCAGTAGCAAGCATATTATTCCATTGTCCTGGAGTTAATTTATCCCTTACACCTGTATTCTTCAATAATTTCCATCTACCAGGAACTCTGGAGAGTGCGAGTAGAGTAGTGAAAAAAATGGACTAAGTCGCTGCCCTAGTGGAATTTATATTCCAGGGGGGGAAAGGCCAATAGTAATGATTTTAACAAATGAAAAGGATAAGTGCTTCAAAAACAATAAACAAGAAATTTCTTATGTCCTTTATAGTGTTTAATAGCAATTGTTAACTGGTTCTCCAGAATCTTGCTCTCAGTAGGCAATTGGTTCTAAGCAACTTCAGGCAAGCACTTTAATTAGCTGTTTCGCCACTTCATCTGGTACTGTGAGTTTCTTGGTTCCATTACAAGGATACAAATGGAATTTTGCTGCTTTCATTTTATTTATTTATTTATTTTTGAGATGAAGTCTTGCTCTGTCACCCAGGCTGGAGTGCAGTGGCGTGCTCACTGCAACCTCCACTTCCCAGGTTCAAGCGATTCTCCTGCCTCAGCCTCCCAAATAGCTGAGATTATGGCACTTACCACCATGCGCGGCTAATTTTTGTATTTTTAGTAGAGGTGGGGTTTCACCATGTTGGCCAGACTGGTCTCAAACTCCTAACCTCAGGTTGTTCGCCTGCCTCAGCCTCCCAAAGTGCTAAGATTACAGGCGTGAGCCACCGATTTTAGCTCTGTCTAGGCAACATTATTAATTTCAAATACTTCTCATCGCCCTGATGGTCTATATTTGCACCCCACTTCTGGCCGCATTTGATGTATCCAGATATTTTATTATAAGCTACAGAAACTAACTTAAGCCAAAAAGAAAATTCACAACATTGAAGATAAAGTGGAAGAAGCTGGCTTGGGGAGCGTAGAAACCAAGTATCTCCAAGGTTTTAGAGGCAGAAAAGGTTTACTAATCTCAACCATGTGCCATTGCCGAAATACATTAAAACATCATATATATGTGTGTGTATATATATAAGTTTATGTGAGTCAGTGTAGACTAGCAAAAAATAATCCCCTTCCCTTTAGTGTTATTCTTTGCTGTAAAGATTCCAAGAATTCATATAAAACATAAGGGTTATGTTTTATAAATGTTAGTGAAACAAGTCTTACATTTTCTCTGTCCTGGAGGCTCAGACATACGAGAAGGTGGTTGGAGGGGATGTCCAGTAACAGGCACCACACTCTCCTCAAAATCACTGTATCCTTCTTTATCCTATGGCTGATTTGGTGGTTCAGATTTTTTTTTCTCTATTTCTTCTACAAAAACCAAAAAAACGAGATACATGTGCAGAACATGCAGGTATGTTACATGGGTATGCGTATGCCATGGTGGTCTGCTGCACTTATCGACCCATCCTCTAAGTTCCCTCCACAGACCCCCCATCCCGCAACAGGCCCTGTTGTGTGTTGTTCCCCTCCCTGTGTCCATGTGTTCTCAATGTTCCACTCCCACTTATGAGTGAGAACATGTGGTATTCGGTTTTCTCTTCCTGTGTTAGTTTGCTGAGGATGATGGCTTCCAGTTTCATCCATGTGCCTGCAAAGGACATGATCTCATTCCCTTTTATGGCTGGTTCAGATTTATGGTGCCCAGATTCTTTCTTTAGAATGAGTTTTTTTAAGAAGCTTCTCTGTCTTCATATAAAATGGATCTCTGATGCCTCATTCACCAATTTGCCAAACACTGCTTACTAACACTCTCAATTTGCATTGTCACATCTGAAGTCAGCCACCCCCACAAAAAAAGGGGTTCTCATTAATTCATGAACCATAGTACCAATTATTTCAACTGAACTCTAGGACAAGGACTCTAGTTATATAAAGCTACTTCTGGCTGTGATAATCTGTAAATCTGTGAGGTTCTGACTCTTTGAACTGCCCTTGGGATGACCAATTTGCTTTATTTGAAAGCCTTGCTGTTTCCGACTAGTTTAGTTAACTAACGGTCCTGGATGAATAACCCGATTTCTACCCTTTACCCACCTGTCAGGCTGCTGATAAATAAAGGACTTGCATTCATTTATTATACATTTCATGACCCAAATGTAATCTACCATTAATTCCATCTACTTCTAATACATGCCACAATAAAATGCCACTGAATTTCTAGGGGAAAGTTACAGTTTTAAAGATACTGCTCATAAACATGATTTTACTTACCCAAATTCTATTTAGTCTCCAGGAAATAATATACTAATCTCTTTTCTCCTTTTTTTTTCAAAAAAAATAAAAAAATTATCAAATTGTTAAACAGAACATTTAAGGCCCTTTCTCTTTTATATTAAGTCACTTTACTCATTTTTAATTGTAATATTAAATTAGTAATTTCATCCATATTTTATGATACAACATGACATGAGCTTGGTTCTATAATGTAATATTTCCATCAAAAATGTAAATGAAGGTAGTAAACAAAACCTCTGTGAATTTTTTAACCTAATAAGATACCCTAAACCTTCAGTCAGTTGTATTAAAAGTAATAATTGGAATAATTATATAATTACTAATAAATAATTAGTTATCTTTTTTTGTAAATTTCTTACACAGAGGGGCAGAAAATTCCTTCATTTATTTCATGTAATTCCATTTCATTCATTTCATCCATTCAAAATCAAATCATTGAATGTGATTAGATGTCATTGTTCTAAGTGCTAGAAGCACAGCAGTGAATAAAGCCTTATGGACTTACATTCTTCTGTGGGAAACAGATAATCTACAAATGAAGCAAAATATTGAGTATGTCACTTGGTGTCAAGTGCAGAACAGAAAAATAAAGCAGAGAAGGGAGATAGGAAGCAATAAGAGGGGTTGGTTTTTATGTAAAATGATAACTGAGATGATCACTTAAAGTACACACCTGTTTAAGGTGAGAGAAAAACTGCAAGTAGAAGGAGCAGCATGTGCTATGTGATGACATTGACATGTGCTCACTGAGTTTGAAGAAAAACAAGCAGGTTTGTGTTGTGGGAGCAGAGTTTGGGGGAAGGGGAAGTAGTCAATGGGATCAGAGAGGTCACAGGGGTTAGCACATTGTGAGGACCGTGGCTTTTAATGGGGCCATCATTCCCTTAGAGGATTGAGATAAGAGGAATGACCTGGCCTGGCTTTTGTCATAAAAGATTCACTGTAGCTATAGAGTTTGAGTTTAGATTATAGGGAGGCAAAGTAGAGAGAAGTGGTCAGGTTCAAAATGTAGAAAAAGCAGGAATTGCTGACAGATTGAATGTAAGGTAGACATGAAGCAGAGAAATAAAAGACAAAGTCATGATTTTTTACCTGAACAGGTAGAACGTACATTAGATTTATAGTTGATATTTTAAAATGATTAATTTAAAACCAGAAATAAGTGGAGAAATTCTTTTGAAAACACGTGCTACTGAATAATATTCTTAGAGAACACATTAAAATTTGTGTATATATATGTAGTTACTATTTTATACATACACATAACAAAATACATACTTTTGATTAATATGAATAGACAGCAAGATAAAACAATTAATTGATTGATCTGTGGATCATTTGATGTGGAAAAGAGATGCCAGCTTTGACAAAGAAATTTATTAAACATATATTGGGAAATTGTACCAGTTGAGGTCCTAGCAAGAAAAAGATGGCTCACTCAATGAATTTAATTGAAGATATTTTAATGAAAGGGCTATTTACAGAGATATGGATAAAGTTAAGGGGACCAACAAATATGGTGAAGCAGCAACATGGAAACTAGCCAGAGCTGGTGCCCCGTTCAGTAATAATTTCCTCCGCCTTGCCTTTAGGAGTGGTAATGGCAGGGCAGAGGAAATTATTACTGAATGGGGTACAAGCTATAGCCATTGAGAAGACTATAGGAGCTGTGGACATAGAGGAAAGTAGCCAGGAATAGAACCATGGTGAAGAAGGGAGGAAGTGGGACAAGGGAAATAAAAAATCTGTTCTTTTTCTCCTGTCCTTCTGTTTCTTTCTGGTCCCTCCTATCGGCCTAGGGTAGTCACAATACATAAGATCCACGGTAATGCAGTCCATGGAGTTCAGCCAAGAGGGAAGAAAGGGGTAGAAATTGAATATACAGTGACAAATTAAGAATATATAGCACAGAATTTCACATAATTTAAGGAAGATCTGAAGGTCAACACAAATGAGGAAGGCTCTATGAAATACCAGTAAAATAAACTACAGATTGTATGTCTATGTTGTTATCACAGAAAACTCAGCTGCAACCACCCGTTTTCTCACTTAGTCTATGCTGAAAAGCTCAGATTCTGGGAGAATAACCTTCATGACCTGGCTTGAATCAAGGACTCACATTTGTCAGGGGAAGGTGCTGGAAGGACCCAGTAATTGGAGCCCAATTCTAATCATGTGGAGTTAGTTAGGAAGGGAGTGTGTTTCAAAGAAAGGGGTTATATAATATTTAATAATCAACGTAAGGCTCTCTCCTGCAACATTGAAATATTTATATATTAACAAATAAAAATCAGGTAAGTTTCTCTAAATGGATACCAATATTTCAGAATATAGGAATGTTGTTTAATTCACTTCTCAATTGCAATAAAGTCAAAGCTTGATATTTGTTTTTTTGAGATTTTCTCTCCCTTTTTGTCTGACCAAAACCTTTATGCCTAATTCCAGGTTTTTAAAACTGTTTTTATGATTTGAAAAGTTTACAAAAGTCTTAAGAAGAGAAGAAGAATGGATCAGTATACAATAATTGTCACTGCTGGGGAGAAACAAAACAACAGATAAACAAAGTCTTGAACTGTGGAGTTTTGTAAATCGCTACGGTAAAAATAATTATAAAGAGGAAACCCCTTTAACCCAATTTATGCATCTTAATTCACTCAGAGACAATAATAATAATAATCTCATTTATAATCGTGTGTAATTTCATTTCCAGAATTTCACTGAATTTCTTGCTAAAGAGGTGGAGAAAATCAGCTTTGAGACTCCAAGTTGATAATGGCCTCTTTGTTGGTGACAATATCCTCCCCCTCTTTCTGAGACAACTAGTCATGAGATTTGGCTTTGGAAGTGTAAGGTTAAAAAGGGACACAATTTTAAGAAGGAAATTAAAATTCATCAGTTCAGTATTGGCAAATTATTAACCCTTTTTCATGTTGCTTATGCATTAATTGATCTGGTGATCAGACATGTAAAAATTTTTGATGTGAAGAAATGAGAGTTTGAAAATATATGTATACTTGTTACTAAAATAGAAAATACAGCACTTCAGTAAGGAGCACAGGCAACTTTGGAGCCAAGAGACTCATGATAAGAGGTAGCTCTGTCACATGAAAGCTATGTAAAATTTTTGTGTTAATAAGCTCTCTATCCTAGAGTGTAAAAAGGAGACAATATTGGCCTTACAAACATGTGGTGAGGTTTAAGTGAGACATCTATGGAGCACAGAGCACAGGACTCAGCACAGTGCTATCATTAGATACTATAGAATGAATATTACTCACACTCTAAGGTAAAAAACACAAGTCAATAATTATAAGAACCAACTTTACTCACACTTTAAGGTAAATGATGCATGTTAACAATTATAATTCACTATGATAATCATGCAGTAATAATATGCATAGTGATATACATATATACTCTAGGGGTACAGAGGAGGGAATTCTAGATGAAGCTGGAGGATTCCTGGAAGAGGTTCATTCATTCATTTATTCATTCAACAAATATTTATAGAATCCCTACTTTGTTCCAGGCTTATAAGATTCAGTGTTAAATCCTATAGGGAAGGTCATTGCTCTTGTGGTGCCTTCTTCTGTATCAGAAAAAAGTAAAAAATAAATATACAAGTTCATTTAGGAAAGAAGCACTAAATGGAAATAAAACAGATAAAAACATAATGAGGAGAAGGAAGTGAGGAAGGTTAAATTGAAGAGCATGTCAGTTATATATTTTTTTTTCTCTACAGATCCACTCTTCATCCTTTGCCTTGTCCTAGACATATGAACAAACCTCTGAGCTATGGGGCTTCTATTGGGTTTGTCCAGAAGGAAACCCCAGCAAGAAGTTGGAGGGAGGGGAATGAATGCAGAGAAGTTTTCCACCTTGAGATTAAAATCTGTGCCTAATCATGTTAAGCTAGATAGAAGTTCATTAGGGAATCTTTTATTCTAGTGCTCTATAACTGTTATGGTCATTAAAATAATGCAACAGGTGTTAAAAAGGAATTCAACAAGACTTAAAAATTATACTTAATGAAAATGCACACACACATACACGCACACACTTCTTACCTCTTATAGTGCTATTCTTTAAGATATAATCTGTATTTATATCTTCAAATATCTCTGCTTCAAACAAATAGAATAATACTTAATGTTAAGATAGTAGAAGTATTCTGAGACTATTCATTATAAGACAAATTAATATTTTTCAAATGTAAACCAATAAAATTTAAGAAGATAACAAAATAAAAATATATAATTCATAGAAAGATAAAATATATTTCTTATCTGTGCATGATAGAATTACACATCAATTAAACAAAAAAAAAAATAAAAATAAGATACTGCAAAGCATAGATTTTTTCCCCTTTTCTGTTCAGTTGCTAAACTGCAGGCTTTAAAGAGTGTCTGTATATAGTAGGTATCCAATGAACATTTATTTTTATTTTATTTTTTTGAGAAGGAGTCTGGCTCACTCTGTCTCCCAAGCTGAAGTGCAGTGGCATGATTTCAGCCCACTGCAGTCTCTGCCTCCCGGGTTCAAGTGATGCTCCTGCCTCAGCCTCCTGAGTAGCTGGGACTACAGGCGCCCACCACCACGCCAGGTAAAGTTTTTATATTTTTAGTAGAGACGGGGTTTCACCGTGTTAGCCAGGACGGTCTTAATCTCCTGACCTCGTGATCCTCCTGCCTCGGCCTTCCAAAGTGCTGGGATTACAGGCGTGAGCTACTGCGCCAGGACGAATATTTGTAGAAAGTATGAATGAATAAAGATAATTTAGTAAAATACTTAGTTATAAGACTAAAATATAAAAGAAACCCTGAAATTTTATTTTATAAAAAATAACCCTCACAAAATTAGAATTTACACCAGATGCAAATATGTTCATAATAATGACCAATACAAAAATACTTTCAAGAAAGCATCATAGTGTAACTAGAAAATATTTAATAGTTATATTACTAAGAAATAGAAATTCTATTAAGAAAAAATAAAACAATAATTAATTAAATGAGAAGTCATAGCAAGGGGTAAATCAAGAAGGAAAACAGAACATTCATTCACCACCACTTCAGAATTAAGTTCCGTAAAATAACAGAAATGATACATTTTAAAGAAATAGTACAAACCCCTGAGAAAAATAATAACAATTTCCCCGCACCTGTAATTTCAAGACCTTCTAGGAACAGAGAAAGTAAATGTTATGAAATTTTTGAAAAAAAAATGTAATAAAAAACAAAATAATAAAAACAGGAAAAATCCTATAAGAAAAAAGCACTGCAAAGGTAAATCTTTTCCAGAGGGTAACATTACTTCATATTCAATGAACAGATGAAAAAAGTTGCATAGAGGCACTCTGGGGCAATTTTCAAAGCATTTACTTGAAAACTGGGTTCAGAATAGCTGGACTCATTGGGCCTTTGAGAAATTAATAAAACACAAAGCAAAAAAAATGTTTGACTTGGTCAACAAAATTAAAGATTGGTTATTTTTAAAAAGACAAAGGAAATGGATAAGCTCATTCCATTCTCTTTAAAAAGACAAAGAGAAAAGAAACAACATTGGAAACCATCATTCTCAGCAAACTATCGCAAGGACAAAAAACCAAACACCACATGTTCTCGCTCATAGGTGGGAACTGAACAATGAGAATACTTGGACTCATTAATGAGAACATCACACACTGGGGCCTGTCAGGGGGTGGGGGGAAGGGGGAGGGATAGCATTAGGAGATAATACCTGATGTAAATGACGAGTTAATGGATGCAGCACACAAACATGGCACATGTATACATATGTAACAAACCTGCACGTTGTGCACATGTTCCCTAGAACTTAAAGTATAATAAAAAATAAAATAAAATAAAATAAATTAAAAATTAAAAAAAGAAACAACATTGGGAATAAGATAAAGAACAAAGATAAAGAGAGGGGAGTTTTGTTGTTGCTGTTAAAGAGAATATAGTATACAAATTTACACTCACTGTTTAAAAGCTTGGAAAATTGGGGAATTTTCTGATGTAATATACAGTATCAAACAATTCAATAGCACTATCAGATAGCCCAACAATTGTAGAATAATCAAAAAGCTGGCAAAGATACTCAAATGAACACATTTGTGTGTTTCTAAACATAAACTTTGACAGCTATATCACTTACATGGAATAAACAGTTATAGAGCTCAGAAGAAAATAAAGCTTTCAGATCTCAGTCTGTGAAAAGCCAGCATAACCAAAGCTGGCCAAAAATAGCAAATAATAAAAATATGACCATCAGCATTATCATCATCTAACAACATATCGAATTAATATGATAGTCTAATGTGATTATATAAGATTTATGCCTGTAAAGAAAATATTAATCATGTTTATTATAATCTATTACATTAGCAGATTAAAAGAGAAAAGACAATCATCTTGACATATGTAAAATTATTAATAATATGTATCAATTTATTTTCTCATTAAAACACTTCTTAACAAGCAAGAAGAAATCTACCTTAATATGATGAAGGCTACCTTACTAGTAACCTATAGCAAATGCCATAAAATCAGAAGAGTTACTATTACATATCATTAAAACAGTGTCAGTTAACATTATAACTATTACTATTCAGCATTTAATTGAAATTGTTTGCCAGAGTAGTATGTCAAGAAAAGTGTATTATAAAAATTGTTAAGAAAGAGAACAAACATATAGTTGATAGATGACATGATTATTTACTGACACTACCAAAGAGAATAAACTAAAATACCGTATTAGATACAGTTTAATAATTCCCTACTACAGCTATATGCAAGGACAAAGTCAGTAGTAAAAAAATAATTTTTCTATAACCAAAAATAGCCAGTTGGAAAGCACAATGATAAAATGTCTCTTTTTTAAAAAGTCAGAACACATATCAAATACCTAGCAACAAATCTGAACGAAAAATTTCCAAGACTTATATTAAAAAACTATACAATAGGCTGGGCATGGTGGCTCATGCTTGTAATCTCAGCACTTTGGGAGGCCTCGGTGGGCGGATCACGAGGTCAGGAGATCAAGACCATCCTGGCTAACACGGTGAAACCAGGTCTCTACTAAAAATACAAATAATTAGCCGGGTGTGGTGGTGGGCACCCGTGGTACTCGGGAGGCTGAGGCAAGAGAATGGCGTGAACCCGGGAGGCAGAGCTTGCAGTGAGCCGAGATTGCACAACTGCACTCCAGCCTGGGTGACAGACCGAGACTCCATTGCAAAAAAAAAATTAAAAAATAGAATAAATAAATAAATAAACAAAAAATAACTATGCAATAGATTACCTTGTATTTAGATACATTGGTAAGATAGGTAGAGAGACAGATAAATGGAGAGATTTACATATTAAGATGTACTAATTTAAGGTTATGACTATGTTAATTATTTATCAATTAATGCATAAATTTAATGTAATTCCAAACAAAATTCCAGCTAGATTGTTTAAAATAATTTGACAAACTTATTCTCAAATTAATATGAAGGAGAAAATAGGAACAAAAGTATCCAAGAATTTTAGCTGTGTGCAGTGGCTCATGCCTATAAACCCGTAACTTTGGGAGGCCAAGGTGGGAGGATTGCTTCAGCTCAGGAGTTTAAGACCAGTCTGGGAAATACAGGGCAGGGCAACACCATCTCTAAAAAAAGATAAAAATAAAAAAATAAAAGAGAGAGAGAGAATAGTTGAATAATTGTGGGAATATTTTAAACAGACATGGAAAGTAAAGTCAGCTTTCATTGACTCAAATTTATCAGTCTTTTATATATGGCTTCTTTTCATTCTTTGCAAGGAATTCATTACTCTAAAATTACATGCATGGTGAAAGTTTTATATGTAAAATATATTGAAAATAAAACATACATATGTATCATATATGATCATATAGTAAAAGTAGATAACTCACAAATGAATAACTATAAGAAACTCAATGAACATGGGAAATCTGTTTATTCTTATTAATAATTGTGAAAATGAAATTAAAACTCCAATGGCCTATCATTTTTTTCTTGCTCATTTTAAATTGGAAAAAGTTGTTAATATCTGATTTTGGGGCAAGCGTATGAAACAGGTAATCTCATGTGGTCTTAGAAGAAATATATATTCCTACAGTCTTTGGAGGGCAATTTGATAGTTACTACCAAAAGCAAATTTACCCATGAATTGAGTAATTATCTTTACCTCCAATGTTTTTTCTCCATATCTATATTGATAACTACACAGAGATATAATAAGGATATTAATTGTAACACAGTTTGTTTTAGCACAAAAGAATAAAACCTCAAATGTGCATTAGTAAAGGAGATGTTAAGTAAATTATGGTATATCCATTCTACAAAACAAATGCAGGCATTAAAGAAAAGGATGCTATAAATTATCTCATGCTAATATCTTCAAGATATACTTTGAAACCTTAAATCCAAATGCTGGTACAATAAATATATTAAGAGATTAGTTATGTAAAATAATAGAAATCAATATATGCATGTTAGAGTCAAGAAAGATAGGCATGTGCCAGCAAAATGAAGATGAGTTCATGGACTACTTTAAGGTTTTTCTTTTTAAATCTTGTATTCTTCAAATGTTTGACAATAATATGTATCATTTAGCGCTGATACAAGAAGGAAGAAATAGGGAAAAAATATCTATTTTGCTTTTGAATAGAGACTCAATATTGAAAGATGATAGTTCTTCCTAAAATGTCTCTATGTGCAATGCAAACGAAATGCCTTAACTACAAAGACAAGTGCCAAAATTTGTCAAAAATAATTCTACATGTATATGAAAAAAAATCATGTTTAATATGTATGTATGCAGACACATGAAGAGAAATACAGATGTTGGGATTGGGCCACCATATATTAAAACTATTAAAATTGTATAGTATTGTTAGTCTTTATATAGGCAGGTCAATGGAAAAAATTCTGAAAAGTAAATATCTATCAATCTTTTAAAGTGGCATAGTCTTTTCCAGTGTTTGCTTTTATAAACATTTACCTATCATGATTTTTAGTATTTACATTATAATACTAAATCATCTTAAATTCACTTTAGGAAATGACATGATATTATATTCTACCTTCCTTTTCCCTGGAATAGTTAACCATCCTAGGACCATTTGCTATACAACATATCCTTTGCTCATTGATGTGGAATGACAATTTGGAGCTATGATTAAAACTAAAGTGTGTTTCTGGTATTTATTTATTTATTTAGAGACAGGGTCTCACTCTGTCACCCAGGTTGGAATGCAGTGACGCGATCTTGGCTCACTGCAACCTCAGCCTACTGGGTTTAAACTATTCTCATGCCTCAGCCCCCCGAGTAGCTGGGATTACAGGAGCATGCCACCACGCATGGCTCATTTTTTTGTATTTTTAGTAGAGACGGGGTTTCACCATGTTGGCCAGGCGGTCTTGAACTCCTGACCTCAAGTGATCTGCCTGCCTCAGCCTCCCAAAGTGCTGGGATTTACAGGCGTGAGCCACTGCACCCGGCCTGGTTTTGACTCTTTTGCATTGCCTTATCTGTCTCTTTCTCTGCTCAGTGCTACCCTAAGCAATTCTAATACTTTGGACATTTTTTCATTGTTTTCATTTTTAAGCCATAGCTTATGAACTGTTAAAAATGATTTATTAATCCAGTTAAACTTTAAAAACATTTTGTTGCTTTTGTCCGCATGGAGAAAACTAATAACACTTTTTTTTGTTGTTCGTTTTAAAGTAAGTAAGTTGCTTTATTGGTTACCAGGAATGACTGTATATTGCTGGTGAGTTGTTTGGTTTGCTTTCTTTTTTTTCTTTTTTTTAAGTTTTACTTTAAGTTCTGGGATACATGTGCAGAAGGTTCAGGTTGTTACGTAGGTACACATGTGCCATGGTGGTTTGCTGCACCTATCAACCTGTCATCTAGGTTTTAAGCCCCTCATGCATTAAGTATTTGTCCTAATGCTCTCCCTCCCCTTGCCTTCCAACCCTCAACAGGCCCTGTTGTGTAATGTTTCCCTCCCTGTGTCCATGGAATCACCAAATTTTGTTTGAAACTTAAAATCAATTTTGGAAGGAGCACCATATTTATAATATTGAGACTTTATGGACAAAGTATATAGCTAATTTATTTAAATGCTTTTTATGTCTTTTATCAAAATAAAGTATCTTAAACTATGGATCTCAGACATTTCTTGTTAAATTTATTATTGTGTAGTTTTCATTTTTAGTTGCAATTGTGAAAAAAATCATTGTTCTCTATATTGCCTTAATGGTTATTGCTGATGCTTAGGAAAAATGTTAATTTTTGCATGTTTACTAAAGTAACCAAAAGTTGATACCAACTTCCCAACTTCTATTATTAGTTATGATGATTATCCAGTTGATTATTTGGGGTTTTCAGGAGACAATATTATCAATTAAAAATACCATGCATTGCAGAAATGGTGGATATGAGCGTATTGTTCTGACTTTAACAGCTTTAATGTTTCATATTAAGCATGATGTTGATGTGGCTTTCCAGATAGATAATCAGATTTGCCTGTACACAAGACACAGAAAGACTGTGAGGTTGTCAATGAGGAAGTTTTTTTTTCACTGTTCCTTACCACTGCCTTCTTCAACAGATGTTCTTATTTTATTTCCTTACACGTGTAATATGTTTGTAACATATTACTCTGTCCTACTAAGAGGGTCAAAATGTCTTATCCCTTAAATCTTTAAGTTTCACTGAGATTTTCCAATAAACCATCAAACTTCAAGTCACCGATCTATCTTTTTTCTTTCATTTCACGTGTGCTAGTATCTGCTGCATGGAGATTTTATTTTAGATGCATATTAATCTTCTGCTGCTGCCTTGCAATTTGATCTTAAGCAGAGTATTAAAGGAGACAGGGAACATTTCAGAAGATGCACAATTCTTGTATATATTGAATAGCACCCATTACAACTACTGATGAGACGTTCTCCTGAAATTAATTCATAATTGATATTCTCTAATGAGTCCTCAGAAATCAGATTCCTGTAAAATACTAAGCATTTTGACATCATGAACATCTAATGACACAGAGTCAACATGATGGTAGTCTTATTTCTAAGATGTCTTTGAAATAAACACTCGCATTTAGCTCGCTAGATTTTAGCTTGAGATAGTTTATCAACAAACCGATACAAAGACAAGATAAGAAGAGATTATTCTGAAGTTTCAAGATTCTCTCTGTCTCTTCTTCTATCACTGATTCCATTCTTTTATTGCTTTCACTTTGTCTCAATCTTCTTGAGAGTTCATTCTTCCTCCAAAGAAAACTTAAATTTCATATTCTAAACAACTTTAAATCAACACTCTGAAAAGTAAATAAACATGACTTTTTATATTGCTGACAACTTTAAGTTAATGCATTGATATAATATACACATTCTCAAATTTTTAAGAAAATGTATTTTTTGAGATTTTGAATAAATAAAATATGGCCTAGAAGCTATACTTGGAACAACCAATGACTTGTGATCTTTTTAAGACATTTCTTAGTTCTATTTTGAGATCTTGTTTTTCAGTGATTCTGTCATATCAGTTTAGTACAAACCTTGAAACTCAGAAAAACTTTTACTAAAATAACTGCCTGGTCATGAGTAAGATTAAGTTGCAATAGAACAAACAGAGAGATTGGCTAAAAGAAAAGCAAAACTTACTTAAACTCAGCATAACATTTTAG
Organism: Homo sapiens; assembly: GCF_000001405.40. NCBI lineage: Eukaryota > Metazoa > Chordata > Mammalia > Primates > Hominidae > Homo > Homo sapiens. Next base: position 45,698,316 of record NC_000005.10, on the reverse strand, counting down.
ATGGTATATTTTTACATTATTATAAAATTTAAAATTTATGTTAAAATATACATTGTCACACTCATGACTGAAAATAGAGGGACTGAGGAAGCATGCAGAATGGGAGAAAAGTAGGGAAACATCTTTAGTCTAATAAAGAAAAGCTGCCTGAGTAATCGGGTCTTTCTTAGGCAGAACTGTGCTTTGGGCAATGTTTGTTTTTATCCATTCCCGTGGCTTCCTTCTGCCCTCAGCACCTGGTATCCTTATCTGACCTCTTGGCTTTCCAAAGTAGAGAAAGGTCTCTATTTTGACAGATCAGAGCTCTATATTTTCATATTTTTCCTATCTCTTACCATTAAAATTTGGCCATCCATATTTATTCTTAGGGTTCTGGTATATGATTAGTTGAAAACAGATGGTGCCTGAGTCAGGACATAGCTCCGTGAAAAAAGGAGATTTAGCACAGGCTATGGTAAGGAGAATGGTAAGGAAATCTTACAGAATTGCAACTGAGTTAGGCCTAATGGCTCGTTTCTGCTTCCCTCTGCTATTTTCTCTGTTCTCTGCTTCCTTTCTCAGCCTCTGTTAACCCCTCAGGAAGGCATCCAATTGTCTTCCTTTGTCTTTATCCTTGCTTCCTTCATTGTTAATTGGCTTCATCACTGTTTAATTTTTCAGAAAAACACCTTGATTAGCCCCACTCATTTTTTTTTTCCTCATGATAGCTCACTAGTTGCCAGCCTGACATACACATTCCCTCCTTGAGTGCCTGCCCCTTCTCCATAAAATGTGGCTACAGCTGACAGGAACCCAGGGGATCTGGGACTCTTGGCAGGGCAAGATTTCCTTTGAAGAGGCTATGGGCAGGGAGGCAATGCTTGTATCTGAAACAGATGTTTTGGGACATTCGGGAGTCTTGAAGCTCTTCAGACGCCGGGGCTCCCCTGCTGAGTGACTGGTGGGTTTGGCAGCACATTTTGCTTCCTTTAGCTAATCCAGTGGGTTTCAGAGACGCAGAGGGAATAAGAGGAAACGGATAATGCTTTCCTCAGCATCAGTACTACACTTGTAAGTTTCCCTTAAGAGTGTTCCCCCCTTCTGAAATGGTAATGACATTCTGACGAGAGATTCCAAGACGTCTTAACTTCCTAGCGTGGTGTCGTTAAACACTGACCGACACACACATCCCTTAATGTGTTTTATTGATTATGTAACTTATCTAAAAAGATAGGTCAGCTCAGGCGAGGCCTCCCTCACACACTTTTCTTTCAATATTGGTGGCTGATAGATCTGCTTGCACGTGTATTGATACGAATGGCCTTGGAAAGAAAGAAATCCCGTCCTCTGTTTAAAAAACTCTGCAAGAATTAACAAGGATAAGTGTAAGGAGGTCAGTTGTCTGTCCCCAGGTGCAGAACCTTAATCTGAAAAGCCCCAAGCAGCTGGTTACCTAGGATTACACAGACCTGGTAGCTTTTGCCCTCTGCCTCTCTTTCTAGTACACACGCGCACGCGCACGCACAGGCACACTTTCCCTGATACTTTGGACATTTATTTTCCATTGTCAAACTTTACTTTCTTTTGGACATTTGGTTTTGCACTTGAATTGTTGGCATGCATAGTCAGCTTGTCCCCTTTTCTCCATCTGTAACGTTATTCAAACAGGCGTTCAGACAATGTCTTCATGAGTTTAAGATGTTTGTTTCTTTTGGACCAACACACACTCGCTAGTTCAGTCTTGCTCTCTCTCCTCTCTCCCCTGTCTTTCATGCAAACATACACCGAGTCCTTCTCCACGTGTACCAATGAATGTCTCCTCCGAGGGCTCTTGAGTTCAATGTCACGCTGGGCAGAAGTAGAGCAAGAGTAACGAGCATGTGTGGAGAGCGGACGGGGAGAGACCCTTTCTGGCCAACAGAGGGCAGCCGAGGGGAGGCGCTGGGGCGCGAGGGCTGAGCCGAGCTGAGCCTCGCCTAGCTCCGGCAGCCTCAGCTTCAGCACCAGCCGCACCGGAGCCCGGACCGCAGCCACTAAGGGCAGCGGCGGCGGCGGGAGCCAGGCGCGCAGCTAGCAGCGGCGCGGTCGGGAAGCAGCAGCCGCCGCCGCCGCCGCCGCCGCCGCGACGGGCAGCTGGGCTCGCCGGCAGCCGGCTCGGGCCCCTACCCTCTCGGCTACGTGTCTCCGGCGCCGGGCGGCCGGCGAGTCTGGAGCCCGCGCCGTCGCCGGCCGCGTCCTCCGGGCATGGAAGGAGGCGGCAAGCCCAACTCTTCGTCTAACAGCCGGGACGATGGCAACAGCGTCTTCCCCGCCAAGGCGTCCGCGACGGGCGCGGGGCCGGCCGCGGCCGAGAAGCGCCTGGGCACCCCGCCGGGGGGCGGCGGGGCCGGCGCGAAGGAGCACGGCAACTCCGTGTGCTTCAAGGTGGACGGCGGTGGCGGCGGTGGCGGCGGCGGCGGCGGCGGCGAGGAGCCGGCGGGGGGCTTCGAAGACGCCGAGGGGCCCCGGCGGCAGTACGGCTTCATGCAGAGGCAGTTCACCTCCATGCTGCAGCCCGGGGTCAACAAATTCTCCCTCCGCATGTTTGGGAGCCAGAAGGCGGTGGAAAAGGAGCAGGAAAGGGTTAAAACTGCAGGCTTCTGGATTATCCACCCTTACAGTGATTTCAGGTGAGGGCTCCCGGTCGCCGCCCCACCCTCCCTTCAGGCGCGCCCTGAAACGCGCTTCCCCGCCCTTGGGTGGGGGGCGTCCCGGGGACTAGGAGGGCGGGCGGGGGGTGGCGCTGCCGGCGGCGTCGGCTCGGGCTAAGCAGGCTCCACTCGGCGCCTCCGGGTAGTTTCCACCCAGGAGGGGCTCGGAGGATGTGCTCCTGTTGCCCGGGAATCCCGGACGGGCTCTCCTCCTTGGCCTCCTGAACTTCGGGGACAGATCAGGGAAGGATGGAGGCCACGGTCACCCTCCTGGGAGGAGGCGAAGTTGTACAAGGGAAACTTTTACTTCAGAGACGAGAGCGTGAGGAAGCGGGAAGCCACCCTTCCTCGCGCGGCTCCCTCAAGTGTGGTCTCAACCAGGAGGGAAAAGGAGGCTTCTGGGGCTCAGAAGAAGACTGGGTAACCGGAGACAGCGATTCACAAGCCCGAGCAGTTCCTGCCGCGCTCGCCCCTGGGGAGTGTGTTTAGTCTGTTTTTCTTTATAGGCGCTGGTTATCCTCGCTGTGTTTACTCAGAAACAGCGGCCGGCAGGCAAAAGAAGGGCAATTTGCACTTGGATAGTCCCTGACGTGAGGTCTCACCAAAGCCAGGCGCTTCCAGGCAGGGCAGGAGCGTGGCAGGAAGCCTCTAGTTCCTGAAACAGAGAGAGGGGGCGTTGACAGAGCCCCTTTCTGAAATAGAGCGGCACCCTTTCTTGACCTTGACTGCAAGTCTATTTCAAAAATCTTTTTCACGTCCTCCAGCTCGGGAAGAAGGACAGGAAAGCTGTCAGCAGGAAAACTCCGCTTTGGAGAATTAAAATTAAGACGTTTTCTGATCTTACTTGTCGCTCAAGTATTCGTTCGGTGATAAGCATATTTAGAGATTGTCAAATGAAGGTCGTGTAGTAGATCCTCTTATTAGCGTGTGCACGATTATCTTAGCTCCTGAACAAGGCTGGACTTCCCATTTTAAAATCCAGAACTAGTAACTCCTAATAACTCAGGGTGATATTTATTTATTTGGCCGAACTCGTTCGAAAAGAAAAGAAGAATCAACTAAAGGAGTATGTGCATATACTAAGTATTCTTTATAGGATAAATATAGCAATGTAAAGCAGCCTTGGAGTTAGTTTAGAAACTAAGGGAAATTGTCACCAACTACATGCCTTAACGGGAGCTGTCCACAGTTCTGAATGACATTAGCTGTGAAAAATCCACAGTCCCGCCACACAAAGGCTCAGAGTGACGGTCTTTGCCTTCTTTGAGATATTTATCGTCTCAGAAATCAGTAGCCTCCGTGATCTATGCAAAGAGTGAATGGATTTTAGAAAGTGTATAATTTTAAGGTACTTATTTGTAAAAACACACAGCAAAGTCCAAAGGAGAACTTATAAAACCTAATGACGTTTATAGTCTAGAGAACATTAAGAGTTTGATTGAAAGAACGTTCATTAAAAATTTTAAAAAAAAGAAAATGTTCATATTAAAAAGATGTAATAAATAATCAAACCTGTTTCCTCCAGTAGGAAGATAGGGAAGCAAACTTATAAATGACCCTGTTCTAAGATGTATAAGGTTGTCATGTTCTTTAGAATTTTAAAGGTGGGAATCAAGTATAGAATATTATCTTTTCCTCAGTCCCCAATGGAAATATATTTCACCTCATTTTAAAATTTTTAAATGAAAATAACTTACATGAAAAAAGTCTCCAGTCTTAATAGCAAAAATAAATGTGGTATTTCCAGAAATGTACCAGGTTCAATATTAACATGCAAAAATGCTGAACTTTTAACATTTAATTTCACTCAATAAAATGATTACATATGATGCTTTTATTTTTTCAGCAATGTGAAAAGGACTATCCCTTATCAAAATGATACCACACATCAAGTAATTAAACTTTTTCCCACTTGCTAAATAAAAACATAGGGCCACTTTTCAGGAATTAGAATAGCATGCGAAAGTCTTTTGAATGAATGGAATTACAGGATTCTCCTTATTTTCCCAAGGAAATCTTCTGAGACAAAATATCTCTTTAATAAAAACATTGTTACTGAACAAAGGAACAAATTGAAATCAGGTGATGATTTAATTTTATTATCCATTTCAAAGAAATGGGAAATGATTAAAAACTGAGCTAATACTCTAAATTCCAGTGTGGAGTAGTTTGGAATATTTGACTTTTCCCTTGTATAAATGGAAAAAAGAAAATGGCAGGCACAAATTAAGCAATTATCATTATTTAGATCTTTTTAAACTGAAAGATATCTGAAAAAATAGATTTTAAAACATAATTACAATATACACTGGTGTTCTAAAACAAACTGCAAAAATAATCATGTACTTGTTTACATTCAGAATATATTTACATCTTATTGTTTCATTTTTTTGTATGATCTCAAAACCAATATAAGATTTTCTAAAATCTATAACGTCAAGATAATGTAATGAAAGAACAAAAATAGGAAAGACAAAATTCTAGCGGTAGTTTTTTTCTACAGGGAAAGGAATGTGTGAGTAATTTTCAACAGATACTAGAAATTTTTGCGGTCATGATCTAGCCTTTACTTTAGGCCCTTTCCTGAAGGATTATTTCAGGGAGGTGCTTTACTACAATTCCTAAAATGTCAAACTTAAGTTCATTAATCATTTAACAACTGAGTGAATGACACTTAAGAGTAATTTCTATGAAGAGTGGGGAGTTATTACAAATGAAGATATCCAGAGGATTCTTTTCCTTGACACTTTTAATAAACCTTTACATGGCCAGAGAAGTTTACTATGTTCTTACTCCAGGGCATGTCGTGACTTTAACACTGTTTCTAGTTTCCCTGCTCACGATAATTTTTAAGACTGATAGCTTTCTACTTTACTTACCTCAAGGGACAAGGCTGTGCTCCCACTGAGACTTTCAGAGAGCTAGCTAGTGCCTCTTTTCCCCACCAGAGCCCAAGAGTGCTATTGCTGTGTCTGGCAGGTAGTTTTCTCTACCCCTGGCGTAAGTAGGGCAGAGTTGCTGTATTTACCTTTTTCCTCAGCAGAGGATGACAATAGAAACCTTCAGAGAGTAAAAAGCAGTCCAATAGTATAGGTACTGTTTGAAATAACTGGGTGGAAGCTACAGAATTTAGTAAACACAACAAGCTCATGTTTTTGTTTATGCTGTGGTATATAAGCACCCAAACTAGGGAAAATAGGGATAGTTACTTAAAAACAAATGTAGCTCGATTTTTCTGTAGTGACAGTATGGTCTTAGTCTTATTGAATTTCATGTGAACAACACATAGACACATTTAATTTGGAGGTTAAATATGATTTTTAAAAATTCATGGTGATTTTATATTAATTAGCTAGAATTTTACTAAGGTTTAAAAGTGATGCTTGGCAAGCATTGTGCTTCCATAGCCAATTGATAGTTATGATATAATCATTTAAATAGGTTGAAAGAATATTTAGAATACTTTTGTGGATGATTTTTATTATGCAAGCAATTTATCTTGGAAGAATTTATCACCAGACTATTTGCCATTTTAGGGATTCTGTCATTATTTTGTTCCATCATGCTTACACAAAGGGACTTTTAAAAAGAATGCTCCTTTCCATATGTATTGCCAGCCAACATCTTGCTCCTCATAACGGAGGCAGTTTTGTATCTTGACTTCTTATTTTTTTCAATTTCTTTTCATCATTAGTATGAGTGTGTGAAAAGCTTATTTTGTTGTAAGTACTCAAGGACTCTAGAGATGGGAGTTACTTCCTGAAGATACCGTCACATCCGTTCTTCCATCTCTGCTTTGAATTGCAGCCACAACTGTACTGATATCAGAGATCACTGATGTGTTCATTAGGGAAGGGAGGCTTCACCCATATTATACAGTTCATAATAGAGAGAACATTTGCTTCCAGGAGCTTCTCACAAGAAAACAATTCAACCTTCTAGGGTTTAAAGACGAATTAGCCTACTGTTATGTTATCTTTGTGCTGAACACACTCTGTATCTGCCAGCAATGCTTATTTTATTTGCTTTTCATATCAACATAGCCAAAATTAACCATAAGAATTTATTTTTTTTCTATGTTAGGTGAACCTTTTTGTGCTTTAAGTTCAATTACATTTTTCTTAGTGGCTCTAGCAACTGTTAGACACAACATGAAATTTCTTCAAAGATTTAAACGTGTGAATTTATTTAGTTACTTTTTCTTAGTATACATGTAAGTTATGCAACTTTAAATTTTAGCAAATGTTTCACTGTTGCATTTAGTAGATATTATGATTTATACTATTAAAATATTATAAGATAGTTTTCATTTTTTTCTGAGCAACTTTCCCTTTAAACCTCCTTCGGGGTATGATTATAAATTGAGAATCAGTAAAGAGGTACACTTTACTAATCATATTTAATTATGTGGACTTGGGTTTATGAACGTGCCTGTTGAATAATGAAAGAAATTTAAATGCACTGGAAAGATATATTACTTATTATTTGTATCATAGGTTCATTTAAGAAAATTATATTCAACTATATCTGCTTGATCAAAAACCACAAACCAAAACAACATCACCACCACAAAGCAAGATAAATAGTATTTGTAATTCTGCATTATTATACTCAATGCACCTATGTCCTATAGTGAGCAGGAAACCAGCAGAATGCATTTAGTATGATTTTCAGGTGATAATCTTATCATTCTGAATATAATTCTTGTGTTTAGCAGATAATTCACTTCATTATTTAGAAACAACAATTGGGCTCCGGAAAAGAACTTTCAAATAGAGTCTCTTGTAAGTACAGTGCAAATTATTGCAGATCATTAGCACTACATGAAGAGTACTGAGCATTTGCAGGGTCTGTGACAAATTTTCATTTTATCATTTTGTGTAAAGGAGTAACAAACTATGAATTAGGCTGACACTATATATTTTAGTTGTAGAAATAGTGATAATAAAGAAAAAAGTCTGCATGCACTATGAAAATTATATTTTCTCTAAGTACTTTTCTTCTAAAAATAATTTTCTTTGTGAAGGCATCTGGATGTACAACTTACCATTAGTTTTACAGGAAAAAAAAATCAGGATTCCTGGTGCATCCTGGAATTTTATGTTTTTGCAAAATAAACCTTCATGGCTCTGTTAATTCTATTTGTATATATGTGCTACAGAAACTATTCAAGGGACTTTGTAGAAGAATATATATAGAAGTAAAGAATATATATAGAAGTTGATTATTTTTGAGTTGAGTGTTTATCTGACACATTTCACCCAACTTTGATAAGATTGATTTCATGACTCTTTCAAGTTATGTTAGTTAGTTTTCTCATAGTATTTTTCTATTTTGTCTAATAGTTGACCACGCAGTTAAAGCAAGGAAGCAACATTACTCATGCTTTAAATTTACAACTTATAATTTTATTTATATAAACCTAATTTTATTTTCAGGTCACTAGCTGTAACTCTAAAAACATAAGGCTAATTTTACATACATACAAAGTTAGTAAATATTTATAAATTTTAGACTATCAGCTTTGTTGTATACAGTTATTCAGTATTTTTTAAAAAGTGCTGCAACAAACATCTTCGCACCTTACTCTTCATTGTTTTGGCTAAAGTTCAGGGAATGGAATGACTGCCTATGAACATTCTAGAGATTCTATACATATTGATTTGACCAATTAATACTGCCTCCAGTTTACAGATTTCTTAAAATGACACGAATAACGTAGGTTCTCCAAGGTTGACATTCCTGTTATGATATTTACAGGCTGTTTTAGGACAGAAAATGTAACCTGTCCTCCATTTCATTCAACATAGAGTGACAAGAGTGATCTTTAAAAAGCAAATCTAATAATATTGTTATGCTCTTTAAAACCTTTAGTAACTTCCCATTACTGTTAGACTACATTGGACAAACTTTCTATGAGCTTCAAGACCCTGCATAATTTCAGCCGATATATGCAGCCTCATTACATGCCACTCATTCCAGCTCTGTGTTCCAGCCACTTGGGTAAATTTTTAGCTCCTAGAACAACCTGAGTTCTCTCCTGCAACTAAGATTTTAATGTGACATTACCCCCAAGCTTGAAATACTCTTTTCACTTTTTATCACTCCACATAACTAGTTTCTACTCATCTTTTAGATTTCCATTTAATCATTGTGCACACACTTATTTTTCTATCTAGGCTTTCTGTTCAGCAGAATTTATAATTATTTTTATATGTGTCCTTTCCCTGGAATTTAAACCATGCTACCTTATGAATCTTACTCAGTTTTACATTCCCAATGTTGTAAAAATGCACATAATAGACTTTTCTTGCCAAACTTTCTTAGAGGCTTCATTTTTTTTTCTTCAACTTTTATTTTAACTTCAGGGGTAAATGTGTGGGATGTGCAGGTTTGTTAAATAGGTAAACATGTGCCATGGTAGTTTGCTGCACAGATCATCCCATCACCTAATTATTACATACAGATATGGTTTATTTTTAACAGCTTTTTTGAGACAAAATTCATATACCATACAATTCACCCATTTAAAGTAAGCAATTCAATATTTTCTAGTAAGTTCACAGTTATGCAGCCATCACCACAATCAATTTTAGAATATTTTGTCATCCTAAGGAGAAACCCCATATGCATTAGCACTCACTTTCTCTCCTCTCCCGCCCTCCCGCTCAGCCTTAAGCAACCACTAATCCTCTCTCTGTCTCTGTAGATTTTTGCTTATTCTGAATATTTTATATCAGTGAAGTCATGCAATATATAGTATTTTTTATTGGCTTCTTTCACTTAGCATAATGTTTTTTCAAGGTTCATTCATGCTGTTACCTGTGTCAGTACTTTATTCATTTCCTTGCTGAATAACATTCCATTTTATGGATATACTACCTTTAATTTATTCATTTATCAGTTGATGGACATCTGAGTTGTTTCTGCTTTTTGGTTATTGTAAATACTGCTGATATGAATATTCTCGTACAAGTTTTTGCACAGAGATGTTTTCATTTCTCTTTGGAGTGAAATTTCTAGGTCATCATAACAGACCTGTAATAAATATTTATTGACTGAATGGACAAAGAATTATTCTCCAAGCAGGTCATGAGAACATTTAATCTTAGAGTTAATAAATTCAGATGAAAGCAATGAAAGCTCTTATTTTTTCCTACAGTAATACCTGGCATCTCCTTCCCACTGGCACCTGCAAGTATGTGCCCCAACTATTACATTTCCCTGCCCAATACACAGATGAATAAATGAAACTGCAGAGAAGTTATGTAGCGTGAACATGGTGACATAGATAGATAGTAAGAACTGGGCCAGGAATTCAGTTCTTGTGAATATTAATTTTGTCACTTCAACTCTTTTACATAATAAGAAACAAGGCTGCCAGTATAAATAATTCTCCAAACCTTCTGGGAAACGTGATGGATTGAACCTAATCATTTATACTTCCTCCCTCTTGAAGTCACTCCAAAATAATATGAAAAAGCACAGACACATTGGTAAGTAGAAGAAAGAGGAGACATCAGAGAATATAGATCTCAAGAACATTTGTAAAATAGGAAGTTAATGGACAAATTATTCCACTTCCACAATCCTTCACCCATTGAAATCCAGAAGAATTCAGGACTTGGAAATGCCAGTTATGAAATAGTTCCAGGAAAGCCAGACTGAAAACAGAATTAAATAAGGGTTTCCTTAGTGAATACAGAACTCCCTGTGCTCACATTAGGATGCTTGGAGCCAGGCCAATTTTTCTCAGTCGGGAAACTGGAGAAAATACCTCCAAAGGGAGACATTTCAAAGTCTTCAGATAAAAAATCATGTTTATTGCCTAATCACTCTGCAAAAATTCCCGCATGTGTACATTGAGGCTGTGATTATATTTTTGGTATGGCATTGGTTAATATGGAACTGAAAGCAAAAGATAACCAGACATTTGAGAAAAGTCTCATGAGGGAAGACTAAATCAAGCAGAGAAAGACTAAATCAAACAGCCAAAGAAGGTCCAGAGGGATGGCATAAGGAGAAATGACAGTATTATAAAAAATACTCCACAAATGATATCTTCATAAATATTTTATCTGCACAATAAGAACACGTTGCTATGAAAAAAATAGTAAGAAATTTAAAAAACAGCTCTTGGATGAAATGTGTTAGCAGATAAAGTCTAGGAAGCCCGTTAGAATTAGAACAAAAAGACAAAAGGGAATAGGAAATATAAGAAAATATAGCAAAACCAATAACTAATTTATAAGGTCAAAATCTACCATAAGGTATTCTAGAATGATAAAAAAGTGAAAATGGACATATGGAATTAATAGAGACATTTTTGATAAAATTTTCCAGATAGCAGCAACTGAAATGTCTGTTCTGAGGAACTTATGGAATACTTAGCATCATGAAAGAAAAAGACTGTCCAAGGATCATTACACAGAAGCTTTACAACACCATTGAATAAGCAACAAACAAACAAATGACTAAGACTTTTCAAAGAAAAAGTTACATATCAAGAAGTGGGAATAATACTTTAAGGTAAATGACGATGTAACAAAGTCTGCAAAATTCTGAGAGAAAGTAATCTCCATAAGAAATCCATACCTTGCCATAATACAAAATTTAAATAAAGATATTCAGAAATTAAGAACTCTAGTATTAACTACCCATGTACCCTTTCTTAGAAAGTTATTAGATGACATGTTCCTGCAAAACAAGAAATTACACCAAACAACATGAAGACATAGAAGCTAGGAAATGGGCTCTAACACAGAGAAACCTGAAGTCCCAGGAGTACTCCAAAATAGCTAGCCTTGAAAGAAACCAGTCCAGACTGGGGCGGTAAAGCAAAGCGTTCTGGAGGAAGGCCTTCAGGGTAGGAAAAACAAATAGATGGATATCAGCATTTGATAAATAATGTTACTAGGTGTTCCAGAGATCATTTGGAACAATATATTGATGACTTTCATATTTTGTAGAGTACATTGGAGACAAGTAAATAAACAAAAGAACTTTATTAACTCCAGAATGATCTAAAGGTGTCTAAAAAAGGGAAAAGAATCACAGTTCCTTGCTTGGTTCAACAGTACCTAATGGTTATTTGGTCATAATAATGTAAACAAGTTGACTGTTTTAAATAAAGATTGTGGTGCAATTATTCTAGGTTGGTGGGAGGGCAGGAGAAACGTAAATGTGGTTTGGGTGATGTCAGAAAGCTAAGTCCTTGTGTTCCACAGTTGGCAGCTAATGAATAGTATTTAAAATTGATAAATTAATTTGTCTTTGAAATATGAACTAAACACTAAAAGAAACAATTATGGTGGTTGAATTTGGAAAGTGATATGTAGGGTAAAAGGAAAAGGGAGAGGCTTATATGTTCTCCTTATAATCCTTGATGCTGTTTTGCTTAAAAAAAAAAAAGACTGGGCATATATTATTTTGAGGTAACAATATTAGGAACTGTTTGGGTCAGAATCTGAGCTTCACCACCTTAGTAACTGGACCTTAATTTTCTCAATTATAATAGAAAAAAATATATATATATGTAAAATTCATGGGGTATATAGTATATATAGTGTGTATATATACTGTATATGCTATATAAACATTTCTATATATGTAGTGCTTAGAAGTTATGCTCTGCATTTAATGCTATTTAAGAGTTAGTTATTTGTATGAGTGTAAAATTAAAACAGAATTAAGGCATGTTAGTTGTTTGAAAAATTAAATATTCTCTAAGTACATACTCTAACCGTTTCCATAATTTCTGAAGAAAAAAATATATGAAGGAATGGCCATGTAAATGGTGTGCTGCTATTTCCTTTTTACCTTCATGCAATCCCTGGCAGCAGAAGCCCTGATGTGCAATGCCATATTTTATATATGCTGTGTGAAATTGGTCTAGTCATGAGGCAGTTAGCACTGGAAAACTTTTTTTTTTTTTTGAGATGGAGTTTCGTTCTTTTTGCCCAGGCTGGAGTGCAATGGCACGATGTTGGCTCACCGCAACCTCTGCCTCCTGTGTTTAAGCGATTCTCCTGCCTCAGCCTCCCAAGTAGCTGGGATTACAGGCATGTGCCACCACGCCCAGCTAATTTTGTATTTTTGTTAGAGATGGGTTTCTCCATGTTGGTCAGGCTGATCTCAAATTCCTGACCTTGGGTGATCCGCCCGGCTCGGCCTCCTAAAGTGCTGACGTTACAGGCATGAGACACTGCTTCCGGACGGAAAACTTTTAATATATCCTGTTTCTGCAAAATTTTCCAGTTTAATCTCTTTAGTTGGTATAGAATGCTACCGTATTGAACATTTGGAAATAGCTTTTAGGGAAAATTATAATGGCATTCATTGGGTTGCATGTGCTACTTTCTGTTCATCTTTCTTTTCATCAGAAAATGGCATAGTTAAACCATTTGGGATGTTATTTCAAATCAGTTAAGTATTACATATGAGGCAAATAAGATGAGTTATAACCTGATAAATCTTTCCTTTTCTTTTTTATTGTCATGTTTAACAGTCTAAAAATTGTTATTTAGAAATATAATTATTTCTAGTTAGGAACGTAAAAGAATTTGAGAAATCTATAAATTTGACAGAATTAAAAGAAATCTTTGTGATATCATTTCTAGAGCAGTTGTCACTTATACCCTTGCAGAATGTTTTAGCCTTATTTTATTAAAAAGACAATGCACCTTATTAAAATTTACACTACCTAGGTTGTTTGAGGAACATGAGCAGAGACTGAAAAAATGAATATAGAAAGTTACTTGATTAGTTTTTTGTTTATTTGTTTTTTGAGACAGAGTCTTGCTTTGTTACACAGGGTGGAGTGCAGTGGCATGATCACGGCTCACTGCAACCTCCGCCTCCTGGGTTCAAGCAATTCTCTTTCCTCAGCTTCCAGAGTAACTGGAATTACAGGCATGCACCAACCACACCTAGCTAGTTTTTGTATTTTCAGTAGAGATGGGGTTTTACCATGTTGGTCAGGCTGGTCTTGAGCTCCTGACCTCAAGCAATCCACCCACCTTGGCCTACCAAAGTGCTGGGTTTACAGGCGTGAGCCACCGTGCCTGGCCTATTTGATTAGTTTTTAAAGGGAGAACAACTGTTCCTTATTTTTCCTATAGAATAGTCATTCTTTGTTTAAATAGTATTTTTTAAAAGTTGTCTCTTTTTCTAAACAATAAATTTGATATTTACCCTGAATATCCATGTAAGTGAATTAGAATGAAAAGTTTGGACACCTGTATTTTCTGTGATCTGGATATATATCTAATGTATAAAAAGCAGAAATACATGCTAGAAGCACCAAGTTATGGTTGAATAAGTATTGCACAATATAAATAATCCCATAATTCTATTGGCTATAATTACTGATTATACTAATCATTCATGATTAGCCATTTGTGTTAGTGATTCTAGGCTTGAAGACTCATAAAATACTTCACAAATCACATTAAAGCTATTGACCCTCTGACCCATGCATTTATTTACAATATTTTGCCTGTAATTTCAAAGATTTGTAGTTTCCTTGAAGCACATTTATTTTTGGAACCCAAATTAAGACTTCCTGAACTATCTAATATTGTCATGAAGAAATAGAGACACTAAAAACAGTGTATGGACGATTCAAAGATAGAGACTTTTGCTTGGGCAAGCTACTTAAGAATTATAGCTGAAGCGGGACCAGGCACGGTGGCTCATGCCTGTAATCCTAGCACTTTGGGAGGCTGAGGCGGGCAGCTCTCTTGAGCTCAGGAGTTTCAGACCAGCCTGGGCAACATGGCGAGACCCCGTCTCTACAAAATATACAAAAATTAGGCAGGCATGGAGATGCATGCCTGTAGTCCCAGCAACTTGGGAGGCTGGGGTGGGAAGATCACTTGATCCCAGCAGGTTGAGGCTTCAGTGAGCCAAGATGACACCACTGCACTCCATCCAGGCTAAATGACAAAGTGAAACCCTGTATCAAAAAAAAAAAAGACAAAACATATGTGTGTGTGTGTGTATATATATATATATTTAACTGGCTAGAAGGAGTTTCCTTGAGAGGGAGAGAATTCTCTATAAACAACTGGTTTAGTTTTGAGGCTAGCTACCTGGTGAGCAGGAATTGAAGAGAGACTTGTTCTGGATAGGTCAGGCAATACAATAAGGCACACAATTCTAACTAGAAATATACTTGGGTGAAAGGAACCTAAATTATTTTTTGTGAACATTAAAGAGTTGATTGAACCAACAGATAAATTATGGAGTTAACTGCTAAGTTCAGTAAGATGGCTGCTTCTAAGATAAATACATTAAGATATATCAGTAACTTTCCTATATATCAACAATGATTGGAATCTATAAAAGAAAAGAAAATCACTGACTAAAAAAACTAAAAACATAAGCTATATACCCTAATTTGGAATTAGAAAAATGATTTACTGAAATAATTGAGTAAAATCCATTTTTATTATTTTTCAGCAAAGTTAAATCCAAAGTTAGGTTTAAATTTATAAATGGTAAAAAAAAATAAAAAAATTAATTTATAAATGGTAAAAATAACTGAAATCAGAAATCCTAGAAAAATATTAGTGAATTATTTAATAATAAAGCTATGGAGGGGGAGCTTGCCACCATATGACACTAAAGACTGTAAATTATTCTAACCTTTCTAAAGGTCAGCTTGATACTTTATATTTTACAAATATTGAAAATGTATAGGGTAGTAAGTTATTGTAAAGAAAAAATATGACAAGATTGCAAAGACATGAGAACAAAGATGATTCCTGTGGTATTTTTCATAATAGCACAAAATTATAAACAAATATAATCTCATTAAAATTTCAACATATTTTAAACTCCAGGTTATCATCTATTTCTCATATCTCTGCCTTTTTTTTCATAGAACATGTCACAATTTACACAATTTATCATACTTAATGTTTCGTTTCTTTACTTCGAGTATTGTTTATCACCCCCTCCATCTGGAATTTAAGGCCCACTAAGATGAGGTGCTTTTTTTTGTTTGTTTGTTTTTTTACTGTTTGAATTACTGCACTCCCAGGCTCCCAAAGCTAGAAGTAAGCAGAGTATAAAGTAGGCACTTAATAAATTTGAAAAAATAAAGAGACTTTTAGCAATATTATGCTTAACTTTGGTTTTTATATATAATTTCCAACAACCTTTTTCCCTATGTGCCCTATAAAAAACAATAATTTAGTGTGGACATTTAATCTGCATTTTATTCCTTCACAGAAACATACATTTGGAAATAAGAGTTGAAGCCATTACAATTAAATAAATGCATATTTCTATGAGCTCTATTTACTATAATGCTTGGTTTTATGTAGTTTTTAAAATTGGGATATATATATGTGTATATATATATATATATGTATATATATATATATGATATCTTGTTGTCTTAGTTCTTTTGAGCTGCTATAAGAAAATACCATAGACTGTGTGGATTATAAACAACAGAAATTTATTTCTGATGGTTCTGTAGGCTGGAAAGTGCAAGATCAAGGTGCTGGTTGATTTGCTATCTGGTGTGAGTCTGCTTGTCACAAATGGCTGTCTTTTCACTATAACCTAGCAGGGTAGAAGGGGTGAGGGATCTCTTTTAGGAGGGCACCAAACCCATTCATGAAGGCTCTATCCTCATGACCTAATCACCTCCCAAAGGCCCCTCCTCCCAACACCACTATCATGTGGGTTAGGACTTCAACACATGAATTTTAGGGAGACATAAACATTCTATCTATTGTATTTGGCATGGCCCTTCTTTCACAGCCCTATAAAAACTATTTAAATGTCATTGCCTTTAGAATCAGTGCTGTCTTAATCAAAATAAAGTTGAGAATGTATCCCTTTGGGCAATGACATTTAGAAATAATTACATTACTTTTAGGTATGTATCATTTATTTTCTGTTCCACTTTGCCAAATTGTGCTATTTGATTTAACAGTGCACCTTTAAAACCTTATTGTACAGGGATGGAAAGGTAACATTATGTTCCTCTTGGCTTAATTAATAAAATATTGAGTCAATATTTTGAAAAAGGATTTTTTTAAATTTTAACTTTTTGGTGACCAGGATTTTTTTTTTATCGTGTTTACCAAATTTACAGTGAAGAAATAATATTCCAGTGAAAAACGTCCTGAGTGAGCAGTGTTAAATTAGCCCTTGTGTAAATAGAAAATATATCATAGATCTTAGTAAAGGAAATTGAAGTTGACATGATTTTCAAAAGCAAAAAGAACTTGAGTCTGAAAAGATGCAAAACTAAGATGTCAGCTTAGTTTTTGCATATAAAAGACAGAGCAAGATCAAAATCCAAACAAACAAACAAACAAAAAATCATGGGCAACTTTACAGGAAAACTATCCCCAGCAACCTGAAAAATAAGTGACACAAACCTTCAACAACTGCAAGACCTGATTTTGCGCTATGTGTTGGAGGAAGGAAGCAGTGGTAAGCAAGGGTGTCTGACAAAGCTGAGAATATGGGAGACTCCCACGCAGCCAACAGGAATGGGATGGAACAGCAGCTGAAACTGGGATGGAATTTGCACAATTGGTCTGCCTTAATTTGAAGAGGAGAAATGTGTGATCCCAGTTCTTGGGCAGGCAATGTATCTGAAGAGCCTGGAAAAACTTGACATACCAGATATTAAGGAGGTTATCAAAGACTACCAGGGTAATAGCAAAAAGAATCAGGATCCCACTTGAAGAAGCCAAAGATAAGCTTCAAAAAGGGTAAGAATTTCTATGATTTCAAACCCATCAGATGTTTAAATTTGAGTTCATAATGATGTAAAAAATGATTACCTACCTTCACCTAATACATGAAGAGATAATATAATTAGAAAAGCATAATTTTACCAACCCTATTTAATTAATGAGCCTCACAATAAAAAGGAAGGGGAAAAAGGAAGAGGTCTTAATTTTGAAAAGGAAAGATCAAGGCTATAATTAAAGGACAGTACAATATTATTATTTATCTTTCTGTTTTACTCACAGATCTTATTTGTATTTCCAACAAAACTCTAATAATACTGAGGCAAAAAAACTTAATGCAACTTTATGCAGGGAAAATATCCCAGACATAGTCTCAGAAGGATCAGAATCTTAACTCTTTTTATTGGATTTGAATGGATTTTCCCTCTTTTCTGAAGAGTGAAAACTTTCATGGCTACCAACATTTTGGGATGCAAATCTTTTTATTATTTGGTTCATGTAGTTCAAATAGAAAGGAGGTATTATGTAATGGAATTGAGGAAGCCTAATAAATTCAAATCATAAATAATCAATACTTTTTTAGTATAAATTTTATAAAATAGCAATTCTTTACTTGTTCATTGTTACACTGTTGTGATTCCAGAAAGCGTAAAGCATTTTCAGGCTTGTTTTGAAAGTCAGTCAAATGTAGAATTATTTTAGAATTGCACGTCTTCTAAGTGTACAAAGAGAAAAATCCACTGGAAAACAGCAAAATAATTTAGTTGACTGCAATGTGGCACTGCTTTTACATTTCTTTCCTATGTAAAATAAAACTGATATATATTCCTTCTGTATCAACAAATCATGTTGGAAAGAGAGAGAAAAGCTCTTAACCTACTTTCCTATTTTCAATTTTTAACTTTATCATGCTTGTTAATTGCCTGGGTGTCCTTTAACCATCTAGTTCCATGATTCTTTCCCAGAGGCTTGGTTTAATTTTAATAGTGCAGTGTATTCAGCCCTAATTATGAGAGCTCACTGCAGGCAAACAGCAAGAGATAGTAATGACCAAAATGTGTTCTTAAATCAGTGTCACAGCAACAACAGGCCCATTGCTATAGACATTTACGAAATACAGCCATGTAAGGCAATATTTAGAAGCTAGTGACATTTGAAAATAGCATTTCTCCCAAGAAACAATTTTATTAAATGTGATTTTTTAAATATCTACTTTTTGTATTGAAAGTACAATTTTTTATCAATTAAAGCCAGTCCAACACTCACATATTTAAATTCTTTCATAATCAATAACTAGACTTGAGATGGTTCCATGACTTCACCTGAGTTAGAATGTTCACAAAATACGCTGTGTGACTAGAAATACTGTCATTTTTATTGAAATGCATGCTTCTATGTTGTTTTAAATACCCAAAATAAGTAGAGATTTTAAGCATTCTCCATCATAGTTATTTTTACATTTATTTAGCTGGGGGACGATTTCCTGCTGAAATGTTGTTTTAACTGGTCACACGGGAAAGGCAACACAGTCAGTGAGATATTCTACAAAAAGTGTTCCAAATGCAGTATTAGCTGCTAAGTTCTAACTAGGTGCCAGGTGCTAGTCCAGGTGTCTTTATTTCTGTTACCTCACTGAGTCCTTAGAGCAACCCTATGACAGGTACTGTTTGTTTCCTATTTCAGCTTAGAAAACTGAACTATGGAAAAGTTAGGCAGTTATAATGATAGCTTATAAATGGAGAAACTAACATTTGAACACAGAGACCTGGCTCAGAGCCCAATATCTTAACCACTATGCTTTGTCCCAGAGGTATTCAGTCATATGCTGATCCAATGACTTAGTCATTTTCTCAGACTTTTAAATTTATACACTTTTAGGAATTATACATATTTTTTGTTCTGGGTATATGAATTCTAGTTATTTAGGTGATATTCTCCAGTGGGAAATGGTGCCTTTTTAGTCAAAGATTGGCTACAATTTTCTGGGAGCTTCATTTGTAGTTCATCATGTTGGATTAGATCCTATGTGTTAAAACCTAACTACTTCAGATGCTCATTTGTTTTTGCAAAATGTTAAATATTTGACAGTAAAGAGTTAAGGGCAAATCTTGAAAATAGAAATGTTCTTATTCAGGAAGACATGTAAAAAAGAAACAAAACTTCTTTAGACTGTACTTAAGTTTAATACTCCAGAAAACTACAAGAACCAATGAAAACATTCTTCCTAGAAATACTTTTAATTTCCTTTCATTATGTG
Source organism: Homo sapiens (assembly GCF_000001405.40). Classification (NCBI taxonomy): domain Eukaryota; kingdom Metazoa; phylum Chordata; class Mammalia; order Primates; family Hominidae; genus Homo; species Homo sapiens. The sequence continues at coordinate 45,678,667 of NC_000005.10, read as the reverse complement.
TTTCTGTATCCTTTTGAATGGTGGTGCTTAAGTACCAAAATGAACAGACTATTTAAATGAAAATAGCAAAGAAGAGCTGTACTCACGATGAAGTCATTGGGAGGCACATGAAAATAGAAGGAGGCTCTAAAACTTTAGCCACAAATATTGAGGAGAGACGCAGTTATTATACAAAAAGGTCAGTGTTTGTCATTAGGTTGCAATCTACCACTATATAAATGTTATGTATTAGCTTATAAATTGGAGTTTATTATAATAATAATGGATTACAATTGCTTGGTAAAATTTAGGAGAGTTGTTATTAGACTTTGAGTCTGCTAAAGAAAAGGCAACTGAGAAAAGCAAGAAACAATGCATACGGTTTCAGATGGCAGATGCCCAAGAAATTCCTCCATTAACTATGGTACCGTTGTACCTCTGAGACTGTTCCTTCTGGTTTCTTGTGGTCTGATAGCAGGATATTTCACCTAAGGGAATCACTGCATCCAAAATAATTATTTCATAAGTAGCCATCACTTATTTGGACTGTAGAGCTATGTAAATAATCCGAGGAAGCCGAACCCCAAACAGAATTAGAAAGAAACAGATGTACTGGAGAATTTGGGAAAATGCTACTAAAACTTTTCTGTTTAACGTTATAGTGTGTGTGTGTATGTGTGTGTGTGTGTGTGTGTGTGTATGTGTGTGTGTATGTGTTTAATCTTTGGAAAGATGAGGTAGGTATCACCAGTCTTCAAGATCAGACTATGCTGTAATAATGGATAATTTAAAAATACATTTCATTTATCCTCCTAACTTGAGTAAATTTAAATGTAAATTCTTTCTCTATAAGAAACATGCTCAAAACATTTTAATGTAAATTAAAACAAACCCTTGGCTCTCAGTTATGTTTGCTACTTCTGTGGTTGACGTTTGACCTTCCCAGACTTTAAGAAAGGGGAACTTAGATTTACTCGCTCTCTTTCTCTCTCTTGCTTGTCATTACTCTTTAATCCTGTATTACCATTTCTGTAACCCTTTCATTCCTACCTTGAAGAAATAAACAAAACAGAACAACAAAATGAAATTAAACAAGCCAAATAAGTAAACAGTAAATGTCATTTAACCTCCTTCTTTTTAAATATAACACACACTTCCTAGAATTTATTTAATTTAACCCCTTAGTGGCACTTAATACCCCTTTTGGAGGTCTCTGTTTCTTTTCTCTTTGGATTGTTTTCCTACATGTCTGCACACTGCTTCTCAAATTTCCCCCAAGGCTCCAGCCCTTTTGCATTTAGTTTTCACCTTTAGACAAGGCTCTACAGATAGGCAATTTGCTTCAATACAGGTTCTTGATCACCTAGTATGTGCCAGCCACTGCTCAACCAGAGTAGAGCAGTGAAGAAGTCAGATATCACTCTATTTTTTTGTGAACTTCCAATCTTGTGAGGAAGACATGCAGAAAAGAAGTAATGAGAGGTTATCACTGATAACAAAGGAAGACTACAGGGTAATATGTGGCAGGGTAGAGCTAGGGGTTTCATCTAATCCAAGGGGTTAGGAAAGCCTCCATGAAGATGTGGGAGTTGAACTTAGAATTCAAAGACAAATAGGAATTAGCCACATGTTTCAGGCATCTGTGAAGACAGAACTGAATACTTGGCAAGTTAAAGTTATAATGAAGCAACTGCTGAAAAAAATTTTGAATCATTTCCCACCAGTATTAGTTGGATTATATGATATATGGATTGCTAGTAGATAGACAGATTGATGGCTAGATGATAGCTGATCGACAGATGGTAGGTAATAATTAACTACCTCTCAAGGATAATACTGCATGTCCATTTCTTCTATAATGTGTCATCACAACCTTTGCCCATTTTTCCTCTGTTATGATTGTATTTGAATATATTTCCATTCAAGGTTAAGATTTCCCACAAATCTTTCAACATGTAAATGACCATTCCTTTACTTTGCATTCTCTTAGAACTTATTTATAATTCATATCTCATTATCTTGAGACTGCAAATATTCTCTGGTTATTTTAGACCTTCTATTCTTTCCTGTATTTTATTTCAGATTCCTTCCAGAGCATTTATGTCTTCTACCTCCTTTTGATTTAGTTTCCTTCCATTATCATTTATCTGAATGGCCTAAGTGTCTTGTTCCAAGACATGCTCCAAACATATCTTGCTCTGAACATGTTAAAAATTTTTCTCCTGATTTTCTTGTACAGAAATACAAATAAAAAATATTTTAATAGTATAATTATGGATATACTTTACTTAATATGATCTCTAATGTATCTGATTGACCAATAAAAATATAAGGTGTATATAGATTTGCTTATGCATATATGTGTGTATTTGTCTAGTGCAAGTTATGTCTATATTCTTTATGTACTTATAAGACACATATTACAATATGGTTGATTTCCTGAAGATGTCATAGGCAATATTCATGATGAAAAAGCAGGTCATACTGGAAAAGCTTAAGTGACAAAGTATATGTGAAAATTTGAAGTAAAGTGATATCTCAAAAATAAATATGAGAATAAAGCTTGTTTATATGAAGTTCAACCATATAAAAATATACATACACATACATGCACTCACATCCTTTATAAATCATGTGAAGCAGGGATGCATGCACACAACTGCAATGGACAGTTCCATATTTGTCTTGATCTAATCAATGACCAACAGGACTGAGTCTTGGAAAAGTTGTGAAGTGTGATAATCCTTGGTTTGCTCACCAACCTTTTCTTACAGCATTTCTCTTTTCACTCTTGAGCTTATCTTATATTAAAACAGAAAAGGACCTGACATCAACCATTTATTCATGCTATTTAGATTGAAGTATATTCACACTGAAATGACTTTATTGAACTTTTATACTTTAAGTTTTTATGTCTAATGGTATAACATAATTGTTCACAATGGAAGGAAATGAACAAACTGCTTGGATGCAAGTGGGTGATGGGAGCTATAGAGATGGCCTTGAAATCATATTAGCTTTACTTGGCTCTTTGTGAAGCTAAAGGTGATTTAATACTTTGGAATGGTCCAGGGAATGGTCAAAAGGTACTGTCCAGTTTGAAAAAATGGGGCAGATGTTGAAGAACATAAATTTGTCTTGCTATCTTTGGCATAATTGTGTGATTTTTTTCTCTACTAGTTCAGCATGCCTGTGTGTATAGAGAGAATTTAGATGATAGGCTCAAACCACATTTGGGTTTTGGCTTTTGGATGTGTTTGAATCAAGGATCACTAGTGACTCAGTGGGGCTAGAGAATGAGTGTTCTGGATAATTCCCATTATGAGATCCAGTGTGTTTAGGGAAGGAACAGCCAACAAAGGTTTGTATGGGTAATAGATAAAATGTGACTAGCAGACAGAATGAGAGAAAGGACTTGGCTGGCCTAGGATATCTTAAGGGACAAAAGTTGATCTCATGCCACATCTGAATTGGGGGCCAAGCTACTATCAGACTCGATATAAGATGGGTTCTACACATTATCTGTAGGTATGTGACAGTATGCTTCTTGCAGGATATATGTGATAAAATTCAGAGTAGTAGTGAGAACACTGGTTCCATCAGGGTCATCAAGTCATATTTTCTGGGAAACCATATTGCCACTTATATATATTTTCTAAGTAGCAATAGTTGGGAATCCTGAAGTTATGTGCCACCTACATACAACATATAGTAAGTACTTATATATGCATGCATATCTTATTATTTTTATTTTAAATAGTTAAAATTTTTTATAGAGATATTGTCTTGTTATGTTGGCCAGGCTGGCCTAGAACTCCTGGTTTCCTTCCAGCAATCCTCCTACCTTAGCCTTCCAAAGTGTTAGGATTACACGAGTGAGCCACTACACCCAGCCCATGCATATCTTATTGAAAATGCATTTATTCTATACTTTCTTATTTTAAATTCCACAAATATTGTTTATTGTACTCTAAAATGTATTAATAAAACATTCAGCATGTGTGACATTGAAAAATCTTGTCAACTGATAACATTGGCTTTCAATTTATCTATAATGACTAAAAATACAGTTGATATTAAATTAAGTGTAAGTTGTAGAAGAGGACACAAATTTTCTTAAGTTGTATCTAATAAATGGCATTATATTAATACTTGTGTAATTAACAAAATAAATATTCTCTTTCATTCTTGCAAAACTTTGTTAGAGTTCATAACATAAGCTTAACATAAAATTATAAACAAATACTGTGTATATGTAGATAGAAGATCTGTATAAGATCAATCACAGAAGATTCCTAGAATGAATGTTTTCCTCTTTTTATTCATTATCCTTTTATTTAGTGATTTTGATAGCTGCCTTCTCAGAGAGTTCTGTGGCACTTAAAATATAGACTTCTAAGTTCTCCTCATAAAATTGTTTTAAATTATTAAGTTTTAACTAGAGAAAGTTTAGGATTATAGTTATTTATCCCAAAGAGCTAATTTATATAATTCATAGAAAGCAACTTAAGGCATATATGTGATATATCTATATATCTATATATATACATATATATCAACTAAAAGCCAATGAAAACTAGCATTTTAATATTAACTTTTAAAACATAACTATCCCATGGAAAGCTGAGTATAATAACTAAAAGGTTTTCACTTAATGCCTTGGTATGGTCTTTTGTCAAAGAGAAAAATTTATTTTGCCTTAAACATTACACAAGAGATTTCACTTAACATACGTAATTAACAATGGGAAATTATTTAGGGGCACATAATTTCATACTTGAAATCACGTTTCATGAAATAAATTAGTATTAGAATTTCATACTTGAAATCATGATTCATGAAATAAGTTAGTACTAGAATGATTCTGCTGTGCCTTTCTTTTGGTAGAGAGCATATGGTCAATTTTGTGACCTTTGATTAAGGGGTCTATTTTAAAATGTCTTATCAGTTAATTGTAGCTATAGAAAACTTTATTTGAAGACAAATACATTTCTTTATCACCTCTAACCCCTACTTGTGATACTGATATAAGCAAAGAATTGTATTACTCAAAAAAGCCACTAATGAGTAGGGATGCTTGGGTGGAATTTGAAAAGATAATCTAAAGAGCTTCTAGTGGCCAAAGATGGAACAAATTGAACAACTGAATAATAAACTAGGATTGAGTTATAAACCCAAAGTATAATGTAAGTATCCATGAGATCATACTGATATAAAAAGTATTGAATCAATAAATAAATGGTGTGGGGGGACTCAAATAATTTGTGTAGCTATTATACCCTCAGGGAAGTGGGCCATTAATGTGCATTCCTTACCTGTAGGCTGTCAATAGTAATTTCTTTCAAATAATGATTTGAGAAACTGGACTAACATTACAGTTAAGTGATCAAAATTAACAGTCATAAGTCATGTTGATAGTATATACACTTGACATGATGTAGTCTTTGCCTCTGTGCTATTCCTCTGCAATACCCATAACCTCAGTCTAATCATGAGAAAAACACCAGATAAATCCTAATTTTTAAGGTCATTTTACAAAGTATATGACGAGTACCCCCCAAACTGTGAAAGTGATCAAGAAGAAAAATAATCTGAGAAAACTGTCATATGAAGCAGAACTAAGGAGACATGCTAACTAAATTGTAATGTGGTACCCTGGACAGCATGCTGGAACAGAGAATGGACATTAGATCAAAAGTACAAACATGTGAATAAAGTATGGACTTCAGTTAATAATAATGTATAAACATTTGTTCATTATTTATAACTGATGTAATATTTAAAAATAGAGAAATTAGGTGTGAGATATATGGGAACTCTATTATTTTCTGTAAACGTGAGACTATTCTAAAGCAAAGGTTTATTTAAAAAAAAAGATAAAACAACCTTTTAGCAGCGAAAGACTCAGGGCAGAATTAATTAACAAGGACTCAGAGAACATAGGTAAAGCTACAAGCCTCTCCAATTAAAAAAAATTGGATCTTTTGCATAACATTTTTTTCTTATTTTTTATGACATCATTTGCATTTCTGAATTATTAAATATGGCAACCGTCTGTTTCAAACACAGACAACAAGCAAGTCTTTTCAGGCAAAATCTACTTTAGTTTTTTTTTTTTTTTACTTAATTCGCTAAGGACTTTTTAATTTTTTGATAGAATTCAGTTCCTTTATTGCAAACTGGGTTGATAATATATGTACTGATAGCCTGAGAATAAACATTTGTAATACAACTATAAATACTAGCAAGTACTTAACGTAGACAAGTGGCATCTGAAAACATCCTTCTGTCTGTTCAAGCTCACTGAGTCCTAAAGAAGCTTTTACTATCATTTCTAGCTTTTGAAGCTTATTATTATTAACAATAACTTTAAAAAACAAAATTCTGTACGAGAATAATATAATTTCTAGTATTTTCTGCATAAATATGCTAATAATTAAGACAGCCTTTGTTTATGCACAGTAGATATTTGATTTAGTAACATGTTCACATTTTGCTTTAGGCACAAGCCTAGTAGTCCATTGTTCCCATGGTGTTTTTTGACTGGTCAAGTGCATTGCAATAGTCAAATCAATTTATACATGTAGGTGCAGTGTTGAATAATTTATATTCCACAACATCCTCTCTCTCTTTCTTTCCTCTCTGCCACCCCTGTTTCCCCATGACATTGTTGAAATTCAGGAAAGAAAGAATTTCAAAATGCAGATTTTAACTAAAGGATTTAATACTTTTCTTGGCGTAAATATCTTATGTGAATTATAAACTTTAAACCAATTGAGAAGAAACCCTATTATCTGCAAACTTACATTTAGTGACTTTGTAAAGATAAAGTCCTTAAATATAACAATAACAGATTTTTGACAGTCCTAACTCAATTTAAATTAGTGGTAACTTAGAACAGAACCATGTCAGACTTATAAAATATACAGTCTTAATATTTAACTATTGTTTATATTGGAACACTTTACATAGCATTTTACTAGTGAACTATAAATAGTTATACAACTATTGAAATTGATCTTTTTTCTAAATTCTACCTTCATATTTTTTTATCTGACAAGTAATCATCAAAGGACTGCTAGTCATCAAAGTGATAAGTCCTCACTTATCAAAATTTACTCAGAATGTAAGTATTGAATTGCAACTATATGTAACCATGTATTAGGTGCTGAAATAGATTCAAACAAGAGTAAGGCATGAATCTTACTCTTAAGGATCTTACAGTCTAGTGGGAGTGTGGGGATGGGGTGAAGCGATTATCTATAGCTATATATATATAGTACTATATATAGTACTTTAATAATATATAATAGCAGATAATCTAATGCATACTGAACATGATTTGCTGGTAATAAACATTAGGGTTAATAGGACAGAGTAATTACTTCAAGCTGGAAAGTTCTGGAGAACTAGTGAAGGGATATGACATTTGAGCTGGACCTTAATGACAGGTGGGATTTGGGTAATGGAGTTTGGAGAGAACAGGCCTTTCACACACAGGACAGAACATCGATGATAACAGAATAGTAGGCAAGGGTGATGGGGCTATTAAGGAAGGCATATGGAAAATAAACTTGTTTTCTCTAAAATAACTGAGGAATTTATTTGAGTTTACTGATTAATAATGCATTTAGTGTTTTGCCACTTTTCAAGGAATTAAAGCTCTTGGTGTTATATTAAAAATAATTTGATTGTATAAAATGTACTTTAGGGCTATTCCTTTTTTCTGTTATTCATATGTATCAGTAACTATAATAAAGTAACCGAGATTTATGAATATTTGTTTGAATCTGTTTTGTAAAATGTGCTGTTTGCTTCACATTTTTAGTAAAAACTGATCTTAGATGATATTGTGGATAAATTAACTGTAATTTATTGCATGGTAGAATTATGTTAGTCTATGTGTTGGCCCTGTCCTTTGAAAAATATGCATTGAAAGAAGGATTTAATCATTTCCTATAAAAGATACGACTTTTTTCCCAGTAGACAGATCCTAAAGCAATAAAGTTTATGTTGGATATAGATTGAATATTAGAGAAATGTATGTTTGCATGTTACAGCAGAGTAAATTGAGACTTCGTTAGATTAAAATAGTGTAGGGGCATGACAATTTAAGAAATTATTCCTGTTAAAAAATGCATGGTCCAAAATTATATCATATTTTTCTAATTGAGGATGATTCTTAATGACCTCCAGCTTGGGAACTAAAATGCCTACATCCCTTAAGGAAAATGCACTGCTATGTTTATAGGCTCCTTTGGTAGCAATATTTTAAAGAAGCATAGGGCCAGAAGTTGGAATTAAAATTCTCTCCTAGCTTCAGTTGTTTAACTGCAAAACATATGAAATGTGTTGGATTTAGAATGTGGCAATTAACTTTTTTCATTATTGAAGAAAAATGAAAAGCTCCAGTAAAGCGTTATTTGGAGATGCAGTTTTTTGGGTTTTGTTTGTTTGTTTGTTTGTTTCACTTTGTTCCTAAATTTGCCTTTCCTTCTTTTTCTTCTGTCTGTGTGGCAGATACATTACATCTATGATTGAAAGCAAATTTCTCCATTTTGGTGAATGTATAATTTTTTCTCTTCATCTATGACTACATTTTCCACATTTTTACTCTTCATATTTATTTTTTATTAAGAGTTTCCATACTATCAGCCTTCAAATGTAATCAGGTTTTTCCTAATCTTGAAAAGGAGGAAACAACTTTACACCTCCCTTCATTCCAATTACAGAGGGGGATGGGAAACACCATAAACTCATCTAAATAAATAAAAGAATAATCAAATTTCACTTATTCTAAAATGTTTTCTATGACTTTCCTATCTTTGACTTTCATTTGTTAACAGCCCCATTTCATTAACACAGTCTATAATATCATGTATCTCCACACAAACTGTTGTTCACTGTTTGCAATTTGTTCTTCAGTACAACCTCATTACCATTGCTTTCATAATGCTAACCTATCTTTGCATGATCAATCTAAAAGTTTGTTCTTTATCTACATTTCTCTCAGAGAAATTTTCAAATCAGTCTCATTTGCTGCTCCATCTTCCTGTTGGAACAAACTTGGCTCATGACCACCATTTTGGATCTTTTCTTCTTTCTATGTATAGTTTCCCCTTTGGAGGACTCATGTTCCTCTATAGGTTCAGTTCTCAAATCTATACAATTCCTAAAGCTGTTTCCTTGGTCCTGGCATCACTTCTGAGTTTTAGAATATTACAGTTCCAACTGTCTTCTGCCATGTGAATGTGAAACATGTTAAAGTCATTATCTCCAAAATTGAACTTATGATCTCCCCCACATCTACTCTCAAAATGTTCACATTATCATTTCCTAGCTTCTCTGGCATAAGACCTGAGAGTTATATTTGACTCCTTCAACTTCCTCTCTTCAAGTACAGGCAATTCCATATCTTACTAATTTTTCTCTCACAAAGACTCCTGACTCCATCTCTTCTTCTTTGCCTTCCCCAAGTTAGTTTTTTATATTAAATTTCTTTAAAGTTGCTCTAACTCTCTCAATTTCTTGCTCTGACACATGGTTAATTTCTACAAACTAAAACTTTTAGATTTGAGTAAACTATTGGAACTTTTCTGGGTTCACTTTCTATAAGGAATGAGATAGAGACCTAGAACAGGAGGAATTTTCTCAAGATTTTAAGATCTAGGTATACTAAATATGAGAAGTTCAGCCCTTCTACATTCATTCTAATCTTCTTTCAACTATGCCATAGTACTGTTCTTAAGTGGTTTTTCCCCCAACACCAAAGAATTTGCTTTGGTCAATAATAAACATGAATAGAGCTGACAACAAGATACTAGTGGACCACGATTTTGGCTTAAGTGCAGAATTTTTTTTTTATAAAATTGTTTTAAGGGAAAGAGCAATTAATTTGGAAAATAGCAAAGTGGAAAACAAGCATCATGCTTATTACGTCAAGTTCTTGTCACAGAATGTAACACTTGCTTATCTCCTAACATCCATAAAGGTCAGAATTTAGAAATGGCTATCATCTAAATCCAAATTATGAATGTATCACATAGGAATCTTATGCATTTTCAGTAATATGTATCTGTAGTGGAGCTAGAGATAAACATATAATTTTGCATGTGTGACTGTATCAGTCCGTTTTCACACTGCTTTAAAGATACTACCTGAGACTGGGTAATTTATGAAGAAAAGAAATTTAATTGACTCACAATTCCACATGGCTAGGGAGGCTTCAGGAAACTTACAATCATGGCGGAAGGTGAAGAGGAAGCCAAACACTTCTTATGTGGTGGCAGGAGAGAGAGATTGAGGGAGGAGGTGCTACACTTTTAAACCATCAGATCTTGTGAGAACTTCCTATTATGAGAACAGCAGAGGGGAAAGTGCCCCCATGATCCAATCACCTCCCACCGAATCCCTCCTTCCACACACGGGGATTACAATTTGAGATGAGATTTGGGTGGGAACACAGAGCCAAACCATATCAGTAGCTATCTATTTTGATAATAAATACAGATTATTTTTCATTAAGCTACTCTTAGGCATATAAGGAAATTGTGCTATTATTTGTGGCATAAAAAAGTTTGATTTTGGGAGGTATAAAATACAAAATCAATATAAATCTGATGCATGACATTACATAGGAAAGAGCCCTGGGTTAGCTACCAGAAAATCTGCCTCCAAATCTTAGATGCCATTAACCAGTCAAGTGATCTTGGCCAAGTCACATACCATTTTAATTGTTTTAGATTTTTCATCTGTAAACATAGAATGAACAACACATTTTTATATGTCTCATAGAACTGGTGAGAAAATGCAATGAAAATTAATACTGTGAAAATACTTTATGAATAGGAGTTGTTTTTTTAGCAACTGGGAACATGGCTATTGTCGGAAGAACTACAATGTCATAGTAGCTTGACAACCAAGTTGAAACATAACAAGAGAGCTATAAAGCTTAATCACCTTACTAATGTTAGTTGTGTTTATTCGTAAGATTTCATCAAGTTTTAATTCAAAGTATTCTAGAATGTTTGAGTTTATAACTTGCAGACATTTAGATTGATCCTAGGCATGATTTTCTTTCAATGCATGTTTTAAAATTCACTGTAAATTTGTTAATGTCAGCAGCCTTTGCTAATATTTTCCCAAACCTATAGTACATCTGACACTGTACTAGTACTTAAAATGTTTTTCAACTCATTACTTTTCTTGGAACTTCTTGGAATTATAGTTTTCAGTGTGATGGGGGTTGTAAGTCTTAAATACCTTTATTTTTTTTAAGTCTGATATATAATTTTTACTCAAAGAATGAATAGTATAGGAAACTAATAGATTTCCCTTGGATATTTGTTTTGCAGCAAACAATTATGAGACTGGGAGCTTCTACCCACCAGGACCAGCATGGGTCTCTGGAGAGAGATTGTAGGCCAGAGAATAATCCTTGAACTCTGACCCCATGAGAAACCACTAGGTGACTTTAGGGGCTCCTGATAGTTGAAAGTATGCCCACAATCATTCTTACTGTGTCCCTATGTGGCTTATTTCTTGAAAGCAGGTGAGGTTTGTAGGACCAGTGAGCCCAGCCTGAGTTCCATGGCTCTTCCTCTTCCTCTTACTATACTGATCAAACTAAGTTCTCACTTTACCTTCAAGGATGTGTGGAATATGTCATGTTTTTTCATAGCTTTAATCTAGCCAAGTTTTAGATATTTCACTTTTTAAATCTTCTCTTAGACATTAGGCTTTCCATTTCCTTAATCATTCCCACCCCCCTGATTTTTTCTGGATATCTTCCAATTTGTCTGCATTTTCATGATATTGAGGTGCCCCAAACAATAAAATATTCAAGGAACAGACACATATAGACTGATTCTATGATGCAGTGTCTTTATTTATTAAAGCTGTGGTATTTATCCACTCATTTATTCAATTTATTTAGGGAGTTCACTGTAGTTGCATACACTGTGTTAGATAGACAATGGTGATATAATATAATGGGAAGTAGAGATAGATGTGATCCCTGGCCATGTTACATTTACTGTAGTTGGAGAAATAAACCTTTAAAAACAATTATCCACATACATACAAAAATACAAAATATTTTATGTATATGAAGGAAAAGACATGATTCAGGGAATGTATTACTAGGCCACCTGACCAAGTCTGAGAGTAATTTCTTCAGTCTATGAATGCTCATTTGGGTTTATTATGTACATATTGTGGTTGTGGCCTTTCTTTATATGTAACAGAACAATGACACGGTTGTTGCCTAATATAGAAGTATCAAGGGGTAGCTTATGAGAATTTATGCCCAAACAAATGTTTTTGTAATCTTATGTGAAGTATGAATAAATATCTTTAGGACACATTGCTATGTTTCATTGACTAGTAATTTAAACTCTAAGCAAAAACAGCATGCTGGCTAAGGAAACAGTTTTACTTCAAATCCTCCTAAACTACTTTTTTATATTCCCGGTTTGCCACCCCCTCATTTTCACCTAAATAGATATTCTAGAGGCACCACTACTTGTCCTGGGATTAGATTTAACACATTCTAAGATTCATAGGCTACACAAGTTCAGCAGAAAGAGTACAATGACTGTGGCTCAGAGACCGTGGGATTATGCTGGAGGAGTTGGTAAGCTCAATTGGGCATGGAGAATGTCAAGAAGAGAACTTGGGGGGAGAGTATTACAAGTACTTACAGGGAGCGGTTGTGCAGAAGACATTTTAAAAAGGAGGTGTGAAGCTGAGTAAATAGACTAGCTTGTCTAAAGCTCCTTGATCAGGTTGAGGATTAGTGAGAGAAAAGGTCAGAGAAATTAGAGAGATTAGGTAGAAATGTAAATTAAGACATTTACATCAATTTTAAATTGCCAAGAGTTTTGGCACAGTTTAATTCTCATAAACATATTCTATAGGTTGGTATTTCTCTTTTAATCTTTTCTGTTATGTGACACCATATGGGTTTTGAAATAATGACTTTTGAGTTAGTAATCTGCAAACACAACAAAATTATTATTTTAAGAATTGCTATTTTTGATGCATTTATAAGATCCATTCTTGAGTCTTTACTTTTTTTTCCAAGTATCTCTCTGGTACCAAAAAGAGTCTGAGAATTTATTTCTTCACAAGTTTTCTGTTTTTGTTGTTTGCTTTTTAAGCTGTTGAAGAAACCAGATACACAGCCTGTCACTTAAATTACCCAAAGGTAAAAGCCATATCTTTTTTTTATTTTATTATTATTATACTTTAAGTTTTAGGGTACATGTGCACAATGTGCAGGTTAGTTACATATGTATACATGTGCCATGCTGGTGTGCTGCACCCATTAACTCGTCATTTAGCATTAGGTATATCTCCTAATGCTATCCCTCCCCCCTCCCCCCACCCCACAACAGTCCCCAGAGTGTGATGTGCCCCTTCCTGTGTCCATGTGTTCTCATTGTTCAATTCCCACCTATGAGTGAGAACATGTGGTGTTTGGTTTTTAGTCCTTGCGATAGTTTACTGAGAATGATGATTTCCAATTTCATCCATGTCCCTACAAAGTACATGAACTCATCATTTTTTATGGCTACATAGTATTCCACGGTGAATATGTGCCACATTTTCTTAATCCAGTCTATCATTGTTGGACATTTGGGTTGGTTCCAAGTCTTTGCTATTGTGAATAGTGCCACAATAGCATACGTGTGCATGTGTCTTTATAGCAGCATGATTTATAGTCCTTTGGGTATATACCCAGTAATGGGTTAGCTGGGTCAAATGGTATTTCTAGTTCTAGATGCCTGAGGAATCGCCACACTGACTTCCACAATGGTTGAACTAGTTTACAGTCCCACCAACAGTGTAAAAGTGTTCCTATTTCTCCACATCCTCTCCAGCACCTGTTGTTTCCTGACTTTTTAATGATTGCCATTCTAACTAGTGTGAGATGGTATCTCAGTGTGGTTTTGATTTGCATTTCTCTGATGGCCAGTGATGGTGAGCATTTTTTCATGTGTTTTTTGGCTGCATAAATGTCTTCTTTTGAGAAGTGTCTGTTCATGTCCTTTGCCCACTATTTGATGGGGTTGTTTGTTTTTTTCTCATAAATTTGTTTGAGTTCATTGTAGATTCTGGATATTAGCCCTTTGTCAGATGAGTAGGTTGTGAAAATTTTCTCCCATTTTGTAGGTTGCTTGTTCACTCTGATGGTAGTTTCTTTTTTTTTTTTTCTTTTTTTTATTATTATTATACTTTAAGTTTTAGGGTACATGTGCACATTGTGCAGGTTAGTTACATATGTATACATGTGCCATGCTGGTGCGCTGCACCCACTAACGTGTCATCTAGCATTAGGTATATCTCCCAATGCTATCCCTCCCCCTCCCCCGACCCCACCACAGTCCCCAGAGTGTGATATTCCCCTTCCTGTGTCCATGTGATCTCATTGTTCAATTCCCACCTATGAGTGAGAATATGCGGTGTTTGGTTTTTTGTTCTTGCGATAGTTTACTGAGAATGATGGTTTCCAATTTCATCCATGTCCCTACAAAGGACATGAACTCATCATTTTTTATGGCTGCATAGTATTCCATGGTGTATATGTGCCACATTTTCTTAATCCAGTCTATCATTGTTGGACATTTGGGTTGGTTCCAAGTCTTTGCTATTGTGAATAATGCCGCAATAGACATACGTGTGCATGTGTCTTTATAGCAGCATGATTTATAGTCATTTGGGTATATACCCAGTAATGGGATGGCTGGGTCAAATGGTATTTCTAGTTCTAGATCCCTGAGGAATCGCCACACTGACTTCCACAATGGTTGAACTAGTTTACAGTCCCACCAACAGTGTGAAAGTGTTCCTATTTCTCCACATCCTCTCCAGCACCTGTTGTTTCCTGACTTTTTAATGATTGCCATTCTAACTGGTGTGAGATGATACCTCATAGTGGTTTTGATTTGCATTTCTCTGATGGCCAGTGATGATGAGCATTTTTTCATGTGTTTTTTGGCTGCATAAATGTCTTCTCTTGAGAAGTGTCTGTTCATGTCCTTCACCCACTTTTTGATGGGGTTGTTTGTTTTTTTCTTGTAAATTTGTTTGAGTTCATTGTAGATTCTGGATATTAGCCCTTTGTCAGATGAGTAGGTTGCGAAAATTTTCTCCCATGTTGTAGGTTGCCTGTTCACTCTGATGGTAGTTTCTTTTGCTGTGCAGAAGCTCTTTAGTTTAATTAGATCCCATTTGTCAATTTTGTCTTTTGTTGCCATTGCTTTTGGTGTTTTGGACATGAAGTCCTTGCCCACGCCTATGTCCTGAATGGTAATGTCTAGGTTTTCTTCTAGGGTTTTTATGGTTTTAGGTCTAACGTTTAAATCTTTAATCCATCTTGAATTGATTTTTGTATAAGGTGTAAGAAAGGGATCCAGTTTCAGCTTTCTACATATGGCTAGCCAGTTTTCCCAGCACCATTTATTAAATAGGGAATCCTTTCCCCATTGCTTGTTTTTCTCAGGTTTGTCAAAGATCAGATAGTTGTAGATATGCGGCATTATTTCTGAGGGCTCTGTTCTGTTCCATTCATCTATATCTCTGTTTTGGTACCAGTACCATGCTGTTTTGGTTACTGTAGCCTTGTAATATAGTTTGAAGTCAGGTAGTGTGATGCCTCCAGCTTTGTTCTTTTGGCTTAGGATTGACTTGGCGATGCGGGCTCTTTTTTGGTTCCATATGAACTTTAAAGTAGTTTTTTCCAATTCTGTGAAGAAAGTCATTGGTAGCTTGATGGGGATGGCATTGAATCTGTAAATTACCTTGGGCAGTATGGCCATTTTCACAATATTGATTCTTCCTACCCATGAGCATGGAATGTTCTTCCATTTGTTTGTGTCCTCTTTTATTTCCTTGAGCAGTGGTTTGTAGTTCTCCTTGAAGAGGTCCTTCACATCCCTTGTAAGTTGGATTCCTAGGTATTTTATTCTCTTTGAAGCAATTGTGAATGGGAGTTCACTCATGATTTGGCTCTCTGTTTGTCTGTTGTTGGTGTATAAGAATGCTTGTGATTTTTGTACATTGATTTTGTATCCTGAGACTTTGCTGAAGTTGCTTATCAGCTTAAGGAGATTTTGGGCTGAGACGATGGGGTTTTCTAGATAAACAATCATGTCGTCTGCAAACAGGGACAATTTGACTTCCTCTTTTCCTAATTGAATACCCTTTATTTCCTTCTCCTGCCTGATTGCCCTGGCCAGAACTTCCAACACTATGTTGAATAGGAGCGGTGAGAGAGGGCATCCCTGTCTTGTGCCAGTTTTCAAAGGGAATGCTTCCAGTTTTTGCCCATTCAGTATGATATTGGCTGTGGGTTTGTCATAGATAGCTCTTATTATTTTGAAATACGTCCCATCAATACCTAATTTATTGAGAGTTTTTAGCATGAAGGGTTGTTGAATTTTGTCAAAGGCTTTTTCTGCATCTATTGAGATAATCATGTGGTTTTTGTCTTTGGCTCTGTTTATATGCTGGATTACATTTATTGATTTGCATATATTGAACCAGCCTTGCATCCCAGGGATGAAGCCCACTTGATCATGGTGGATAAGCTTTTTGATGTGCTGCTGGATTCGTTTTGCCAGTATTTTATTGAGGATTTTTGCATCAATGTTCATCAAGGATATTGGTCTAAAATTCTCTTTTTTGGTTGTGTCTCTGCCCGGCTTTGGTATCAGAATGATGCTGGCCTCATAAAATGAGTTAGGGAGGATTCCCTCTTTTTCTATTGATTGGAATAGTTTCAGAAGGAATGGTACCAGTTCCTCCTTGTACCTCTGGTAGAATTCGGCTGTGAATCCATCTGGTCCTGGACTCTTTTTGGTTGGTAAACTATTGATTATTGCCACAATTTCAGAGCCTGTTATTGGTCTATTCAGAGATTCAACTTCTTCCTGGTCTAGTCTTGGGAGAGTGTATGTGTCGAGGAATGTATCCATTTCTTCTAGATTTTCTAGTTTATTTGCGTAGAGGTGTTTGTAGTATTCTCTGATGGTAGTTTGTATTTCTGTGGGATCGGTGGTGATATCCCCTTTATCATTTTTTATTGTGTCTATTTGATTCTTCTCTCTTTTTTTCTTTATTAGTCTTGCTAGCGGTCTATCAATTTTGTTGATCCTTTCAAAAAACCAGCTCCTGGATTCATTGATTTTTTGAAGGGTTTTTTGTGTCTCTATTTCCTTCAGTTCTGCTCTGATTTTAGTTATTTCTTGCCTTCTGCTAGCATTTGAATGTGTTTGCTCTTGCTTTTCTAGTTCTTTTAATTGTGATGTTAGGGTGTCGATTTTGGATCTTTCCTGCTTTCTCTTGTAGGCATTTAGTGCTATAAATTTCCCTCTACACACTGCTTTGAATGCGTCCCAGAGATTCTGGTATGTGGTGTCTTTGTTCTCGTTGGTTTCAAAGAACATCTTTATTTCTGCCTTCATTTCGTTATGTACCCAGTAGTCATTCAGGAGCAGGTTGTTCAGTTTCCATGTAGTTGAGCGGCTTTGAGTGAGATTCTTAATCCTGAGTTCTAGTTTGATTGCACCGTGGTCTGAGAGACAGTTTGTTATAATTTCTGTTCTTTTACATTTGCTGAGGAGAGCTTTACTTCCAACTATGTGGTCAATTTTGGAATAGGTGTGGTGTGGTGCTGAAAAAAATGTATATTCTGTTGATTTGGGGTGGAGAGTTCTGTAGATGTCTATTAGGTCCGCTTGGTGCAGAGCTGAGTTCAATTCCTGGGTATCCTTGTTGACTTTCTGTCTCGTTGATCTGTCTAATGTTGACAGTGGGGTGTTAAAGTCTCCCATTATTAATGTGTGGGAGTCTAAGTCTCTTTGTATGTCACTCAGGACTTGCTTTATGAATCTGGGTGCTCCTGTATTGGGTGCATAAATATTTAGGATAGTTAGCTCCTCTTGTTGAATTGATCCCTTTACCATTATGTAATGGCCTTCTTTGTCTCTTTTGATCTTTGTTGGTTTAAAGTCTGTTTTATCAGAGACTAGGATTGCAACCCCTGCCTTTTTTTGTTTTCCATTGGCTTGGTAGATCTTCTTCCATGCTTTTATTTTGAGCCTATGTGTGTCTCTGCACATGAGATGGGTTTCCTGAATACAGCACACTGATGGGTCTTGACTCTTTATCCAACTTGCCAGTCTGTGTTTTTTAATTGCAGAATTTAGTCCATTTATATTTAAAGTTAATATTGTTATGTGTGAATTTGATCCTGTCATTATGATGTTAGCTGGTGATTTTGCTCGTTAGTTGATGCAGTTTCTTCCTAGTCTCGATGGTCTTTACATTTTGGCATGATTTTGCAGCGGCTGGTACCGGTTGTTCCTTTCCATGTTTAGCGCTTCCTTCAGGAGCTCTTTTAGGGCAGGCCTGCTGGTGACAAAATCTCTCAGCATTTGCTTGTCTATAAAGTATTTTATTTCTCCTTCACTTATGAAGCTTAGTTTGGCTGGCTATGAAATTCTGGGTTGAAAATTCTTTTCTTTAAGAATGTTGAATATTGGCCCCCACTCTCTTCTGGCTTGTAGGGTTTCTGCCGAGAGATCCGCTGTTAGTCTGATGGGCTTTCCTTTGAGGGTAACCCGACCTTTCTCTCTGCTGCCCTTAACATTTTTTCCTTCATTTCAACTTTGGTGAATCTGACAATTATGTGTCTTGGAGTTTCTCTTCCCGAGGAGTATCTTTGTGGCGTTCTCTGTATTTCCTGAATCTGAACGTTGGCCTGCCTTGCTAGATTGGGGAAGTTCTCCTGGATAATATCCTGCAGAGTGTTTTCCAACTTGGTTCCATTCTCCACATCACTTTCAGGTACACCAATCAGACGTAGATTTGGTCTTTTCACATAGTCCCATATTTCTTGGAGGCTTTGCTCATTTCTTTTTATTCTTTTTTCTCTAAACTTCCCTTCTCGCTTCATTTCATTCATTTCATCTTCCATTGCTGATACCCTTTCTTCCAGTTGATTGCATCGGCTCCTGAGGCTTCTGCATTCTTCACGTAGTTCTCGAGCCTTGGTTTTCAGCTCCATCAGCTCCTTTAAGCACTTCTCTGTATTGGTTATTCTAGTTTTACATTCTTCTAATTTTTTTTCAAAGTTTTCAACTTCTTTGCCTTTGGTTTGAATGTCCTCCCGTAGCTCAGAGTAATTTGATCATCTGAAGCCTTCTTCTCTCAGCTCGTCAAAATCATTCTCCATCCAGCTTTGTTCCGTTGCTGGTGAGGAACTGCGTTCCTTTGGAGGAGGAGAGGCGCTCTGCGTTTTAGAGTTTCCAGTTTTTCTGTTCTGTTTTTTCCCCATCTTTGTGGTTTTATCTACTTTTGGTCTTTGATGATGTTGATGTACAGATGGGTTTTCGGTGTAGATGTCCTTTCTGGTTGTTAGTTTTCCTTCTAACAGACAGGACCCTCAGCTGCAGGTCTGTTAGAATACCCTGCCGTGTGAGGTGTCAGTGTGCCCCTGCTGGGGGGTGCCTCCCAGTTAGGCTGCTCGGGGGTCAGGGGTCAGGGACCCACTTGAGGAGGCAGTCTGCCCGTTCTCAGATCTCTAGCTGCGTGCTGGGAGAACCACTGGTCTCTTCAAAGCTGTCAGACAGGGACACTTAAGTCTGCAGAGGTTACTGCTGTCTTTTTGTTTGTCTGTGCCCTGCCCCCAGAGGTGGAGCCTACAGAGGCAGGCAGGCCTCCTTGAGCTGTGGTGGGCTCCACCCAGTTCGAGCTTCCCGGCTGCTTTGTTTACCTAAGCAAGCCTGGGCAATGGCGGGCGCCCCTCCCCCAGCCTCGTTGCCGCCTTGCAGTTTGATCTCAGACTGCTGTGCTAGCAATCAGCGAGATTCCGTGGGCGTAGGACCCTCTCAGCCAAGTGTGGGATATAGTCTCGTGGTGCGCCGTTTTTTAAGCCGGTCTGAAAAGTGCAATATTCGGGTGGGAGTGACCCGATTTTCCAGGTGCGTCCCTCACCCCTTTCTTTGACTCGGAAAGGGAACTCCCTGACCCCTTGCGCTTCCCAGGTGAGGCAATGCCTCGCCCTGCTTCGGCTCGCGCACGGTGCGCGCACACACTGGCCTGCGCCCACTGTCTGGCACTCCCTAGTGAGATGAACCCGTTACCTCAGATGGAAATGCAGAAATCACCCATCTTCTTCATCGCTCACGCTGGGAGCTGTAGACTGGAGCTGTTCCTATTCGGCCATCTTGGCTCCTCCCCCTCTGATGGTAGTTTCTTTTGCTATGCAGAAGCTCTTTAGTTTAATTAGATCCCATTTGTCAATTCTGACTTTCATTACCATTGCTTTTGGTGTTTTAGACATGAAGTCCTTGCCCATGCCTATGTCCTGAATGGTAATGCCTAGGTTTTCTTCTAGGGTTTTTATGGTTTTAGGTCTAACATTTAAGTCTTTAATCCATCTGGAATTAATTTTTGTGTAAGGTGTAAGGAAGGGATCCAGTTTCAGCTTTCTACATATGGCTAGCCAGTTTTCCCAGCACCATTTATTAAATAAGGAATCCTTTCCCCATTGCTTGTTTTTCTCAGGTTTGTCAAAGATCAGATAGTTGTAGATATGCGGCGTTATTTCTGAGGGCTCTGTTCTGTTCCATTGATCTATCTGTTTTGGTACCAGTACCATGCTGTTTTGGTTACTTGTAGCCTTGTAGTATAGTTTGAAGTCAGGTAGCATGATGCCTCCGGCTTTGTTCTTTTGGCTTAGGATTGACTTGGCGATGCAGGCTCTTTTTTGGTTCCATATGAACTTTAAAGTAGTTTTTTCCAATTCTGTGAAGAAAGTTATTGGTAGCTTGATGGGGATGGCATTGAATCTATAAATTACCTTGGGCAGTATGGCCATTTTCATGATATTGATTCTTCCTACCCATGAGCATGGAATGTTATTCCATTTCTTTGTATCCTCTTTTATTTCATTGAGCAGTGGTTTGTAGTTCTCCTTAAAGAGGTCCTTCACATCCCTTGTAAGTTGGATTCCTAGGTATTTTATTCTCTTTGAAGCAATTGTAAATGGGAGTTCACTCATGATTTAACTCTCTGGTAGAAGCCATATCTTTAAAAAGTGAGCCAAAATGTGCAAATTACAAAACCTTTTTGCAGAACTTAGTAAATTTATAAATAATTTAAAAATTTCCTCTAAGTTACTGGCCTACATAAAAAAAGCAAGTGCAACATCTGCCTACTAATGGGATTCTGTTATCTATTGAGCAACATCATATCATCCATATGTGTATTTTCTGTTGAAGCAAAAAAGATTTAATAAGTACCACTAAATTATGAAGGAAAGGATGAAAGAAGATAGGACAAAAACATTTCTTGTTATACCTATGCAGAAACATACATACATGAGTTCTTTGTGGGCACTGTAGTGAATTGGAGTGGATATTCATTGAATTCGTTTGTAAGTGATGGAAAATTTCTCACTATACTGGCAGTTCTGCTTAAAGTATGCTGTAGGATTGGTGTGAATTGCTCAGAAAATTAAAGAAACTCAGTCTTTAATTCTTTAATATTCCACAGCAAATGTTGGTCTGCCCACACACCCTCGATATTTGTTACAGACCTGGAAACATATGCTCCTGGTAGAATCATTTTCTTCCTTGACACATCACCCATTCTGCTCCATCAGATAATACGCAGCTGCCAGTGGGTGAAAACTTCAATGCAGTATAATATCAAATAACATCTTTAAACATACTGTTTTAGGGAAAAGAACATATACTAGATAGAAATGGCATTCTTATTTATCCCTGTAGGACACTAAATATGTAGAAATGAGTAGTATTTAACTTCAAAAATTTGTTGTTAACATAAATAAGTAGAGGTTGATTATTTTAGAAAATCATTTTGAAGGAAAAAGATATTATGAAATTTATAAACAGAACTTAACACTTTTTAAATTGAGATTTTATTTGATCACATTCTTGGCTGTCTTTGATCATGAGCCTACATTTTAATTGGGAAAGCAAAGACTTGAAAATATATTAGGAGCAAACTCTTGGGATAGCCTTGGATTTATTTTATATTATAACATCTAAAGCATTAGCTGAAAAAGTAAATATGCCACTAGACCTTTTAACTTTTATGCAATTTAATCCGTTTATCTCCACCTTGTTTCTAGTTCTCTTGGTATTCCTCCTGGCAACCCATGGACTAGCACTATGTTTGCTGCTCAATGAATGTTTGCAGTGTTGTCATGTACACAGAAGACTTGATCACTCTCCTTTGTGTCTTTTAGGACTGCCCTTTATAAAGCCTAACCTAGAACTTGTACTGTTTTATAAGACATTATTGATTTGTTCATGTTTTCTTGAGGATTAGGCTGTATCTAATTCTCTTTGGAGGCATAGTGGCAAGCCCAGGAAGCAGCACATATTTGTTGACAAATTAATATTTGTGCCATGCAACCCCCGGAACTCCTTAGCAAATGCTGTCTTTAAATTTCTTTAATACCAGAACTTACTTAAAAGGTGACCAATTGATTATCTCTTTTGGAAACCCAGAGTACCTATGGTGTGCAATTTACGAACATGTCTTAAATTCTCTTTTAGTCATATTTAACTTCTTCATATTAGGCAGATTAGGTCTTCATTTTTGAGGGGCTCCTTGAAGGCAGTATTTGCATATAGTTTGTGTATGCATTTCTCACAGTACTTAGAACAATACCTGCTGTGTACATATTTTTTGAAATTATTATAATGTAACTATTTGGAGAGAGTATTTGGTACTACATTTGACTCTTGCTTCCCAAGTGTTTTTTTGCATTTAGAGCATCTGAACTGACTTTGGTCAATGCACCAGTGAGATATCTTTGTGGGCTAAGGCAGAAATAATTCAGAAATCCCTTTTGAAATAGGTGATCTCATAGCTCCTCTGTTTAGAAGTTGCATGCTACTATATGGGCATAAGGACAAGGGAGCTATCACTTTGAGCCTCTGGGAATGTAGGCAAACTCTCAGTGGCTTCTATATCAAAAGACATAGAGACCAAAGGCCAGACATTGAGCTATACCTATAGCATCATAGCCTATGCCCCTTCTCTTGTGAAAAGAGTTGTGTAAACCACCTGCTCAGATAGGTGACTGATAAGAATAGGTGGAAGTATTGTCATTGCTTCTCTAATAAGTGTACGATTTTTAAAAAGACTTTTCTTAAATTCCTAAATTATTTATCTGAATATGGTGGAGAGAGTGCAAGTACAGAAATTGGTCTTGGGTTCAAAATCAATTTGTATAATTTTCTGATTACAAGAAATTAAGAAGCGTCCTAAACTAGATGATTTCGGTTTTCCTCTTTTCAAACTTAGACAAGGTTGTGTACCTCTTTGGTTGTTTGAGTATCAAACAAGACCATGTCTTTAAAGTGTCTATTAGCTAATAAATATTTTATTTATTAGTTAATACTTTATTTAACATTTAATACTTTATTGCCCTAATGCCGCCTCCTTAATATTCAGTAAGACAAATTGTTATATCCAGAAATCAGAATCATTAACACATTCCAAAGCTTCCATAAAACGTGAACATTTTAAAGACTGAAGGGCACAGTTACGTGTTTGATTTTGTGCTGTCCATCACACCTGCAAACTGGAACAATAATCCAAATGATATGTATGGCATTGGCATCTTATGTATTAATAAAGAGCATAAAGATTCTTTGACATCTGTAGAGTAACAAAAAACACAGGGAGGTGACTTATATTATCAGCAAGAGGAAAAATAAACTGGATGATTTGAAAATATGCAATGTGGTGGGAGGATTACAATAGCAATGAGGGAAAAATCTATCTGAAATTAAAACTCCAAACTTGAATAAACTTTAACTTAGCCATGTAATTAGACAGAAAATAATTCAATCACTATTTTCTTTTCATAATTTCACAGTGGTTAGATGAAAGTATATCAGTAAATATAAAACTGTCTGTAACTCACAGTCATTCAGTTGAGCTTCAAAATAAAATGTCTTCAATATATGTGTCATAGGACTATCTTATCGGTAAGATAACCAAATGTCAGTATTCTCTTTGTCCTTCTTTAGAAACAGCTAAAACATAGACCTCAGTTTACTGAATTGTATACTAGAGTGAATGGTACTAGAATACATTTTTGTTGAGAACGACATGACCACTGACAGTATTTTTGCTTTCCTTAAAGGAATAAATTGTCAAGAGTTAGAAGCAGGAAATAAAATTTAAAAACCACTCAGTGGTCCATCAAATGAAAATACTTAGAAGTTAAGGAGTAGTTTTAGATTAAACTTCTAGAAGAGCTCTAAATTTAAACACCAGGAGCTATTTTATACATTATTTCTAAATAATTTAAATTAAGGATTTTTTAAATGGAAAATCTACATGTCATTATAAAGATAGAATGCTACAGGATAGATGTTCTTAATACCCTGGGAGTTCTGCTCCGGTCTGTATCCTTTAATAAAAGCTATAGACTTACAGAAATATAATTCATGGGTTATATTTAGGGAGGAACAGATGTTTGGATTCTGCAAAGTGAAACTTGTGGCCTTCATTTGAAGTGATTTTGAATGATGCAATATAAGTCCCCTTGAAAGATATCTTTGTTCTTGTTGTCTAAAGCAAGAAGATTAAAATAGTTTATTAAAAACGTGCATCATAATTCTACCATTTGAGGAGAAATAAAGGCTTATACCTGATTAATTTTGAAATCATCCAAAAGAACAAATGATTATATTTATTTATTTATTTATTATTATTATACTTTTAAGTTTTAGGGTACATGTGCACAATGTGCAGGTTAGTTACATATGTATACATGTGACATGCTGGTGCGCTGCACCCACTAACTCGTCATCTAGCATTAGATATATCTCCCAATGCTATCCGTCCCCTCTCCCCCCACCCACAATAGTCCCCAGAGTGTGATGTTTCCCTTCCTGTGTCCATGTGTTCTCATTGTTCAAATCCCACCTATGGTCGTATTTATTTTTAACTAGAATTGTGTAATGCTATAATAAACCCTCATTAACACAGATACTAATTTGGAATTTGATCATTGGGAAATCAGCAGTATATATACTATTTGCTAGGCAATTTAAAATCATTAACGCAGATACTAATTTGGAATTTGATCATTGGGAAATCAGCAGTATATATACTATTTGCTAGGCAATTTAAGTATAAAGATGATTGGCATTTAATTTGGCTAGGAATAAGGGCTAAAACAGTATTTTTGGAGACTGTTTATTAAGCAGTCTTTATCAAATTATTGTTGACATCATATTATGGCAGAGTATTCACTGTTCAGTAGTAGATGTGCTCAGATGCTGAAAATCATGTAGAGAAATTACGATAGGCATTTGGGACAAGAGGAGATCAACTCCAACTGGGATAGAGATCAGGTGAAAGGGAGTTCTGTGAAGGAACTGGAATTTATTTGACTGTTGAAGTAATGTAAGGCAATGTAGAGGTTGAGTTTGGGTTTAGGAAAAGGAAATCCCAGTTGTCATTTTGGGGTGGGGGATGGCAAAGATGATGACTCTGAAAAAGAGTCTTTTTAATTTAGCTTGGGACTGTGTATGTGAAAAAATTCCAGGTACCGAATTGGGACATACTTAAGAGGATTTTGAGTGGTTACATTTCATTTTGTAAGCAATAGGAAAGTCTAGTGGATATAAATAGGAGGCAATTTACTAGGGCAGGTAGAAACAGGAAAATTAGAAAACATAATAATGATATAAGAACTTCATCCAGGATGATGACAATGGAACAAAATGAAAAGCTGAATTTGAAAAATATTGTATTAGGGAAGATATAGAGCTGGGCAAGTAATCAAATGCCAGAGCTGGGCAGAGAGAAGAGTCAGGGACATTTCTAAAGTTTTATGCATAGTGGATGGATGAAAGAAAAAAAGCTATGCTATAATAAACAGAAATAAAAATATCAGGTGAATTATTTTGAGACTAGAAGATTAATTAGTCTAGATTTAAGTCTGGTGAGATGACTATTCTATCAGGAAATTTGGAAGCCACTAACTATACAGGATATATAGTTATTTGTAACTATATATCCTGCATAGTTAGCAATGCCTAACTTCATAGTAGAGGTTAAAGCTAGTGATCGATTTGAGGACCATTTACCTTAACATATTAGTTAAACCTGTGGAGGTTGGAGAGGCTGAAGGAGAGAGTGAATAGAAGGAAGAAGAGTTGGGTAGAATTGAGTCATGTGTAATGTCCACATTGTTAATGGTAGAAGAGGAGTCAGATAAGAATTGAGAAAAATGAGTCTATGCTAATACAGAAATATGAGTGAGGAATTATTATAATGTAGAGTCATAGAAATCAAAGCTTTGGGAGAGTTTCAAGTAGGAGAGGTGAGCAGCTGTAGTTGTAAAATCCCACAAACAAGAGTATGTGAAGCAATATAAGATTTTTAATATTGACAGAAGGTTAACAAACAATAAAAAAATACAGTTTCAGGAGAAGGGGGAAATAGACAAAACATGTTTACTTTTGCTTGGATTGGTACACAACTTAATACTTTCATAGGTTTTAAATTTCTATTTCATTAGCTTAATTTAATAAACCATTTTCATGAGTAGCTAAAACAATGCACCACCCACCCATCTCATATTCTCATTGGATAAATTGCTAGTTTATTGGAAGACATCTAAATGCCTTTAAATATAGTCTAACTTTGTTTTATTCATTACTTAGGCTAAACTTTCCCTCAGATAGGATCATTTTGCAAGGGTTTACTATTTTAAGAAAGTTAGCATATTTCCACTCCAAATTGCCTATGTTTGAGTTGTCTGGATTTTTAAAATATATTTCCTTCCCACCCTCCATGGATAATAAATTTGGCCTTGTGAGACATCAAGGCATTAGACCAAGTAGCAAACCTGGCCAATGAAACTTTTTTGCGAAGTTTCTAAATACACATATTTTACAAAATATCTTTCCCAGTGTGAATCTTAGTATTAAGAGGATTGGGAAGAGGACCTAGCATTTAAGAGAAGGCACCTTATGCTAGTTTTCAAAACATATGTACCAAATCATCAGGCTATTAGATTTTAAAAATTGAATCAGTTTTAAATAAAATTTGGGACATGATTTTGAGGACTATTGTTGTTATAAAAATTAAATCTAGCTGGGTATTTATTTGCTTATTTATTTGTTTATTTATGCAGGTTGATAAGTTGTTATAAACATGCTCAATTCATGTTTCATATTTATAAAATAATTGATATCAAGAGGCCATTCTTCTAAATGCAATGGTCCAAACTTTTATATTGTGGCTAATGATGTTAATTAGTCTCCCAGAATACCACTAATTTTGAAACCAGTAACAGATCACAGAAGCAGCACACTATGGCTGTATATCAGCCAAAGAGGTGCTATATTTCATGAGAAGTTATCAAAAGCATTTATCTTTTGGGAATTCTATTTCTTTCTTTTAGAAGTGAATCTTAAGTGTGAGTTGAGGGGACAGATTTATGACATTATTTGACTTCAACTGTAGATAAAATAGGAGCGACTGTAAATCTGGTACCGTGTCAGGAAATTAACCATAAATATTTTTATTCAATTCTGCTCAATGACAAATATTTATTTCATCACAGAGAGGGGAGAAAAGAATTTTTCATTCAATATTTAGAGAAAATATTGTAAATACAAGCACCTTTAGTAGTAGTAAAGTATGACGATTATTTAAATCTCATTAAAGCTTTAGGTTAGAAATGTCTGACATCAGGCTGTTTCAAGTAGAGAAGATAACGTAAGCAACTGGGGCTGGGAAACCTTAAGAAGAGTGGGAAGTTCTTGTTAGGAACAAGGAGGAGTTCTCCTTACCACAAGCCTTAAAGGGTTGCATGTGGGTAGAGAAAAAAAAGTATGACTGAATTTGAAATTCTTCTTGATTTAGTATCATGGACTAATCTTTACAACGCCACTTTATCTCTTCTAGAAACCTATAGGGAGAAGATACACTCTACATAAAAAATAAGTGGCCTATGAAAATTATTTTATTAGTAGTTAATATTATACTTATTAGTGATAATATTTTATTTAGCCTATTCTATATATTTCCAGTGAAAAAGGTAAAATAGTTACCTAGATTATGATTTTGCTGTAATTATAAAGATCATTAGTTTTCCAGTGAGTGTCCTCTCTGCTTTGCTGGTATTTCAGAGAAAGGAAGTTTCTACGTAACAGTTTCTTTCTCCATCCCCTTCAGTTGATGGGGTTTTATTATAAGGAAGGAGAAATAAGTAAAGAGTCCTATCATTGTTGACGTTAGGCTTTGTGGAGAACTGGCACCTTATTCAGGATACCACAGAGATTCCAGTGTAAGATAGAATTCCGAAGCTATCATTTTTGTGTCGTGGCTTCTCTTCATACAGGTTCTATATGCTACACTTTGCATACACTATTGCATGTAGTCCTCACACAGAGT
This sequence comes from Homo sapiens, assembly GCF_000001405.40. Taxonomy (NCBI): domain Eukaryota; kingdom Metazoa; phylum Chordata; class Mammalia; order Primates; family Hominidae; genus Homo; species Homo sapiens. Next base: position 45,650,218 of record NC_000005.10, on the reverse strand, counting down.
AACTCTAAGAGTAGTAGAAAAAAATGAAAGTTTATGGCAGCTAAATATCTTGCTCCAAATCATCCAGTTAGTGGAGCTAGGATTTTAACTCTGGTCTGCCTTCAAAGTCCAAGCAAGTTCTTTTACAAATACTTTTTCTCTGGGGCAGGATGAATAGAAGTAGGTAGATATATGATATGTAAAAACATCTCAAATACACAACTCTTTTGTTTTTTAGATATCTAACCTAAGAGCATATTTCTAACCTCTTTGTTTCCTATTTTATTTATTTTAACATATTCTGTTGTAAAAATGAAAACCCTTAATAAGTAAAATCCAGATCTATATGCAAGACAAATAAGAAATTATTATTTACTTTGTTAATGGCTCTTTGGCTTATTATAAAAGGTTTTCTTTAAATATCCCCCATTAAAGTGTATGTTTTCATTAAAAATCCAATTAATAAATATTCTTAACATTTGCTATCTTAGATGCTATCTATCTTATAGCAGAAAATATATAGAAGACAAGATACAGTTTTGAACTTTAAATAACTTGAATCAGTAATGATGGAAGAAACACATACAAATAGTAACAGAATCAAAAATAGGAAACATGTTGAGAATATATGCTGCTCTGAGGGTTGTAAAAAAAAAAACTAACAAATGAGGTGAAAGAAGGATGAATAGGAAAAGCACATGTGATTTTTAGGGCAGTGAAACTACTGGTGTATATACATGTCTCTATGTATTTGCCCAAACCATAGAATGTACACCAACAGTGAATCCTAATGTAAACTGTGGGCTCTGGTTGATAATGAGATGTCAGTGTAGGTTCATCATTTGTAACAATTTTTTTTTTATGGTGGGGGATGTTGATAATGGGGAGGGACTATATATGTGTAGGGGCAGGAGGTATATAAGAAATCTCTGTACACTCAGTTAAAGTTTTCCATGAACCTAAAACTACTCTAAAAATAAAGTCTACTAAAACAAAAATAAAACACACACTCACACACAAACAAACTAAGAAACTCATTGCCAGAATGGGATTTGAGGGAGAAGTAGAAAGGGATTTGAGGGGATTTGAGGGCTGTTAGGTAGAAAGATAGCTGGAATGGAAGTAATCATATCTCCTGTATGTGTACCCAGGTAGGCATGAGGGCAAAGCATGAGCAAGTGCCCTCTTGCCTGAGATATGGGATGCTTGTCCTCAGTTGTTAAAAGAGGGGGATGGAAAGGCAGGAGGAGGCCATATCCTGGAGTGCCTTGACAAACAGACTAAGTTGTTTTCGTTTAATTGAGAGAGTCAGTGCTGGTTGTTGACCTAGCAAATTGATTGTTAGGTAAGTTGCTTTGGGAGTGGTGGGACTTGATTAGAGAGAAGAGGCAGGAGACTCATGAGGAATTTCAAGCAGAAGGTGGCTCTGCCCAGACCAGAGAAATAAGAATGGAAGGAGGGGATAGATAGGAAAGATGATATGGTAATAAAATGTGCAAGACATAGAAACTGAGAGTTAAGGTAAAGAAGGAGCTTGGGTATCTAAGAGAAATTTTGAGAGTAAAGAGCTAGAAAGAAAGACTCATGGGCAATTAGGTAAGAGATTTTCATGAGGTCAATTTTTAAGAACCCATTTACTTTTTTTAAAGAAGGTATATTGCACTTCTAGAACAGGTGATGATTGTATTTTTTTGTTACCTAAGGAATGAATCCATGCTAACTAAAGACAATATTATGTAAGCATATAAAAGCACCTGTGGTTTTGTCTGCAAAATAGAGTCGATGTTACTTTAAAAGGATATTATGGGGTTTAACAGAGTTTCCTACTGGTATTGAGATATCTAATGGCTTCAGACCATATTAAGTATTGCTAGCAAAAAGCTATAGTGTGATAAGCATTATTACTGTAGTAAAGAATGAATGGTGCTTTCTTTTCATCTCTATTGCTCTGAGGGATGGGATATTAGTTTTCCTTCAAAAAAAGCTTCTATCTTAATTACAGAAATGCAAAGATGTCTGTAGAAATGAGTATTTTTCATTAGGTTGCTGGGTGCTTCCCACAAAATTGGATTTCTTGTGGTAAGTGAGGAAGGGTAAATGGGTAGTGACTAGGCCACTGGCATTGTGTGCCACAATTATATGCCAGGCCCTGGGATTAGCATATATCGTCTCGTTTAATCCATAAAACCCTGTATATTTGGCTCTGTAATAATCTTCTTTGAACAGGTTAGAAAATGTAAAATAAAATCATTTAATTGGCTTGTATTTAAATAAAACAGCTGGTAAGACTTTCTGAATGAGGACAGCTGCAGTGGGAATAGTAAAGTGCAAATGGATGAATACAACATACATTTAGGTGTGAGAACTAAACAGCCTTGGTGATCAATTGGATATGGGTTTGAGCAGATTTAGGGCCAGGAGTTATTTAGGATGGCTCCATGGTTTCTGGCTTGCAAATCACACATAGAGTTATTCCATTCCCTGAGATAGGGGATATGTGAGGAATATATGTGGGAGAGGAGATTATGAGTTTGAGCTTAGGCATGCTGTTTGAGATGAGTGTGAGATATGCCAGGAGAGAGATTTAACGGGCTACTGATTATGAGGATTAGGAGGCTTAGAAGATAGGAATGGACTGAAGATAAAGCTTTTGGGGTCATCAGTTACAAATTAATTATTAAAGGCATGGATAAGTGTATAATATTTCTCAAGGGCAATGCGTAGAATAGAAGATGAAAGGGCTATGTGTGACACCCAGGGGAACAACAGCCTTGAAGGGGAGGGCAGAGAGAGAAGCTTACAGAAGGGACTTGATAGGAGTGCCCAGAAGTGAAAAATCCTCAGGGTACACACAGTTTCATTTTAGAGTTTAGTGGTGCCATTTCTTTGTGAAATAGCTGTTACAATATTGCTCCTCCTCTACATCTCTCCTCTGTCCTTATTGTGTTGAATGGTATATTTTGCATTTCCATTGTGAGAAGATATAAAACCATTTCATTTAAACTGCCAGTACATGTTGTATGGCTGACATGGGTATTTGTACAGTTGTTTCAAAAATTGCAGGCAAGTTTTGACAGAAATACTGGTGAAATCTTCAAAATAACAAACGCTTATCCTTTACAACATCCTGAGGCTGGAGACAGGGGAGATAGGGCCTATTATAGTTTTTTCTTCAACTAGTACTTTTATTTCAGGAGTCATTCTTAATTACAGATGATAGTAACTTTGAAAGCTTTATACACATGTATACCTCACCAAAATGTAGCTCAAATAGTCTAAGTAGGAGTATTCATGTAAAACAAAAATATCTTGGTAAACAGACATTTTTATCATGGAAGTTTATATTGTTTATACAAAACTCCTCAAATAACATACCTATGACTAGGATAAAGTAACTCATGTTTCTGGATACATTTCATGATTATACAGTTGTGTTTATTTTTTCATTTTTGCAAGTATATACTGTAACAACTATAAATATTTGATTAATAGGAGTGTCAACAGACTGAAAGAACCCTTATAAAAATAACACTATAGTTATGTCAAGTGAATTTAGTTAATTTAGTTAAGCTATATAAACCAGCAATGAAGTTCCTGGTTTTCTCTCAATTTTAATGTAAGTTGAGATAAGAATATTTCAAAAGGTACTTAGTAGTCATAGGCATGTTCAGAATTAAATTAGAAATGTTAAAGATTTTTTTTTAGCTGGGCATGGTGGCACGCCTGTAATGCCAGCTACTCGGGAGGCTGAGGCGGGAGGAGAATCACTTGAACTTGGGAGGCGGAGGTTTCAGTGAGCTGAGATTGTGCCATTGTACTCCAACCTGGGCAACAAGAATGAAACTCCGTCTCAAAAAAAAAAAAAAAAAAAAGAAAGAAAGAAAGAATTTTTATGGAAAAGTAGTGGCAATATATTTGAAGTAGTTGTTCAATAGAGTAGTAATAAAAACACAAATTTTAGGTAGATTCTAGTTTCAAATATGGAGTAGAACTTGCTCAGTTCTTTTTAGCATCAGACCAAAATTAGTTTTCTTATTTCAAGCAAAAGAAAAATAAAGCATAAAATATTTGGAGTACTGCAAAACTCCAGTGTATTCTAGATTCCATGGCAAAACTAATCTGTATTCCTTGAGATAAATTTGCATAACTAAAATTGTTAGAGTATCCTATTTATTTCTGGGTTTTTTTTTCTAATCTATGATTGGTAAATTGACATCTAAAATAATTCAAAACATCTTCAAAGAGCCTTCCCAAAGGCTTTCTTACAGATCTTCTAATCTTATACTTCTTTCTAGTTTCTGTCTATATTTTGTATTAAGTATAAGGTAGGTTGCTTTTTTTGCCTCTTTACTAAATAAATGGGGGTATGAATGTTTTTGATTTTATTTGTATAATGCTTCATATCACATAATTTTTAGAATTCCATAATCATAATGCCTTGGTTTAAGAATATATTAATTTTACTTAGATTTAAACATATAGCCATTTAAGGAATTACATTTTTAAAAAATAAAATCATTTCTTTGTTCTTTTACTTATTGATCTCACTATATATCAGTAATAATTTTTCATGGGGGGGATAGGCTGGTTATTTTCTATATCTTAAAATCTGATTTTTTTATTTGTTGTAGGTTTTACTGGGATTTAATAATGCTTATAATGATGGTTGGAAATCTAGTCATCATACCAGTTGGAATCACATTCTTTACAGAGCAAACAACAACACCATGGATTATTTTCAATGTGGCATCAGATACAGTTTTCCTATTGGACCTGATCATGAATTTTAGGACTGGGACTGTCAATGAAGACAGTTCTGAAATCATCCTGGACCCCAAAGTGATCAAGATGAATTATTTAAAAAGCTGGTTTGTGGTTGACTTCATCTCATCCATCCCAGTGGATTATATCTTTCTTATTGTAGAAAAAGGAATGGATTCTGAAGTTTACAAGACAGCCAGGGCACTTCGCATTGTGAGGTTTACAAAAATTCTCAGTCTCTTGCGTTTATTACGACTTTCAAGGTTAATTAGATACATACATCAATGGGAAGAGGTAAGATGCATCTTTTTCTTTTTTAAATCTATATCATGAAATTGTTAATTATGGCTGTTTTACAATGAACAACTGTGCAATGTGTAATGAGTTTTATGAAATTCAAGTAGAAAAATGTATTCGACGACTCTTTTCCATGCATAAGTGATATATTTGTATCCCTAAAATATATGATCAAATAATGGATTTGAATGAACTGAAAAAAATAGTGATCGTTTTATGCCAATTTATTTTATTTTTAAATAAATGCACTTTAATCAGCAATTATTATCTTGATCAATACAACCCCTTTCCCACCTTGGTTTTTTTTAATCTAATATAAATACATCAAGTACCATTATTTTGATAAAGATGTGTAGGGTCTGATTGCTAATCTGGCACATCATTAGCTCTGTGAGATAGTGTGGTTTTTGTATCCTCTAATATTGAAGTTTCATTGAATTCATGATTGGGTAAAACAGATTGTTTCTTTATTTCCAAATTGTATATATAAAGGCTTTGATTTTAGCATATTAATTTTGCTTATTGTTATGCCTTGCCTATAGTAACTTATTTTAGTTTCTCCCTATTAGTTCATTTCATAATACTAAAAAGGAACATATTCATGAGGGACATTAGTACATAGAAAACACAAAGAGTATAGTGAATAAATGGAGTGAATCTGACCAATCAGGCCCATATTTTGCTGAATAGAGCATCTGTTGTTAGGCAGTGGGTGGGACCTGAGAGGGCTCAGCCAACTGGAGTTTCCAAAGATCTGAGTTAAACCATCATCAAGCAAAGGAGTTCATATCCCTATCTTCAAAGTCTGAATATTAACCATTTTGACTTCCTTTTCTTCCTAAGTCTTTTTGTATTAATTATAACCTGAATTTTATAGTCTGCATAAGCGTAAGAGTCCAAAAGACTTGTAGAATGCCTAAATCGACACTAATGAAAGTCATATAAAGTCATATACTGGCTATAGAATATTGCTTTCCTCCCTACAGAAATACTTTTTAGCATTTTCAAGATAAATTATGTTTTTAAATATGTCATAAAATGGAAGTTCTGTTTGATTTCTGTGAGGCGGTAGCAGTGTTTTTGTATGTGCTTGTCAGTGACATTTTGGTTCACAGGATTTCAGGAAATGACATGCAATAATAAAACACTGCATAATACACTGATAAAAAGGCATAAAAATGGATCATTCTTAAAATATAGATATGGGATATATTTAAAATCAAATGAAGCACATTTGAGAAATCAGATTCATCTTGTAATTTTTCTCTATATAGCACATTCCATCTAAAATGGAATAAATGTTCAGTTCTCAAAGCCTTTTTATGCTAATTTGAGATTAATACCAAACCAAGATGATTCTTGCTAATAATTGCTAATATTTATTGAAGGCTTATTACACGTCAGCTAGTATGTTTGATTCTTTACATATATTAGCTCACTGAATCTTCCTAACAACACAAAGATGTAAATATAATTATTGTCATTATTTTACAGATGAGAACAATTAAATACAATAAGGTAACTCGTCCAGATTCATAGAACTAGTAAGAAGTGGAGCTGGGATTCCAAACTTGGCAATCAGACTCAGGAGCCAGTGCTCTTAACTGCAAAACTATATAGGTTCTTACTATGATATATAATGTTTTAGTTATAAATATCTTAATATTCTACCATTTTATAGATTGTCTAACGAATTATAGGGAACTTTTCTTAAGTAAGACTGTGGGCCATGCAATACAACAGAGTTGAATAGTACCTCTTAAAACAAGGCCATGGAAAAATATTTTAACAAATATCCTGTGAGAGGAAAGTCACTGATATAAACATCCAGTCAATTAAAAATACAGTAGCAATGTGACTATTTTTAATATCTTGTGGTTTTAGCCCAGTTACCCTAGAGAATGGCAGCAGGATGAACAGATGGCATCCTATCAGATAAAATGGCAGGCCATGTGGTCATATAAGAGTATACTCCTTACCACCAATGTCCTTTGGCTTCTGGCAGTAATTACAGGCACCTAGATCTGTGTAACATGATGTGTTTTAAAGATGCCATGATAAAATTTAGGAACATCAGCTCACTGCTATCATTATTGTAAAATGCAATTTAATATGCACTTACAGACATTTGGTAACCAAGCACATTCAGGCTAGAGTTGTGGGTTGGCAACATGTTTCTTATAAATAAATGACCTTGGTAATAAATGAACCATAAGCCCATTTAGGTGAAGAATGTTTTCTTGATTATATGATACCCCCATATAATATCATATATCATGGGTATTTAATGCCCATTAGTAATGCTGTTCAACAGGGAAGAAACAGAGTCATAATCCAGAATTTAATACAAATTAATCTTTCCATCACCTACATGTTTCTAACCATAATCTCCAAGAAACTTGAATGGTTCCAAAACTGGAAATCTCTCTACCTGATTTTTCTAAATGTCACCAGGATGTGTTTACAAGTAAAAATACAACAAATAAATCAGAAAAAGTAGCTCTGTGAGCTTTTGCAATAAAAATTCAGAGGAAGATGTGAGTTCACCCACATGTCTTTGGTTCTGGGTGTTTTAGTATCAAGCTGGCTAATGCTAAATTCAGCAAATTTGGGGAAGTAATGTGTGAAGTCTGGAAGCTGCCACTGTTCTAAATGAATCATTCCTGAGGAAAGCTGCTGCCTTCTATAGGAAGCTGCTTCCATCTTCAACAATACATTTTTTTTTTTCTGGACTGAATTAGTTCAACTGAAAAACAACAAGAAGCCCTGATGCCAGATAAATTAGAAAAATATTATGAATGAGATACAGAAGCTTTAAATTTTTGTGCTTATGTTATTATCATTACTAAAGCTGAATTAGTGGTTAATACAGGAGGAAAAAACTGATTTGAGCAACTAATTTATGAAACACATGGTGTTAAGAAGTGAGGAGGGAAGTTGTTTTCATGAACCAATTATAAGATCAATAGATTTGGGATGTAAAAATAGCTTTCTGTGACATTACACTGAAACTTTATATATATTGCCAGGTGAGGTAAAAACCAGAGACAATTTAGATAAATCAAGCCAGAAATTTCTTTTCTTGTAATAGCTAGAAAGCTGAGGTGAATCTTTCCAATTTTTATGTTTGGTTTTAAAAAACTATTATTTGAATTCAGCATTGTCGTTGTTGTTATTGTGTTTAAAGACAGTGATCCAAGCCAGACTGCTATTTCATAACCTATCACAAGGGTAACAAATTCCTTGTGATCTTCCTAAAAGAGACATACGGTGAGGAAATCCCTGGAAATTAAATGGAATATGTGACAATCACAAGCCACTGAAGAGATAAAGAGTAGATTAAGGGCTTAGTGAATAGGAGATTATTCAGTTTGTAAAGGTGAAGAGTTCCTTTACAGCTGCTGATCTCAGTCATTTTATCAACAGGAGATGACCTTCGAAATTTTTTAGAGGTTTAGGAAATATTAATTGCAAATACAAATGCTACTCTGTAATGATTATCTCTTTGTAGGACTTAATGTCATAGATAAAGCATAAATTCTTCTTAATTTTAAAAAGTGGGAAATGCATCATTATATAATAACTATGGCTTTGGAATATATAACTATAATATTTTACTTTTTATTCATCATTTCCTATCTCCCCAACCTCCTTTGTATAGAACTGGGACATATTACAATTAATTAAATACATTTTGGGACAGGAAAGAGGGCCTGTGGTTTTGATCTTTTGTATCTATAGCAATTTCAGATGAATAATGTGTCTTGAACATTTCAATGCTTGTCTTGAAACCAATATTAGATTTTTATACTGGCTTAGAGATAGTTTAATATACAAATTATGTATAACAACAGAGCAGTAATAAGGAAATTTATTCCATAGGGAGCTAATGCAGATTACAGTTTCTATCTTTGGTTAATTTTAGCATTCAAATTGGTGTAGAGTAGAAACTAACTGTTACTATAAATTGCCTATCTATAATTATACAATACATATTCTAATTACTTTTATATTTTTAAAAACACATAGGATTCTAAGACTTGCCATAAGCAAACAGCAGAGTTTTCCCAAACCTGCCCTGTATTAGAACTTAGAGAGGCTCCCTATTGCTTATCACATCAAATCTGTGTTTCCTTGCTGTGCCTTCAAGTCTCTCCAGCACATTGTTCCCTGGTCTCACCATTGTCACTTCATATTTGCACCCAACTCTTTTCTGTTTGTGTTTCAGTTTTACAGTGCTGCTTGCAGGAAATGATTCTTTCTGCTTCTATAATTTTATTCCTGCTACATCTCCGATTTGGAAAGGCTTTTTTTTTTTTTTTTCTATCACTCCTTTAAAAATCATAGTTAAGGCTGGGTGCAGTGGATCACCTGAAGTCAGGAGTTCGAGACCAGCCTGGCCAACATGGTGAAACCCTGTCTCTACTAAAAATACAAAAAGTAGCTGGGCATGGTGGCGGGTGCCTGTAATCTCAGCTTCTCAGGAGGCTGAGGCAGGAGAACAGCTTGAACCTGGGAGGTGGAGGTTGCAGTGAGCTGAGATCATGCCATTGCACTCCAGCCTGGGCGACAAGAGTGAAACTCCGTCAAAAAAAAAAAAAAAAGAATCAGACTTCAACTCATTTCCAGAAGGTATTCTACATTGACACACTCTATCGTGACAGTCAATACCTTTCCAGTGAAAATTTCTACTGGCTCTACATGCATTTGTTCATGATAATTTGGTTACTAATGCTTTATTACACACATTTTGCTTTCCTTTTGCCAGACATAGATATCATAGGGAAGAATCAGTGTCAAATTTTGCCCTTGAATCTTTTTGTATATTAGTGCAGGGTTATAAACACAATAAATAATCAGAGCATGTTTATCCGCTAAATACTGGCAATCTCCCATGTTCTAAATCCGTTAAATAATAATAAGAGAGTATCCGTTCTTCACTCCCAAGCATTTACTGAGTAATCTGTATGTGGAGATGCTGCAAATAAGGATAGAAGACTGATGCCAGTTTTGTAAGAAAAGCAGATGTGAGCAAATAATCACAGATGATGTGGGAAGTAGTGGCACAAATAAGGGAGTGAGCAACACAATTGCTTTGCACAAGAGGAGGCCTTGAAACATACTGAACTGAATTTTGAATCTGGAGAATGGATTACCAGGCTGAACAAGTGGACCAGGGAGAAGAGTGTGTTCCAGAAGACACGAGATACAAGCAGCCTAGTGCAGTAGATGCAGATTCCCAGATTGAGTTTGGAGATGTAGACCAGAATTTGTGCTAATGATGGACTTAATCAAAAGGTGCCATTGATACATTTTAGGCAGGGGATTTACATTTTAGAGTGCTACAGAATGAAGGGGGTTGGAGGCCACCGTGGATAGAGCTAACACCACCAGTTAGAAGAGAGGTTTATCACTTCCTCGCATTTTTTTGTATGCAGTCGGTGTCAAACACAGTACTTTTTTAGATAGCTAAAAAAAGGTTTATCTTTGCCAAGTACTCTTGCTGTCAAAAAATGTTTGTATCGGTTAATGAAATATGATAAGGCCTTCTATGAAGTCTATTTGCAGTGTTTTACAATTTTAAATATCAATTATATTGGAGGTTTCAATTTTTATGATGGTATGGAATGGATTCTATACCAGAAATTAGTGTATATTTCAACTGCGACATTATTTTCTATGTAATCTAGGGAAAATCACATAAAGTGACTTATTTATGCCCATGAACAATCAAACAGTTGTGAAGTTCAAATGAAATGAAGCATATGGAAGTTATCTGAAATATTTAAACTGATATTTCTGTAATATTTATAAATATATGATGACATCTTTCTGAAATTAGCACATCTACTGACACCAACATTATTGCATGTGTGTGAATTGCCTGATATTTTCTGCAAGCAAATATTGATTCTGCTAAAGACCACTAGGTGTCCTCTATTGGTTATGTTACTTTAAGGTTCTATCTTTTAAAATGCCGGACTGTTTTCTTTGAAGTTATTCATTTACACTCTCCTAGAATCATCTATTTGCTTGGCTAGTTCATTTCTTGAAAAAAAGAAAAAGATGACTATGGATATTCGTATATGTAAAATGATTTCTAACTATACTTTCTTCTCCAATTAAACAGAGTTTTAAGTTCCGTCTCTAAACAATTATTAGTATTGTGAGATAATTGTTTTCAATATTATATTATTTACTTTTTAATGTGATAGCTTAACAGATATGCTGAAGTTTTAATGTACAATGTAATGAGTTCTATTTGGAAATGAGATGTTAAGTCAAGGCAACTGCTATGTCGCCCAGGCTGGAGGGTAGTTGGTTCCATCTCGGCTCACTGCAACCTCTGCCTCCTGAGTTCAAGTGATTCTCCTGTCTCAGCCTCCTGAGTAGCTGGGATTACAGGTGCCCCCAACACGCCTGGCTAATTTTTCTATTTGTAGTAGAGACAGGGTTTCACCATGTTGGCCAGGCTGGTCTTGAACTCCTGACCTCAGGTGATCTGCCCACCTTGGCCTCCCAAAGTGGTGGGATTACAGGCATGAGCCTCTGCGCCCAGCCCCAAGACAACTAAAAAGTTTTAACAGGGTGTGCGTGGTGTATATATACATATGTTAGAGGTAAGGCTTAATTTTATGAATGCTCTTTGGTCAGCGCCCCGTGGCAGATCTGTATCATCTCAGTGCTTTTGACATGGAAATCTCAGTTAAATGTCAGAATATAAGATCTGATTTGAAATGTTCATGCTTCCCATTTTAAGATTAAAACATTCAGCCTTCTTAATTAGCCCAATCCTTGTCCCAATCTGTTTTCTTGTTTTGCAGGTTTTTCTATAATTCCATGGCTATATGTTGATAATAATCAGATTGATATCCAAGTTTCTAAATTATATACCCAGTTGCCTCAATGTCCACATGACTCAGTGACATCTACAAAGGTATCTCATGAGTTCCTCAAGCTCAGTAGGTTCATTTTTTCTTTAAATCTCCTTTTCCCTTATTTCCTGTTGCTCAAGTCAGAAATCTAAAAAGTGTTCTTCTCCTTCTCTTTTAATTTCTAAGAAATAACCAAGTCCTACTGATTCTACTACTTCCCAATTGTGGTTGGAATCCTGTAACTTCTTCACTTGATCCCCTTATCACCATCCTAGTCCAAGCCAATTTGTGTCTCATTTGGATTTCTATTCTCCATTCATAACTATTTTAAAATTCACCCTTGCTTGCCTTCTCAGGAACTCAAAAGTGGTAGTTTTGAAGAGTAACTATTACCATATTACCCACCTGCTGAAAATATTTCTGTAACATTTCATTACTGTCAATATACAATGCAATATTCAAGGCCCTTTGAAATTTGTTTCTGGCCAAACTCCCTCAACCTGAGAAACTCTTTGCTCATATTCTTTAACTATGTTGAACCTCTTTAGTTTGCCAAATACCACATTTCAAATCCTATGTTTCATGTTCATGAAAATATGTGTTCATGTTTTCTAGAACTTTTTTCCTTTCAACAGTTTCAGATTATCCATCTCATTTTATTTACGCATTGCTTCTTTCAGGTAGAATTAACTAATCTCTCAGACACAATTAGTTCCATCTATAATGGATCTAGTATAGCTCCTTGTGCTTCTGCTTTGTAACATTCATCAATTTGTAATCTCTCTAAATCTGTGCCTTTACAATTACATATTAGATTCCAAAAGGGCAGATATCATAGCTTTCCTGCATCTTCAGTTCCTAGCATAGTGTCGGGGAAATAACTGGGCTCTAAAGTACTTGCTAGATGATTTCAGTTATTCCCTCAATGGAATTTCAATTCAGCAGGAAAAGAAAACATGTAAATAGACAAACCGATAAATAAAACAACAATGTCTTGAATCCAGTATTACAAGCATTTATAGTGTAAACAACAAAGCCAAGAGAAAGGTATTGTATATGAGTGTGTGGTAGGGAGTAGAAGAGAGGTTCTAGGGAAAGCACACTAAATATGGCCACTTTCATACCTAAGTGTGAAACTATATGACCTTCCAAGTGGCAAAGTCTGGGAAATCTTCCAAGGGAATTTAGAAATCATGGAAAAATTAATCAACTTCCTCATTGACAGTATGGGGATATTGATGATTTTCTGTCCAATCTCATAGAATCTAAGGTTCAAATGAGATGTTATTGTTGAACATACACTTTGAAACTAAAAAGTTTATTGAAATTTAAGTTATATTATGAATGTTTCTATGAATTTAAAATATAAAAATCTCAAAATGAGTTTGTTATCCCTTTATTGTGCTTATTGCCCTGTCAGATATTGAAAGAATTATAAATACTATTATGCATTACTCTTTTTTTAGAGATAGGGTCTTGCTCTTTTGCTCAGGCTAAAGTGCAGTGGTGGGATTATATAGCTCACTGCAACCTTGAACTCCTAAGCTCAAGGGATCTTCCCACACAATTGGGATTACAGGTGCATGCCACCACTCCTGGCTAATTTAAAAAATTTTTCTTTTGTACAGACAGGGTCTTGCTATATTGTCCTGGCTGGTCTGGAACTCCTGGCCTCAAGCTATCCTCCCACCTCAGCCTCCCAAAACACTTCAATTACAAGCACGAGCCAGTGTGCCTGACCCTTATTATGCATTACTTATCCCCAAAATATACCAACTGAAGAACTGAAGCAGCAGATGAATCAGGCTAATTTAGGACAAAGCACATTTAGCCTTACATTTGTCCAGTTTCCGAATAGATGTCTTAGTTTTTCCTTTCTCTGTGCATGCAGATACCATATATATTATGGCTACTGCTATTTTAGACTCATTTGTGTGCTATTAGAGTGAAAGTTGCTAATACTATTGGTTTATGAAAGTTGGAGACAAAATTTGTGATGTGCTTCTGGTTTAAACTTGAAGTCTGGTTTAATTGCCAGAGTGTTTTATAATAAGCATGGGTTACTTTAATTATCCTAGTAATTATCTCAGTTGAACGAGTCACTTTAGTTGGTCTTGTATATAGTGCCCCTATCTACAAATAAGAAAGGTGTGATGATACATGATGGACATTGGAAAGGGGTACAGTGACATCCAAGAATATTTTATTGTTACAAATAACTAGGTGAACTCAAACTAATCTCTGATGAAAATGTTAAATATACTTATCTAATGAAAAAGGGAAAATACATGCTTTTTTACTATCATTTTCTAATAAACCAGTCTTTCACTTTAGTCTGATTCAATGTCAAAGGTGTTTTTACTAATTTAAAATTTGGAAAACAAGATTATGCCTGCTTTATTTCAAAAGAGTGATTGATTTAAATATAAACATACTTTTTGAAGTATATCACCAATTGTCACAGAAAGTCAATTTATGAGGCACTGTAACTGTATTATGAAAGCTCAAGAGTAAATAAAATTAGAGCCCTTCAGTTGCAACAGGTAATGGCTGAGAAAGACCTGCTTTGACTTCTTTTTCTGTCTTGCTGATGTGTGCAATTTAGATTTTGTATCAGATGAGTCGTGTCTTAGTGTGAAAAGGAAATACATTTGGTTGGTTATATAATTCTGGTGGCTATTTTGAGTTAAGTCTGCCATTTAGACCATTTTTTAAGACAGCTAAATTCTTTTTCTTATTACATTTTAAAGTGAAAGTAGACGTTGAGTAAGGAAGGATTCTGGAGACTGGTCCCAGGGCTCCAGATAATTTGAAGCAGCTGCAAAATAAAGGAATGGTAGCTATTTTGATACAATCCTATCTAAGTCAGGAGTAGTGGGATCAGAAAGGGTTTCCCATTGAGATTGTTTATAGGTGGGAATTTTTACAATAATTATTTCAATTTTGCTCTTTTTGTTGTTTTTGTGGAGATGTGAGTTGAGAATGGGGGAATTCAGAATTCTGAAATGAGAATCAGGAGTATCTTGTGCAAGTCATTTTCAGACATTTTTCTCATTTTTAAAAAATGTGAATGATAAATGGAAAATTCATATGAAAGTGCTTTGTGAACTCTAAAATTGAAAGTCTAAAGAGCATATTTATATAAGATATAATTAGCTTGTCAAGTTAATTCACTGATTCTTTCACAGAATCTATGAAAGAATGAAATTTTTTTCTTCCTCAATATTCTGGATCGTAGCTGAGATTAAAATAGTAGAATCTGGATTGTGGTAAAATGTGCTTTTAAATTTAGAATCCAGGAACTATAACTACCTAACAGTACCTAGCAGTAATGCTTGGGAGATCAACTAGCTTTGTGAGTGTGACAGTTTCTTAGTGTGGGAAGTGGTTCTTCATTGTGTGAAAATATTCATTTTGGATGATACTAAGGAGAAGGATAAATGTTCAGAACAACTCCTTTCAGTTAACTGGCAATGAATCACAAGCATTCGAATTCATAGCTTTTAACAATCTGGTACAATTAAAACATATTTTCTCATTTTTATCTAGACTGAAATTGAGAGAAATGTAGCTCTAGATAATCTTTAATCTAGTAAAGATCACTCCTCTTTCTTCTCCTGACACATATTTGTTGTAGAAGCGAGACAACTTTGTAATAACAGTGATTACCAAGGAGTGCCAGTAATTACCAATGTGTTGGGAAAGAGTTATTGAAGAACTTCTAGATTTGTAATATTTTAGGCTCACATAAACACTGACTTTAGAATAATATTAGATGATGTATAGATTGCAAGGTAGTAGATGCATTCACTCTCTTGACTGCTAGGTTATGAGTAATGGATTCTTGAAGTTCTAAGTGACCAGTTTTCTGCTCTCAAACATTTCTTGGGAATTGTGATATTAATAACTAAAATTTCACTATTGGGAATGATTAATTTATGTTTCAAGATCTTTATCATCTTCAAGAGTATCATAGAAGATATGAAATATACTTTAAGCTATTACTAGGTAACATGTTAGCAGGCTGTTGGTTGACAGGTAGCTGAGAGTAATTCTTTATACAGAAAGGATAGGTGTATGAATGTGAGTGTCACAATCTGAGGGAGAGAATGTTCATTTGTATGAGCAGAAGGTTCATCTAGAATGTGATAAGTTTAGATTGACTGGCAGAGGAGAAAGGAGGGCACCAGTAAGCAATAAAAATTTTTAAAAATTCACAGTTTTGCTGAAGTCTTCCTGCCGCCCTATTACCCAGATTTGCCTAATGTCAAAGATGATTGTTTTATTGTTTCTAAGTGTTATTGGGAACTTAACCAACTAAATCCTTCACCCTTCTCATTTAGTTGAATCATTATTTCATATATTTCAGACATTTTCAATGGCTTGAAAGTAGGTAAGCTTATGACTTAAGGTGAAAAAAATTTTTAGTGAGCACATGTCGTGGTAAAATGCTGCAATTTTTGAAGAACTCTGTTTAGTACTACATTTCTTAGATATGTGATTTTATACAACCAGTTAAACATTGCATATGTAATTATATACTAGCTATACGAAATAAAAATGAGAGACTTTCATGTGAAAATTTCATATCTTTATAATATCAAATATAGAACTTAATCATATATTAATTGGCCATATGTATATCATATGCTGAGCTGTGCTATCTGATATAAAGATGAATAGTAACCCCTGCTAAAAGAAAATTTGTATTTTTGTGGAGGAATTAGAAAAGGAAATAAATGATCATAACAAATATGTATGAATTCTCATGTATTGTGAATTATTGAATAGAATATTTCGAGAATGGCTCTAAAGCCACATTTTGGCTCCACTGGAAAGACCTCCACTATCTATTTAGAAAGGCTTCTAAGAGAGCAGGAGTGGGGAATAGTGATGTTTTGGCCAGATGATTACAATCCTTTGATTAGTCAATTGAAATAAAAAGGGGCTGTTACATACCATGCTTTACTAAAAGGTGAGATTTCCTGAGTTAAAAAAAATATTTAAAATAATATTAATATGCTTTTGAGATTGCAAAATAACTTCCTTATGCTAGAATATAATATGAGACATTCATTTGCATTCAAATCATACACATTTTTGAAAGATCCTT
The DNA here is from genome assembly GCF_000001405.40 of Homo sapiens. Lineage (NCBI taxonomy): Eukaryota > Metazoa > Chordata > Mammalia > Primates > Hominidae > Homo > Homo sapiens. The sequence continues at coordinate 45,633,193 of NC_000005.10, read as the reverse complement.
AAATGGTTTTTTTGTTGTTTTTAGGGAGAAATAACAATATATTTTAATTTTATAGGCAGTCTTAAAAACTCTGCATTTAGTCAGAGAACTTAACAAAAAGTGAACCTAGTTCCTCTCTCTCTCTTTTTCTTGTAGTATGGATGCCCTTGTAGGAGACTCTTAACCAGGAAATTTTCACAATTACTAAATAAACAATTAGAAATATCTAACAGATTATCAAGAAACTGCTGCATTCAGGCACTTGCATGACCAACAGCAAATCAGTTATCCTGTAGTTCTGAAAACACTTACCTTATTCAAAATGCTTCACTTGTCTTCACATTTTCCATGAGTATATTATTCATTTACTTGTACCCCCCAGCTTCTATTTCAGCATGGAGTCACTTCCAACACCTGTGTCTGTTGTGGCTATTGTCAGAGAATCCATGTATTGATAGATTCTGTTTGAAAAACCAATGCATTCTTTCCACCAAAAGCTGTTGTAAAATATCTCTTCAGTTGTAGGACTGTTTATTGATGGTGTTTTTATTGTCATTGCTGTTGTTACTCTTGTTTGGGGGAGAAATAGCAGGCAGTGAAATTAACCAGAATTTCGGGTTAGATAATAATACCTATTTTCTAATAAGTGAGAGGTCAAAGGATCCCAGCTGTAATTCGTACTCTTAGGAAATCAATTCCTGTCTCTGTGTTCCAAGAAAAACAATTCTTGCTAATACTATGAATTTTTAAAACCACTTTTACCTTTATGGAAGCAGAATTTTTTCCTCATCCTCCTCTTTTGTCACATTTCTCACCAGAAGATTTGCTAACAGTTTGTCAGCAAAATATCTATTAGTCATTTTTCTTATAACTGGGAGAAAATAAATATAATTGCCTTATCAGGAAACAGACACACACACACACACACACACACAATGGAACATTAGCATTGGATCAAGGAAGTCCTATTTCAGAGACTCAGGCTGCTATAAATTCCATTGTACCTTGAACTGAAGAATGGAGTATTGAGGTTGAGGAAACCAGTATGATCGACCCCTTAGTTGAAGAACCATTAATTTTATGTTTTTATTAATTGCTATATCATTCATTTTCTGCCTCTCAAAACTGCAAAAACCCACAACATTTGTATAAAAAATAAAAGCAATTAAGGAGATGACTAAATTCAAGATAGAACATTTCCAAATTGGCAAAGTATCTTACTCAACTTGCAAGACCAAACGTATCAGATTAATTATTTTCCTTTCTACCCAGTATAAATCTCTGGATGATAATTTATTTTGTTCAGTTATTATTTGACATGAAAAGCAAATGCTTCAGCTTAAGAACTACAACTTAAATTTGTTAAAATTTTACAATAGTTATTCTAGAAACATATTCTCCTAAATTATATGATTTTTTAAAGTTCATTTTTTTCCAAAGAAACAATCAAAATAGTTTCCTCATAGCTCTGTCATGCAAAGAATGTTATTGTTACAGACTTGAGCCTACAAAATAATACAAAGATTTCATAGAATTTGGGAGAGAGTTTCCTTGGAGTGTTTTCCCAGAGTTTTTAGAAATCTTGATCCACATGCTCCAGTATGTAGTCTGTGAGTTGTCAATAGTTTCCTGAAGACAATTTTTTTTTCAATATTGGGAATGTTATCATGCAGGCAAAAATATCTTAGTAGCTTCTCACAGCAAATGATAATATGTCACTCCCACTACATAACCATCATAGGTGGGCTAGCGGTCCTGCTTCTTGTCATCTCATACCTGGATGTAGACTGACTAAGCAGCTCCATCATGACCACTGCCAGTCATTTTGACAGGGAGATAGATAGCTCTGTAGGGTTTTAAACAATCAGACTCAGAAGTGATATATTTCACTTCTTATAACTTTTTGGCCAAAATGTCACATGGCCTCAACCAACTGCAAGAAAGTCAAGAAGAACAGTCCTACCAAGTAACTGGGAGTCAGAGAACTGAAGCAATTTGCTTAATAGCATTACTTCAGTAGTTGGACTTGCTGAGAGATGGAGACAGGGTATGTCTTGAACGGATCACCAAGTAGGCCTGTGACTAACTTATATTACCTTTGTAACTGTTCAAAATAAAATCACCAACCAGGTTGATCTCTTTGTTTTTCTCTCATGGATGTTTTTGGTCCCAGACAACCATCTAGCTAGCTAATGAGGTCATAGTGGAGGAAATGTGATCTACGTTTTTATAATATAGCTCCTGTATGACCCATTAATTGATTATTCATTTTTTTAATAAATATATATTGGACTCATATGCTATGCATATACATTACAACAATACACAAAAATTAATTTCTTAAATAGCCTAAAGTCTAGTCATATGAGTAAAAGACAAATAAATAAAAAATTTAAAAAAAACAGTTCTCTTTGAGGATGTATCACAGCTTTAGAGGCTAAGGAAGGCTCCAGGGAGAAAGTGATACCTGAAATAAGACTTATAAGAAGACTAGGACTTATCAAGAAAGCCAAAGAAATACATTCTAGCCAAGGTAAATTCCTTAAGTAAAAAGACATGTAAGGGATTTTTCAAGAAACTTAAGTCCTCATAGCTTAGGTATACAGAGATGAGGTTTGAAAGATAAGTTGGTGTTTTGAAAGTCAAATTAAAGAGTATAGACTTTGTCCCTGAGGACAATAAGAAATCTTTGAAAGGTTTTAGGCAACACCATGATATTTTTAGCAAACACATTGTTTACTGTGGAGCCACATGCTATTCTAAGCTCTTAAAAATATTAATTTGATTAGGCCCCATAGTGACTCTATGAAGTAGGTAGTATCATTGTCACCATAAAAAAGTGAAGAAATTGAGGCACAGAGAGATTAACAATTTCCCCATATTGCACAGCTAGTAAATTATAGTGCCAGGATATAAATCCATACTCTGTTGTTCAAAATCTTGAATAGACCTTGCTCCCTCTCTGCTTAAATATGACTGAAACTGGTATATACTAGTTTTGGAAAAGAGGCAGGTAAGATTTGAGGCAGGGTCCCTATTGATTGGCGTGTGCTATAATTTGAACAAGAGTGGAAGCATTAGGGGGCCGATGATGGTGCTACCATATGATCTCCCTCCCAAGCTCACAAGGTGCTTAGAAAGCTGATAGACACTCTTTTAGGTATTAGCAGGAACTGGCACTTACCCTGGGGGACTCCCTCAGAGCAGCCTCTGGGGTATATCAACTATAAATTAATCTTTATTTTACTTACTTTTTGTAAGTGAACTCAACCTTAATAGGAATTTACATTACTCCATTAATGGAAGTACCAATTTTCAGGTTTCAAAACATTAGATTTAGTGTGAGTTTAATAATTTATTAATTGTGGATGAATATTAGCATAATTTAATTTCCTAACTTTCACACTTAAGATAATTACAATTCTTAAGATTTAGTTTTTTGTCTAAACCAATAGGGAGCATGTCTTATAAATGTATGATATAATAAGAGTAATTTTTTTATAAGGAAAACTTACTGACTTGAAATTTTGAGAACACTTGAAATACAAGCAATAAAACCCAGATCTTAAGTGTTACTCACAATATGTACATTTTGCTTATAATGTGTTACTTTTGTTTGGACTTTGTTTTTTAAAGAATTCAGACTTAGAAAGTACTTACAAATTAACTACTTTAGGATTCTTTGGCTACCAGTAAATTATATTACTATCATATATTTAATTATCTTTGAGTTTTACACCTTACTCTGATTTATGGAGAATCACTTCATTGCCAAGAATATGGTCTGTCTCAGTGAATGTTCTATATTCACTCAAGAAAATATGTTTTTCTACTATTATTTATTAGAATGTTCTGTAATAGTCAATTAGGTCAAATTTACTCAATTAACAATGTTGTTCAAATCTTCCATATCCTTACTGATTTTATGACTGCTTGGTCTCACAGTTCTTGAGAAAAGGATATTAATATACTAAACAATGATTTTGCCTTTCTCCATTTCCCCTTTCAGTTCTATCAGTTTTTATTGTAGATACTTTGAAGCTATGCTGTTAATTTCATACATAGTTAGGATTGTTATGTCCTCTTGGTGAATTGCTGCCTTTATCCCTATAAAATGACTCTCTTTACCTCTGATGTCTACTTTGTTGGATATTAATATTGCCACTGTACTTTAATAATTGTATAATATATGTTTTTTAATAATTTCTTTTATTTTCTTTTTTTTTTTTATTTTTTATTTTGAGTTGAAGTTTCACTCTTGTTGCCCAGGCTGGAGTACAATGACATGATCTCACCTAGCTCACTGTGACCTCCTCCTCCTGAGTTGAAGTGATTCCCCTGCCTCAGCCTCATAGCTGGGATTACAGGCACCCACCAGCATGCCCGACTAATTTTTTGTAGTTTTAGAAGAGACAGGGTTTCACCATGTTGGCCAGGCTGGTCTCGAACTCCTGACAGGTGACCCACCGCCTTGGCTTCCTAAGGTGCTAGAATCACACGCGTGAGCCACTGCACCCAGCCTTATATTTTATTTTCAATGTGTGTGTTTCAAGTGAGCTTTTTGTAGATAATATATAGTTGAGTCTTTTTATTTATCAAACCTGAAAATCTATTCCTTTTAATTGTAATACTAAAATCATTTATATTTTAATGTTTTTGTTCTCTACTAATAAGCATTTTATCCTGAATTGTATACTTATTAATATGCTTCTATTCACCAAAGTTTTTACAAAGATTCAGAAAAGTTTTTTCCAACTTTTTAGCAGTTTTTGTTCTATCTTTTCCTTTGTGATTTTTTTAAGTAGGTGATTTTTTGAGAGCTTTATGAAAGAGTTTACAACCTAGATAATAAAACAATAATAGTAATGAGTATTCTCAGTAAGCAGGGCCAGGGCCTGCATTATTCAGGTTTAGGCTTTTGATGGTGTGGGAACATGTGAGCCATGTGAAATAGTGATGTTAGGGAGACACTAATGTGTTCACTTTTTTACTCCAGTCACTCTCTACCTTGAGAGGACCAATTTTTATCACACCAAGAGAAGTAAAGAACAATGTATGAAAATACAAGTTGCTTGGCAATTTATTGTTTGCTTATGCCACCAATGTTCCAGTGCTCTCTGTAGACAGAAGTGTTCAAAAAGCTGCTAGTTTTTGAGTTCTCTACTCTGGTGTGGAAATCCATTATTATTTATTTGCGTCTATGCTTTTGTAGAATTCACGAATAAAATTTGATATATTTAAATAAAGTTATCTAAAATTTCACAAAGAAACTAAGAGTATTGTTGACACTTTGGTTGTAAATGGCTTATGGAGGTGATCATTTTTCCAATAAATGCCACATTTATGATTATGTTATGACATTTTTCTTGTACACAAGCTCATGGATAATGCCCTGCCACTTAAGTAAAGTAAATATATGTTTATTTCCATTCATGTCTATTTTCCCTGAAGTTAAACATAGTATTCACAGATAAAACTATATATGATAGACTCTTATCTTGACTCTACCCTGAAATGGGGATTTTAGATTTTATTTTATAAAGAAGGAAATTATTTTCTTCTAACAGCATATATGTGGTGCAAAGTAGACATGATAGGTATTATTTTGACAAAAAGTGACTTAAAAATTTGCCATCTACTGTTATTTCAGGGTTGTGTTACAGCAGAAATGTAGGATGCCATAATCAACTGTTGATGACAGTCTCTTTTGCTTCCCCAGATCAGTGAAAAATAAAATCACCATGGTTGCACCTCGTCCATAATGGAGCATTTGGAGTGATGGCTCAGTATAATGCAAATCATAATGAGGATGAGGGAGAACACTATACATCTTTCTCACATGATGCAAACTGATCACATGCAATCATATCCAGATTATTTTGGAGAAAAAATGACATGTGTGACTTAGTAAGAGGCAACATTCCTGCTATTCAGATGTGAAGCCTTCTAGTGACTTGGTGTGATAAATGGCTGATTTTGCAGGTTCTATATTTCAATGTCAGTTACCAAAAAGAAAACTGTCATCTAGACAGAAAGAACAAGATGAATCAGAATTACCAGAATTACGGAATTGTATTTCTTCCTGCCTGAAGGCATAGTCATCTTATTTGGCATCAGCCCTTAAGAGTTTGACTTTGAGAAATATATTTGGAACAGAAGTGCAGGAAAATGAATGGACCCAGTTATATATATATGTACACACACATACATATATATATATACATGTTATATATACATATATATATGGCATGTGTGTATATATATATATGGCGTGTATATATATGGTAATCATATACATATGTATGTCACATACATATATAAGTATATGAAACTATTACCTTCTCTGTGAGGTTTTTTTATTTTTATTTTTAATTGGATCTTATAACTCTCTGCGTCCTCCAAATGAAACCTTCTGATAACTTAGAATTAACTTGACCAGGGCCCTGAATGATTCCCTGCTGACCCTTTCAAACTCAGCTTGTATTGTTTTCCCCTTTTGCAGACTATTCACTAGCTTTATTAGACTTATTTCTGTTTTTTGACGCTTGGTCCTTCCTTAGGAATTTTTACATTGGTTGTTTTCTCTGCCTCCCCAATCTTAGCTCAGATCTTAACCTTCACAAATAGATATTTCCTGAACACCTTTAGCTAAAGTTGCTACTCCTTTACATTTACCTTCACATCATGAGTCTTTGTTTGTTGGCATTTAGAATGGTTTTATTTATATGTTTACTGCTTTGCTACTCTGTCTCTAGTAGGATGCTGGCTGGTTCATAATTGATTAGTACACAATTCTCAGTGCTTAGATATTACCTGCCACATGGTGAGCACTCAGGAGTGATTGTTGAAGGATGTTTCCCAGGAGCAGCACATTGCTGAGCGTAGTATTTCAGTGATTTCCACGTCAATATTCAGAAGAGGTGGTCTAAATAGTTATATAATTATTTTCAACAAAGAAGCATTATTAGATGTTTATTTGTAATTGAAATTAATAGTCTTTCACAATTATAAAATTGATAAGTGACAGCAAAGTGGTGTGATTGACATACACATGATTTGGGTTGAAATTTTCTTTCTGCTTCTAATGAGCTTTGTCATCATGAGAAGTGTATATTTTCCTATCTATACAGTAGGGTTAAGAATAGATAACTCATAGGAACGTTGTAAAGACTGAAGGAGCTAGTATCTCTGTAAAGAGTCCAAGGCAAGACCTGAACACAATTCCTGGCACATAAAAGAATTGTTGTGAATTGTGAGCACAAAAGTTTTGCCTGTATCATCCCAAATTTTCTTCATGTTGTTGTAAATGTGCCTTCTATGTAAACAAGGTCAAAGATTTAATATTAGAGAATGATCAAAATAGTGTCCTAATAAGACAATGAATTTTTTTTTTTTGGTTTTGGTTTTGGTGTTTGCAATAAAATAATACATTTTACTAAGTACCCTATGCCAAAGCTTAGCTCATTACAATTTTGAAATTTTATTTTATTCGCACTGAATTGATCTATTTTATTAACACATTACTGTTCTATGTTTTTCATATCCCTTTTAGACTTTGAAAAAAAAGCTGTAGGGTTTTCTTTCTTTTTTTTAAAGTTTTCTCTTTCCCAGGTGAGAGTGCTTTTTATTCTATAATTTTATAGGTTAAAATATAAATTAGAGCTCTTCATGTTTTTTTTCCCATCTCTTACCTAATCAAGAACAATAGCATCTATAATATGTGAAGGTACTAGGCACAGTTGGTATTGGTATGAGGTATCAGGAAGATATGGACAATGAGGCAAGCCTGGGGACTGGGGTGCCCTACCTTATCTTTGCAAATACTCTAGGAAATGGCAGACTGACACTAATTGTACATATTGTACATGAAGATTAATAGTTTTTTTTGTTTTGTTTTGTTTTGTTTTGTTTTGAGACAGAGTCTTGCTCTGTCACCCAGGCTGGAGTGCAATGGCATGGTCTCAGCTCATTGCAACCCCTGCCTCCAAGGTTCAAGAGATTATCCCACCTCAGTCTCCCAAGTAGCTGAGACTACAGGTGCCTGCCACCATACCCGGCTAATTTTTGTATTTTTAGTAGAGATGGGGTTTCACTATGTTGGCTCCCAAAGAGCTGGGGTTACAGGCATGAGCCACTACGCCCAGCCAGATGAATTTTTTTAATACCAACATGTAGCCTTGCTTTAACAGCTACACACTATTAGATCAAACAATTTTATGAGGAAAACTAAGAGAAATATTTTGAACAGGAGCCTGAGGACAGAAGAGGGTGCATATGCCTTCTCATTATCTCAGAAAGCCACAGATTCATGGCAAGAAGAGGCCTTGCCTTCCCCTAGAGTTATTCCCAGCCTCATTACTTACCACAGTTGACCTAAGGTACCATCTAGACTTGTTCCAGTGTGCCCTACATCCCTGCTTGCCTCCATAAACACAAGAGGGCCCAGGCTACTAGATGTTTCTCATTCCCAAATGGCTCCATACATCCATGATTCTGACCCCATCTAATGCCCCTCTCCAGCCCCATCCTTCACACTTTCCACTAGGTCCTGTGGGTTTTGAGGTCTCTATCAATAGAATCCCTCTGTCTTCCAATTCTTCTTTAAATATCCCACTCACTTTTTTTTCCTGTTAAACCAAAACCCAGTGACACTTGAGGGGCAATGCTTCACCTGTAGCCCTTGCAAGTGGTGACTTTCTCTTTTCCTCTGCTCATTCTCAGGGTATGCAAGTGAAATAGGTGCATTCCTAGATCCTCACTGTCAATTGTAGTCCATTCTATTCCACTGATTACTTAACTACTCTTTCTCACTGTTTCCATCTCTAATGCATTGGCTCTATTTTCAAAATAAATCTGGAGTCTGACCACTTCTAACCAGCTATATACCCTTACTATTGTATGGAGCCACCATAATCTCTTGCGTGGGTTATTGTAACCCTCCTAAGTGTTTTATTACTTCTACACTTGCCATACTTAGGCTTATGTTTCATACAGCAGCCAGAACATTTCTTTGAGAGCCTAAGCCAAATCATAGCATCTCACAGTTTCAAATGTTCCAATGGCCTCTAATCTAATCAAGAGGCCCATAAGGTCCTGCATTATCTGACTTGGCTACCTCTATGACCTCACCTTGTATTACAGAGTCCTTGTTTATTTCCTCTAGCCACACTATCTCCCTGCACTACGTGGAACTTGCCAAGAGTGCCCTTGACTCATGGTTTTTATATGAGTTCTTAACTCTGCCAGGAATATGCTTTCACCAGGTATCTTCTCATCTTTCACTTCTTTCAAATCTCTGTCAAATGTCAAATTATCATTGAGATCTTCCTTGACTACTTTATATAAAGCAATAATCCTCTCTTCATCATTACTCATCCATCCTGCTGTGTTCTATTTTTTGTTCATAGCATTTATCACTTCATGTAGTATACATTTGTTTCTCTCTCTCTCTTCCAGAATGAGAGCTCTAGGAACATGAGATTTTGTTTCATTATTGTGTTGTCCTCTTTGCCTAAAACAACGTAAAGGAGTTAGTAAATTTATAGTCATTATTTGTTGAATGAATAGTTAAATGATCTCATCACACTTTTGAATTATAATAGTTAGGATTCTTTACTTCAAACACGAGGAGATGTTTCTCTACCTGAAAGAAGAACTGCCTTTTTACCCAGCTGCAGAAATAATAGAAGATGGGAAAAGAATTGAGGATACTATTATTGTAGTACTTGAGATTAAAGTTTCTTGAGAATCTCATGTCTAAATCAAACAAAGGGTATTAGATAACCTATTTATGAAAGTCTCAGAGATGGAAGTGATGTGAGGGGAAGCTAAGACATGAAGAGACAAAGTGAACTTGTCTAAAAATAATGGAACTGATTAGTGGCAGGCAGGATTGCATCTCTGACTCATTAGTCTCTCTCCAGGAATCATTCATTCAGCAATGAATATTTACTGAGTGCCTGCTTGTTCAGTGTCAAGGAGAAAGACACAGTTCTCCTCTTATGGATCCTACAATTTAACATAAGACATGATATTAAAAACATTAAAATTAAACACATATATTCTTGGGCTATGAAGGAGGAGACAGTATTTGAAAAGTGGTGTATTATGAAAGGAGACTGACACAGTCTGAAGAATAAAATTAATCTTTGGCTAGGTGTAATCATGAAGCTGGTGGAGTTTTGAGTGATGAGTGGGGAGTTGAGAAGAGAAAGAGGAAGGAGATATGTTCCCGGCAAAAGGACAAGACACTAGTTCCTGCTGCAGGAAGGAGTGGAGTGCCATCACTTAATGGAAGAAAGGCCTAGTTGTCCTTTGATAAATACCAGACTCCTGCTTCGGTATCATTATTGTTCTATCGACTACTTACGAAAGCATAATAGGTATTAATTGTATAACCTTATATACAATTTGACCATGAATAAACGGTTTACTCTTTTAATTTCAGAAATGGATTCTCCATTAGCTGAAAAGTCTAACTTCAGTCCTGGTGTTCATGTTGATGGGCTTCTTTTTATCTCTTTTTCTTTCATGTTGATGGGTTCCTTTTTATCTCTTTTTCTTTTTTTCAAAGAAACCCCTCCCTGGCAATCTGTTTCCTTGCAGCTCATCCTTTCTCATCCAGCTAGCTTCCTATTTTTATTGCTGAGTCATCCAATCAGCTTTAATTGTCTCTCTCTCTCCAGCTGGCTCTGTCTTTTTGGAGAAAAAATTCTGCTACAGGTGCATTTTTTAAAATTAGGAAAATGTGAGTGTCTAAATATGGGCACAGCTAGACTTTAATGGTGAATTTTGAAATTATAAAAGATGATTAGTACCTTGTATCTTTCATTATGGTGAGCAACAGTTTTTAAAGCATTCATCCCATCCACAAACTGACCCATAGCACTCAGAAAAATCTTTTTTAAAACAATTCCTTTCACATGGCTTGTATTTGTTGCTTAATTATTTACTTTCTTTTCTTTTTAGAAAGTTTAGATCCATTTAAAATTGGGTCCCTTTTTTTTTTTAAGACGAAGTCTCCCTCTGTCGCCCAGGCTGGAGTGCAGTGGCGCGATCTCGGCCTCCTGGGTTCACGCCATTCTCCTGCCTCAGCCTCCTGCGTAGCTGAGACTACAGGCGCCCGCCACCACGTCTGGCTAATTTTTTTGTATTTTTTAGTAGAGACGGGGTTTCACCGTGTTAGCCAGGATGGTCTCGATCTCCTGACCTCGTGATCTGCCTGCCTCAGCCTCCCAAGAAAAAGAATTAATCTTAAGATACACTATTGGTCGTCTACAGTTGTTCCTAATTAGTGGATTTCACTAAATGATAAGTAAAACAATTTTTTTTCTGCTTAGGTTATTCAAATGTTAATACTCAAATGCTTATATTAGGTTAAACTATTTATTAAAAAATCCACTTATATTGCCAAATAATGTATTTTGATTCTTGTTGGCAAAATCAAAGATTCAAACTACTAGATTCGTTATGTTTTTTGGGTGAAAGGTTTGTATTTATGTGGTATTCAAAATGTTTCCAGAATGCTTTATTTATCAAATATTTAATTCCCACTTACTGTAGTCATATAGACCTAGTTCTACAAATTACGTTTTACTAATTGTCCTCTGAACGTAAACTGAATATCCTCATGTTTTTGGGTTCATAAATAAATAATAAAGCTCCATTAGATTTTTTATCCCCCATGCTTTACAATTATTCAGGACACCTTTTCCTGATAGAGTACTACAGAAAAATATAATTTAATTCAGTGTGATAACATGAGGTGAAATAAGGCAAACATGAGGAATCAGGAGACTTCTATTTTCAGCTTTGTCACTATCTCATTAAATGAGCTCAAAAAAGCATTTAACCTTCCAAGCCTGACTTTTCACTTCTGGAGGAAAAAAAAAAGAAAGGTGGAACAATTATGAGAATTACCTAACAAGAATTTTCAGAAATTGGAAGTGTGAGTTTCCAGTTTCTGGAATAAAGATTGCTAGAAGCAAGAACTCTTTGAATGCATCATTATCTTGAACTGAAATCACCCTTTTAGATTGAAGAAGTATTTCCTAGTTATAGAGAAAACAAACACATTTACACCTCTCTCAATGTCTGTCCTCAACCCAGAATCATTGTTTGAGTTGAGAAGGCTGGTGAAAAAGAGACTGGTTTCTAATCTGGTTCTGACATTAAGTTTCTCTGTGACTTTGGTTTACATCTGTGATCTCAGTTTCCTTATCTGAATAATCAGAGGATTGGATTATGTACTGTGTATTGTCTAATCCAGTTTTAACTAGGATTGATGTATCCCAACCATCTGGAAGGATGCCTGGCACATAAGAGATGCTCAATAAATAATAGATTGAATGAATGAATAGATCCTTAAAGTACCTTCATTTGGTTTGTTAGATAGGGTACTGTAGACTTGTCAGATACAGGGACTGCAAGGATACTTGTAAAGGAGCAATATTATGGGGATGAAGTTTGAATGAACTAATGATTTTCTCTCACTTGCTCAAACATGAAGTGGAGGGGGAGGCTATTGGAATTTTGCTGAGATTTGCTTGGTCATTTTTTGTATTTATGTTCCTATCCTCCCTCCCTTTCGACTGTAAATGAATTTATATAACAGAACTGGCTTTGATAATAATAATCATTATATATATATATGTATTTTAAAGTTTCCTCACATAGTTTAGTTCCATAATGCTCTCCGTATTTGTCTTCTGATACTAGTCAGAAAATTTAAAAAAATTAATTTGAAAATAATTTTAGATTTATAGAATAGTAAAATATTATATAGGGTACTTACATAACTTTCACTCAGCTTCTGAAAATGTTAACATCTTACATAAATATAGTATATTTCTCAAATCTAAGAAATTAGATTGGGTATATTGTACATTGTACATTAGTACAACACTAGCTACACTACAGAGTTTATATTTCACCAGTTTTTCCACTAATGTCCTTTTCCTATTGTAGGATTAAATATGCATACCACATCACTATTAGTTGTCATGCTTCTTTAGGAATATATGATGTTTCTTAGTCTTTCCTTGTTTTTTGCCACCTTGACGCCTTGAAGAGTACTGGGCAAGTATTTTGTAGAATTTGTTCTTTTACAATGTTTTCTTATGGTTAGACTGCATTATTCACTTAGGAAAAATGCTGCTTAGATGAAGTGCTCTTCTCATTGTATCTAACTAGGGTTACATAACATCAACATAACTTATCACTGGTGATATTAACCTTCATCACTTGATTAAGGTGATGTTTACCAGATTTCTCCACTGTAAAGATACTATTTTTCCTTTCCCATACTCTGTTCATTAGAAGAAAGTCACTAAGTACAGTTTATACTCAAGGAGAGAGAAATTAATCTCTACCACCCGAGAGAGGAATATCAAAGAATTTGTGGGCCTGAGTTCAAATCACCACATTAATTAATAAGTATTTTGGGGAAGTTATATTTAGGTTATGCAAATATCCTGTTTGTCCTTAAAGTTTAGTCCACTAATTTTAACATTCTTCAATGGAGCTTGGCTGTAGCAAATATTACTGGGGTATTCTAGTGGTGATTTTTTTTCTATCTCCCTCATTTCTTCTATCTCCCTCATTTATTCTGCATTTATTATTTGAAATTCTTCTATAAATGAAATCTTCCCCAGCTAATTCATTCATTCATTCATTTACATCAGCGTAGATTCATATTTATTCAGTTCCTATTCGATACTATTGTCATTTATTTTGTTTCTCAAATTGATCTAGCTTTAGCTAATTCTTTTGTTAGGATACCGTATATTTTTTAGCACTTCCTTATTTTCTGGCACTACACAATGTTCGATTCACCGTGTATTCTCTCTTCCCCAGTTTGAATCTGCAATTTTTCTAGGGATCCATAGTTATTTTTGTTGAAGAACAGTATTTAGAATTGTGATGTGGGTGCCAGATACGCTCATTGCTACCAGGGTATAGAAGTGGCACTGCTTCTAGGCCCTTCCAAGACAATGGAAGCAATTTTAAACGAGATTAGTGCCTGTGTATGAAAATATTTCTTAGGAGGCTTGGTTTCTACTTCTTCTCATTACTTCTACTACTTTAGGAGTTTGATGTGACTGATTATAGATTCCTCACTTAAGAAAAAAATCAATTTTTCTACCAGTTAAGTGCTAAAACCATTTTCAAAGCAAATACCAGGAAGGAATAAGATTTCACTACTACTAAAATAGTAATTACTCTCAAAATGATAATTTCACCCTAGATTGCTGTTTCAGACTTTCATGTTTAACTCCCCACCGAATGCTCCTACCTGTAAGTCTGCATGGTGCTTCAAACCCAATATGTTAAAAAGTGAACTCTTTATATCCCGTCTAGATTGCTGTCTCTCCTTTTTTTTTATTTTATTTTTTGATCAGTCTCAACTGCAGCACCATTCATCTAGCCATTTAAGTTAGACTCTCTATCAGCTCACCTATACAATCAATTATTAAGTCCTGATTATTTTACTTCCTAAATATAATATGGAATTTGTTCTTTCAAAATGTTTTCTCATGATTAGACTTGAGTCATTAATGTTTAGAAAGAATACTACAGACCATCTTGCTCTAGCTCATAACTTCATTGCCTTCCTTACATTGGGTGAATTACACGTGTTCTCTAACTGCTCTTTGTTTATGTTAGCCTTATGTTTTTCAAATCCGTTATTCTCACTGCTCTAGCAAATATCTTGCTATGCTACTTCTCTGTTTAAAGCCTCTCAAATGACTTCCCATTGTTTACAGAAATCAATCTAGCTCCTTAAAATATCATACAAAGCATTCTAAACCTCTTTGTTCCCACAATCACTATAGGCTTCTAGTTCAGGTATAAGCTATTTCCATTTTGTAATGCCTCTGTGCTTCTGCTTATCACATCCTCTTAGCAGGAGGAATACCTCCGTGTCCCTTTCTTTAGTATTCATCCCCACCCCTCACCACAACACACACCCGTATCTTCCAGGATTCCTTCCCTGACTTCATTTTGTAAGCTTGTTTAGTAGATTTTCAGTGCAACAATGGCTTCCTGCACTTATGTCACTATTAGTATTATTGATTGCTTATAACATGGCAAGAAATCTACTAAGTGCATTAGCTACTTTATCTTTTTCATCATTCCTAAACTATTATATCTGAATTTCCCATCTGTGTTCTGCCTCTTCTAGTATAATGAGCTCCTGAGAAAATGCATCAGAGCTTACGCTTTGTTATTTCACCAGAGAGAACAGTTTCTGACAGATAGTAAGTCTACAATATACTTTGTAGCAAATGAATGAGTAGACTCTGGAACAGGTTGGGTTGGGGAGGGAAAAGCTATAGTCTCATTGGAATGTCTTTTTTTAAATTAATTTATATTCCTAGAAATTGGTAATGCTTGCTGCTAGGAAGATGTTGATGAGAACTAGTAAAACAACTAATAATGGTTACTCCTTAGTAAATATTTACAATATGAAAACATTTCTCCTAAATTTGTCATCTGCATTTTCTCAAGTAACCTTCACAAAACACTACAAATTAGATTTTCTCTCAATTTTACAAAAGGAAATTAAGGCTGTGGCAGAAATTGTTAAGAGGTTCCTCTAGAGTTCACCATACCATTTTGTTCACTCTACCTAAAAAGTGGGAAATGAAGTGGCAGGGCCAAGTTCATGCCAATGGAATATGAATGGAAATAGCATGCTTTATTTCTATGCCTGGCCCATAAAACTTCACCACACTTTCTCTTCCATTCTCCTTTCCATTCTCTGACTTAACCCATGGTCACCACTCGTGGAAGACAGTGGAACCACAGATGGAAGGAACTTGAGTCCTGGAATTTCTACTTGGAGAAGAGACAGTTGTCCATGAGGTACATCCGTTGGACTTTAAATGAACATGATTAACTTGTGTTTTAAAAACCTGAGATACTAGTGTTTAGTTGTTGAACTCCTAGCATCACCCTAACTAATGCAGAGGTTGACAGACATTATTAACTTGTCCAAGGTCACACATTTCTAACATTTCTATAAAACATGTGCAAGCAATTGAAAGCTGGTTTGGTCTGACTTTATAGCTTGTGTTCTCTTAACTTATATGGCAGCCGTTAGTAAGTATAAATATATATGTTTTTCTGTTTTTCAAAATTTGATTTAGGGCTTGCCAAGTATTTTTGAAATCACTGCTCCCACCTCTAGCTCCTACTAAAAGTTTGCCATTATAAATGATAACAACATTTCCACAGACTTGCCTTTGTCACAGGCATCTTTAAGACTACAATAAATGCTGAGGTATTTAGGACACATTTGCGGGATAAGTAGAGTAAGCAACATTTCTAGGTTTTTGATTGTGTTTGGAAGCATGGTTGTATGTTTATGGTAATATAGTTACTTTATTTTGATTAAAAAATCGAAGGAAAAATGGAGCTATTTTTCCTATTTTCTTTTCCTATTTGGATGTATCACACATATATTTCAATCAACCAAGTTTGTTTTTTATTTAATGGAAGAGCCAAAGGATATTTTTTCATTAACTTCTCTTTCTTCTTTTCCTGGATCTTCAATGTAATGTAAAACAAAGATTATGGTTTTATCAATGCAAAAGACTTAAATTTTGTGGCCAACTTCCAACATTACTGAATATATCACTTTGAAAGTGTTCTTTAAACGCTGAGAAAATCTTATTTTCTGTAAAGTAAAAATAATAATATCTTACTCATAGAAGATTAAATAGAATAAACTATTTAATTATAGTTCTTAACATACAGGAGCCAAATCAGTACATGATATTAGTGTTTATTGTCCTTGTGACTATTGTTGTTATTTTAATTTTTTACTATTTTAGGCGCACTCTCAGCCCTTAAAATACCCTTAACTTTTCTCAAACTTCAAATTGAGCATCTGATAAGTTTTTCTACTTTTCCATTATTCGTTTCCTGAAAGTTGGGTGATCTCATAGATTATAAGTGCTCCATGTATTATCACGTTATGCCCACAGTTTGGCATTGCATTGTGAAGATTTATCTGAGAAGTTATTCCCAGTTTATTCTTTCCTGTTAAATGTAAAATGTGTATGAACTGCCAGTCTTCCAATACTTGGCCATAAAAGCCTTTGGAGGAAAAAAAATGCCATCTTTTTTTTTTTTTTCAAGAAAAACATTGTTATATACCAAATACCTCTTTTAGTCATTTTCATTTGCATACTTCCTGGGTATGTA
The DNA here is from genome assembly GCF_000001405.40 of Homo sapiens. Taxonomy (NCBI): domain Eukaryota; kingdom Metazoa; phylum Chordata; class Mammalia; order Primates; family Hominidae; genus Homo; species Homo sapiens. The sequence goes on along the minus strand of NC_000005.10, from coordinate 45,616,003 downwards.
AAATTATTTAGCATAGTGCTTTTAAAAATGTCTTTATAGACGTTCTTTTATTTTAGTTCATGATTTGCTGAAGTCATTTTGGAAAAATAATTTTGGTGTTTTGAGTTGAATAACTGTTGCATTTCAAGCTATTTTGCAAGTCATCACCATAGAAGATTCGTTTGTAATCAGAATTTCTTGAGGACGGAAATGAGATCAGGCCATAATACTCTTCCTTCATCTTTCTTCTGATCAGAGAAGAGCCAAGACATAGATAATTGAAAATAGTAATTAACCTCAAACCACGTGTATTTGGCTTTAAAGTTAGTTTCATGATTTTGAGAAACAGCTGTACTTTTTAAATTAGATATATTCAGAAAATCATTAATATAGCTTTATTCCTTAAGCTTATAACAAATTTTATCAAGGGGCTTCAGGCGAGAATTGTGAGAAGAGGCTAGAATGATCCACTGAGAATGCTTTCAATCAACTGTTTTATTCTGTAGTCTTGCAATTAAACACTACATTCTGTACCCACACTAGCATCTCTATGAAGTTTCAGTGTGTTTTCAATAAGCCTTTCTGCAATTGAGGCATAAAACATATCCCAGTATTGTTTCTGGCTTTGGTTTATATTTGGAATAAGATATTAAATGTCCAGAGCAAAACCTATAGCCATCTGCGTAAAATGAATGTTTATACTTTACTTCTCTGAGGTCACTTTTTCTCTCACTCTCTATTCCCAAAAGATCATGATTCACTATATTGAGATGCCTAGAATTATCAGGTCAGAGTGCTTAATTTGCAAAGATTTCTGTTAAACAATTAATGTAAATGTGATTGTTTTATGTGAATAAATACTTGACTACTCATTGTTATTTATATCATCTTGCTTAGAATGAAAGCAGTGAAATCTGGTTACAGGAAATGATGTTTTGTTTTGTTTTGTTTTGTTTTTAGCTCAGAAACTCATCAATTGAGATATAGAGACAATTTCCAGCTTTGGAAAATTAAAAACAAATTAACGAAGTTGAATTACGTTTTTTTTTTTTTCTCTGTGGTTTTGAAATATATTCCACTCTCCACCTGTGAATATGCAGTTTCCAACTAAATGAACCAATAGATGAATTTCCAAATTTGAATTTCAAATTATTGGGAGTTGGGTGGGGTGACATAATCTGGAGTGTGAAATATGGAAGTGGGGTAACAGAAAATTGAAAATTCAAAAACATATGAGCACAAATGAAATTCTTTTGCAGTACTGTTTATATGTATCAAATTTTGCTGCTTTAGCTTCTTTTCTGTTTTCATGCAGCTCATTTAGTATTAAAACGATTTAAGGAAATAGGCAGAGGAGAAATCATTAGAGAAAAGAGGAGAAGCCACAGGGATAGTTCACAAATTGGATAATCAGTCCCTAAATAAGTGAGAGATGAATATATTTGAAAGATTTATCAATAGCAAAAAAGCCTGAGGTAACTTTAAACCACAACCATTGTCAACGTGAAGAAGTGACCTATTTCAAGTTTTCGCTTTCTTTTTGTGTCTCCTTTGGCAGCTTTTGTGAATGAATATCATGACCTGCCACCAGCATTACAAAATACAGAGAACTCTAGTTTGTATTCAGACATGGATATTACAAGTGTATTTCTACTTTTTAACTGAAGTTTATCACTGATTTCATTAATATGACGGATTTATGTTTTCCTAGGAAATTAGGAGACAGACGGATAAATAGTTATGTATAACAGGAATTAATAAATGGGGGAATTCATCATCTTCCAGGATACAAATGAAAATATAGACTTCTGATCCGCAAGATAAGATATTGAGGGAGGAACTTTTGGAAAATAGCAGTCTGGGTTACTAAAGGATTCTTGATTGTCATGGATGAGTATCACATGAACAACAGATGTCCATTGTTACTAACTGCCTTAGCCATACAGGAAAAACAGTATTTGGGGAGCCATTGGTACATCATTTTTCCGGACCTGCTATACATAACAAGAATAAACCTAAGGCTAAATAGCTATGTTTTAAAAATGATTACTGGACTTATTTTATTACAGTAACCATTTCTCCCTACACTTGAATTTGGAGTGCTCATAAGACTGCGGATTATCTGCAATACCCTGAATCATAATTGAGACTATTTCTACCACAGAGTATAAAACATACTAATTTGGTGATGACTATTGATATGGCAAGTTTTTTTTTCTAATTTTACTGAAGAATTTTTAATAAAAATAAAATTACATTAAAGAATTCCTTCCACATTTTCTTAATCCAGTCTATCATTGTTGGACATTTGGGTTGGTTCCAAGTCTTTGCTATTGTGAATAATGCCACAATAAACATACGTGTGCATGTGTCTTTATAGCAGCATGATTTATAGTCCTTTGGGTATATACCCAGTAATGGGATGGCTGGGTCAAATGGTATTTCCAGTTCTAGATCCCTGAGGAATCGCCACACTGACTTCCACAATGGTTGAACTAGTTTACAGTCCCACCAACAGTGTAAAAGTGTTCCTATTTCTCCACATCCTCTCCAGCACCTGTTGTTTCCAGACTTTTTAATGATTGCCATTCTAAGTGGTGTGAGATGGTATCTCATTGTGGTTTTGATTTGCATTTCTCTGATGTGGCACATATACACCATGGAATACTATGCAGCCATAAAAAATGATGAGTTCATGTCCTTTGTAGGGACATGGATGAAATTGGAAAACATCATTCTCAGTAAACTATCACAAGAACAAAATACCAAACACCGCATATTCTCACTCATAGGTGGGAATTGAACAATGAGATCACATGGACACAGGAAGGGGAATATCACACTCTGGGGACTGTTGTGGGGTGGGGGGAGGGGGGAGGGATAGCACTGGGAGATATACCTAATGCTAGATGACGAGTTAGTGGGTGCAGTGCACCAGCATGGCACATGTATACATATGTAACTAACCTGCACAATGTGCACATGTACCCTAAAACTTAAAGTATAATAATAAAAAAAAGAATTCCTTCCTCCAACGTTTGTATTGTAAATAATTAACTATTTGAAAATCATCATAGGGATAGCTGCCAGTTGAGGATAGCTTAAAATATAAATATGCATCTTCCGATATTTAGTTTCCCTTTGTTTCTCTGGAACACACACTTTGTTTCTCTGGAATACAATAATTGGGAGAGCTAAGTACCTCTCCTTGTGAGGTCATTTCCATTTAGCTTTTTGAAAACAGAATGGGGCAAAGTGATCTATAATAAAGAAGAATGGCTACTATACTTTTCAGTGACATCAGCTGGTATCCTTTGGCTTTGAGACATGTACTCTTCACTTTCAGGGTTCATCAGTGTAGCAGGAAGGTTGAGTAAATGCATACAAACCAAAAGAAGTATAAGGAAACAAAATAACATGATCTGATACAAGTCAATGGAATCCAAATTACGAACACTTGGGCCTCAGGAAACCAATATTTAATGGTATCACTTCATAATATTTGGGATTGCATAAAAAAGTATGTAGTTACCTTTTAAAATAATAAAATGATTTCAATATTAATCAGTATGTGTTGGCTGTCATTATAAATGTGCTTTCCTTTATGCTAGGCACTGGAAATGGAAATTGTTGTAATACACAAACCTTGCCTCCAAGAGACTTAGTGCCTATGAAGTCGGAAACTTAGAATAATTTTTATAGGTTGAAAGATAAATGAATGATACAGATAATAATTGCCATTAAAGTTTGGAAGACACTTAAAATCAAAGATGATTTTCTGGAGGAATTAGGACTTGATCTAGTACTTGAAAATAGAAACACTTCTTGGGTAAGTAGAATTGAGAAAATTAAATCAAGACTCCAGAAATAACATAGAAACTCCAGAAAATTAAATCAAGACTGCAGAAATAACATATTGACTACTGGGAGATCAGTTATCACCCTTGTGAGTGTGATGGGTTTGTTACTCTGTATGTCAAAGGTTTTAAACTTGGAATAGGATTCAAATATTTCATAAACTCTGAAAACTTGTTTGTAAATATTTGTGTTTTTGGGCAACATACATATTTATAAGATGCACTTCAGATCTATATTTTTTTTTCAGCTTCCCAAAGAGGTGTAACTTCTCCCAAAGGTTAAAATTCTCTGCTCTATATTAAGATTTGTCTCCAATGTAGTTACTTTTTCCATGATAATTTTCTTAAAATTGACTGTCCAAGTTGTTGCATGTTTTATGCTAAAATAGAATAATTTTAGCAAAGATAGTCTTCCTAGCCTACAAAACAGTTAACTGAATTTTTAAAAGAAAGAATCATATTTGAATATCTTCTCTATAGCATGCTACTGTAGTGGTACAATATATGCATTATAAGACTTCATGGCTCTTATTTAAATGTCAGGTTGTGATAAAACTAATAAATATTTATTATGTTATTAAGAATGTAATGGTAGGGGCCAGGCACCGTGGCTCATGCATGTAATCCCAGAACTTTGGGAGACTGAAGCGAGCAAGTCACTTGAGCTCAGGAGTTCAAGACCAGCCTGAGCAACATAGCAAATCTCTGTCTCCACAAAAAATACAAACATTAGCCAAACATGGTGGTGGGCGCCTGTAATCCCAGCTACTCAGGAGGATGAGGCAGAAGAATTGCTTGAACCCGGGAGGTGGAGATTGCAATGAGCCAAGATTGTGTCACTGCACTCCAGCCTGGACAACAGAGCTAGACTCCGTCTCAAAAAAAAAAAAAAAAAAAAGAAAAAGATAAAAAAAAAAGAAAAATCTCATCTCTACAAAAAATACAAAAAGTTAGGCAGGTGTGGTGATGCGTCCCTGTTGTCCCAGCTACTTGGGGGGCTGAGTCAGGAGGATGTCTTGAACCCGGGAGGTTGAGGCTGCAGTGACCCAAGATCATGCCAGTGCTCTGCAGCCTTGGTGACAGAGTGAGTCTCTGTCAAAAAAAAAAAAAGAAAAGAATTTAATAGTAGGACTTAAATTTCAGTGGACAAACATAGGTCACAATTCAAAATATTCATTGAATTTCTTAATTGTCTTTTACAAGTTGTTTTTTATTATTATTAAACAAATCCAAAATAAAGCCAGAGTTTTTGAACAGACATACTTCTCTTTTAGATTGTTCTAGATAAAAAGAGTCTTAAGGAATTTTCCAACTATTCTAAATTTCATAGTAATTGTTTTATGGACATGCCTTTTATTTATGCAGAAGTAATTTGACTATTACAAAACATAGTAAGTGTGCAATTTAAAGAATATTTTAAGTTTTCTTTATCCATCTAGTATTTTCTTCGTTCTCCACTAAGCTGTTAAGCTAATTATGGGATACAAAAGTACAGATTAATATCTTAAGTAATAAAAATTATATCATTAAATCTAATAATTAAGAAAAATATTTCACCATAAGATGTCTGGCATTTGAATATATATATTAATCATATATACATATATACTTTATATTTCAATGTATTTAAAATATATAGAGATTATATATGATATTCTATATTTTATAAAGATATAAATGTACACACATATCGCAATATATAAATGTATATTCTTGAAATATATAAAACTGAAATACTTTCAGTCTTCATTTCAGACAACAGTATTAATTTCAGCATGAAGTTTTATTTTTCGATTTTAGACTCTATTCTTTCTGTATCCACAGTTGTATTTATTGTTATGCAGACATATGACTTTATATTTTCACAGATAGTTCTATAGGGAGGTATTTACTTCAATGTCCTTTGTTGAATGTTTCTTACATTCTCATGGCTATTTTCTGCTAGAATATATAATCCACAGAAAAAAGGGTTCAAGTTAAAGAGGGATTAAATTCTGGAAAGGACATTTATATATAAAAATCACACCTCTTTTAAGTATACCCTCTATATTACTGCTAAGCTCTTCTATAACACAAACCTTATCCTCTCAGTTCCTTATTTAAACTGTGTTCATGAGTTACTATCTTCTGCGGGATGCAATCATGACCTATTAGCATCATACACAAGACGCTTCTTGATCTGACCTCAATTTATCCTGGCATCAATTTTTGCTGACATCTAATGCCAAGGTCTTTTATATCAGCTTCACACAATTACTCAACATTCCTCAAAAGAGCCATGCCATTTCATCAGGTTGGTCACACCTCCTGTGAAATTTCACTCATCCCCTCAGGCAGGGTTAGTTGGTTCTTCCTCTTTGCTTCTCCTGCATGTTATAACACTGTGATAACTTCCTTAAATTTTGTTTACAAGTCTGTCTTCACCTTTAAACTGAAAAATCTTGGAGGGCAAGGGCTGCCTCATTTACCTGTGCATTTCTTGGCGTGAATATATAGTATGGCACAGAGACTCCATCATGGTTTATATAATACATTCACACCAGTCAAGGTAGAAATGATGTTGTAGCTATTATAGTTGGATTCTTTTTAAGGTTTTATGGTCAAAATTACTATAGAATCTAATAGAGAATATTAAGATATGCCCAGAGACTTATACACATTGTTCAATTTATCCTACTATTGTGAGACAGCAACCATATCGACAGTATTTTGAGCATTAATATTCCCCATAATCCAGCATGACAAAGGGAAAAAATGCAACAGTTGGAGAGTTGCTGTTTGTTTTTATTGAAATATTTTATTTTACAACAGAGCTGTAATTGTTAAATTATCTATCTTATTGTTGATGGGCATTTATATTACCCCAGATTTTGCTGTCGTTGTTGTGCAAACTTTATTTTACATGTCTTCTTGTGTACATTTCTAAGATTTTTCTCTAGGGAGTATACCTAAGAGTAGAATTGCAAGTTACAAGATATGGGCAGTTTCAGCTTTACAAAATGATGCCAAATTGCTTTCCAAGAAATCGATACAGTATTCTCCCATCAGCAGAGGAGAGAGAGTTACTGTTGCCTCATGTCCTCTCAAACACATAATACTGTCTTCTTTTCATTTTTGCCACTCTGACTTGAAATAGTATCAGGTTTTGGTTTGAATTTGCATTTCCCTGATTACAAAGAAGGTAAAGCATGTTTTCAGGTTGTGAGTCATTTAAATTTCTTAAATGTCTTTTGCCATTTTTTTCTTCTACTGATTCATAGGAGTCACTTATAAGACACATTTATACAGTTTGGAAATATCTTCAACTAGTTTGCAGCTTGCATTTGTACTTTTTTCTTTGTACTTATTTAATTTTGTCTTTTGATATACTGAAGTTTTTAATTTGATAGTAGTCAGTTTATTAATATTTTCCATTATTAATATGTGCTTTTAAAAATGTATTTTCTACCCTGAATCATAAAGATTTTGAAGAATTTTTAATTTAAAATATACCTTTCATGATGGGTTATGTCATTTTCCATCAAAATTGATTTTCATATACTGTGTAAACATTTCTTAAATGCATATCTTAATTTTATGACTTTATCTTTTCTTCCACTGATCTTTGTAAGTGTGCTAACACCAAACTAACTTAATTACTGTAGCCTTATATTAAGCATTTAAAGCTAAGAAGGCAAATTTTCCTGCTCAATTCCTCTCATTTAGAACTATGTTAGCTATTTTCATCACCATATAAAGAAGTAGTTCTTCATCAGTTCACACAGACATCACACATACACACACACACACACACACACACACACACACACATACACCCATCCTACCCATTTGGAACTTTGATTAAAATTGTAATGAATTTATTGATACATTAGGGAAAAATTGATGTCTTTACAATATTGAATTTTCTTAGTTATGAACATGGTATGTGTTCTATTGATTTAGGTATTACTTATTATCATTTTTGAATAAAATTTTACAATTTTCTAAATACAGTTTGCACATTTTGTTAGATATATTCCAAAATATTTAATACTGAAGTTCTTATTTTAAATAGTATCTTATTTTAACTTTCACTTCTAAATATTTGTTGCTTGTATGTAGAAATGCAGTTGATTTTTGTTAATTGGTTTTAAATCCAGCAACATTACTAAATTCCCTTATTAATTCTAATAATGTGTTTTTATATTCTTTTGGGCTCCCATTATATATAATCAGATCTGTGGCTAATTAGAGTTTTGTTTCTTTATGACCAGTATTATTATTTATTTTAATGTCTGTTGCACAGGCTAGGATCTCAGGTATAATGTTGAGTAGAGAAGGTGACAGCAGGTATTCTTTCTTGTTTCTCATTTTAAAGACAATGCTTTAAATATTATCCCATCAATATTATCCCTGTTGCTTTTGCCAATAATTTTTATTAAAGGCAGTAAGTTGCATTTCCCTGATTCTATTCTTAGTTTTCTAAGAGCTTTCACCATCCATCAGCTGTTTGTATTGAATACCCTTTCTGTATTTATCAAGATGACTCTCTCTCTCTAGATATATCTAGATATATCTGGATCTATCTATAGATATATATATATATATAATGATATTGTGATCTATTTGTCTATATCCCAATATCATTTAGTTTTAATCTAAAATGTCTTAAACTAATTAAATAAGGAAATTTCTAGTGTTGAGACAAACTTGTATTTTACATTCCTGGAATAAATCCAACTTGGTCTTGATGTCTTATGCTTCTTTTATTAACCATTTTGGTGTGCTATTATTTTTAGTATATTTGCAAAAATTTGAGATTTCTTTTATCAAAATGACCTCTTCTGGTTTTGGAATCAAGACTATAAGAACCACATAAAATAGACTACCCTTCTTGTTCTATTCTCTTAAAAAAGGTATTTTTAAATTAAATGCCTTTCTTCCTTGATAATGTCCCATTTTTCATTTGATATTTTTGAAAATTTTTTAATAATTCAGTTTTCAAATTGTTATTTAAATCGTGTTATTTCTACTTTAGTCATGTTTAATGATGTATATTATTTTCCAAAATATGTCTTTACCTAAGTTTCAAATTTGAAGGCATAACAGTGTTCATGGCTTATTTCATATGGTAATTTTAATACCTACTCCTAATCATATTTTTTTAACTTTCTTTGAACTTACTCTTCTGTTCCTTTTCTAACATCTCAAATCAGATGCTTAGTTTATTAATTTCTCATATTTTTTCTAATGTGAGCCTTAAAGATTGTCTTTCTCTACATACCACTTTAATACATTATAGAAGTTTCATATATAGCATTTTTATCATTCCTTAGTTTTAAATCTATTATCTGAATATTTAGTTTATCCTCCTTAACTTTACATGCATATTTAGATTCATTCGTGATGACTGTTTTGTTATTTCTATTATGAGAGCTCTTAAAACTTATTGTACTTTAGTGGGGTTTATTTGTTTGTTTGTTTATTTATTTTCATTTTTTTACCTTTCGGGATTGAGTCTTTCTTTCCAAAGCCAGGCCTAGATAGATGGTGTGCTTTTGTGGGATGGGTTTTAATCCGGTTTATGTGCTGGAGTTGTGACTTTTGTCCTGTACTTTGAGATATTGAGGGTTCTTTGATCCAACTTTCCACCTGCTTGAAAGCCCTGTGCTTCCCCCAACTCCAGCTTTTTCACTAAGGATAAATACTCCTTTCAAAAATATTCTAAGCCCCTAGAGCTTAGCATATTTCCTCAGGATAAATGCCAGCCCCTAAGTTTACCATTGTGAAATCATATTCTCTTTTTTTCCTATTTTTAATTATTTTTTCTTTTTTTGTTTTACATCAGCTTAGACATGATATACATATATATGCACCCCTACCCCACACACAATCTGTTCTGTACCAGGTGGAGTTTCTGTATACACTCACTTTGTTATACTGTCTAAAACAAAAATCGTTTGTTCTTTTTCTATTTTTCACTAGGTTTAATGCAAAGGAAAATGTTTTAAGGTATAAAAGTGAGAGAAATTTTCTGGCAATGGTTGCTTAAGTAGTATAAGAGTCATGGTGTTCTTGATGGTGGAACCATAAACTGAAAGAGTTGGCTGACTTAACATTTCCAACCCTGCCTGGGGAATATTTGACAAAGTTTGAGGTGAAAGTTTGTGTTAAAAAATTAAAGGATGTGAAGCTAATATTTCCCATCAAGTATGCTTACCTTTGAATTTTAATTTTGCTTATAAGTTTCATTATTCACACACAAGTCAGAAATGTTAATTTAGCTCTTTCTTTAGATGTATTAATTTCTCTCACAAAATGTCTTTTCAAACTTATTTTTTAATCTTCACAGGTGAGTTAATTTTCTTTAATTTGTAATCATTTTTAAACAATATTACCAGAGTGATACATCTACTCTTTAAAATTGTAAATATAATTATGCTAAGAGAAAAATGAAAGTCCTCATTCAGATGAGGACTGACTCCAATAGTTTCATTCACCAGATAACAACTGTTAATTGATTTATCTACATTCTTCCAGTCTCTTTGGCTATGTACTCATGTACAATGTACAAAAACTTTATAAAATCTGCACAATTTTTTTTTAATTTTGATAATGCTGTCCACATTACTCTGACACTAGTTTTCTTCAGTTAAGAATATATTATGGACATCTTACCATTAGTCTGAGAACTACCTTAATATTTTAAGTAATGGTGCAGAAATTTATTGTGTTTCTACACAACATAATAAATGATTATTTAACTTATTGGCATTTAGATTGACTCTAATTCATTGCTATTAGAAACAATGCTACAAAATTATTCTCCTGCATAACTAATTAATTTTACAATTCTTTTTGGAGAATAAGTTCTAGAAAAACAATTCTAGAGTTAAAGACATGAATGTTTTTAATTTTGAAGAGATATGATTAAAATTACATATTAAGTTGTTAGATAGTAGGTTAGATTCACAAATAAAGGTACCCATTTAATTTTAAGCATCTACACACTTCAAACACTGGTCTCAAAAATATACTAGTAATCAAATATTTGGCTTGCTTTTATTGCCTGTTTGATTTAGGTTATATGCTCAAACAGGAAGACTTTATACTTCATTTTCAATGGCTTTTAATAAGCCTTCAGTGTATAAAATCTGCAATGTTAATAGCAGGTAATATACCTGAAAATATAGCAAAGCAAAATAAAGATTTGCATATTTGCTGAGATGTGGGTAACTCCTCTTATTACTCTGCCTGCTCCCCACCAGCAAAATAGTATTATCTGATAAATTTTAACTAAAGTAAATCACTGTTTAGATGCGGTCTTTGGGTAACTTTATAACTATAAAGCCATATTCCTCTTTGCTTACATTTGTGAATTAAGTATGAAAGTCATTTTGTACCTATTTTATCATATTTTAAAGTTGTGTCTTTAATTTTGTTGTTACTGCTCTTTCAATTATCTGTACATGTCTTATCTGAGAAAGTTGTCTATTTACATTTTGTTGCCAGTTCTTACAGCTAAAGCATTCATTAGCTCAAGTGAATCATTTTTTTAAAAAGGTTGATATATTTAGCTTCTGTGAGCCTATGACATGTAATTTATCTCCCTGTATTATTAATACATTTTGAATAATCATTTATCAGCAGACCACAGAACAGTAGTTCATAGACGCTTTGTCACCTGTATGGCTGGCTCCCTAATTTCTAACAATACCATTATTTATTAGTAAGACCTTTTTAGTGTGTCAAAAGCACAGACTTTCTTTCATGTTCCTAACTGGAAAGTTGAATAATGGCATTACAAGCAGAATCATTAAGAGTGTGTAAGCGCCACCCAGACTGCAGACTGCTTTTGCTGTAATCTTGGCACTGCCACTTGCTGGCGGTATCACTTTAGACACTGGTAATTTGCTTATCTTCTCTGGGTAGCCACATCTATAAAACAAAAACAAAAGTCTTATCTATCTCACAGAGTTGTTGTAAAGATCAAGGAAGTGTTTGGTCTGACCACTTAGAAAATTATTGGCAGCTGGGTTATTTCTACTTGTCATTCTGTCAATTCTGTCTGGAAAGTATATTTCAAAAATCACTTCCACTTGAGTTTTGAATTCATTTGAATAATTTTGTGAAACATCATTTTAGGGCTCATTTCTTGTAAGGTTTGATTGGCTAAGTTTTTGTGTTATATTATCTACTCATGATCTACTTTTCTTTGAATGTGAAGAAGCTATTCAAAAGCTATTTTTGAAAATGGAAATAAACCTATTCAATAATAAACACCGTATTTTGTCATACTGATCAAAAGGAAAACCAGGAGCCATTCTGTTTCTCTAAGAATGCTTAACATTGTAGCTTCAAACAGTAACTAATATGGAAATTTTATCATACAATTAGTCATATTTTAAAAATCTATATTGGGGCATGTTTTCAATAACTGGCAAAGTTTCATTTTGTGTTATGCTATTCTGTTGGGCATGACACTCCACAATTGATTACTGTTTTAATGGTTTTTCTGGCAGTAAAGATTTTGTAGGCAAGAATTGCAGCTATGAATTGGATACAGGAAGCCTTGTATCTGATTTTCCCTATAACAAATTCAACCATTCAATGCTATGTTTAGAGTCCATTTTAAATATTCTGTAGAAAGAGCATAAAATAAATATTAAATTAAAAAAGCTCCCTGCAAGATATGCCATCATCCACTTTCATCCAATATTCATCTGTAAAAATTAGATGCCAGATTACATAATCTTTTAACAAACACTGCAGGCAAATTGTCTTGCTTCTATTTATCACTAGATAGCAGCATTTTATGACTTTTTAATGTGATTTATTCAGAGAAGTGATGGAAACATACTGGCAATTGTTCTAGCCATTAGAACATCTACGATCCATATATATCTTAAAGTATATACTTGAAGGGATGTCTGAGAATGGAAGAAAATTGGTTGGAAAAGGTATGCTTGGCAATACTAAAACAGCAAATGGATTCAGACTGCATCAGATATTATAACAGGGTACACTTGGGTTATCACCTACAATATTATAGGTTGTGTTTTCCTGCCTTCCTAAACTCCTAAAGGGATGAAAAGTAGGGAACAATATGCCACTTATATCGAACTATAAGAAATAATTAGTTGAAAGATATTCAACCATGTTTTTAAAATTTCATACTTTACTGTATAACCACTGTAACTGTTTTTCCCTGTGGAATTGGACAGATATTTGATTGGATTAGTTTACTTTTGTTGATATTATGTGGGTTCAGATTGCTTCTGATCACTAGAAATAATGAGCTTAAGCACACGTCTACTTTCACTGATTATTAAGAATAGAAGTGAAATCTGATCACAAAAGAACCTAAATTTTTTGCCACTATATCAAAACTGTGTACATGTGTATTCGCTGGAGTTTTAACAAACACTTGGAGAAGGTGCCTCTCAAGCACTTGAATCTGAAGAGTGGATTGCAAAGTTATAAATAAGTGTTCTATCTTAATCACAGGAAAAATAAAGACACATTCTGTCACTTTTTCTTGGTCAGCAATCATAGAAGTACCCAATAAGAAGCAGCAATATTCTCAACTATTTTAGATAAATGGAAGATGAGAAAGGCACATGTATTAGTTTACTAGGCTACAAGAAAATACCACAGACTGAGTGTCTTAAACGACAGGAATTTATATTCTCACTGTTTTGGAGGCTAAAAGTTCAAGATAAAGATGTCGGCCAGTTTTGTCTCTTTTGAAGCCTCTTCCCTTGGCTTATGGAAGCCTTCTCGCTGTGTCCTCACATGGTCTTTCCTCTGTGTGCACATCCATGACGTCTCTTTGTGTGTCCAAATGACCTCTTCTTATAAGTATACTGGTCATATTGGATTAGGGCCTATGGTAACAATTTCATTTTAATTTAGTTACTTCTTCAAAGACCTTATCTCCACATACAGGTACATTCTGATGTACTGGGGAAGCATTAGTCCATTCTCATGCCGCTAGGAAGAAATACCTGAGACTGGGTAAGTTATAAAGGAAGGTGGTTTAATTGCTCATAGTTTTGCATGGCTTGGGAGGACTCAGGAAACTTACAATCACGGCAGAAGGCACCTCTTCACAGGGTGGCAAGAGAGAGAATGAATGCCCAGTGAAGCGGGAAGCCCCTTATAAAACCATCAGATCTTGTGAGATCTAACACACTATCACAAGAACAGGCTTGGGGGAAACCACCCCCATGATTCAATTATCTCCACCTGGTCTCTCCCACAACACTGGGGATTATGGGAGCTAAAATTCAAGATGAGATTTGGGTGGGGATACAGCCCAACCATATTAGGAGATTAGGACTTCAACATATGAATTTTGGGAGGACACAATCCAGCCCATAAGGGCACACTTTCCATTCTTTCTCACTTAATATTTGGAAAATATAGATGCATTGTCAGAACGTATAAATGCTTTCTTTAGCCCTTTTAAACAAACAAAAATAGTGCAGTAGTTAGAATGCCTGAATACAACTAATCATGAATAACTGGAGCTCAGACAGCGTTTCTAAAGGACTCTGGGCAGCCAAAACAAATATCAAAAAGTCCGTGTACAAAAGATCATGTGCTTTCCTCACAGGAACACATCTTAGGCCCTTACTCCAATCTGATTTATTTAAAGTTTATACATGTTTGTAACAAAAATTATGATTTGATTTCCTAGATTTTAGCTGTCATCTCCTAGCTTCTGATTTTACAGGTGAGAAACACAGGCCCCAAAGGTCAATGGCAGAATCCACAGTAAAACTTTCCTTCCTAGTTGTATAACCGGAGCTTTCACATGGGCTGCTTGCTGATGATTTGGGATTGTCTTCTAGCATCTGAGCCTCAGTAGAATCTATTCATTATTGGAAAAGGATGTTGAAATTACTGTGTGACAAAACACTTCATTAGATTTTTTTTGTTCCAAACCATAAAAGAAACACCTACTCATTAAGACAAGTCAAATGACATAGACACACAACAAAATCCAGATGTGCCCACCTACTCTCCAAGGTGGACTACCCAATTTGAGTCTTCACCTGTCCTCTAATTTGCAGAAGCATTTTCCATTTTCAGCTTTTTCTGATAGTTGGCTAGAGACTAGAAAACATAAATAGGAAAAAAAATATATATTCTTCCAAACTTTTACTCAATCTCCCATATCCTTTATATTTCAATCCTATAGGAGAGAAGTAAAGTGATTGAGCTTCACTTTTTGGATTCTTCCCACCCAACTTCTGACTGTTTTTCTTCACAGACAACAGTTTTTGCTATTTAAAGTTTAGCCTTTCTGCAAAACCATGTTTAAATACTATTTTTGCAGGAAGTGCTTCCTAACTTCTCTAACCCATATAGAAGTTAGGAGTCCCCAATAACAGTCACTGGCTGGAATACTTATTTGACATTCATCTTGTGTATGTATGCCTTTTTCTTAAATTGGTCACAGACCTCATGACAGAAAGGGGTTTGTTCAACATCTCTATGAATTGGCCATTTCTCAGATCAGGAATTGCCAGTGAAGTGCATTTTTGTCTCCTCCAACTGTTTCCAGTGTGATAGCTTTGAAGTGAGATGTTGTTAAGATCTCTCCTTGCGGATGAGCTGGCCTGAGAATTTTTGGAGGGATCTACTAATGGCTAGTATACTGGTAGTATAATTTTACATGCAAAAGAATATTTTCACAGGTTCTGAAGTTCTTACAGCAACTAAAAATTTTATCACATATGAAAATTCCAATGACTCTACAATGTTTCCATTATTAAATACTGGGAACATATTAGGATTTTAAGAGAATATGAGTGATTAACATATTTTGATCCAGGGTATATATGATTTCTGGTAAAAAGAGAGAAAGTAGGAAAAATATTTTGGGGTCAATTAATCAAATATTTTACTCAGAACTCACCTGTCTCTTTCTGCCTTGTTGCTGTTTTGATGAGGTTATTGAGAGATAAAGTGCATGTGTGTGTGCGTGTGTGTGTGTAAGAGAGAGAGAGAGAGAATGGAAGCAAGCCTAAAATTGGGAGATTATGCCTAAAACTATAATTACTTTTATAGAGCAAGTCAGGAAAAAATGACAAGACCACACATCTAAACACATTACAGTGATTTTTCCTTGCTAGCTTGATAGTGCTTTTAGTCTTTAGCCTGCTGAAACCAATAGGTGCTGAGTTATGAACAGGCCTAGGCAAATGGTAATGTTTTACTTTTCCTTCTAAGCTTGTTGTCTCTGTGTGGTCTTGATGAGAAAGAAGAAACTTCCATGTTAAGAACTGCAGTGAATTCAGTTTCACATTTATTTCAGTGAAATAGCATAGGATAAAAAAAGATGGAAAAAAAAAACAGAAAATGCTACTCTAGTGTGCAATGTGTGGTCATCCTGCAGAGACAACTTAATTGATAACACAGCCACTTATCCATGGCAAACATCACGAGTCTAAATATCACACAACTTTTTTTCACAACAATAGTAAAAAGCAACTCGACTATTATTTTTCTAACTAAGAAGTATCAGATACTGACAGAACTTTTAACTGTTTTAAAGCCCAAACTTACAGTGATTATCTTTTGTTTTTTTAAGTGGTAGCCTCAGCAGTTTTTATCTGAAAGAGGTGACTTTATCTTTTTAAATTATACTTTAAGTTCTAGGGTACATGTGCACAATGTGCAGGTTTGTTACATGGGTTTGCTGCACCCATCAACTCGTCATTTTCATTAGGTATTTCTCCTAATGCTATCCCTCCCCCAGCCCCCACCCCCTGACATGCCTTGCTGTGTGATGTTCCCCGCCATGTGTCCAAGTGTTCTTATTGTTCAATTCCCACCCATGAGTGAGAACATGTGGTGTTTGGCTTTCCATCCTTGTGATAGTTTGCTGAGAATGATGGTTTCCAGCTTCATCCATGTCCCTGCAAAGGACATCAACTCATCCTTTTTTATGGCTGCATAGTATTCCATGGTGTACACATGCCACATTTTCTTACTCCAGTCTAGCATTGATGGCTATTTGTGTTGGTTCCAAGTCTTTGCTATTGTGAATAGTCCCGCAATAAACATACATGTGCATGTGTCTTTATAGTGATTTATAATCCTTTGGGTATGTACCCAATAAAGGGATCACCGGGTCAAATGGTATTTCTAGTTCTAGATCCTTGAGGAACCGCCACACTGTGCTCCACAATGGTTGAACTAATTTATACTCCCACCAACAGTGTAAAAGCATTCCTATTTCTCCACATCCTCTCCAGCATCTGTTGTTTCCTGACTTTTTAATGATCGCCATTCTAACTAGTGTGAGATGGTATCTCATTGTGGTTTTGATTTGCATTTCTCTGATGACCAGTGATGATGAGCATTTGTTCAGGTGTCTGTTGGCTACATAAATGTCTTCTTTTGAGAAGTGTCTGTTCATATCTTTTGCCCACTTTTTGGTGGGGTTGGTTTTTTCTTGTAAATTTGTTTGAGTTCTTTGTAGATTCTGGATATTAGCACTTTGTCAGACAGGCAGATTGCAAAAATTTTCTTCCATTCTGTAGGTTGCCTGTTCACTGTGATGGTAATCTCTTTTGCCGTGCAGAAGCTCTTCAGTTTAATTAGATCCCATTTGTCTATTTTGGCTTTTGTCGCCATTGCTTTTGGTGTTTTAGTAATGAAGTCTTTGCCCATGCGTATGTCCTGAATGGTACTACCTAGGTTTTCTTTAAGGGTTTTTTATGGTTTTAGGTCTAACATTTAAGTCTTTAATCCATCTTGAATTAATTTTTATATAAGGTGTAAGGAAGGGGTCCAGTTTCAGCTTTCTACATATGGCTAGCCAGTTTTCCCAGCACCATTTATTAAATAGGGAATCCTTTCCCCATTGCTTGTTTTTCTCAGGTTTGTTGAAGATCAGATGATTGTAGATGCGTGGTCTTATTTCTGAGGCCTCTGTTGTGTTCCATTGGTCTATATATCTATTTTGGTACCAGTACCATGTTGTTTTGGTTGCTGTAGCCTTGTAGTATAGTTTGAAGTCGGGTATCGTCATGCCTCCAGCTTTGTTCTTTTTTCTTAGGATTGTCTTGGCAATGCAGGCTCTTTTTTGGTTCCATATGAGCTTTAAAGTAGTTTTTTTCCAATTCTGTGAACAAAGTCATTGGTAGCTTGATGGGGATGGCATTGAATCTAGAAATTATCTTGGGCAGTATGGCCATTTTCACGATGTTGATTCTGCCTATCCATGAGCATGGAATGTTCTTCCATTTGTTTGTGTCCTCTTTTATTTTGTTGAGCAGTGGTTTGTAGTTCTCCTTGAAGAGGTCCTTCACAGCCCTTGTAAGTTAGATTCCTAGGTATTTTATTCTCTTTGTAGCAGTTGTGAATGGGTGTTCACTCATGATTTGGCTGTCTGTCTGTTATTGCTGTATAGTAATGCTTGTGTTTTTGCACACTGATTTTGTGTCCTGAGACTTCGCTGAAGTTGCTTATCAGCCTAAGGAGGTTTTGGGCTGAGATGACGGAGTTTTCTAAATATACGGTCATGTCATCTGCAAACAGGGACAATTTGACTTCCTGTTTTCCTAATTGAATCCCCTTTCTTTCCTTCTCTTGCCTGATTGCCCTGGCCAGAACTTCCAACACTGTGTTGAACAGGAGTGGTGAGAGAGGGCATCCTTGTCTTGTGCCAGTTTTCAAAGGGAATGCTTTCAGTTTTTGCCCATTTAGTATGATATTGGCTGTGGGTTTGTCATAAATAGCTCTTATTAATTTGAGATATGTTCTATCAATACCTAGTTTATTGAGAGTTTTTAGCATGAAGGGCTGTTGAATTTTGTCAAAGGCCTTTTCTGCATCTATTGAGATAATCATGTGTTTTTTGTCTTTGGATCTGTTTACGTGATGGATTACGTTTATTGATTTGCGTAAGTTGAACCAGCTTTGCATCCCAGGGATGAAGTTGACTTGATCGTGGTGGATAAGCTTTTTGATGTGCTGCAGGATTCTGTTTGCCAGTATTTTATTGAGGATTTTTGCATCAATGTTGATCAGGGATATTGGTCTAAAAAATTCTCTTTTTTTGTTGTGTCTCTGCTAGGCTTTGGTATCAGGATGATGCTGGCCTCATTAAATGAGTTAGGGAGTATTCCCTCTTTTTCTACTGAGTGGAATAGTTTCAGAAGGAATGGTAGCAGCTCCTCTTTGTAAGAGGTAACGTTATCTTTTAAGGTAAACAAATAATGAAGCAGATAAATGTACTGTTTATTTTGAGGGAAATATTAAACACCTATTCTTTCTCTAGTTCCTTGCCTTTTCACTTAAGATATTCTTCTAATTTTATTTTGGATAATACAAAAGTTCTAGAGCTATTCTAATTTAGTTTATTCAGTCAGCAACTGTTCCTTTAGTATGTAATTCTGATGTAAATTATGGACTGTTTGCCATGACAAAATGTGCATAGCTTAACACAGAACTTTGCACATAATTTCATGATTCATGGACAACTTCAACCTCACCTAGGGATCCTAGTTTAAAAACTCTAACTAAGTGGCAATTTGACAGGGAGAAATTATAGCTTCACCTAGACAATCCATGTTCTAATTCCCTGTTCCAATACAATAACAGCTGGAGTTTTGCTGCTTGCCCCTGTGTGTTTCATGCCTTTCTCCCTGTGCATGATTATGTACACAAACTGTTATTCATTGACATTCCTATTTGATCAGCTGAATTTCTCTTGAATGGGAAGTCAGATTAAATAAATTATAGATTTCAGTCTTTGTGAAAGTCATTGTCACTATGTGTATTTACTGTGATAGAGCAATTTAGAATAACTATTTTTTTAATTATCTACTATGTGCAAGTCCCTGTTCATGCACTGCCTTTTTTAATTGCCTCAATAATCTCAATGAGGCAAATACCATTACAGAAGCTTCTCAACTTACAGTTAGGTTATGTCCTGATAAACCTATTGCAAGTCAAAAATATCATAAGTCCGGGCTGGGCGTGGTGGCTCATGCCTGTAATCCCAGCACTTTGGGAGGCCAAGGCGGGTGGATCACAAGGTCAGGAGATAGAGACCATCCTAGCTAACATGGTGAAACCCTGTCTCTACTAAAAATACAAAAAAAAATTAGCCGGGTGTGGTTGTGGTCCCCTGTAGTCCCAGCTACTCGGGAGGCTGAGGCGGGGGCGGGAGAATGTCGTGAACCCAGGAGGAGGAGTTTTCAGTGAGCCTAGATCGTGCCACTGCACTCCAGCCTGGGTGACAGAGCGAGACTCCGTCAAATAAAAAAAAAAATCATAGGTCCAAAGTACAGTTAACACTCTGATAAACTCGTTATAAAGTAAAAAAAAAAAGTCATATGTTGAACCATCATAATTCAGGGAATAGCTATATCATCCACAAGATACTGAGACACAGAATGACATTTGGTTGTTTGGTTTTTTTTTAATTGTTTCATATAGAGTCAAATAAAAATTATAAAGTCATATAGCTCCTTAAGGGGAAGAGCCAGCATAGTATGCTGGACCACAGGATTTCAAAGTCTCTATTCATTTAACTAAATTATACCTTAAATATATCTTTAGACTATAGAATGACTTACTGAAATTTAAATATGGAATCACCAAGAAATAAAACATATTTTAGCAAAATGAGACAAAACAATTGAAGCTCCACAGCTTCAATATAGCCTGATGTGGTGGCATGCACCTGTAATTCCAGCTACTCAGGAGGCTGAGGCAGGAGAATTGCTTGAACCCAGGAGGTGGAAGTTGCAGTGAGCTGAGATTGTGCCACTACACTTCAGCCTGGGCAACAGAGCAAGGCTCTGTCTTTAAATAAATAAACAGGGTGTTTGAGCATCAAATTCTTAATTTGCATATATTTTGATTGTCTTCAGAGCTACCAACTTGGCCAGAATCCAAGTGAGGTAACCCAGCTGGGAAACACAGCCCTGAGGATTGAATTTCTTCTTGTGCATGACTGGTCTTGACAGCTTAGATGTTAGAGGGCTTCAGGCTTTTAGCTTTTAGAAGTTTATACACTGTATATATCTGCATTTCAATTTCTATTGTTCTCTATTACTTGGAAAAAAATATCCTGCCTTTTTGCTATATTACCTGTTTTACCATTTGTCTTTCTTTTCCTGGATAAAGTCATTCCACATCCATAACTTTCCATGACAGAGGTTCCCACAAGTATTTCACCACCACATCTGCCCTGAGCTCCAATTTCAGATTACTCTTAGATGTTTTAACTCAAACACTCCACAGGCCAGAATTTCCAAGTAACTTTCCTTGTCATGACTAATTAATTTCATTCTTTATACCTACACTGATAGAACTTCTGTACTGTCACCATAATCTAAATAACAGAAGGTAGTAGGGGGAGGTTACTTAGGGATGAAGAAAGTGATGAATTTGGTTAATGTCAGATGTGGGTTACTTAAGGAGACATCTCCTTATGCAATTATGGTAAAAATCTGGATATTGTACTAGAATTGTGGTTTTGAGAAATAGAAAATCTAAGAATGAAAAATGTATCTATTTTTAATGAATTTTTTTATTTGTGATAATCTGGAAGATTCCCTTTCCCTCGTGACATTGCTGACTGTGATATTCAATAACCTAAAAATCAGGGAATGCTTTGGTTAGAATTTTCCATAGCAGTCATTCAGTTCAATGATTTTACTTTTCATTTGAGAAAGCTAGGATCCAGAAAAGTGTGGTAACATTTTGAACATTTTGAGCAAGGACTGCTTTTCAGGGCTCTTTTCATTCAGTAGAGAGGTTGGGAAAGCCTCAGTGGGTAATTTCACTAGCATTTCTATTATCTGTGATTGATTCAGCAAGACTATTACCTCTTCCTTCATCTCAGAGAGAGGATACTAGAGGCACTAATTTATCTGAAATGAAAGTAGAATCATTACATCATGATACCTTGATGTAATATTGGCATCTGAAAAAGCAATGGAAAATAATGGTACTATCATCATCAAACAGAAAGAACACTTTTTTCCCTCTGAGCCCTGAGAGGCTGAGGCACTTGGGGAGACATGAAACTTTCATTCCGCTAAGGGAAACCATTTAGTAAATTGCCACTGAAAGGCTTTTAAGGGTCCCTTAAGAGGTCTGCAAGTCTTAATGTAGCTCTCAAAGTGTCTGACCTAGGCCCAGAGAAGAACAGCAGTACTCTAAATTTAAAATTCAGGAATAGACTGGGCATGGTGGCTGATGCCTGTAATCCCAGCACTTTGGGAGGCTGAAGCAGGTGGATCATTTGAAGTCAGGAGTTTGGGACTAGCCTGACCAACATGGTGAAACTCTATCTCTACTAAAAATACAAAACAATAGCCAGATGTGGTGGCATGCACCTGTAATTCCAGCTACTCAGGAGACTGAGGCAGGAGAATTGCTTGAACCGGGGAGGTGGAAGTTGCAGTGAGCTGAGATTGTGCCACTGCACTCCAGCCTGGGCAAAAGAGCAAGACTCTGTCTTTAAATAAATAAATAAATAAAATTCAATAATAATAATAATAATAATAATGAAAATAGCTACCCCGCTGTAGCCATTTAAAAGTCCAGAACACATTGTTTTTGCTTCTCTGCTTGTTCATATTGGCAGTAACAAGGTTAAATGAGGTTCCTTGTCTGTCTCTTAAACATGTGGATATTCCCATTGGAACTCTGCCCAGGTGTTATAGAAATTTACCAGCTTCACTGTCTTGCTAAATATGGCCTACCATCAGGGATAAGAGGTTACAATTTGTAGTTTCCTAATATAAATGTAGCACACTGTGTCCTGCATCTTACATGTGGGGTGTGTGTGTGTGTGTGTGTGTGTGTGTGTGAGAGAGAGAGAGAGAGAGGGAGAGAGAGAGAGAGAGAGAGAGAGAGAGAATATACCTCTACCTTTGTCTCTGGATTTCTCTGCTAGTGTGCGTGTTTGTGTGTGTCTGTGTGTGTGTGTGTGTGTGTGCGCGTGCGTGCATGCGCGCGTGCAACTGTAAGGACTAACAAAGTCATTATTCTGAAAATAAGAAAAGGTATGTACAGAATATAGGAAAAACATTTTTGTTTGGTGACCCAAATGATTTAGAGAGGAAGGGATTTGTAATTTCCAAATTAGTTATCCTTTTGGAAAAATAAACAAGTAGATATTTTATTAAACAATATTTTAAAATAAAAATATTTGGGCACATTACTGGCTATTGTATTTTCATAAAATTTCCAAAATGAAAACAACGTGGTTCATGTTATTTTTAAAAATGAAGTAACCAGTATTTTCTCACATTTCCTAAGTGAAGTTATCTAGGCAAACAATAAGATAACTTTTCATTGCTTCTAAATCTTCAATGGTTTGGTTCTTGTACCTATGTTAAAAAAGACATTACCTAGGGTGGTTTATAAGGCCTTATTCTGTGAATATGTTTATGTAAATACATATCCCTCTAAACTATTCAAATAATTGATGGTTTGGATTCGTACAGTGATGTTAAAACTAACAACATTTCTTTACATAAGTTCATAAGTACTGATTGCAGTTCAAGGAGCTCAAAAACAGTCCAAGAAACAAATTCATTCAAGGAAAAGAAAGATTCTTAAGCAAACCTAATATTTTTCATTTAGAACATATGATATAATGAAATAAGATTCAGAAAAGGCCTAGAAATGTATAAATATGATAATACATAGATTAATTGAAAATCAATAGCTAATTAGTATCATCTATTATTTGTTTTCTTTCTCTAATATAGTTCCCATGAAAAATAAAATATTATGCTAATATCAAAAGCCAATCAAATAATGAGCTCCCTATTAGTGTTCCATGGTTAGTCTCATTCTCCAAATATCTTTAATCATTTACACATACACTTAAAGATTCCTTTATTCTTGGTTTATTTTCATTATGAACTCCGCATACTTTAAGATTTCCAATACTTAAAACAATTGATTAGAGGACTAACACTACCTGACTTCAAAACTTACTATAAAGCTAAAATAATTAATATAGTATGGTAGTGGCCAAAGAAGAGAGAAATAGATCAATCTGGTAGAATACAGAGCCCAGAAATAGACCTACATAGAGTCAAGTAATTTTTGACAATGGAGTATAGGTAACACAATGGAGAAAAAAATAATCTTTTCAACAAATGGTGCTGGAACAAATGGACATCCATGTGGCAAAAAAAAAAATAATCTATCTAGACACAGATTTTACACTCTTCATGAAAATTAACTCAAAGTGGATCACGGAGCTAAATGTAAAATACAAAACTATAAAACTCCTAGAAGAAAACATAGGAGAAAACCTAGATAATCTTGGATTCAGTGATACTCTTTAGATGCCACACCAAAGGCACAGTCTATGAAATAAACAATTGATAACCTGGGCTTCATTAAAATTTAAAACTTCTGCTCTGTGAAAGACAATGTCAAGAGAATAAGAGAATGAGAAGACAAGCCAGAGACTGAAAGAAATGCATCAAAAGATACATCTGATAGAGGCCTGTTATCCAAAATATATCAAGAATAATGTACAAAGTACTCAACAATAAGAATGTCTTTGCTTTAATCTGATTTTAAAAATGGGCCAAAGACCTTAACAAACACTTCACCAAAAAGATGTACAGAGAGCAAATAAGCATATGAAAAAGATGCTTCATGTCATAAGTCCTCAGGGAAATGCAAACTAAAACAGCAGTGAGATACCACTATACATCTATGAGAATGACTAAAAATCTAGAACACTGACAACATCAGATACTGAAGAGGATGCAGAGCAACAGGAACTCTCATTCATTGCTGGTAGGAATGCAAAATGGCACAGCCACTTTGGAAGACAACAAGTAGTTCCTTAAAAAACTAAACATTCTTACCAAAGGATCCAGCAATCCTATCCCTTGGTATTTACCCAAAAGAATTAAAAACTTACATTAGTGCAAAAATCTGCACACAAATGTTTATAACAGCTATATTCATAACTGCCAAAACTTAGAAGGAAATAGAATGTCCTTCAGTAGGTGAATGGATAAATAAACTGATTGATCCAGACAATGAAATATTATTCAGCACTAAAAAGAAACTAGGCCAAACACAGTGAATCATGCCTGCAATCTCAGTGCTTTCAGAGGCCAAGGTGGGAGGATTGCTTGAAGCTAGCCCCATCTCTACTAATTAAAAAAAAAAAAAATTAGCCAGTCATGGTGGCACATGCCTGTAGTCCCAGTTGCTCGAGAGACTGAGGTGGGAGGATTGTTTGAGCCCAGGCGTTTGGGGCTGCAGTGAGCTATGATTGTGCCACTGCACTCCAGCCTGGGTGACAGAGCAAGACCTTATCTGTGAAAAACAAACAAACCAACCAATACAATGTAACTAGCTATCGAGCCATGAATATGTATGGAGGAAGAGTAAATGCATATTACTTAGTGAAAGAAGCCAATCTGAAAAGGCTACATACCTTGTGATTCCAACTATATGACATTCTGGAAAGGTGAAACTATGGAGACAGTAAAAAGATCAGTGGTTTCCACAGGTTTGTGGGAGGGAGGGATGAATAGGCAGAGCCTAGATGATTATTAGGGCAGGAAACTACTCTGTATAATACTAAAGGGGTCATTATACACTTGTCCAAACCCATAGAAGGTACAAGAGTGACCCCTAATGTAAACCATGGACTTTGGGTAATAACAAAGTGTCAATGTAGATTCATCAACTGTAACTATACCAAAGCCACAATCTATGAAATAAACAATTGATAACCTCACAAACATTCCACTGCAGCATAGGATGTTGATGTTGGAGGAAGCTATGTGTGTGTGAGGGCAGTGGGTAGATGGGAAATCTCTGTATTTTCTGCTCAATATTGCTATGAACCTAAATTAGTCTTTAAAAATTCTATGAAACATTTTTGGACTGTTTTCCTGATGTATTATTCTACCTAATATGAAAGGAAATTTAGCTAATGTATTTTATGGAATGAACTTTTAACCAGAGATGTGATAAAAGTGGTTGGAAATTAACTAGCATTAAATAAACAATTCATTTAGAATATAACTGAAACTACAGACACTACCCTGAGATTTAGAATTGTAGAGTCTGAAAAAATACACCAGTACAATAAATTTTTGCATCTATACCTGAAAATTGAAAGGAAAAATATGTATAAGTGGAGTAATTATCATAGTCATCCAATTGATATCTTGCCTTGATGACTGATTGACATTTTCTAAATAGACTAGGTAGTGTCAAGGATAAGGAAGCTGCAGTGTATCAAAAGATGTGCCCAATGTTCCCATGAGCCTGAAAATTTATAGATCAGGGAGATGTCACCTTTAGACAACTTGTCTAACTGTCACATTATTAAAGGAACTTAATTAACTATTAAGCAATGTTCTCTTCTAATTATTGATTCCTGTGACCATCAGATAAATAAAAATTATTAAATGAAATGCTAGCATCTATTGAAATATTACTATTGGCCATTAAAAACATGTATTGCCATTCACATGGAATTATAGAACTCTCTAGAAAGCACATATAGGACAAGGCAAACTTTACTCTTTTGGAGTTTAAAATTTGTGTTCTGCCATCTCCTATTCATTCTATTTATGATCATTGGTCATAATTTTGTTCATAATCAACCAACATGCAAAAGCCCTAATTTCCTGTACCTCTTTCATAACAAAGACCTTAACAGAGTCAATTCTCCACACATGGGCTATGACCTTTACTTGTCATCCCAAAAGCTACACCTGCACTAATGGCTTCAGCCATCTCATACAACTCTAAACTTGACTCACTAAACCTGATCTTTTTCTCTATGTAAGACTTCAAACCTGGAATCCTCCTTTTACAGCCAGTTTTCTAGCCCCTATATCACATTATTTCTTCCCTACTGCTGCAAACCCCACAACTGATTTTTTAATCATATTCTCTTTTACTGACACCCATTGCTCCTTCTCTTTCAATCACACCTACTCACACAGTGTATTATGCTGAAAACAGCTTCTGAGGCTGATTCTTACAGTCTATCTCCAATTGCTGCTGTTACACTAGAGAGGGAATCTTCTTTTGGTTTAAGGTTACCCTCTCTCTTTTATCTTTTCTGGGAATTTATTCTCATTTCTGTAACATAAAGCTCTCTCTCAGAACCACTGTTGTCTTGTCTTTACATACACACAAGCTTGATTTCCTCTACCTTAAAATAAAATAAAACAAAACAAAATCATAATCTCTTCTTTCTGCACATAAACTGTCTTTCAAGCTACTGCCTTGTCTAACTGTTATAACCAAACTATTTTTATCAGGCGTGAGATAAATGAGATAATTCACAGGAGAGCTCAGCATGCCCAGCAAGTGGTAAACTTTCAGGGTAATGTTCATCATTGCTTATATGACATTCTTATTCGTTACTGTTAGCAGTAATAGAGAAAAGCAGAGGTTTCTGGGTGCTGACAGGTATGAAAGGCCTCATCTAGCCTGGTGAGTAGTCGGTGAAGTCCTCCTGGAGGGGGTGACTCCTAACTTGAAGAATGAGTTAGTAGTAGTTAAAAGATAAAGAGTTTGTAAAGGGATTTCTGGGTCTTTTAAAATTATCATAATGCCTGGTGGGGCAGGAGGTGAGTAGGGTGTCGGCATTTAGAGGAGGGGGTCAGGAATTCTAGCTATCCTGCAACTTAGGCAGTGCTGCACAAGTAAAGATTACCTAGGATTTGGCATACACAGCATTTTGAAGTAAAGGAATTGCTGCACAAATGATGAGATTCTATAACATTTTGTTTGGAATTTAAACAAGTGTTGTTCGAAATTACACAATATCCACTCCATTCTCAGTATTCGAGTGGCCAATGCAACATAACTGTTTCAGTCTGAAGTACTCACTGTGATTCTACCTATGGGGACAAACTTATTAATTCATTGTGTCTTCTAGTGTAGTCTTGCCGGAATATAAATGTACATTATTATATTATCTTGACTTCCCTGCTATTTATCTTATCTATAGGGGATTATATATTTTTTGAATTTATGTGTATAGGTAGGTTTTATATTGTCTTAGTTCAAGATACTGTAACAACTTGGTATAAAGAAAAGTAATGCTGGTACTTTGGTGGCACATAAACGACAGAAATGTATCTCTCACAATTCTGAAGATTTGATGTCTGAGATCAGGGTGCCCTCATGGTCAGGTTCTGATGAGGGCCCTTTTCTGGGTTGTAGACTGCCATCTTTTATCTGCATTCTCATATAAAAGAAAGAGAAGGAGAAAGAGAGCTCTCTGTGACCTCATTAATAAGGGCATTAATCCTACTTGGGAAAGCTCAAACCTCATGAACTAATTACATCCTAAAGGTCCCACCTCCAAATTCTGTTTCACTGGGGATTAAATTTCAATGTATGAAATTTAGTAGGCACAAGTATTCAGTTAATGACATATGTTCTGGGTCTTTAATTTTAATTAATAAACATGGTGTTAATATTTCTTTCTTTTTTTATTATACTTTAAGTTCTAGGGTACATGTACACAACGTGCAGGTTTGTTACATATGTATACATGTGCCATGTTGGTGTGCTGCACCCATTCACTCGTCATTTACATTAGGTATATCTCCTAATGCTATCCCTCCCCCCTCCCCCTACCCCACAAGAGGCCCCAGTGTGTGATGTTCCTCTTCCTGTGTCCAAGTGATCTCATTGTTCAATTCCCACCTGTGAGTGAGAACATGCAGTGTTTGGTTTTTTGTCCTTGCGATAGTTTGCTGAGAATGATGGTTTCCAGCTTCATCCATGTCCCTACAAAGGACAAGAACTCATCCTTTTTTGTGGCTGCATAGTATTCCATGGTGTATATGTTCCACATTTTCTTAATCCAATCAATCATTGATGGGCATTTGGGTTGGTTCCAAGTCTTTGCTGTTGTGAACAGTGCCACAATAAACATATGTGTGCATGTGTCTTTATGGCAGCATGATTTATAATCCTTTGGGTATATACCCAGTAATGGGATGGCTGGATCAAATGGTATTTCTAGTTCTAGATCCTTGAGGAATTGCCACACTGTCTTCCACAGTGGTTGAACTAGTTTACGGTCCCACCAACAGTGTAAAAGTGTTCCTTGTTCTCCACATCCTCTCCAGCACCTGTTGTTTCCTGACTTTTTTAGAAGCATTGATCTGACAGGTTTGAAAATAACTTGGTTATGTAGTCTTAAAGATATAATGGAATGATTATAGCCAACCTTGGTTAGTGATGGCCCACAGAATTGAGGTGCATATTTTTTGACTCTGGAATTGATTTTTAAAACATAGGAGTATTTCAAAAGGTTTATTAAGATAGTCTATTACATACAGCAAAACCACATAAACTTGGGGAATCACGAATATTTATTAATTTAGTCTCTGGTGCTAAGAGACTAAATAATGGCTCTAAGAGACTAAATGATGATTCTAGGCTTGTATATTCATTTTCTATTGCTGCTGCAACAGATTGCCACAAATTTGGTGGCTTAAAACAACAATAGGAGGGAGGAGCCAAGATGGCCAAATAGGAACAGCTGCACTCTACAGCTCCCAGCCTGAGCGACACAGAAGATGAGTGATTTCTGCATTTCCAACTGAGGTACCGGGTTCATCTTACTGGGGAGTGTCAGACAGTGGGTGCAGGACAGTGGGTGCAGTGCACCGAGTGTGACCTGAAGTAGGGTGAGGCATCGCCTCACCCGGGAAGCGCAAGGGGTCAGGGAATTCCCTTTCCTAGTCACAGAAAGGGGTAACAGATGGCACCTGGAAAATCAGGTCACTTCCACCCTAATACTGTGCTTTTCCAATGGTCTTAGCAAATGGCACACCAGGAGATTTTATCCCGTGCTTGGCTCAGAGGGTCCTACACCACAGAGCCTCACTCACTGTTAGCACAGCAGTCTGAGATCAAACTGCAAGGCGGCAGCGAGGTTGGGGGATGGGTGCCCGCCATTGCCGAGGCTTGAGTAGGTAAACAAAGTGGCCAGGAAGCTCGAACTGGGTGGAGCCCAGCTGCGGCTCAAGGAAGCCTGCCTGCCTCTGTAGACTCCACCTCTGGGGGCAGAGCATAGCCAAAAAAAGGCAGCAGAAACCTCTGCAGACTTAAATGTCCCTGTCTGACAGCTTCGAAGAGAGTAGTGGTTCTCCCAGCATGCAGCTGAAGATCTGAGAACAGACAGCCTGCCTCCTCAAGTGGGTCCCTGACCCCCGAGTAGCCTAACTGGGAGGCACCCACCAGTAGGGGCAGACTGACACCTCACACGGCTGGGTACTCCTCTGAGACAAAACTTCCAGAGGAACGATCAGGCAGCAACATTTGCTGTTCACCAATATCCGCTGTTCTGCAGCCTCCACTGCTGATACCCAGGCAAACAGGGTCTGGAGTGGACCTCCAGCAAACTCCAGCAGACCTGCAGCTGAGGGTCCCGACTGTTAGAAGGAAAACTAACAAATAGAAAGGACATCCACACCAAAACCCCATCTGTACATCACCATCATGAAAGACCACAGGTAGATAAAACCATGAAGATGGGGAAAAAACAGAGCAGAAAAGCTAGAAACTCTAAAAATCAGAGTGCCTCTCCTCCTCCAAAGGAACGCAGCTCCTCACCAGCAACAGAACAAAGCTGGACGGAGAATGACTTTGATAAGTTGAGAGAAGGCTTCAGACGATCAAACTACTCTGAGCTAAAGGAGGAAGTTCGAACCCTTGGCAAAGAAGTTAAAAACCTTGAAAAAAAATTAGACGAATGGCTAACTAGAATAATCAATGCAGAGAAGTCCTTAAAGGACCTGATGGAGCTGAAAACCATGGCACGAGAACTACATGACCAATGCACAAGCCTCAGTAGCCGATTTGATGAACTGGAAGAAAGAGTATCAGTGATGGAAGATCAAATGAATGAAATGAAGTGAGAAGAGAAGTTTAGAGAAAAAAGAATAAAAAGAAATGAACAAAGCCTCCAAGAAATATGGGACTATGTGAAAAGGCCAAATCTACATCTGATTGGTGTACCTGAAAGTGACGGGGAGAATGCAACCAAGTTGGAAAACACTCTGCAGGATATTATCAGGAGAACTTCCGCAACATAGCAAGGCAGGCCAACATTCAAATTCAGGAAACACAGAGAATGCCCCAGTGATACTGCTCGAGAAGAGCAACTCCAAGACACATAATTGTCGGATTCACCAAAGTTGAAATGAAGGAAAAATGTTAAGGGCAGCCAGAGAGAAATGTCGGGTTACCCACAAAGGGAAGCCCATCAGACTAACAGCTGATCTCTTGGCAGAAACTCTATAAGCCAGAAGAGAGTGGGGGCCAATATTCAAACTTCTTAAAGAAAAGAATTTTCAACCCAGAATTTCATATCCAGCCAAACTAAGCTTCATAAGTGAAGGAGAAATAAAATCCTTTACAGACAAGCAAATGCTGAGAGATTTTGTCACCACCAGGCCTGCCCTAAAAGAGCTCCAGAAGGAAGCACTAAACATGGAAAGGAACAACCAGTATCAGCCACTGCAAAAACATGCCAAATTGTAAAGACCATCGAGGCTAGGAAGAAACTGCATCAACTAAGGAGCAAAATAACCAGCTAACATTATAATGACAGGATCAAATTCACACATAACAATATTAACCTTAAATGTAAATGGGCTAAACGCTCCAATTAAAAGACACAGACTGGCAAATTGGATAAAGAGTCAAGACCCATCAGTGTGCTGTATTCAGGAAACCCATCTCACGTGCAGAGAAACTTGTAGGCTCAAAATAAAAGGATGGAGGAAGATCTACCAAGCCAATGGAAAACAAAAAAAGGCAGGGGTTGCAATCCTAGTCTGTGATAAAACAGACTTTAAACCAACAAAGATCAAAAGAGACAAAGAAGGCCATTACATAATGGTAAAGGGATCAATTCAACAAGAAGAGCTAACTATCCTAAATATATATGCACCCAATACAGGAGCACCCAGATTCATAAAGCAAGTCCTTAGAGACCCACAAAGAGACTTAGACTCCCACACAATAATAATGGGAGACTTTAACACCCCACTGTCAACATTAAACAGATCAACGAGACAGAAAGTTAACAAGGATATCCAGGAATTGAACTCAGCTCTGCAGCAAGCGGACCTAATAGACATCTACAGAACTCTCCACCCCAAATCAACAGAATATACATTCTTTTTAGCACCACACCACACCTATTCCAAAATTGACCACATAGTTGGAAGTAAAGCACTCCTCAACAAATGTAAAAGAACAGAAATTATAACAAACTGTTTCTCAGACCACAGATTTTGCAATCAAACTAGAACTCAGGATTAAGAAACTCACTCAAAACTGCCAACTACATGGAAACTGAACAACCTGTTCCTGAATGACTGCTGGGTACATAATGAAATGAAGTCAGAAATAAAGATGTTC
The DNA here is from genome assembly GCF_000001405.40 of Homo sapiens. Lineage (NCBI taxonomy): Eukaryota > Metazoa > Chordata > Mammalia > Primates > Hominidae > Homo > Homo sapiens. The sequence goes on along the minus strand of NC_000005.10, from coordinate 45,583,748 downwards.
TTTGAAACCAACGAGAACAAAGACACAACACACCAGAATCTCTGGGACACATTCAGAGCAGTGTGTAGAGGGAAATTTATAGCACTAAATGCCCACAAGAGAAAGCAGGAAAGATCCAAAATTGACACCCTAACATCACAATTAAAAGAACTAGAGAAGCAAGAGCAAGCACGTTCAAAAGCTAGTAGAAGGCAATAAATAACTAAGATCATAGCAGAACTGAAGAAAATAGAGACACAAAAAACCCTTCAAAAACTCAATCAATCCAGAAGCTGGTTTTTTGAAAAGATCAACAAAACTGATGGACTGCTAGCAAGACTAATAAAGAAGAAAAGAGAGAAGAATCAAATAGATGCAATAAAAAATGATAAAGGGGATGTCACCGCTGATCCCACAGAAATACAAACTACCATCAGAGAATACTATAAACACCTCTATGCAAATAAACTAGAAAATCTAGAAGAAATGGATAAATTCCTCGACACGTACACCCTCCCAAGACTAAACCAGTAAGAAGTTGAATCTCTGAATAGACCAAAAACAGGCTCTGAAATTCAGGCAATAATTAATAGCTTACCAACCAAATAAAGTCCAGGACCAGATGGATTCACAGCCAAATTCTACCAGAGGTACAAGGAGGAGCTGGTACCATTCCTTCTGAAACTATTCCAATCAATAGACAAAGAGGGAATCCTCCCTAACTCATTTTATGAGGCCAACATCATCCTGATACCAAACCCTGGCAGAGACACAACAAAAAAAAAAAAGAGAATTTTAGACCAATATCCTTGATGAACATCGAAGCCAAAATCCTCAATAAAATACTGGCAAACTGAATCCAACAGCACATCAAAAAGCTTATCCACCATAATCAAGTGGGCTTCATCCCTGGGATGCAAAGCTGGTTCAACATACACAAATCAATAAATGTAATCCAGTATATAAACAGAACCAAAGACAAAAACCACACGATTATCTCAATAGATGCAGAAAAGGCCTTTGACAAATTCAACAACCCTTCATGCTAAAAACTCTCAATAAATTAGGTATTGATGGGACGTATCTCAAAATAATAAGAGCTATCTATGACAAACCCACAGCCAATATCATACTAAATGGGCAAAAACTGGAAGTATTCCCTTTGAAAACTGCCACAAGACAGGGATGCCCTCTCTCACCACTCCTATTCAACATAGTGTTGGAAGTTCTGGCCAGGGCAATCAGGCAGGAGAAGGAAATAAAGGGTATTCAATTAGGAAAAGAGGAAGTCAAATTGTCCCTGTTTGCAGATGACATGATTGTATATCTAGAAAACCCCATCATCTCAGCCCAAAATCTCCTTAAGGTGATAGGCAACTTCAGCAAAGTCTCAGGATACAAAATCAATGTACAAAAATCACAAGCATTCTTATACACCAACAACAGACAAACAGAGAGCCAAATCATGAGTGAACTCCCATTCACAATTGCTTCAAAGAGAATAAAATACCTAGGAATCCAACTTATAAGGGAGTGAAGGACCTCTTCAAGGAGAACTACAAACCACTGCTCAAGGAAATAAAAGAGGATACAAACAAATGGAAGAACATTCCATGCTCATGGGTAGGAAGAATCAATACCGTGAAAATGGCCATACTGCCCAAGGTAATTTATAGATTCAATGCCATCCCCAGCAAGCTACCAATGACTTTCTTCACAGAATTGGAAAAACCTACTTTAAAGTTCATATGGAACCAAAAAAGAGCCCGCATTGCCAAGTCAATCCTAAGCCAAATGAACAAAGCTGGAGGCATCACACTACCTGACTTCAAACTGTACTACAAGGCTACAGTAACGAAAACAGCATGGTGCTGGTACCAAAGCAGAAATATAGACCAATGGAACAGAACAGAGCCCTCAGAAATAACACTGCATATCTACAACTATCTGATCTTTGACAAACTTGACAAAAACAAGCAATGGGGAAAGGATTCCCTATTTAATAAATGGTGCTGGGAAAACTGGATAGTCATATGCAGAAAGCTGTAACTGGATCCCTTCCTTACACCTTATACAAAAATTAATTCAAGATGGATTAAAGACTTAAATGTTAGACCTAATACCATAAAAACCCTAGAAGAAAACCTAGGCAATACCATTCAGGACATAGGCATGGGCAAGGACTTCATGTTTAAAACACCAAAAGCAATAGCAACCAAAGCCAAAATTGACAAATGGGATCTAATTAAACTAAAGAGCTTCTGCACAGCAAAAGAAACTGCCATCAGAGTGAACAGGCAACCTACAGAATGGGAGAAAAATTTTACAATCTACTCATCTGACAAAGGGCTAATATCCAGAATCTACAAAGAACTCAAAGAAATTTACAAGAAAAAAACAAACAACCCCATCAAAAAGTGGGTGAAGGATACAAACAGACACTTCTCAGCCGAAAGACACATGAACAAATGCTCATCATCACTGGTCATCAGAGAAATGCAAATCAAAACCACAATGAGATACCATCTCACACCAGTTAGAATGGCAATCATTAAAAAGTCAGGAAACAACAGGTGCTGGAGATGATGTGGAGAAATAGGAACACTTTTACACTGTTGGTGGGACTGTAAACTAGTTCAACCATTGTGGAAGTCAGTGTGGCGATTGCTCAAGGATCTAGAACTAGAAATACCATTTGACCCAGCCATCCCATTACTGGGTAGATACCCAAAGGGTTATAAAACATGCTGCTATAAAGACACATGCACACGTATGTTCACTGTGGCACTATTCACAATAGCAAAGACTTGGAACCAACTCAAATGTCCAACAATGATAGACTGGATTAAGAAAATGTGGCACATACACACCATGGAATACTATGCAGCCATAAAAAGGATGAGTTCATGTCCTTTGTAGGGACATGGATGAAGCTGGAAGCCATCATTCTCAGCAAACTATCGCGAGGACAAAAAACCAAACACCGCATGTTCTCACTCATAGGTGGGAATTGAACAATGAGAACACATGGCCACAGGAAGAGGAACATAACACACCAGGGCCTGTTGTGGGGTGGGCGGAGGGGAGAGAAATAGCATTATGAGATATACCTAATATTAAATGACGAGTTAATGGGTGCAGCACACCTACATGGCACATGTATACACATGTAACAAACCTGCAGGTTGTGCACATGTACCCTAAAACTTAAAAGTATAATAAACAAAACAAAACAAAAAAACAACAAATCTTATAGCTCTGTAGATCAGAAGTCTGATATGGTTCTCACTGAGTTAAATCAAGATGTAGGTAGGCTGCATTTTTTTCTGTAATCTGCAGTGGGGGAGTTGTTTCATTGCCTTTTCCAGGTACTAGAGGCCACCACATTCCTTGGCTTGTGACCCCCAGGAGAAATTTAAATTCTCCTCACTTTGAATCACTCTGATTTAATTCTAGTCACAGCTCTTCTGATTCTCCTCTTCTGCCTTCCTTGTTCACATTTAAGGTCCTTTGTGACTACAATGGGCCCTTATGGACAATCCAAGGTAATCTCCCTATTTTAAGGCCTGTTGATTTTCAACCGTAATTACCTCCACAACCTTAATTTCCTTTTGCCATGTAATCTAATATTTTCCTAGGTCCAGGGAGTAGGACATAGGAACCTTTCAGGGCAATATATTCAGCCTTCTGAATAGGCTGAATCCTTGAAGGTCTCAGCGGGACTGTGGCTTTGAATAGGCGACTCCAGTATATATCTTTCAATTAATATTCCAGAGGAATGTGGTGGAAGGATATTGCATCTAAATGGCAGGCATATTTTGACACTTTGACCATCCGAAAGGAGTTAACATGTCAACATTTAGAGGTTTATCATCTCCTATAAATCAGTCTTTTACCAGGAAGAGAAATTCTCACATAATCTATTCCATTGTTGCACTGCTTAAAAAACAGAAACAAAAGACAAAGACCATCATCTTTTCTTTTTCTCTCTTTTTATATAGATGTGTATTTCAGAGATTACTTATTACTTTTAATTTATTATTCAGCTTGATGTGCTATACCTTCCCTTCCTCCAAACTATGAAAATGTATAAATATTTCTGTATCTAATATCTAAACCTTAGATTGAAATGTTAACAATTAAAAACCCAATTATAAATCAGCACTTATTCACTTTTTTGTTTGGCTCTTTTTAATTTTTGTAAGCTCTCACTACTACTATATTCTCTCCTTGATAATTTCACTCTTTGTTTTTTAAGTATTAGGATCTTTGCGAGACCATGGTAGATACTTGCAGGAGACGAAAATATGACCAAAGGGAAAAGGAGAAGAGGTTCATTTACTGTGTGTCTCAAGAGACAAGGCATGGAGATTGGTCTTGAGCTGTGTTGGTGAGGTTCAATTTATGAGGCAGTTTACAATCTGGAACTTGATGATGACTGTAGGAAAAATAAGACTTTGTACCTACAGCTTGGTATAAAGGAAACAATACTGATCTGAGTCAGCTATTAAGAGTTTATCTGACTACCAATAAGATTACCTTTCCGTTTGTCATTTGTAAACTTTGAGAATTTGACTAAATTTTTAGGATTTAAGTTTAAAAATCTGTAGCTTCGTGCCTTACATTTGTTCTTTATTCAATAGTTCTGTGTATATTTAATTATTATACTTGATTTTATAAACAGATACTTATATGTTAATACAAATAATAAAGTTTGGTTTAAAAACATTACTTTTGATATGAGAGGTTGTTTTAGGAAATTTGAAAATGTCATGAGATAACGATGACATTTGCACAAAATTAATTGTAGATACTGATTAATCCCATCCAGGTGAGTGAAAGCCAGTATAGTAGACATATAACAGGTATTGCTTTTAATTTATTATATTATTTTTGCATATATTTCCTCAAGTCTGAGAATACTAAAAATATATTACTTCCCTTTGCTCTTCTTTCTAGAGCAAAAGTGCCTGATTTGAATTTTAGTCATATTACATTTTAACTGTGTAACTTCGGCTGTTTGTTAATTGCTCTATGCCTTCATTTTTTTTCATCTGTAAAATGGGAATATTAATATTATTTATTTTATAAAGTGTTATGAGAACTAAGTGGGTTAGTAAATGTAAAGCACTTAGAATATAGCACTGACAAAGTGAATGCTCCGTACTGTTGAGCTATGATGATTCAGGAGTCATGCAATCTCTAAAATTGGCTTAAAGACAGTGTGACACTGTAGATGTTTGCCTCACCACCTCCCACTCTTATCTAATGCTTCCTGGAAACACTGGCATATAGTTTTGAACACACTGGAGAGGAGTTGACTAGGTGCATTTTTTTTTTCTCCATAGCAACAGAAAATAAACAATATGTGCTGCATGTTGAGTCAGAAGGCTCCACATATTTCACTGTCAAGCCTGAATCTAATGCCAGTTCATATTCACTTCCAAGAAGAGACCGCCTAATCACTGCTTGGAATATGTTTCCAGCCTGGTGTTGACATCCCTAATACCCTCATTTGAGACCCTTTAGATAGACCTTTGTCTTACTAAGTTGGCCTTCCATTAGACCCCAATTATCCCATTTTGGCTTCTCAGGACACTGTGGTGGGTCATCTAAAAAGAGAACTAGAGTAAACATTAGCAATGGCAACAACTAAACCTTTTCTTACCATCCCTGTGACAAAAATATCCTTCCTCTCAGTTGTTTAATTTTGCTTAACTCTGCTGTCATCAATCATAGTAAGCTAGGTTTGTAAGTCTCATCACTACTGTGAGTTCTAAGCATGTGTTCAAAAACCATGAATTACAGATGGCATACAAAAGAATAGTGACACTACTTCCAACCACCCTACTCTCTGGTTAATGCGATTTTGAAAATTACTAATATTAATATCAACTTAGGCAACAATATCATTTTCTTAATTTTTTTCTTCAAATTCAGTTCAAAGAACAGATGCATTGCTTCGTATTTCTAAGTACATTTAAGGAAATAAAACCTCAAGTATAAGAAAAGCTACTTCATGTGATAAGTTTTATAATGTCAGAAAAGTTCTTATAAAGCTCATTTTATAATTTGCATATATTTCTTTATATAGTTGTTAAAATAACTAGAACTTTATGCTACCTAGATTTTTTAATGATATATTTATCCTGCAATGGATTATTATTTAAGGACTGGAGGCCAAATGTTTTGTAAAATTGGGAACTATTTAATACATAAATAATCACAAATTTATGCTAGGCCTATAATTTTATATTTCTTACATTCCTATGAAAATATGTTTTAAGTTACAAGATGCTTTTCAAATTGAATACATGATAATTTGTGAAACTAGTTTTATGTACATTTAGACAAATACAATATGACATAGCACAGCTAATTCCCCATTTTGACATATTAAAATCATACCCTACCACCAACACCCAGCACTGATGTCAGCCCTCTATTAAGCTTTCTGGATCATTCTAATCAGAAGATTTTCGTCTTGTTCTAATTTCTAGCAATTGATGCATATGTAATTCATGATGCTATTAATATTATTTCCATGTGTTTTTTCCACCTATTAAATTGTAATAACCTTGAAAACAAGAATAATTTTATTCAGCTCCAACAATATTCTGATTGTACTAGCAGGTTAATAATATTTATTGATTAAATGCCTTTGTAGTGAGAGTAATTGTTAGCAAATAGCTAACTCCAACCCTTCCAAAATAAAGATATACATTCAGGTAGAGAATATAAACTTGGTGAATGTAGGTCATTCATTTGGTACAGAGACATCAAAAACATTTATAAAAAGAATGCTTTAAGTTTGCATAGAGGGTTAAAAGCCTTAGCATACCTCCTGGGGAAGGGGAAAATAAAAGATTAGGTTCAGGATGATTCACAAATTTGAAAGGTGGGCTGATGGAGAAATTGGGATGAATTGGTTCAAAAAGGCCTATCTCCAAAATACTGCTGGTTTGGTTCCAGAACACCAGAATAAAGTTAATATCACCATAAAGAGAGTCACGCAAATATTTTGGTTTATCAGTGCATATAAATGTTATGTTTACACTATACTGTAGTCTGTTAAGTGTGCAATAGCAGTATCTCTACAAAATATACATACTTTAATTAAAAAATGCTTTATTGCTAAAGTATGCTAACAAGATCATCTGAGCCTTCAACTAGTGATACTTTTTGCTGGTGGGAGGTCTTGCTTTGATGTTGATGACTGCTGTCTGACCAGAAGGGTGGTTGCTGTAAGTTGGGGTGACTGTGGCAATTTGTTAGAATAGGACAACAAGGAAGTTGGCCACATCAATTTACTCTTCCTTCAGAAAAATGTATCTGTAGCTTATGATGCTATTTCATGGCATTTTACACATGGTAGAACTTCTAAATGAAGTCAGTCTTCTTAAACACTGCCTCTGCTTCTGCTTCATTAAATAAGTTTATGTAATAGTCCAAATCTTTTGTTGCCAGTTCAACAATATTCATAGCATCTTTATCAGGTGTAGATTCCATCTCAAGAAACCACTTCACTTATCTATAAGCAACTTCTCATTCATTCAACTTTTGTCATGAGATTGCAGCAATGTAGTCACTTCTTGAGGCGCCACTTCTAATTCTAGTTCTTTTATTATTTCCAACACATCTGCAGTTACTTCTTCCATTGAATTCTTGAATCCGGCAAGGTCATCCATGGTGGTTAGAATCAACTTCTTCCAAATTTCTTTTAATGTTTATATTTTGACCTCCTCCCATCAATCAACAGTGTTCTTAATGACATCTAGGATGGTGAATCCTAGGTTTACAATTTATTTTGCCCAGATTTATCAGAGGAATCACCATCTATGGCAGCTATACTTCATAAATATATAAAAATATATTTCTTAAATCATAACACTTGAAAGTTGAAAATACTCTTTGAAGCATGGGCTGCAGAATGGATGCTGTGTTAGCAGTCATGAAAACAGCATTAAATTAATCTCCTTGTACATCTTCATCAGAGCTCTTATGTGAGTGACTTGGTGCATTGTCAATGAGCAGTGATATTTTGAAAGAAATCTTTTTTTCTGAGCAGTAGGTCTCAAGAGTGGGCTTAAAGTATTTGGTAAACTATGTTGTAAACAAATGTGCTGACATCCAAGCTTTGTTATTTTATTTATAGAGCACAGGCAGAGTAGATTGAGCTTATTTCCTTTTTTTTATTATACTTTAAGTTTTAGGGTACATGTGCGCAACGTGCAGGTTTGTTACATATGCATACATGTGCCATGTTGGTGTGCTGCACCCATTAACTCGTCATTTAGCATTAGGTACATCTCCTAATGCTATCCCTCCCCGCCCCCACCACAACAGTCCCTGGTGTGTGATGTTCCCCTTCCTGTGTCCATGTGTTTCATTGTTCAGTTCCCAATTATGAGTGAGAACATGTGGTGTTTGGTTTTTTGTCCTTGCGATAGTTTGCTGAGAATAAGGACCTTAGAATTTTCAGGATAGTCAATGAACATTGGCTTCAACTTAAAGTCACCAGCTACATTAGCTCCTAAAAAGAGAGTCAGACTGTTCTTTGAAGATTTAAACAGGCATTGATTTTTCATCTTTAGCTATTAAATTCCTAGATGGCATTTTCCTCCAATAGAAGGATGTTTGGTCTACATTGAAAATATGTTGTTTAGTGTAGCCACCTTCGTTCACCTTCATGAATTATCTTAGCTATACCTGAATAACTTGCTGAAGCTTCTACCTTACCAGTTGCTGCATCACCTTGCACTTTTCTGTTCTGGACATTACTTCTTTCCTTAGATCTTAAGAACCAAACTCTGCTGGCTGCAAACTTTTCTTCTGTAGCTTCCTCATTTCTCTCAGCCTTCACTGAATTGAACGGAGTAACTGCCTTGGTCTGGATTAGGACTTGGCTTAGGGAATGCTGTGGGTGATTTGATCTTCTATCCAGACCACTCAAACTTTCTCCACATCAACAGCAAGGCTGTTTCTCTTTCTTATCACTCCTGTGTTCACTGAAGTAGCCTTTTTAATTTCCTTCAAGAACTTTTCCTTTGCATTCACAACTTGGCTAACTGTTTGGCATAAGAAACGTAGATTTTGGTCTGTTTTGGCCTTCAACATGCCTTTGTCACTAAGCTCAATCATTTCTAACTTTTGATTTAACGTGAGAGATGTGTGACTCTTTCACTTGAACACTTAGAGGCCATTGTGGAGTCATTAATTGGACTAATTACAATATTGTTGTGTCTCAGGGAATAAGGAGTCCTTAAGGAAGGGAGAGAGATGGAGAAACAGCTGAGCTGACTGAGGGAGCAGTCAGAACACACACTTATTGATGAAGTTTGTCATCTTACATGGCATGGTTCATGGCACCCCAAAGCAGTTACATTAGAAACATCAAAGATCACTGATCACAGATCACCATAACAGATATAATAATAATGAAAAAGTTTGAAATATTATGAATATTACCAAAATGTGACACCTGAAAGTGTCATGTGAGCACATACTATTGTAAAAATGGCACCAATAGACTTGGTTGATGCAGAGTTGCAAAAATCTTAAATTTGTAAAAATTACTTTATCTGAGAAGCACAATATCATTAAGCCCAATAAACCAAGATATTCCTGAAAACTGTTCCAAATTTAATAGCTATATAGCATCATGGTATTGTGGATAGGATAGGAAAAATAAAATTTTATGATTCATATACTTCCCTTTTACCATATTCAATGGGCACATTACATTTTATGATCAGTTGTAAGCAAGTTTTATTTTGTATATGCTATTGGGAATCTACTTATCTTACATTTATTAATTTTTACAAATTATAATTTATAAGGGCAAATTCAGTGTATTTTTCTCATAAAATAAATATCTTTTTTTGTTCAGAAAGCTTATATAATGGTTTTTAAGAAACAAATTCTAAAAATACATCTTATAATGTAAATACTTTTTTTCAGAAACCTCTCTTAATCATTTTAAAAATACTACTGCGAATGTAATTTCCCAAGGCCAAATGTCAGCAGTCAGTAATAATAGGTATCTTAAATCAATCATCTCAATATTTTCAACCCTCATAGATTTTTTTTAAGTATATAGTGAATGGGATGGCATTAGGGGAGCAATTTTCAAGTCTATTTCTGGAAGACATTATTCATGGTAATAGCACATAAGACCATTTTGTCCTCTTCTGTTGGTTTTGGTTCACTGACCAAAGGACAACATTTATAAAGTAAATGTACAAAAAAGTAAGAAAAGGATAGTGTTACAGTGTTTTTTTAACAATTTTCGGGGTGGGGGGAGGTTATTGGAAAACCCTCCTCAGGAAAATAAATAAATGAAGTGAATTCACAGCTGTATTTGCACTAGACACTATTAGCAATGGGATTTTGGTAGCAGAAAATGCAGTTTCCCTAATGAGACAATACCTTAGTCAGCCTGGGTATTGAATTAGAAGAGGACTTTCATAATGATGTTCAGATTTTTGAACTGCAGTGGTGCCTATGTTCTTACTAAGTTGTTTGGGGAAGAAGAGCAGAAAAGAGTAATAGATTTCGAAGAAAATGATGAGTTTAATTTTAAATGTGTTTAAGCTGAGGTCCTTTGAAGAAATTTGAATAGAGACATTTATATGCATAGATAATATTCTATTATGTACATAGAAATTTCTTAAAACAAGTAAGTTTCTATCATCAACCTTCCAAGCATGAATTTCTGTATGCCAAAAACATTTTGCGCAGCTAAGCAAAACAAATGCTAATGCAGGTGTTTGCTCAAATGTTATGTTTCAATAGATCCTTTCCTGACGACCTTAAAAAAAATGAAATGTTCCTCCCTACCCACACACTTCCTATTCTACATTTTATGCATCTTTTCTCCATATCACAAATCACAATGACATTTAATATATTGAACTTATTTTTTATCTCTTTTTCCCTATTCACAACACTACAAAGTCCCTCCATTAAGGGAAGGGCTTGTGTTCAGTGCTGTATCCTCAATAGCTAAATTGGTGCCAGTACGTGCTCACAATTTTGTTAAACAAATTAATGAATACAGAGTCAATCATTAGTTCCTGAAATTCTGTATCACCAATCTTTTATGTATGGTAAGACCATTTTACCATTAAAAGAGAAGAAACATATTTCCCCAATTTAGAAAAGTAATATGATTATATCACTCTCAATCTTGGCTATAGACCAGGCTAAAATGCAACAGTTGTATGTCCACATATACAAAAACACAGCCACACTTCTTTTTATCTTTTTAAAAAATCATTTATAGATATTTTCCAAGTGTGTGAATCCTTAATATTATTAGCCCTGAGCAGATTGCACTATATCCAGGTTAATTCTCTTTAAAGTACTTTGAGCATTCCTGAAAGAATGAAGTTTTATGGTTAAGTAATGGACTAAGCATAAAGATACCAAATAAGGAGAACATGAAAGGACAATGAGAAGTGCTTCTCATGAGTCTGATGCAATTTCTGTAATTTACTTTATTAGATATTTCATTCCTCAGGGTTAAGGTCTGATTTAAAATCCTTTAGAATGAAAATGCTTCTTGAAGGGTATATATTTTTTATTTATCCTTTGGCATTAATAAGTTATCAAAGCAATTTCCACAGTGGAGGCTGAAAGGAGGATAACAATAGATATAATGTGTACAAATGAATGGAGAGAAGAGTGGAAGATAAATCACTGCTTAGAAACCATCAGGCTCTCTATTATGATTGGATCTAACACCACAATGTCTAAAGAGAAAGGACATGGGATGCTTTCAAATGCATTTATAAACAAAATATCAATGGTCATAACTCATAGTGACTTTTAAAATATTTTTTATTATTATTTTTGAGATGGAATTTCACTCGTGTTGCCCAGGCTGGAGTGCAATGGCATGATCTCAGCTCACTGCAACCTCTGCCTCCCAGGTTCAGGCAATTCTCCTGCCTCAGCCTCCCAAATAGGTGGGATTACAGGCATGTGCCACCATGCCTGGCTAATTTTTTGTATTTAGTAGAGACGGGGTTTCACCATGTTAGTCAGGCTCGTCTCAAACTACTGACTTCAGGTGATCCATCTGCCCTGGCCTCCCAAAGTGCTGGGATTACAGGCATGAGACACCGCGTCTGTCCTCATATTGGCTTTAAAATAAAGACATTTGTAAAAATCTGTAGTAAATATCCTGAGTAGAACAGGCATGGAGCTAATTAATATCATAACTCAAAATTCCCATGAAGCATCCAGGTTCTTTGATGACATCTTTCATCCCCACCATTCTTAGCTTGTCTATTTTGGCGTTTCATCTATCTTGCCCCAAGTCACAATATGGTATAGCAACTCCAGTTTGCGTGTCCAGATAATAAAATATCCAAAAGAAAAGAGAAAAACAGCGTGTTCTCTGATTCTCTTTTTAAGAGTCAGAAAACATCTCCAAGAAAAAACCATGAAACTTAACCCTACATACCCAATTTTACACCAATAATTGTCAGGGGGAATGGGATTACTGGGTTTGTTTACTAATCTGGATTTACGTGAATCACATGGGTACTAGTGGACACACCAATGAAGTCATCATCTGTATGTCATTAGGAAGGAAAGAGGAAGGGACCATAATGGGACAATCTATTATGCCTGCTAGAGGAACCAAAAAGAGTTTTAGAAACTAAGCATATTTAATTAAACCAATGTAGACATGGAAGAAGTCAAAAATGGGAAACAGCATGAATTGTCCCTTGTACAATTTTTTCAACAGTACAATCATATCAGGTATTAAATTATCAAGTGAGCAATATTGTCCATAATCCTCATAAGTATTTATTTTAATAGTATGAAATATGAGCATGATAGAATAGAAAAATATACTTGTCACAGGAGCAAATTGTCACAAAAGAATTTTAAATTCCGCAGCAGGTTTTTACATGTGAAATTTCTTTGTATATTTGTGTCAGAAACATCTAATTCTAGAATGAGGGTAATAATAAGGAATTAGTACTCTATTTATCTACTTATCCATATTACTGAAAGTTTTAATCTTTTTAAAAGTAAGGCACTAACAATGTTAGGTGTGTTTTGTTTACTTTTTTAGATTTTGTTTTTAGACTAGATCAACTATCCAGTTTAAAAATTAGGTTGGATACAATGTAGGTATAAAAGTCAAATGATCTGAGTAATGTTTTAGATATTGAGTATTAAAGATATTTAGCTCCCGATTCTGCGTCCTCTGTGTAAACCAGGAAAGCAACAAAATAGCTTGTCTTATCAGTGTCTTAATTATTGCTTTGCTGAAGTTTCTCTCCCAGCTGGTAAGGTAGTATGGTGGTGAAAAGATTATTGCCAAAAGACTGTTAATAATCAATTGGCCTGCCTAATAAACATGGAGATGATAAGGTGAAAAAAGAAATGTGTCAGTAGATTCCATGTTCCAGATGATATCTACTCTAGAAAAATGTGTAATAAAAGAAACATAAGCAGAGTCATCAGAAGAATCTACATGAGAATTTAAAGATGCAATAAAAATACCTTAGAAGTAGGGGAAATAGAAAAAGAAAGCGAGAGAGGAACAAAGGAAGAGAAGAAGGAAGAAAGAGAATATCAGATTAAATTAAATATCGATAAAAGATGTTCACGGTGACATAATTAAAAAGAAAATATAGCTTTGGTAATTAAAAATAGCAATAGGAATTCTTCAGTGTACACTAACATTTCATGACATTAATTTTAGATAATCTGGCAAATACCTACAAATTTTTTACTTCAGTCATTTGGTAGCTTTTAGTCAAATCTGTCTGGAAGATTTGTGCTTAAGCTAGGTTATCCCATCAAGTTAAATATCTAAGTCATTTCCTGTATGTTAAAATATACTAGCATGAGAAGTTATGTTATATTCTTGGCACCAAATCATAGGATGATGATGATGAGGATAAGGATGATGATGATGATGATGATAATAATGATGCCCACATAATCTACTTGTAAAAATATAGATTAATTAAAATTGTACTTACTAATTTTAAACTTTAAACTATATTAAGACTTTAGATATAAAGTTATATCCTGAATGTTAAAAAAATGGATGTTTGAATTTTGTAAAAACAGATAAAGACTGGGAATATTAAATAAATCTTGTATTAGTTGAGAACTATATAGTGAGCAGTTTTTATTTCTTTTGTAATATTAATAACCAAAACAGTAATTGAGATTAAATTAAATTAATTAATTAAATAGAACTCTAAACATGGTGAAATGTTACACCCTAAAGTTCCAAAGAGTAAACTCACAGAAGTCTTGAGGTTTCAAATATCAAACAAACTTTCAGCCATATGTAACTGTCTTATTTCTGAATTTCTCAAAAGAATTTTTAAAATATAAATCTTTCTACATGGGTAAAACCTTTAATATTACATTTAGAGGAGGAAAAGTAATAATTTTTCCTTATCTACAACAAGGTTCATGGACAATTCCTTTATCACAAGAAAAGATTAATAAGAGAAAAACAAAGCATATAAAGTTTCATATGACATTGAAACCTACAGAAATGAAGAACCAGAGACCCAGGGAAAATAGTATATTTTAATGGACAATCATGTAGAAGTATGATTGGAGGACAAAAGGATATGATCTAAAGGTCATTAGCTGGAGGTAACTTAGCAAGGTCTGTCTGTTCAGATTATTTCCTGTGTCTGTATGTGACATTTCTTCCCTCTGGGTGTAGGGCAGGACACCAGTCATAAAAGGATCTCCAGGGGAGTGGGAAGGAGACTGTCAGAGAGTAACCTGTCTAGGCTTTATGACCTGCTTCAGAGAGAAAGGGGTAAGGGGAATTTCGGTTTCTGAGCCTTAGTTCAGGAGAGAAAGGGTGGAAAAAGATCAGAGACCTTTCAACTTCTGTGATTTTATCAGTTTCCTTCAGTTTAAAATACTTAGTTTGCCAAGATACCATATTTTGATGTATTGTTTTCCGAGCCCTTACGTACATAATTTTAAAATAAAGCTACTTAAAAAAAGAACCTAGTGGTTTGAATAAGTAAACAATTCTTCCATTGTCATGACACTTCTAAGATTTTAAAGCACACTTTAAAATATAACGAGTGTTAATTTTTTTTTGCTTACCAATTTAATGGATAACAGAATAAAAAATGATTGATTTTTAAAACTAATAATAATAACAGTCATTAACATTTAATGAAATTCTACTCTGTGCTGGGAAATCTTCTACTTTACACATATTAAATAATTTAATTTTCACAATAACTGAGTTAAACACTGTTAGTATGCCCATTAAATGATGAAGAAACTAAGGCACAGAGCGTTATTCTGGGACCAGTTCTATTTCATTCCAATTTATTATGCTTTTTTTTTCAAATTTTGCACTTTACATTCCTAAAAATTGATGTGATCAGAAAATTTAACCAAGGTCTTGTAGCTTTTCTGAATCATCTAAAGAAGATTAATTGTATTAATGAGACAGTCTTCCTTATTAAGGTAGAGAGTCTACAAATTATTAAATATTTTTAAGGATAAAACTTTGAGCTAAGGGTAATTTGTGGATTTTTTAATCTGATGATCGTAACATTTGCTCAAGAAAGAGAAAATACTCTTAATATTATTTTTTAAATATATGATTACAAATGTTACTGATGACTAAAATAGTGAAAATAGCCAATACAAAAACAAAACAAAAATCCTGGCTGCACGTGAGTAGAGTGGAAAGACCTGTTATATGTGAAGCTAATACCTGTTTTATGTCTTTACTAACACTATAATTTTGAGCAAGTTCTTAGTGAAAACTTTAATTACCATAGATAGCAGTGTGTGTATATGTGTGTGTGTGTGTGTGTGTGTGTGTGTGTGTGTACTTCACATATGAAAGTAAGATAGAGGTGTTATGCATTTTACAAGCAAAAGGCACATCCTTTAAGAATCATGTTAAGGAGGCTGAATCCAAAATCCAGGTGTGTTTTAAAAACTTTCCAGGGACAGTTAAAATGGCCATTCAAGTGAAGGGTCAGAGTTAGAACTTAATTTTACCCTCATTTAGTTGGCAAGCACTGTGTTAGATGAGGACTATTTTTGGTCAATATTTTCCAAAGGGCACTTTTTGAAATTCAATCTAAAAGCTATGTTTTTCATGCCACCATGTTTTTGAACTGTATATAACTCTGTGTGTGTGTGTGTGTGTGTGTGTGTGTGTGTGTGTGTGTGTGTGTAGCCTAAAATGCCCTCTCCTTTTCACCATCTGGGTTTAGTTAACCTGTGTTAATCTTTAAGATTTAGTTCTGCATGTCAACATTTAGCTCTGTAAGCAGCTCAGTGCTATTCACTTTCAGCTCTGTACTCCTGCAGCTCCTTCCTTTTTTATGGATATTCCTCACTGCATTTTCACCCTGTAAGAAAGTTGCTTGTTTCCTACCAGTCACCCCATTCCTTTACATGGAAAAGGGACATTCTTTGTTTATTGTTGTGTTAGCAGAGCCAAGAACAATTTCTGGCACACGGTAGGTGTCAAATAATTTTTGAAGAAGAAAAGGAGGTAGAAAGACAAAAAAAAAAATGAAAGAAAAATCTGTGATGCTGGCAGATGAATAAATTTCCATTCAATTGATATATCTTAATTCCATTCTTAGTTCATCTTAATTGTCTTACTTCTTTTGTATATTATCCATAATTTTAAAACCAATTAAGTGAAATTCCCCTATGTATTGACAACAATATTAAGTTATAAAACATTTCATGAACTTGAAGTGGACAAACTTGCAGCAACTCAATTCCTCTGGAAGGAATGCCTGTGTATTTTCTTAACCTATAACCTGTATCAGAGAGAAAGTAATAGTGAGGGGAACAGACTGACACTTTTACTTCATGTGTATGGCTCACCTAATACTGACTTGTCCTTGTTCAAAGTTTTCTGCTTTTATAAAGCTCCTATTCGTTGCACAAGAAACCATATGAGAGTTCTTGCTTGGGCATTTTCCTCATAGGGAGGAACCCGTCCCAGAGTGCAGAAGGGCTAATCTTCCAGAAAACCATTGTGCAGGATCATTTCACTTACGTATGAGGACCTGTAGTCAAGGGAGTCTTTTATTTAGTCTGTCTCCATTTTCCTCTCATTTTATTGTTATTTTTCTTTCCTCTTTTATTTTCTCTTTGAAAAAAATTACTATCAATTTCCATTTGTGATCATTGCTTTGTGTGTTTCCCAGCATATAAACTCTCTTGATAATCTGGATTTTGATGTATAAAGCTGCAGCTGCCCTTTGATATGAGGCATTAAATGATGCAAAATTTAATATTCTAACTTAAAATTTATGGAAATATAATTGTGACCTAAATGAAAAATACTATAATCTCAAATACTGAAATAGTAAACTATCTAGTAATAAAAATATTGTGTAATGAAAAATGAGTATTTGATACTTTTAGATTACAAATGTGGGAGAGTAATGACAAGAAAGTGATATTATTTTAAATAAAATACCTTTCCTAAATTAAGTTAATTAGACCTACCTCAACCTAAAAAAGAGACAACCAGTTATAGAGTTTAAAAATGGAAATCAAATATGCATATAATTAAGGTGGTATTATACTGGGCAGTGCTAATAGAATCTCAGATTAGGAGAGATGAGAAAAATTCAGTAATTACATTGTTAGAATGATAAAATAAATTCTGTCATCTGTTGGAGAGAGAATGATATTGACCTGTGATAGAACTACTCAATTTAAGAGAACCATGACTAATTAGCAGTATTCAGATTTTGTTGTTTATACACAAATCATTATACCACCATCTCAAGTTACTCTGAGAACACATTTCAATTTTATTTTGTTGCCAAAATGAGGATACTCTTCAAAGTAATTTTCTCTCAAAACTGTG
Organism: Homo sapiens; assembly: GCF_000001405.40. NCBI lineage: Eukaryota > Metazoa > Chordata > Mammalia > Primates > Hominidae > Homo > Homo sapiens. Next base: position 45,565,894 of record NC_000005.10, on the reverse strand, counting down.
TCATATTCAATTAAGTTAATCTCTAAACCATGAGAATGATATTAACAAATAGAATACTTAATTATTATTATTATTGTTGTTGTTGTTGTTTTGAGACAGGGTCTCATTCTGTTGCCCTTGCTGGGTGCAGTGGTGTGATCATGGGTCACTGCAGCTTCAACCTCCAGGGAACAAACCATCCTCCCACCTCAGCCTCCCGTGTGACACCACACCCAGCTATTTTTTTGATTTTTTTGTAGAGGTGAGGTCTCTCTATGTTGCCCAGGCTGGTCTCAAACTCCTGGGCTTAAGCAATTGTCCTTCCTCAGCCTCCCAAAATGCTGGGATTACAGGTGCAAGCCACCGTGCCAGGCATGACTGCTTAATTATTTTTACCACTCTTTTATAATATCACAATAAAGTTGACTCCTGTGCTTACAAGTTATAACTACCCAAGGGCACAGCCTTTTCCATTAAAATATTGTTTAATGGTGGAACAGGCATGATTATACATGCAAATATATTCTATAGGGAAAACTATTAGTGTGTGTTGGAGGATTTTAAGGCCACACAAGGCTACAGGGTGAGTTGAGCCTGCTATGCACTAGGAATAATGGCAGCTTAATGATGACACTTCCTCCATTCATTGCTCCCACTGGTTTCTGCAGATAGAAAAATCTATAGTTAATTTAATATCATTCCCTTAAAAGAACATTTGGGAATAGGGTGTAGATTTAGTGAGATCAAAGGAAAAATATCTACCCTGTTTATCATTACTCATGAGTTTATTGGTCATTTCCATTGGACCAGCCCTTAAATCTGACAGTTCAATTTTAATTTACCTTTTCATTGCTTTTTCTCTGATATCTTCTTCCCATGATGAATTTCAGTTTAATTTAATTTGACAAAAACACAAAGATTCTTCTGACAAGATAATTATTTTGGGCTATTTTATAAAGGTATTTTGAGTTTACAGGGCAGAGGAAAAAAGGAAGTTGTTAACAAACACAAATGTGTAGCTCCAGTGTGCCCAACGAATCCCTTTATGCTTTTTTTCTGCTGTCATTTCTTTTCTTCCCTTCTGAGACAGATTAATAACAGACGTAATTCAGGCTGCCAGCTACTCCTTCTTTATTTGCGATTATTCCTTTTTATCATCTCATGTTCCTTACTACTGACAATTATGGAAAGCTTATGTTAATATCAGATTGTCTGTAAAATATAATTCTTTATAGAAATGAAGATAATAGGAGTATTTGCTCTTATAAAATGAGACTGGCATAAAGGATTACATAGTTAGAGCAAAATTGTTGCTTTAATAGTCTACCCTTAAAACAGCCATGGAAACATACATTGACTTTTCTGTGTGGGCATGACACTTTTAGGAGGATAGGAGTTGTAGGTAAAAGCTTCCTACTTTGGGAGGCCGAGGCGGGCAGATCACGAGGTCAGGAGATCGAGACCATCCTGGTTAACACAGTGAAACCCCGTTTCTACTAAATTAGTCAGGCGTGGTAGTCCCAGCTACTCGGGAGGCTGAGGCAGGAGAATGGCGTGAACACAGGAGGTGGAGCTTGCAGTGAGCCGAGATGGCGCCACTGCACTCCAACCTGGGTGACAGAGCAAGACTCCGTCTCAAAAAAAAAAAAAAGCTTCCTAAAGGTTCACCCACATTTAATTTCCTTGTTCACATTATTTTTACTTAGTGGGAGACAAAGTTTTTGAGGTATCAGGATGGGATTAATCATTTAAATTTCCTTTGTGGAGCAGAATGAAGTGAGATTAACTCAGTGTTTTAAGTTTTCATTACTTAACAAATTACATTTTGTCAAGAAGAATTTTACGACATTTATGATTGGGTCTGAGGATGTAGATGGTAATAATTAGGCTACTAGTTTTGCTCAGGTGTCATATGTCACCTCAGTTGTAAGTTCACAGCTACAATGTTGCTCTAACCTATGGGCATAGTTGGAAGAACTAGTATCAAATCAAAATGAAACTGACATAGATAGAAATTGGAGAAGAAAGCTCTTCAAAAATAGGAAGTGGACTTATATATTTTTGGGACTCAGATTTTTCAGCTGTAAATGATCAAAATGCAGGGTTATTGGGTGAATTAGACAAAATGTTTGTAAGGCACCTTATAAAAAGTGTTGTATATGATGACTATTCATTAAATAATTGCTGTAAATTCACTAAAAAGAGGTTGAATAAATTTAACATTTTCAACATTTTATCAATGATGTGAAGTGTTGTTAGAATTGTTTCAGAAATAATTTATATTATCTTAATTTCCTGATATGAGAATACTTAACACTGTTTCCTCTCAGTGTAGGAATTCTATTGTAAGTCTTATACTTGTAAATCTTATATCACTTTCAACATATTGTTCAATTCATAAATGAAATGTTATAGGGATTCCACTATATATATTTTTTATTTTATTTTATTTATTTATTTTTTTGAGATGGAGTCTCACTTTTGTCCTCCAGGCTGGAGTGCAGTGGCATGATCTTGGCTCACTGCAACCCCCGCTTCCAAGTTCAAGTGATTCTCCTGCCTCACCCTCCCGAGTAGCTGGGATTACAGGCACCCGCCACCACACCTGGCTGATTTTTTTGTAATTTTAGTGGAGACGGGTTTTCACCATGTTGGCCAGGCTGGTCTTGAACTCCTGACCTCAGGTGATCCACCCACCTCGGCCTCCCAAAGTGCTGGGATTACAGGCGTGAGCCACCGCACCCGGCCTTCACTATATATTTTAAATTCACTACATATATTCACTATAAAAAAGAAAGATAAATCCAGGTATGATAAATGTTAAATTTACCTTAGGTTTATTAAGGGACTGTTTCAGAAAAAAACTTCAAAATGTTTACAATTTGTTTATATGAATTTGTTTCTACAAACAAAACTATGTTTCAGTACAGAATTCTCCAATTCAGGTTTATGCTAAATATGTCCTTTCTTCAAGTTCTAGTTTTAAATGGTCCATCACATATCCTATGTATTTTGCTTAATTCAAATTAATGTTGCCTTTTATTATTCGTCCATTCTGAGAACAAAGTGTCAGTCTTGGTGTTAGGAAACCATTCAATTTACATGAAGTATCATCTATTCAAGAGGGTTTTGCGTACATTTGTTAAGCAATTTTTTTTCTGAGTGACGTGTAGAAAGAAAAAGTGGCAATTCTGGTTTTAGTCTTTTTATCACTTCCACTTTGACAATTCTCACATTCTTAATATTCTAAATCACAGGATTCATCTCAAGGAATTACCTTTGTGCCTGTTATTTTTACCCAGATATTCATTAATAGCTTCATATTGGTGTTTGTATATGTGTCTTTCTGTGTGTGCCTATTTGTGTATAAAATTTACCTAAGGGTTTTTTGTTTGTTTGTTTGTTTTGTAGACATGGGGTCTCACTGTGTTGGCCAAGCTGGTCTCAAATTGCTGGGCTCAAGTGATCCTCCTGTTTCAGCTTTCCAAAGTGTTAGGATTACAGGAATGAGCCACTGCACCCAGCTAGAATTTACCTAAATTTTAAATCAAGAGATTTTTCTAGGGTTTTTTCTCTGATATCATTCTGCTGTTGGATATCAAGAGAAAGATGTTAGGAAAACACACTTTGGTAAATTGGGAAGGTATGACAGGTATACACATAAAGCATTATGAAACCACAAAATGTGTAGACAGACATACCATTCTGTTGTTAACCTTCCAGAGTTAGTGTCAAACTCCACAGGTTTAAGGACAGGGCCACCAAGAAAACTGTTATCACTTCAAATGCCAGCCACAAATTTGGGAGTCACCAGGCCACCTGTACTTCTGTTCAACTGACTAAAAATGTGGTAGTTTCCCATGACCGCCCTCCAGTTGGATACTTCACTGAATGATTCACAGAGCTGAAGAGAGCACTATACTTATGATTACAGTTTTATTATAAAGAATAAAAACCAGGACCAGCCAAATGCAAAGTCTTAAACACAAAGCTTCCAAGCCCTCCCCTCATGGAATTAGAGTGCATCACCCTCACAGCACATTGATGTGTTCACCATCCAGGGAAGTTTCCATGTCCAGAGTTAGGATTTTGTTAAGTAAGTATGATTAATCACCGGACATGTGATTGAACTCAATCTGTAACCCTGTCCTATCCCTGGAAGTCAGGCTAACTCAAAGCCCCAATTTTCTAATCACATTATTGATCATTTCAGTGACCAGCCCCCATCCTGAGATATCTCCTTAGCATAAACTCAAGCGTAATTCAAGGGGCTCATAAATAACAAAGAGACTCGTCTTACCTGGGTTTTTTTTTTTTCTTTTTTCTCAGGAGCCAGGGACAAAGGCCAGTCAAATTCTTTTCTATGCAATGTTAAATATAAAATTAGGTATTTTATCTTAGTAATACACATTTTCTCTTTTTGCTACCCACTAAAAGTCTGATTTACAAAATATTTTAGCCTTTGAAGAATGACTTTAGAAGTCAACTTAAGTGTGCCATAATGGTATTGAACTTTTTTGGTATTAGAAGTACTCTAAATTGATTGCATTTGTTTAAGATGAATTGGAAATTTTAATCAAATTATTCAATAAATAATATGCCAAAAAATTACACTCAGGAGGATTCAATGAATAGAAATTATTTTTTAAAAAAGTGTGCAAAGAGGAAAACATAAAGATTTCCTATAAAATTAAGTATCAACTAAACATATTAAATTACCATAGCTTAAAAGCTTTGGACTATCTTGATTTGAATGAATAACTTTCCTATATTTAAGTAAAGTTTTTTAAAAATATAAATCTGATTGGGATGAAATTAAGAAGGCATGACATTTCAGCATGTTTTCTCTTTAAAAAAAATTTGTTAAAGAAAGGCACTCTAAGTAGAAACAAAGACAGAATCTGCAAAAATGTTTGAATTGCACATCCTGAATATGAAAAGTTTAGAATTTGATATTAGTTTAGCAGATACCTTAGCATTTGTAAAGAGGTTTTATTTCCTCAGTTAAAAAACTTCCACGCTATAGAGAAAAGCCAATGGAAGGTTTAAGCAGTGTCGTATTTACGAACCAGAAAATGAATCTTTAAAGAAAATATGAAAAATACTAAAAGCAATATGACTGTGTTAAGTCTTCAGATTATTACTAGATAAACAGCATTAGACTCATAGAGCAGTTGATTTAAGTGTGTGAATATATACAAATAATTTTTGTTATACTTAGTTTTTTATGAATATAAACACATTGTTTTTATTTGTTAAATATAATTGTGTTTTTGAAAATAATGTGGACAGGATAATTTTTAATTTTGTTAATACAATGAAACCAACTTTTTGGTCAATGTATCACTATTTCAAAAATTATATATTTTTAAAATATTTAGGGTCTCCTTTAAATTTTCAAAATTGTCCCATTTTTAACAAAGATTTAATGGTTAATCTACTTATGAAATGCCTATTTATAATTATCTACATAATGATGAGCTATGAAATATGACCGTTTAGAAATTGTAGGCTTGTGGTAATTTTTATAAATGATGTTAAAATGGAAGTTATCTTTTTGCTTAATCACTTTCCTCTGGTTCTATATAGATATAAATTTTTAAAAATACATAAAATTTCAGTATATGACTAAGGAATTAACATATTATCAAATAACAAGAATGCATACAAACATTATATACGTATACCCTGGAGATATTGCAGGTTTGGTTCCAGACCACTGCAATAAAGCAAATATAGCAATAAAGCAAGTGACCCAATAGTTTTGGTTTTCTATAAAACCAATTTGTATCAGTTTGGTATATAAAAAAGTTACGTGTACACTATACTATAAACTATGTGCTAATATTGTCTAAAAACAATGTAATTACCCTAATTAAAAAATTCTTTATTGGTAAAAGTGCTAAGCATCATTTAAACTTTTAGCAAGTCCTGATCTTTTTGCTGGTCTAAGTTCCGCCTCAATATTGATGGCAACTGGCTTATCAGGGCAGTGTTTACCGAAGGTTGGAATGGCTGTGGCAATTTCTTAAAATAAGACAACAATGAGGTTTCCCACATTGATTGACTTTTTTTCATAAAATATTTCTCTGAAGCACATAATGTTATTTGATACATTTTACCCACACTGGAATTTCTCTCAAAATTGAAGTCAGTATTCTCAAACACTGCCAGTGCTGCTGCTTTTGCAACTAAGTTTATGAAATATTCAAAATCTTCATGTTCTCATTTCAACAATGTTCACAGCATCTTCACTATGAGTAGATTCCATCTTAAGAAATGACTCTCTGCTCTCAAGTTGCATCATGATATTGCAGCAATTCAGTTACATCTTCAGGCTCCATTTCTAATTCTAGTTCTCTTGCTATTTCTACCACATGTGTAGTTACTTCCTCCACTAAAGTCTTGAACCCCTCACAGTCATCCATGAAAGTTGGAATACTTCTTCCAGACTTGTGTAATGTTGATATTTTGACATCCCATGAATCACAGATGTTCTTAATGACATCTTGGATGGTGAATTCTTTCCAGAAGGTTTAAAATTTATTTTGCCCAGATCCAGCAGAGGAATCACTATCTATGGCAGCTATAGACTTAGGAAATATATTTCTTAAATAATGAGACTTGAAAGTTGAAAATACTCTTTGAAGCATGGGCTGCAGAATGGATGCCTTGATATCAGTCATGAAAACAGCATTAATTTCCTTGTACATATCCATCAGAGCTCTTGGGCGACTAGATGTATTGTCAGTGAGCAGTGAGCCGTGTTAGGGAATCTTTTTTTTCTGAACAGTCGGTCTCAACGGTGGGCTTAAAATATGCAGCAAACCATAGGCTTGCTGTAGGCTGGGTGTAGGCTGGGTGTGGTGGCTCATACCTGTAATCCCAGGAGTTTTGGAGACCAAGGTGGGAGGACCATTTGAGGCCAGGAGTTTGAGACCAGCCTGAGCAATCTAGCAAGATCCCATCCCTAAAAAAAAAAAAAAAAAAAAAAAAATAGCTGGATGTGGTGGTATGTACCTATAATCCTAACTACTTGGGAGGCCAAGATGGGATGACTGCAGTGATCTTATAAGCTATGATAATGCCACCACACTCTAGCCTGGGTGACAGAGCAAGATCCTGTATCTAAATAAATAAATAAATACTATAGACACAGATGTGCTGTCATCCAGGCCTATTTTTAAATTCCACTTGTAGAGCACAGGCAGAGTAGATTGAGCATAATTTTTAAGGGCCCTTTGATTTTAGGAATGAGCAATGAGCATTTGCTTAAATTTAGGTTCACCAGTTGCATAAGCTCCTAAAAAGAGAGTAAGCCTGTCCTTTGAAGATTTAAAGCCAGACATTGATTTCTCTCTACCTATCAAAGTTCAAAATGGCATATTTTTCCAATATTTCAATTTAAGCCTCTTTCATTTACATTGAAAATCTATTTTTTAGTGTAGCCACCTTCATCAATTATCTTAGCTAGATCTTTTGGATAACTTGCTGCAGTTTCTACATCAACATCTGCTGCTTTATCTTACACTTTTATGTTATGGAAACAGCCTCTTTCCTTAAACCTCACAAACCAACCTCTGCTAACGTCAGACTTTTCTTCTGCAGCATCCTCACCTCTGTCAGGCTTCACAGAATTAAAGAGAGTTAGCACCTCACTCTGGGTTAGGATTTGGCTCAGGGAACATCATGGTTAGTTTGATTCTATCCAGAACACTCAAACTTTCTCCATATCAGAAATATGACTGTTTCTCTCTCTCTCTCTCTCTTTTTTTTTTTTAAATTAATTCTGTGTTCACTGGAATAGAGTTTTTGATATCCTTCAAGGATTTTTCCTTTGCATTCACAACTTGGCTCAGTGTTTGGCATAAGAGGCCCAGCTTTTGGTCTGTTTTTGCTTTCAATATGCCTTCCTCACTAAGCTCAATCATTTCTAGCTTTTGATTCACATGAGAGATATGTGACTCTGCCTTTCACTTGGACACCTAGAGTCCATTGTGGAGTAATTAATTGACCTAATTTCAATATTGTTGTGTCTCAGGGAACGGGGAGGTCCAATCAGAGGGAGAGAAATGAAACAATGGCCAGTTGGTGCAGCAGTCAGAGCACACACAACATTTAACTATTAAGTTTGCTGTCTTATATGAGTGCAGTTCATGGCACCTCAAAGAAATTACATTAGTAACATCAAAGATCACTGATCACAGATCACTATAACAGATATAGTAACAAAGAAAAAGTTTGAAATATTGCAAGAATTACCAAAAAGTGACACAAAGCCATGAAGGAGCACATGCTGTTTTAAAAGTGGGACCAGTAGACTTGGTTGATGCAGGGTTGCAAAAGCCTCAATTTATTTAAAAACAAAAACAGTATCTGCCAAGTGCAATAAAGCCATGCACCATAAAATGAGGGTATTTCTGTATTCTTTACTTAGGAGCAATGATAAAGCATTTCAAGCAATTTGGAAGAAATATGTGATGAAATAAAACTTTTTATTCTGAATTGTCTGCCCAGTAATGTAGAACAAGAAGTCAGCAGCACTACAAAAGCAGTTGACAACTGAAAATGTAAAAGCTGCAGTTGTTTCCCACTAAAAATGTACATGGCTCAGTGACGAGAACCGTTGAGAATTTTAGGTTTCCAGATCAATGTGTATTGCATTGAAGAAAACAGAATAAGAAAGAAAAAGCAAAATAAGAACAAAGACAATTAAAAAAAAAGTTTTCAAATTCCAAATGTGAACAGCAGAGAGCTTTGGGAGGAATTGGGAAGATTTGATATTTCTGCATTAATTGTGGTTGAAACAAAAATGACACTGAATTTTCCTGTGATATTTGAAGGTTGTAAGTCTTTCAAAAGAGAAGTGAGACAGATTATTATCAGGGGATATTGAAGTGACAAGAGAACGGAAATCGAAATTTTATGAAAGTCCAAAGTCATGTGTAGGTAGAAGGAAAGCTTGAGAGATTAGTCAAGCTTTAAACGTGTGATATTTCAGGTGTCAATAGGATCTCCAAAAGATGAACTCCATCTTTCTGTTGGCAATTCAGGGAGGGAACTGCACTAGGAGAATAGTGTTCGCTATTCACACAGAATTATATGAGAAACAATAAGAATAAGAATTGATGGGAGAAGAAACATAGAGGGGAAAGAATATAAGGGAAAGAATCAGTTTGGGGGAACAGTGCATTAGAGAGTTTGAGAATGAACCTTTGAAAGCAGTAAGAGGCAATTAAGGCAAATGTGCTTCTTGGGGTGAGGAGACTAAAACATTCATCTTTGCATCTTCTGAGCTTGAAACATTATTAAATAGGAATGGAGAAAATGGAAGAAGGAATCTAGGAATGTAAGGATGAATGTTATAGTAGTACAATGTCATTCAAGAGATTTTGGGCTATAAAGAGAAGCTCAAGGGTATAAAGGAGTTTATGTATAGTCATGGTGAAATATGACTAATAACATGAAGGAATTAGAAAAGGACTTCAAGTTATAGGCAGAGAACAATGGCCTTATCAAGGTAATTTTAGTAGGAGAAAAGATGGGATGTTATCATAGGTTCTCACTTTTTATGCCGACATCTAGAGTTCCTTGGTAATGTATTAATAAACAGGTGAAGGATAGATTCTCCCATTTTGCGGGTTGTCTTTTTTACTTTGTTGATTGTTTCCTTTGCTGTTCAAAAGCTGTTTAACTTGATGTGATCTCATTTGTCCATTTATGCTCTGGTTGCTTGTGCTTATGGGGTATTACTCAAAAAATCTTTTCCCAGTCCAATGTCCTGGGGAGTTTCCTTAATGTTTTCTTTTAGTGGTTTTATAGTTTGAGGTCTTAGATTTAAGGGTTTAATCCATTTTGATTTGACTTTTGTATATGGTGAGAAATAGGGATCTAGTTTCATTCTTTGGCATATGGATATCCAATTTTCCCAGCACCATTTATTGAAGAGACTGTCTTTTCCTTAGTGTATCGTCTTGGCACTTTTGTTGAAAATGAGTTCACTGTAGGCATGTGGATTTATTTTGGGGTTCTTTATTCTGTTGTATTTTTCTATGTCTCTGCTTTTATGCTAGTACCATGCTTTTTTTGCTTACCATAGCTTTGTAGTATAATTTGAAGTCAGGTAATATGACTCCTCCAGTTTTGTTCTTTTTGCTCAGGATGGTTTTGGCTAGTGTCTCTGTGTGTATGTTTATTCTGTTGTATTTTTCTATGTCTCTGCTTTTATGCTAGTACCATGCTGTTTTTGCTTACCATAGCTTTGTAGTATAATTTGAAGTCAGGTAATATGACTCCTCCAGTTTTGTTCTTTTTGCTCAGGATAGTTTTGGCTAGTGTCTCTGTGTATGTGTGTGCCTTCATATAAATTTTAGAATTTTTTTCTAGCTCTTTGAAGAATGTCATTGGTATTTTGGTAAAGATTGCATTGATTCTGTAGATTGCTTTGGGTAGTGTGGACATTTTAATAATATTGATGCTTTCAATCCATGACCATAGAATATATTTTTATTTTTTGGTGTCCTCTTCAATTTCTTTCATTAGTGTTTTATAGTTTATATTATAGAGATTTTTTCACTTCTTTGGTTAAATTTGTTCCTAAGTATTGTATTTTATTTGTAGCAAGTGTAAATGGGATTACTTTTTTTATTTCTTTTTCATATTGTTCACTGTTGGCATATAGAAATGCTACTGATTTTTGTATGTTGATTTTGTATTCTGCATCTATACTGAAATTATCAGTTCTGCTAGTTTTTTGGTGGAGTCTTTAGGTTTCTCCAAATATAAAATCATATAATCTACAAATAAGAATAATTTGACTTCTTCCTTTCCAATCTGGATGCCCCTTATTTATTTCTTGTCTGATTGCTCTAGCAATAATTTCCTAGAATATTTTGCTTTGGGTGTGTTGCCCTAGGGGGATTTTGGAGCAGCCATATCAAAACAGCAGTAAAATGTGTTTCATTAAAAGGAAATCTCTTATTTACATTTTATGCCTGAGCTCCATAGTTTCTGAGCCTCCATGAATCTCAGAGAAAGCTTAATTGTCAAAGAAGGGGTGAGATGCTCCTGTATGTATTTCACCCCTTCTTCTTTAATACAGAAGAAAGTTAGAAAGTTTTTCAGATCAGATAACCACATTTTAAGGTCAAATTGCCCTTAGCAAAATTTCACATACACTGATTATTCATGGGCAATTAAATAACTCCTTGCCCGATATGACTGGTTTTGTTGATTTTCTCCTGCTTGCCTTAAGTATTATCCTGAATCCCCACAGGTTGGATTAGGCTGTAGGGGGCCTAGCTAAGTAATGTGGAATAGCTTTTGTTAGTTGTTTCAACCAGGTTTTCAGATCTATCAGACATTGTTTCTGTAGTGAAGAGAGCAATTATAATAACCCTAGGTTGAGGCCTTTTCTCTCAGATCAAGCCTGAACCTAAATGGATTTAGGTTCCATTTAGGAGGGATTACATTTATTTTTTCATTAAGTGTAAATACTGTGGGCAAGATGGTAATACATTTATTTAATAATAGCTTGATAGATTACATTTTATCAGGGTCATGAAAAACAGAATATTTGGATTATAAGGGAACTTAGTAGCCTTCTAATTCAACCTTCCTCCTAACCTGAGAATGTCTGTGACTTCTAATTACCCATTATGAGTACTTAATGCATGGGTAGTCACAATTTTATGAAGATACCTAATCATTATTTCAATGGGCCTATCTGTCAGTGATAATAAACAATAACTGCTTATTGACTCATTCAAAATTTAGAACTTCATTTTGGCCTATCTGGACTCTGCAATGAACTATCAGTGAAGGAGAAAAGGTTAAAATCTGAAATGAGCCAGTGCTGTAGTGAGGAAAGGCCAGGAATTCCATAGCTAACTTGGATGTTGGGATTTAGTAATAATTTAATGTGTAAGAAACACAGATCTGTAACAGATGGTGGGAGAATATGACTAATAGAATCTTTCACTTTTGCCATACTTAGAGTAAGGGGCATATGTGACTTCCAGGTACAGTTGGCCCTCCCATTCATGGGTCCTGTATTTCTGGATTTCAACAACTGAGAATGAAAAATATTTGAAAAAATCAATAAAAAACAGCATGAAAGGATTAAAAAACAAGTAAAAATGTAGTATAACAACTCTTTACATAGCATTTAGGTGGTATTAGGTATTATAAGTCACCTGGAGATGATTTAAGGTATATGGGCAGATGCACATAGGTTATATGCAAATACTATGTCATATTTTATGAGGAACTGTGCATAGGTTATATGCAAATACTATGCCATTTTATGTCAGTGATGAGCATCTGTGGATTTTGGTGTCTATGGGAGATGTTGGAACCAATACCCTATGGGTGGGGGATGGATACCAAGGGACAACTTTATATTATTTTGTAAGGGAAGGAAGACTTTATCATCTGAGTGATAAATTTGAGTCTATAAGGTAAACTGACAGCAGGCAGAGTAACAAGAAAAACAGTATACGCATTTATAGTGTGTCCAGGGGCATCATATGACCAAAAAATGATTACTCACAGCCTCAGTGAGATCTAGAAGCTTACATATACCCTTTTCTTAGGGGAAAAGCAAGAGAGGATGTAGCCAATCTAGGGGACGGTAAATGATTTTTGAGAAAGATGAATGGGGCCTCAGAAGAATATGTGACAGCCTGTGACAACATCTGTCTGGATGGACGTCCACCCCAGTCACCGTTCCTGTGATAGGAGTTAATCTTTCCTGATTGATGAGATTTCTGGGCAGGTGATTTAGGACAATTACATTTCTTTCCTTCAGAGGAGGCAGAGGATGTGACTTCTTTAGGTAAATAAGCAGAGTTCAGGGAAAGCCCCTTCATGCTTGTGCTTTTCCCAGGTGCTCTGAGTTTGAAGTAATCAGCATATCAAAATGGCATATTTTGAGGTGCAATTTTCTGAACTTCACTTTGATTGTGATTAATGTTATTCTTATTTTATCTGATCTCCTATTTGTGTCTCCATCTACTGTTAAAAGATTTCGTATTCCCAGTGTCTTCCTTTTATCATATACATTATGCCATGTAGAGTCCATTTATCCTTATATTGAACCAAAATTTGCTTGTCTTCAACACAACTCTTAGTTACGAATTTTAATGATAAGCTTACAAAAATTTGTAATGACCCTCCTGAGATTTCACTTCTGTAAGCTAAATGCTATTTTTGAGTGGATGAGTAAAATATATACCATGTTTCTAGACTTTTCCAATTATGCTTACTGAAGCTGTTAACTCTTTAAAAGCAAAAAGCTCTTTCAGATGTTACATTTCCAGTCCAAAATCAAATGCAATGATGATAGCTTTACCATAGAAGTCTGTCCTGTTTAATGAAGGAGCAGACTTCAGGACTTTCTCTTGATGATACTTATAGATGGAAATACTAAATAAATAATACTAAAATAATATGTGGACATGATAAGTTTTTTGTTCCACAGTTGCATTATATTGCTGCACTGCAAAGGAAAACTTTAAAGTCTACTTGAAATAAAATACTGTTAAATTTGTTGACTACCATATTATGCGAGTTCATGGCTGCCTGTTTTTTAAGGTATACTATGTAAACAATCATTTCATTATAAATTCACAGTTTGAGAAATGGGAAGTACATTAAAGAGGGAATGTACTGCTGCTGAAGTTAATGGAGAAGTCAGATTTAATGAAGCCTTTGCAGTTTCTGGAGATATGTGACAGATTTCGCCAAAGATGTTATTTATAGACCAGCTTTTCCCTTAGCTCAAGCTCAGATGCAAAATTTGAGGATGAATCTGCTTGTGTTAACCACTATCTCCTTCATGAATTTCTCTCAAAGAATATAAGATAATCCTGAGGTGTAATTAAAATTGTGGCAAAAATTTCTAAGAGTGGACAATTAATGGTCACTGTGTATATATTTTCAATTTATCCTGTGGCTTGGATATATTCTTTTATAAAACCAATGGCATTGTGCATCTTAATCTATTACCATTTTGGCTAATTACAAATAATAGGTTAAATTAGTTTTAAAAATAGCCAGACAGTTTTTATACCTTATACGTAATTGAACAGTAGTTAATTGATGGAAAATTTTCTTCATTATATTCAAGATTGTTTTTGTTATAAATCCTTTATAGAGTTGTTCGGAGTAATCCTCCACAATCACAAAATTGTACAGATAAAACACCAGAAAGATAATTGTTGGAAACAGGTATTACTGCTAAGTAGAATATAATATGAAAGTTTCCTTTAGCAATGAAATTTCGTATTATGATATTGATTATAATCTGAATAAACAATGCCCTTTGTGAGGCAGTATTTTACCTTCTTTTTTGAAAATAAAGAAAACTTTTATCCATCTTTAATCTTCTATCATTTTCTAATTCTCCATGATTGCTCAAATATATCATGTCCTTGTTGACATTGAGAGTTTTATTAGTATCTTGGGATATCATTCATTTTTGTCTAGAAACTTAAACTCTTGGATATATTTCTACATGTAACTAAAAAAAAAAAGGTTGGGAGATTTTATTGAAGTCTGCTTTTGTTTTCATTTGTTCATGTGCTTGATATGACATTAGATGTGCAATAGATAAGAGCATAATATATTTTTCACTTTTTTCGTCATTAGTTTGCTGTCTATTAGTGCTTACTGACCAATTCTTCATTGTAATACCTAGCCAGGAAATTGGGCAGAAAATTCTCACAATCAGACATGCGTATCACTGAATATGAAGTGACTTCCCAAAATTTAGGCCAGCGAAGTAGATAGATATAATGGATTATTATAAAATGCTAATATGCATCAGAGTTTTCCTTAAGAATAGGGATAATGAGTTGTCATTTTGTGAATTATTAAGATCTGTATGCTTAAGATTATGTAATTTGGCTTTCTGTGCATGGCTTTCAAAAATAGTATGATCGGTTTTCTCTATTTCTAACAAATGCAAAATCCATAGAAATGGAAATTAGCTGCAGCTGTGATTTTATGAATGGTTTCCTAGAAACTACATTAAAGAAAACTTTAATATACAAATGAGTTTTATACTTCTCTTCTAAGCAAGTGCAGATGGGAGATTTGTGAATTTTTATTGTTGCTACCACAATGGATTAAATATGCTTTTTGAAGATGATGGTCACATTTTCAAGTTTAAGCTAACATTTAGGTAAGTCCAAATATATGTGTTTCACAATGAAAACTTTAGAAATCATCTATTAAAATGAAAAACTCATCCATTACCTTTTTTTAAAAATTATACTTTAAGTTTTAGGGTACATGTGCACTGTGTGCAGGTTTGTTACATATGTATACATGTGCCATGTTGGTATGCTGCACCCATTAACTCGTCATTTACATTAGGTATATCTCCTAATGCTATCCCTCCCCCGTGCCCCAACCCCACAATAGGCACCGGTGTGTGATGTTCCCCTTCCTGTGTCCACGTGTTCTCATTGTTCAATTCCCACCTATGAATGAGAACATGTGGTGTTTGGTTTCTTGTCCTTGCGATAGTTTGCTGAGAATGATGGTTTCCAGGTCATCCATGTCCCTACAAAGGACATGAACTCATCATTTTTTATGGCTGCATAGTATTCCATGGTGTATATGTGCCACATTTTCTTAATCCAGTCTATCATTGTTGGACATTTGGGTTAGTTCCAAGTCTTTGCTATTGTGAATAGTGCCGCAATAAACATACGTGTGCATGTGTCTTTATAGTAGCATGATTTATAATCCTTTGGGTATATACCAGTAATGGGATGGCTGGGTCAAATGGTATTTCTAGTTCTAGATCCCTGAGGAATCGCCACACTGACTTCCACAATGGTTGAACTAGTTTACAGTCCCACCAACAGTGTAAAAGTGTTCCTATTTCTCCACATACTCTCCAGCACCTGTTGTTTCCTGACTTTTTAATGATCGCCATTCTAACTGGTGTGAGATGGTATCTCACTGTGGTTTCGATTTGCATTTCTCTGATGGCCAGTGATGATGAGCATTTTTTCATGTGTCTGTTGGCTGCATAAATGTCTTCTTTTGAGAAGTGTCTGTTCGTATCCTTCGCCCACTTTTTGATGGGGTTGTTTGCTTTTTTCTTGTAAATTTGTTTGAGTTCTTTGTAGATTCTGGATATTAGCCCTTTGTCAGATGAGTAGATTGCAAAAATTTTCTCCCATTCTGTAGGTTGCCTGTTCACTCTGATGGTAGTTTCTTTTGCTGTGCAGAAGCTCTTGAGTTTAATTAGATCCCATTTGTCAATTTTGGCTTTTGTTGCCATTACTTTTGGTGTTTTAGACATGAAGTACTTGCCCATGCCTATGTCCTGAATGGTATTGCACAGGTTTTCTTCTAGGGTTTTTATGGTTTTAGGTCTAACATTTGAGTCTTTAATCCATCTTGGATTAATTTTTGTATAAGGTGTATGGAAGGGATCCAGTTTCAGCTTTCTACATATGGCTAGCCAGTTTTCCCAGCACCATTTATTAAATAGGGAATCTTTTCCCCATTTCTTGTTTTTGTCAGGTTTGTCAAAGATCAGATGTTTGTAGATGTGTGGCATTATTTCTGAGGGCTCTGTTATGTTCCATTGGTCTATATCTCTGTTTTGGTACCAGTACCATGCTGTTTTGGTTACTGTAGCCTTGTAGTATAGTTTGAAGTCAGGTAGCGTGATGCCTCCAGCTTTGTTCTTTTGGCTTAGGATTGACATGGCAATGCAGACTCTTTTTTGGTTCCATATGAACTTTAAAGTAGATTTTTCCAATTCTGTGAAGAAAGTCATTGGTAGCTTGATGGGGATGGCATTGAATCTATAAATTACCTTGGGCAGTATGGCCATTTTCATGATATTGATTCTTCCTACCCATGAGCATGGAATGTTCTTCCATTTGTTTGTATCCTCTTTTATTTCATTGAGCAGTGGTTTGTAGTTCTCCTTGAAGAGGTCCTTCACGTCCCTTGTAAGTTGGATTCCTAGGTATTTTATTCTCTTTGAAGCAATTGTGAATGGGAGTTCACTCATGATTTGGCTCTCTGTTTGTCTGTTATTGGTGTATAAGAATGCTTGTGATTTTTGTACATTGATTTTGTATCCTGAGACTTTGCTGAAGTTACCTATCAGCTTAAGGAGATTTTGAGCTGAGACAATGGGGTTTTCTATGTACACAATCATGGCATCTGCAAACAGGGACAATTTGACTTCCTCTTTTCCTAGTTGAATACCCTTTATTTCCTTCTCTTGCCTGATAGCCCTGGCCAGAACTTCCAACACTATGTTGAATAGGAGTGGTGAGAGAGGGCATCCCTGTCTTGTGCCAGTTTTCAAAGGGAATGCTTCCAGTTTTTTGCCCGTTCAGTATGATATTGGCTGTGGGTTTGTCATAGATAGCTCTTATTATTTCGAGATATGTCCCGTGAGTACCTAATTTATTGAGAGTTTTTAGCATGAAGGGCTGTTGATAAATAAGAGGTTCATTGACTTTTCTCTTTATTCACACAAAGTTGAAACTCTTATATCATCTCTTAATCCAGATGATCATCATTTATTTCTTGTGTTAAATCTAGGCTTAGAAAACTCATTTACATAAAGTATATTCATTGAATTCTTACTCTATATTTAGGGCATTGATTGTAGTCTTGGTGAAAAAAAAGTAAAGTAATACAGAAAGTATGTGTTTTTTTTAAGTTTATAAGTTAATTGGCAGGATAAGAAATGTGTATCAGTAGATTGTTAATAAAACCTAGGCAATTCTAGAGTTAATTATTAAAACACAATTATTAAATATCTGAATAAAGGAAATTAGTAGAGGCTTATGATATTTTACTACTTGAGCATGTAATATTAAAATAATCCTGTTATATCTCTGATAATGTTTTATTCTGGTCAACCAAAGGAAAAGATATGATGTATTATATCTAGAACACAAATAGTGATTTGAAAAATCATCTTGTGGCAAGACAGATACGAATAGGTGATTAATAGTGTATTTACTAGTAAATATTGGATTAACATATCAATATAATCTCTGCGTAAAAGGATTAATATCAGTCTGAAAGGCAATTTCTAGTGGAATGTCTCTTTTCTCTGACCTATCCATTATAGCATTTTATATGTTTATTACATGAAGACATTGAATATTTGCTTATCAAATTCACAGATGACACATATCTCTGATGTATTAAAAAAATGGCTTGACACACAGTATCAGAACCTAAAAAATTGCAGTACAAAATAATGACTTGTTAAATCAAATGAGATACATTTTAATATACATTGATATTTGTTCTGCACTTGGGCTCAGAACGTAAACTGTTAAATATAGATAAGGAATAACTCATATGAAGAGGATAGGTGAGCAGCAAATTCTACATTAAAGCTCAGCCTGAAATGAGTAGGGTGACTGCTAATTTGATCTTGCAGACTCTCTCCGCTAGTATTAAACGCATACTCCGCTAGTAGTAAATGGATACTCTCTCCGCTAGTATTTTCTGTCAATACTTACTTTACTACTTTAATATAAATTGCTAAGTCATATTGAATAGAGCAAAAATCAGAAATTCACCTTCACAAATTATCCCTTCCAATGTGTTTTATTATTCTAGTAGCTCCTTGTCTTTCATTGCTCAATCCAGAAATGTATGAGTTAGCCTCCTTTTCTTTACTTCTTTCATATAGTCAATGTGTCGTGTATATTCTGTCAATATAGTTGGAGACATATCATGAAGGATCTATTAAAAGATTAACAATTTAGATTTTACTCAGTTGGCAATAAAGAACCTATTAAAGATTTTGTCATAAGAATATTTTAGTAAAATCATTTGCATGATTAATGTGCATTCTTAAAATTGTACTAATGTAGAGAATCATAGAGACCGGTTAAAAGGTTAATGAAATAGTTCAAGTCAGAAATGAAGACTGAGAGACATAGAAGAGAGGGAAACTAAGACGATGCGGACTGAAAACATACATTTGAAAATCTGTAGAGGATTTTGGTTCAATATAAGTAATACTTTTCTAATAAGTAAAGTATTCTACTCGTGAAAACAACTTGTTTCTGAAGAATTGAACTGCCATGTTACAAGATCATTTTAAATAGCATAGTATAGTTGGAATAACGATATTTAAGGTGTCTTCTGGTCTGAGAGATTATGATTCTATTATAAACAACATTGAAGCCATATAGGATAGGTGCGTTATAAATTAATAAAGCAAAATCCCCCAAGAATACAGGAAAGGAGAGAGAGACAGAGATGTAAAATATTATGGAGGAAATTTTATTTGAATTAATAAAAGTGAAATTATAAAGAAACGAAGTAATAGAACTAAGATGGGAAATGAAAAATCACTTAGGGAATCATCAGTCTTAATTTCTTTGAAGCAAAGAAAGACAGATAAGTTTTAGGAGCTGTGTCCGGAAAGTCACTTTAGGTGTCATTGTAGAATTTCTAAATGGTCCAGAATTTGGATATTACACTGTGGTAAGTGTAAATATAGAAGCTGATTATAAAGCATTTGCAACATTTAAACATCAAGGCAAATTTTTAAAACTTGCTGATTTGAAGTAGAAATGAAAAAAAAGTGATATATAAAATAAATTGCAAAGAAAGTATTGAGGAAAATTCCTTTTATTATGTATCAGTAGGCCAATTGGAGTCTAAATTTAATGTGGGAAACATTAAGAAAACAGAAGAAAAGAAGAGGAATAGGTTTGGACATGAAGAATTGTTATGCATTTATTTGTAGACTTGTTGAGCTTTAAGAAGATACTGGAAATCTTGAGGAGAAAATGTCTATCAAATAATTATAATGTAACATTGTAGGCTACAGGTGAAGTTACAAATGTAGATACAGATTTACAAATCATTTACATTGTAATGAGTTAAATTGGGTAAATAAACCATCATTGAAGCAGAGAGTATGTATGTAATGCTTAAATGAAGATTACACGGAGCATTAAAGTATATACATATTTATTCTGAATGAAGCTAAAACACATCTGAGGTGTCAGAGAAAATGGGGTCTATATTACAGTAGGAAGTCCAATGATATTTTACTAGCAGAGTGAAAGGGGAAGAGTGTCTCAAGAAGGAGGTGATAGTCAACAGTGTCCCACATATTGTGAAGAGTTAAAAATTCAGAAGGTACCTCTGATCTTTGACAAACCTGACAAAAACAAGAAATGGGGAAAAGATTCCCTATTTAATAAATGGTGCTGGGAAAACTGGCTAGCCATATGTAGAAAGCTGAAACTGGATCCCTTCCTTACACCTTACACAAAAATTAATTCAAGATGGATTAAAGATTTACATGTTAGACCTAAAACCATAAAAACCCTAGAAGAAAACCTAGGCAATACCATTCAGGACATAGGCATGGGCAAGGACTTCATGACTAAAACCCCAAAAGCAATGGCAACAAAAGCCAAAATTGACAAATGGGATCTAATTAAACTAAAGAGCTTCTGCACAGCAAAAGAAACTAACATCAGAATGAACAGGCAACCTGCCTAATGGGAGAAAATTTTTACAATCTACCCATCTGACAAAGAGCTAATATCCAGAATCTACAAAGAACTTAAACAAATTTATAAGAAAAAAATCAAACAACCCCATCAAAAAGTGGGCAAAGGATATGAACAGACACTTCTCAAAAGACATTTATGCAGCCAACAGACACATGAAAAAATGCTCATCATCACTGGCCATCAGAGAAATGCAAATCAAAACCACAATGAGATACCATCTCACACCAGTTAGAATGGCGATCATTAAAAAGTCAGGAAACAACAGGTGCTGGAGAGTATGTGGAGAAATAGGAACACTTTTACACTGTTGGTGGGACTGTAAACTAGTTCAACCATTGTGGAAGTCAGTGTGGCGATTCCTCAGGGATCTAGAACTAGAAATACCATTTGACCCAGCCATCCCATTACTGGTATATACCCAAAGGATTATAAATCATGCTACTATAAAGACACATGCACACATATGTTTATTGCGGCACTATTCACAATAGCAAAGACTTGGAACCAGTCCAAATGTCCATCAGTGATAGACTGGATTAAGAAAATGTGACACATACATACCATGGAATACTATGCAGTCATGAAAAAGGATGAGTTCATGTCCTTTGTAGGGACATGGATGAGCTGGAAACCATCATTCTGAGCAAACTATCGCAAGGACAGAAAACCAAACACCACATGTTCTCACTCATAGGTGGGAATTGAACAGTGAGAACACTTGGACACTAGGTGGGGAATATCACACACTGGGGCCTGTTGTGGGATGGGGGGAGGGGGGAGGGACAGCATTAGGAGGTATACCTAATGTAAATGTAAATGACAATTTAACGGGTGCAGCACACCAACATGGCACATGTATACATATGTGACAAACCTGCACATTGTGCACATGTACCCTAGAACTTAAAGTATAATTAAAAAAAAATTCAGAAGATGCCATTTGCTTTGTCAAATAGGAGGTAACTGGTGATTTTCTAAATACGAACAAGTAGAAAACCTAAAATTCTAGAAACTCATCTTTACATAGAAAACTAACCTATTGATTTAACAAGATTCTAGAAATTTCTCTGTGATTTACTAGGTTTTTATTTCTTAAGGATAATGAAAACTAATTCATTCTGAACTTTGTACTACTTTATATTTAATAATCTGTACATACATTATTTTTTATTTAGCAAAATAAGTATATTCTAAAAAGGCATTCTTTCTATGGTACATGGATAGTACCAATACATTTTATTCCTCAGAATGCTAAGGTACTCCAGACTCTTGGAAGCAGATAAGTATTTGATGCCCTTTGTTTTAAACAATTTCAAAATCATGGAATAATGGAAGTTGAAATTATAAGTCAGAAAATGTAGCCATACATATTTAATCTGCCCCTTTTTTTGTACCCATCTTCTCTTAATCTCTTTACAACTCACCTTCCCACCATGACTCTTCTCTATCTGCTTTATATATTGATCATATTCGTGAAATAAAAATAATATCTAAGAATTATTTAGGCAAGAGTATTTGCATAATATGCAGTATCTCTAACTATGTCACAGAAAATAACTTAAGCCCTGGCTGGAAAGGAAATAAGCAGTATGAGCATAGAAGGACTTTTACATGTTCCTGTGTTTAGATTTTTACATAGGCTTTTAAAAATGGTGCCAGCATTTCTATTACCTCAGTGATTTAATACACATTGTATGGAAGCTGTACTTCCTTGATATTCAGCTTACCAGGATTAGGAAATTTTAATTGATTGCCATACATCTGGAGGATTATTTAGAGCTGGATTGGAAGTAAGCAAAAACAGCAAATTTATTCATTTATTTGTTTACTCATTAATTTCTTTATATAGTTATTTTTAAATGTTTATGGGTTTCAAGGTATAAGATTATATTTTCAATGGTGTATATCCTAGCAAGAAGATAAAATCTTGTAACAGAATTGGAATGACAGATGAGATGTCATTTCTAAAGCAAGTCATAGTATATCATAGTTTGGAAGAAAACAAAATTCCAATGGCTTTTTCCCAATATTTTCTGGGGAGGTTTTATTTTTTTATTTTTTTTATCTCCTTCTATGTTATAGATAGATCGTAATTAATTTTCCTAATTCTGAAAGTAAATCTTTGGTTCTTGGTACATATTAGTTTTGATTGTCATTTTCATTTTGAAATGCTTTCTTGTTAATTTACCAAATTCATTGAAGCAACAATCATTATGAATACACATATAAACTTAAAATGTTTGTCCATGCCTTATGGGTATAAAAAGAACATAAAATTAAATGCATATTACTTCTCAGAGAGGGAGAGTAAGATGTCAGTTGGCAACTTTGGGGACCATCTTCTATTCAAAATGTAATCATAGCTGGCTTTGGTTAAAAATGTTGTCATACTTTAGAATTATAACACAAAGGCATAAGGTTGCATACCTCTGTATCTTTCTATTGTGTGTTTATATTCAATGAAACATATTCTAAAAACAGCTTCAATCTGTCCCATATGGAACAAGTCTCCAATTGCTTGAACATACACTGACTATAGCATTTTCTTTTAAGTGATGTTAAATATTTCAGTGTAATAGCTTCTCCCAATTTTATCAAAATCTGTGATTTCAGCTAAGCTCTGTTGGAAACACAAACCTAACCTAAACAGTAGAAATCCTGTCACTGGAAAGTACACAGGACAAGTCAGTCCTCGTGGGTGAATTTCACGCCTGTTGTGTGTAGTAGTTCTTAGCTATGTTTATTAGAGGGCATTTGTCCTTCAGCAACACTTTTGCTGGTCTGCTCGCTGTCACCACTGTAGTATTCATCAAAGTAACACCTTAGAAAGCACAGCAATGTTCCCAGAGAACTGCTAATCTGAAAATCTTTTTTTTTTTAACTTTTCTTTTCCTTGGCTAAAAATAGTGCTAAAACTATGTTAACAGATATGTAAGAAGAAAAAATATGCACCAGAAAAAAAATTCTGACATACAGCAGAGTCAAATACCAGGATGTGATCAGAAATATTTACCCTTGTCCAAAATACAAAGAAAAAGCATTAATCAACTTATTGGGAAATTGCAAAAATGAGTTTGGAGCATTATGAATACTATAGAATAAAACTATATTTTATTGCACAGTAATTGGTTATTTTGACATTGCTTGTGTGTAGTTTCAGCCTTTATATGACTGGTTAGGAAGGAAAAATGTGTGAAAGAATTTGACTGAATTTAACCTGAATTTAATGACATGTTATTTTTTCAACATTATTTGACTAAACATTTAATTCGTATTTTAATTCCAGTTATCTGGCTCTTTCACTTGAGTGGAATTATAGAAAAATATATTAATTAATTAATTAATCTATGTTATGGTTAATGTAGGTTTAAACATATATTGCTCAGTGTTTTATATTTTTCTGTCCACAAATATGTTTACGTTATAATGTGGCAACTCAGTAGCTTATTTCTTGTTTCAAAGTCACAGCTGATCAAGGGAAAGATTTAAAGTTATTCATTATGTTTAAGCTAATTAACTTGTGGTTATTTGTTTTTATTCTGTATTTGAATTTGCATTTCATGAATTCTCTATACTTTTTCTTTTACCCATTATCTTTAGGATTTAATTACTATTTATCCCCTTCCCAAAGAAGAAGAAAAGATACATCAGTAAGCCACAGTGTTCTGTTTTTTAAGTTTTGTAAAAGAAAATATTTGAAGATCTCAAAGTTAAATGCACATTATGTGTTACAGATTTTGTAATTCTGTTCAGTATTTTACATGTTTTAAACCATTGCTTAATTCTCTTCCTACTGGGAATGACAGACAAAAAATAAATGATAAAGTGTGATAAGTGCAATGGTTACAAGTTCAAGATTCAATGAAAGAACACAGCAATTTAACTTAACCAAGTACAAAAGGATCATAGAAGGCATCTTTAAGGAAGGGATAATTAAACAGATTTGAGGCCAGGTAGGTTTAAACAGGGACGGGGCTAGGTGTTCTAGGAGTGTACAAGAAGGCAGGGTAACACTATGCAGCGCATGGCAAGTCATGTTCAGGATAACTAGAGAACAGAGCTCTGGAGATCTGGTGATAATGTACAACTTGATCATCAATAATTTGCTGCATTTTTTTTCAGAATTAGGAAAGCACTTAAGGGAAAATTATAAATACAACGTGACACTGCCATCATTAGTTTCTATACATTAATTTCTATAAACATTTTGTACCATTGTACGTGGAGTACAGCCCACAAATTCTTTTTCAGTTTGTAATAGGGCAATAGTTTAGGTCTTCTCCTCTTAGATTAATATTTTTTTTCTTTTTTCTGCATGGCTAAAATAAGTTTGTGGTGAGCACTAAATAAGTTTTGTGTGTTTCATCAGGATAAGTCGGTCCCTTTGGATTTCAGTTGTATTCCATTATATAGAAGAAAGACAAATAGAATACATACTCTCACCTCATGTTATAGACATACTTTTTTTCTTTGTAAATTTTAAGAACATGCGATTGAAAATGCCTACTAGAATTTAAAGGTAAATACACAGTGACTTATTTTCATCAAGGAGAACACATTGGCTATTATTATCAGATTGTTAAAATTATGATATGTAGAGTTTGAACAGCTCAATTAGAAAAAAGTAAATAAAATGCCATTAGAAAAATGCAAACAATAAAGGAAATGTGCTATTTACATATTATGAAATACATGGAAATAACAAACACAGGGTAAATTATAGAAATTCAATTGTAAAAAATCTGCTAGGCATGGTGGCTCCTGCCTATAATGCCAGCACCTTAGGTGGCCAAGGCAGGTAGATCCCTTGAGTACAGAAGTTCAAGACCAGCCTGGGCAACACGGCAAAACCCTGTCTCTACAGAAAAATGTAAAAATTAGCCAGGCATGGTGTTGTGTGCCTGTGGTCCCAACTACTTGGGAGGCTGAGCTGGGAGAATCACCTGAGCCTGGGGAGGTTGAGGCTGCAATGAACCATGATCATGCCACTGCACTCCAGTCTGGATGACAGAGTGAGACTCTCTCTCTCTCAAAAAAAAAAAAAAATCAGTAAAATAGTAAGACAGTATTTTTTTATTCATTTTTGCAGAAGATTATGAGATAAGAGCTGTCAAAGCTGGAGTACTTACATGGAAAAAATCACTCATACATTTTTTGTAGTTATATTTGTTGGCATAAGTCTCTGAAAAAGTCAGTAAGCAGTTGAAACTCGAGCATTAAAATTTGTATACTGCTTTAATTCAATATTTAAATTCTATCTGAATGAACAACAAAAGAGATAAATAGCACTATTTGCAAAGATGTTTTTTACAGCATTTATTATCATTATGTAAAATTGAAAATAACAAAAATACCCTAAAATTGGAGATTGATTAAGTAAACTAAGGCCTATCCTGACAATGATAAACATTTTATATATATATATATATATATATATATATATATATATATATCTCACAATTTAAAACAATGGGATTTCCTTATGCTGTTTATGCAAGTAAAAAAATTATACATTTAGTTTGCCTAGAATTATGCAAAAATATGTATGTATGTATATGTGTGCATATGTGTGTATGAAAATGATTATATTCAACTCAAATAGTGGAATTGTACATTTATTTTTATATATTTAAAATAATAATATTAAATATTTTATTAAAATATTTAAAATAATATTTTTTAAAATATTGTTTTCTTTCTTTTCTTTTGAGACAGAGTCTCGCTCTGTCACCCAGGCTGGAGTGCAGTGGCACGATCTCAGCTCACTGCAAGCTCCGTCTCCCGGGTTCACGCCATTCTCCTACCTCAGCCTCCCGAGTGGCTGGGATTACAGGTGCCCGCCACCACGCCAGGCTAATTTTTTGTGTTTTTTGTAGTAGAGACGGGGTTTCACCGTGTTAGCCAAGATGGTCTCAATCTCCTGACCTCGTGATCCGCCCACCTCGGCCTCCCAAAGTGCTGGGATTACAGGCGTGAGCCACCACACCCGGCCTTATTTAAAATATTTAATAATATTTTATTTCTACTTTAATAATATTTTCTATTATATATAATCTCATTTTAAAGTTTTAAAATAAAAAGTTTTGTAAATAACAATAGACCATATGGAAATAAGGAAGGAGAAAAGAAAGCAACTAAGCTTTATGAAAATATACTGTGTGGCAGAAGCTGTATGATTTAATACATAAAATAAGTCTAAGAAGTAGATATTATCATCCGCATTTGACAGATGCAGATATTCATGCTTAGAATCAATTTAGTAGAATTTGAGATTTGTGTGACTGCTGCTAAGTTACAAATAGAAAGTATTGAACCTACGCTTTAAATCTTAAGCAGTTGATTTTTCTTTCCAAATCTGGTTCTTTAGGAAGACAAGGATGGGGAAAAATATCGATTGTTTCATTGAGAAAGGAAAGAGAGCCCACTGGTACAAAATTAACATGTGACTTAGGAATCTTATTTCACAGTACCTGAAACCTGGAAACTAGCAATTGGAGCAAATCACTCCAGGACCAGGGAATACTTTAAAATTGTTTTTGAGTGCAATTTAATAAACATGATTTTTCTTTGGCTCTTCACTTGCTACAAGAAATCTTTTTTTTAAATTTGTGTGTGTGTGTTTTCTATTGGTATGTCAATTCGATAATGTACATTGATTTTATAATTTGGATGTATCATCTGACCTCTTTATACAATTTGGGTATTTTTAATCTTACAGCTCTTTTAAAAACATTCATTGACTATTGCAAATGAAGTAAATAAACTCAGACCAAGCCTTTTTATCAGGCATTTAGAAAGAGCATGGGATATATAGTTATATCATATCCTAGTTCCATCACTTACTTACTATGTAACCTTGGGCAAATGATTTAGATTCACGAAATTGCATTTCCTAATAAGCAAAATTATGACAAGTATTTACCTCAAGGAATTGTAGAATAAATAGTAATGTACGTAGAGACCATCTTAGATATTACTTTCTATTTAGCTGTTATACAATACATGCTTCTTATTATTATGATGATTGGATAGAGAGGATATTTTAATTTTATTTTAAATGTAATACTTAAAAGTTGAGATCTTTGCATCACAGCAATTAGAGGATCTCTATTTCCAACCTTAAACCCATTGCTTAATTTACTACTAAAAGTATGAATTTAATATTTCTAAATTGTATATGATAGGAATTGGAATTAGAAGATCACTTCTTAGTTTCATTTGGATTTTGAAAGCTCACCTAGAATTAGGAATACTTTAGAAATCAGTTAGTGGCATTAATAATGATTTTGCACCCCTTTCTTAACACAGATTAACTATGCAGATTTGTTTTTTTTTTTTTAACTGTTATTGCACAGAAGGAGAGTATAATCTCTACTAGGACTGTTAAATCAATAATACTAATTCTCCTTTCATATCACAGCCAAAGGACGGTACTTTCTGTCAAAGATCCATTGACCTTGGAGTCTACTACAAAGTCAGTACTATCTTTTAAAATTGACATTCTCAGTTTCCTAGGTGATTCTCTGTAGGTTCTTTACATAGTTGTAGTCAAATGGCTAACAGCACAAAGAGTGATTGGGAAAAAGGGAAGGACCAGATCAAATACTCAAGTAAGAAGAGAAGAAGATAGGAAGGTAACAGAGTGAATAAAAGACCTAGATACAAAAATTAGCCAGGCATGGTGGCGGGTGCCTGTAACTCCAGCTACTCGGGAGGTTGAGGCAGAAGAATTGCTTGAACCCGGGGGCAGAGTTTGCAGTGAGCTGAGATCTCGCCACTTCACTCCAGCCTGGGCAAA
Source organism: Homo sapiens (assembly GCF_000001405.40). NCBI lineage: Eukaryota > Metazoa > Chordata > Mammalia > Primates > Hominidae > Homo > Homo sapiens. The sequence goes on along the minus strand of NC_000005.10, from coordinate 45,537,574 downwards.
AGAGCGAAACTCTGTCTCAAAAAAAAAAAAAAAAAAAAAAAAAAAAAAAAAGACTTAGAGTTGCTTTAAATTAGTGAAACAAACAACAGTAAAACACCAACCTTTTTGCAGGAGAATCAATATCTAACATGTTTGGCAAATGTTTTCAAACAGAGGTATTGTTAAAAAAAAACAAAAAAAAATGCATAATCAGCTGTGTACCAGGATTTTCCAGAAAATAGCTTAAATAGCAATGTAAAATATTTAATAATGAAGATTTTACTTGGTAAAACTTTAGCAGATAACTATCATATAAACTGAAAGAAATATTTTTTTTAAAAATTGAGGGCAGTTGAGGTTAGTCAGAGATAAGATTTACTGGAAAAGACAGAAACTGCACCTTGTGATGTTGTTTTTTATGCCTAAGGCAGTACCCTATTACAGTCTTGAGAACAGAAAGCTGCAGCATTACCAGCCTGGGCTGTCAGAGGGCATACCTTAGAACTGGAAAAAGAGCCACAAATTTAAAGGCAAATCCTTTGAGAAGGAGGGATCCTCAGAAGGGATGGAACACCCAAATTTTAGTACAAAATCTCCCTAAAACTTCATCTGACCTAGAAATTATGCATGCTGGTTGAGAAATTGTGCATGCAATTGCAGGGAAACAGGGGAAAGCAGCTGTTAGCAACTGTAATAACTGATTGGCGACTTTACCTGCTGCCAACCTTATGGGATGCTGAGCTTGGAGTTCTAGTTTAGCGAAATTGACCACCTCTTGAAATAAAATGTATTTTCAGAGAATTATAACAAAATCCAGATTTTCTTTCAATTTATTATTACTATTTATTATTCAATTAAAAATTAGTAGCTACATGAAGAAACAGGAAAATTAACCTATACTCAAGAAAACAAGCAGTTGGATAGAATGTGACAATGACATAATTAAAATGTTTCTATTAGCACACAAGAATGTTAGAGAAGTGACATTTTCAAGGACTTAATGGGAAAAAGGAATATAATGAATACACACAGAATTTAATCTCAACAAAGAAATATAAGCCATGAAAAGAATGAAATGAAAATTCTAATGCTGAAAAATGCAGTAACTGAAATGAAAAAAGGAAAACACTGTGTGGGTTTAAAAGAAGATTGGCGGTGACAGGAAATAAAGTCAGTTGAGTTGAAGATGGAACTTTTCTCATGTGAAAGAGAAGAAAAAAATGGAAGAATAATGAGCATGGACTCACAAACAATGCAAGTGGTCTAACATAATGTAATTGGAATTCTAGAATAAGATGAGAGAGGAATTGGGGCAGAAAAAATGTTTTAAAGGAAAATTAGATGAAAACTTCCCAGAAGACATCAATTTACAGATCCAAAAATACAGTAAACACCAAAAATAATAAATGCAAAGGAAGAAAACCAAACCATATATAGACACATCATAGTCAAACTGCTGAAATCTAAAATGAAGGAGAAAATGATGAAATTACATAGAGTGAGAGGAGAATACAAATGAAAGTGGAGTTTTCACAAGAAACAATATAATAATATCTTTAAAGTTAAAGGGATGGGGAGCAAAACTAAAAAACAACAACCAAAACACTGTCAACCAGAATTCTGTATCCATAGAAATTATCCTTAACTGGTAAAAGTGAATAAGAAATTTTTAGTTAGACAAAAACTGAGAGATTTTTTCATTAAGAGACCCTTGTTACAAGACATTGAAGACTTAAGAGTCTGAAGGAATCGGATTACCAGAAAGGATTAAAAATAATCAGTGTATATAATGCATATAATCTGTATGTATATTTTCATATTGCAGACTATATTGTTTAACTTTATCACTGAAAAGATGATGGAAAATTCCTTGGTATTAAAAATATTTATTTGATGCAGAACAATGAACACTGAGACTTATTGAGTTATATTTGCTTCTCTATTATATTTATTATATTCCTGTCTTCTTTTTTGTTCCTTTCATTCTGTGTTTTTTTTGAAATGGTGTCTGGCTCTGTTCCCTAGGCTGGAGGGCAGTGGCACAATCTCAACTCACTGCAACCTCCACCTCCCAGGTTCAAGCGATTCTCCTGCCTCAGCCACCCAAGTAGCTGGGATTACAGGTACCCACCACCACACCCAGCTAATTTTTGTATTTTTTGTAAAGACGGGGTTTCACCATGTTGGCTATGCTGGTCTCGAACTCCTGACTTCAAGTGATCCGCCCACCTTGGCCTCCCAAAGTGCTGGGATTACAGGTGTGAGCCACCATGCCCAGCCTGCTTCTCTATTATATTTCTCATTTGAGAAGATATCATCAAATAATATATTAAGACGTTCTCTTCCATTATATAAATTAGGGCCAAACATATTTCTTATGTTTGTGTTATAAGATAGTCCCTAGTTTTATATTTCAATGTAAGAGGGTCTAAATAGCACTGATTTATTTTTTTACTTTATTTAAAGATCCTATGATTTGCATTTTTTAAAATAAAGGCATATTGCTATTGTTTTTGGTTTTATAGTGCGTGATTTAATTTCACAGCATATAAATTGTAACTCTGAGAAGAATGCTGATGTTTTATTTTGGGTGGATAGAATTGCCAAGTCTTACTGTTTCAATAGCTTTCAAGTCGGGCATGTGATTAATGTATGTGCCTGTTAAAGTATGTTGTTATTCTTAAATTGGTTTTTCACATTTTTAATTTTATAGGTTGGAAGAAATGTTCCATTTGGATTAATACCTTTTTTCTCCCTCTGCTCTGAAAAGAAACTATATGCTTGTAATTAATTCACCTTGGCTATTTAGCAAATGAATTCAAAATATAAGGTTAGCAGGTTAGCTCTTCTATTATCAAAATCACTTATGCCAACCAGTTTCGCTTAACAAATTGATACAAGATGAGCCTAATGTTTATTTTTTTTTTGGCTTAGAATCTCGTATAGGCTGTTAAGCTACATTCATAAGTCTGTCTCCGTTATCTTCCTCCATAAACTTTTATCAGGCCATTGCTTAACAATTGGTCTTTGACATATTGTACATATTATTAATAGTTATGACATTATACACTTCAGGAGCCCTTTAGGATTGCTCTAAATTTTCAGGCAGAAATGGTCTCACAGCAAACCTCTGTCAAACCCCTGTATTAATTTTTTTTTTTTTTTTTTTTTTTTTTTTTTTTTTTTTTTTTGAGATGCAGTCTCACTCTGTTGCCCAGGCTGGAATGCATGGAATGCAATGGCGGGATCTTGGCTCATTGCAACCTCTGCCTCCGTGATTCAAGTGATTCTCGTGCCTCAGCCTCCGAGTAGCTGGGACTATAGGCGCCTGCCACCATGCCCGGCTACTTTTTGTATTTTTTGTAGAGACGGGTGTTTCACTGTGTTGGCTAGGCTGGTCTCAAACTCCTGACCTCAGGTGATCCACCCACCTTGACCTCCCAAAGTTCTGGGATTACAGGCATGAGCCACCATACCCGGCTCAACATCTTGCAGTGCACAATATGGATATTAGGTAGTAATCAATAGGTGGCTGAAATGAGAAATCTATGCTCAGTAGAACAGGATTTTCTTATAAATCTCAAAAACTTTTAGATAATACATCTTAAAGCTGGGTGCCAACATTATGCCAATCCTTGTTCTCTCTTCTCCCCTCCACTGCCCACTTAGCAGATGGCTTCGAGCCCACAGAACTGTGCCCTGCTGCACTCCACTAATGACCCTATTGTCAGGTCTCTTTGTCTTCTTGGGACAATGTCACCACTAGGAATTGTGTAGTTTACAAAACACATAAAAAGCCCTTTCCTGAGAGGTGAGAAAAAACTGAACTCCAGCTCAGCCTCTGCTCTTTATGGGAACACTTTTTTTCCTATATTTTTTAGCCTGAAGGGAGAGCCTTTCTCCAATTCTTGCTGTGCCCTCCATATGGTATAGCTATGGGCCATTCAGTGGGCACATAGGATTTTGGCATAATAAAAACACTTTCTATTTCTTACAGAATGTTGGAGTAAATTAATGCATATATTAACTAAAGGGGTATCACCTACCTTGGAAAGGCTAGTCAGTACATATGAGACAGTCATCAGAATCCTTGACAAAGGAAGAGCTGGGCATCATCATATCACTATAGTTACAGAAACTGGAAATGACATTTATTCAAAGTGGCGGTGACACAAAGCAGGTGCCATGAACCGGCCTTATTAGGCAGCTCCCTGGAATAAGCCTAAACTCAGAGGAGAGAGAAAGGAACTGACTTGGAGTCTAAGATTTTAGTTAGATGATTTTGCTTTTATGAGTTTTTTTTTGTGGATTGATTATATTTTTGAGTTATAGTGAACAAGTAAGAATTTTTACTTTTCTAATTGGTCCTCATTTTACAAATGTGCAATGTTTTCTACAAAAGTAAAAAGCTTTTCAGAAAAACAAACACACCATACACATCAATTGTGCTGATTTCTGCAAAGCTTACTCTGAACCTGGCATGATTCAGAATTGTGTCCTCCATGCAGTAGTTCTTTCCTCAGAGCTCGAAATCTTAGCTGTCAGAATTCCCCTGAACTCATTAAGACTCATTTGTCTCTGTCAGTGACATGTTCTCTAGAGCCAGTTCATGCCACCTCCTTTGTCTCACAGCCACTTTGAATAAGGGCAGTTTACAAGAGAAAAGAGAACCTATTCCTTGGAATGTTTTGTATCTCAATGAATTACACAAATTTTTCTTCACAAAGTTCCATTTGCAAGGAAAAGTGCGGGTTAAGCACTGCCTAAATAAATTAAATGGTGCATAATAAAAATATCCTTTCTATAAAAAACTCAGAATACTGTACACTGGTTCAAATGAAAATAATACAGAGATTCTGACCACTGTCTTTGGCTCAAGGACAACAAGTACTGTAGGATAATCTCTTAATACTCAGTTTAGAAGTGCCTTAGTACCATATGTTGTGATATAAATAAACATATATAAAACTCTGATTATTTGTTTTAATTTAAGGGTAGATTTTGCCTCATTCCAAGAAGAGATGATAGATAGAATGAACACACTTAATTAAAGCCATGCTCCATAATTATAATTTCTCTCAATTTAGTTAAAAAATTGACTGTAAATGATTCTTATGTTATAATTGGCTATATTTTACAATAACAAATTTTTAATAGCTTAAAGGTTGGAAATCACATTCTTTTCTAAAGTTATAGTAAACTAACAAAAATGCCCACATAGAAGGCTGCTAGAATGATCAATATTATCTTGAAACATTTTTGTCTGCTCAAACATAAAAGCAATAAAGTATTGTAGCTTCACATTTCTATGCTATAGAGCATGACCACAATTGTTTTAGCCTCTGTTTTGTTAAGAATAATAAGATTTGTGGTCCTCGCCTTTGAAGAGCCTACAGTCTAGTCAAGTAAATTGTATTTAACAAATCATTAATATGAGGCAAGTGCTAAAAATCATATGAACAAAGTGTTATGGAAACATAGGGGAGAGAAAGATTAATTATGATGAGGAAAAGCATCTCAGAAATGTCTTTTGTTTGGTTGGTTTATTTTTATTTTGAGACGGAGTCTTGCTCTGTCGCCCAGGCTGGAGTGCAGTGGTGCGATCTCGGCTCTCTGCAACCTCTGCCTCCCGGGTTCAAGCAATTCTCCTGCCTCAGCCTCCTGCGTAGCTGGGACCACAAGTGCACACTGCCTCGCCTGGCTGTTCTTTTGCATTTTAGTAGAGACAGGGTTTCACTGTGTTGCTCAGGCTAGCCTCGAGTTCCTGTGCTCAGGCAATCCGCCCACCTTGGCCTCCCAAAGTGCTTGGATTACAGGTGTGAGCCACCGTGCCAAGCCTCAGAGATGTCATGTTGGAACATATTTGAAAAAAAAAGTGTCAGAGCCTACAAAGTAAACTACAAGACAAAAATTATTCTAGCAGGCAAAAAAATCAGAATGACAGAGAATTGTATGCTTGAGGTACTGGCAAGTGTGGCTGACAGAGGGTCCATATGATGAAGAAAGGGCAAGATAAATTAAAGGGGAAGGGAAGTAGGGGATACTTACACAACACAATGGCTACTGAATTGTATTCTGAGGACAACAGAGGGTGTTCTTTAAAAACACGGGACTAGTAGAGTACCAGGATCAGATTTATGGACAAAGATAACCTTGAAGGCATTACAAAGACTCAATAATGGCAATAGCAACAGAGGAGTCTGAAGTGAGCAGAGTCCCCTATTTCAGTGGGAAGGCTATTTCAAGGCCCCAAACAAAAGCAATTAATTAAGCAATTAAGGAATGGTAGAAGGAGATATGAGAAAAGAACAGAACAAATTAGAGAAACATTTAAGAAGTAGCAATAACAGTGCCAGTTCAAAGGGAAGAGTCAATAAGAAGAAAAATTTATCAGGGATTATTCAGTTTCACTGTTGCCATAGATTATTCATGTGAAACAACTGAATTTGGAGTAGAAGTAATGATACAATTGTAAGCATGACCATTATTGCTGTTTTTTTCATGTGATGATTGTGTGTGTGTGTGTGTGTGTGTGTGTATGTGTGTTAGCATTTCTTTAATTTTACATCCAGAAACTACACCCCATATTTCTTGGCATTTATATCCAAAATTCCATTTTTAGAAAAACCTGTCTACCACCACCACCATTAGTCTTTTTGTCTATCCTTGCTTCTTTTCCCAGCTATATCCAGGATGTCTGGGTAACTCCTGTTGTTGACTTGTTATTAGCTGTGTGACCTTGGGAAAGATATGGAAATTTGTCCATTCTATCATTTATGTTACCTGTCAAATGGTTATGTTAATAATAGAACCTACCACACAGAGTCAGTGCAAAATTTAAATTTGTTAGCACACAGGAAGTGCTTAGTTTATTCACTTTTTGGAAAATGGAAATTAATTAAAGTTAAACTTTGTTATTTTGAAAGGTCCTTAGTATGAGCATGAAGAGTATTCTTTAGATCATAATTATCTTGGAAGCCAAGAACCTAAGAGGTTCATTGGCTAAAATTTTACCCCAAAATATTTGTTCTTAGAATTCATATTAGGATTCTGTAACTATGAAACATCATAAAGTGCCTAATGTATAGTCCTTACTAATTGTGTAATAGCCAATAGTTTTGCCACTCAAAAAAGCACCCTTTATTTTAAAAAAAAAAACTATATATGTATATATATATATATAAAAACACAATCATTTCCCCAAGCCACAAAGTGACATATTAAAAAATTTAAATTTGCTCAGGTTTACTGAAAGCTAATGTTGTGTTGCTGTTGTACAATGTCACTTAAGGCAGGCTTCTGTTTATTTTTGTTTTAGTGTGTTCAGTGCTGTATGATTTATAAAGTGTTTTCAAACATGAGTTAAGCCCATGATTTAGGAGTGGCACCTGATTTGCCTCACTGCTCTGAAAAAAAGAGCTGAGAAGCAAAAGCCTTACCTGGTTACAGATTCCGTAATCACTGGAGTCAAAACTCAACCCAAATACTCTGACTTCTAGGTCAGTCTTGCTTTGTTTGCAGAATTTTGTCTTAATTCGTCTCTATTATGTTTAACAGATTAGACATAGAAATACAGATAAGAAGAAATTAAATATGTGAAAAACAGGAAAATCCAGAAGCATGTTACATATCTTTATTATGAGGAATCTAAAATAACCACACAATACTGTAAAACTGTCACATCTATAATTTATCACCTTTGGTTTGGGATAATTTGGCAAATTTGTAGAAAATATTAAAGATAAACCCAGTTTTGAAAACAAAGAGATTTATAATTGATTATTTGCAATTGATGGTGCTGTAAAATTGCAAAAAGTAAATCTTCATAATGAAACATCAAAAGTGATTGACAGCTGTGGGGAATACTAGATTTCCTTAAGACCTTAACTTTTGAGAAAATATTTATGTTCATCTGTTTTTAAATTCAAGTGGGTACTTTTCATTTTGTCTATTTTAATTTGGTATTCCGCCAAAGACACCATTTGGATTTGATCAAAATGACTTGGTTTCTACACACTCCTGATTTCTAGATTTTTCCAGAGTCATCATTAATTTCTAACGCCTTCCCTGCAGATTACACAATATTTCCTTATTACTTTGACATATTTTAGGTGAGCAGGAGCCTGCTTTTCAGATAAAATACATCAGACAGAATCACTATTAGAATAAACCTCCACCAAGAACTCATGCTAGTTTCTACTTCTTAATTGTTTAATGAAATCATGAAAATTGGGCTTTACCTGGGCTCTGATTTGCCGTCATTATTTATTATTTACCTAATTAGGGACTAATTAGCTCATAAATATTGAAAGAATAAAGTGGTGGCATGAGGGAGGGAGACAGTGTATTCTGCTTTATTTTTAGTTAGTGTGTAGTAAAACAAAGACATGTTTAGGAAAGGTGTTCTTGGATGCATTGAACCAGATAAAAACAATATGTTAATAGATAACAGTGAACTTCTTTTTCTTCTTTATGCTGAATGAAAAAGGATCTTGAGAACTTTAAAAAGCATTAATGCCACTGGAATGAAGGAGGAAAATACCTGCTTTTTATTTTAAAGCTCAAAAGTAGATGCCAGTCTTTACTGTGTTTTAATTCATCATAAGAGTAGGATATTTCTTGCCACATTTGTCTCTATTAAACTTTTGAATTCCATAAAGCTAAGGGCAACTTCACTAAATTCTACTTGTCTTTACTTTCCTAATCATGCCTGTGATCTTTAATTATTTTGCCAATTAGATTTGCCTTTAGAACATATACTTTCAATTTTAATGACATGGTCTATATTTTTCTTATGATTGAGACTCAAAATCACAAGCAAAGACATTTTGGAAGAATTATCTTGTCAGAGTTCATAGATTTTGAAGATAGTGTGGGGGTTAAGGCAAAATTTGGAAAGGGACAATTTTTGGGGATATCTTTCTGTTTTCTCTTTTTGGAGATTTTTGCTTATATATTTTTAAGATTTATTAAGCAGCATAGTTAATATGCTGCTTTGGAAGGTTACTTCATCTCCTTGAGATCTGAATTCCATATTGATAAAACTGGTATAATGAGGTCTGCTTTTCCCTCCTCTTAAGCTTTTTCAAATAACCAAAAATCAAAATGAAAAATTCTTTGTCAGAAGCGATATTAATCAAAATATGTTATCAACCAGTAAAACTCAACAATGAAAACTATTTGGTCTATAGTAATGGTGCATACAGGCTACTAGTCAGCCCTAGGGTGAAATACTTGCTATATAACTCTAAAACACTAAATATATGAAATATAAGCTATTAGTGATATTATTCACAAGAATATTAATAGATGAATCTCAGAACAGAGAACCTTAATTTATAAGTACACATCAGTAATAGTAGGATTTAGGGAAGTTAGGTCAGACAGATATTTGAAGGAAAAGTATTCTTCCAGAATATATTATTATATCAGATTGCTTAAAAAGTTCATCTTTTAGTCTAATAAGTTTGAGAATACTCTGAGAATAAAGATTTTCATTGCTTACCCTAAATTTACTTACAAGATTAAGACACCAGAGTAACCCTCCTTCTATTGGTAAATAAATAAATGGAACTAAAGCAAACTTATTGATTTTATTTTTAATTTAATATTTATTTTTCCCCTAGGACTATAGAGTATTTTTGGGTTTAAAAAAAAAAAAAACCCTAAATTTAGAATCAGACACAGTTTGGTTTAGATCCCATCTCCATCATTACTGACCATGTCACCTTCAGAAATTTAAACCACTAAACATTTATTGACTCTGTACTATATGCCATGCAAATGAAAATATAAAAAAATTAATACAACATGTTCTGTCTGCCTTCAGTCCCCTCGCATTCTATTCAGAGGGATAGATGAGAAAAGAGACGTTTAAAATGTGAAGGAAGTTTCTGGGCTCAAAAGAAGAGTATCTATCTCAGTCTGTGTAGGAAAGGATGTGAATGTCAGTGTGTGAGAGAGAGACAGAGAGAGAGAGAAAGAGAGAGAAAAGAGAGAGAGAATGAGAATGATGGGAGAGAGACAGAGAGAGAGAGAGAAAGAGAGAGAAAAGAGAGAGAGAATGAGAATGATGGGCAGAGAAGGAAGGAAAGGAAAGATTTCTGATAGACAACTGAAACCCAAGTTAGTTCATAGACTTTTTAATTGGCTTCCCTTTCCTTCTTTGCAAATTGGAGGAAATAAGATGGAGCATACCTCTGTGTGGCAGGGGTGATTAAGCTGATGATAACATGGTATAAGCTTCTGTTTAGATCCTATCTCCACCATTACTGGCCATGTCACCTTCAGAAATTTAAACCACTAAACATTTATTGACTCTGTACTATACGCCATGCAAATGAAGATATAAAAAAATTAATATAACATGTTCTTTCTGCCTTCAGTCCCCTCGCATTCTATTCAGAGAGATAGATGAGAAGAGACATTTAAAATGTGAAGGAAGTTTCTGGGCTCAAAAGAATAGTATCTATCTCAGTCTGTGTAGGAAAGGATGTGAATGTCAGTGTGTGTGAGAGAGACAGAGAGAGAGAGAGAGAGAAAGAGGGAGAAAAGAGAGAGAGAATGAGAATGATGGGCAGAGAAGGAAGGAAAGGAAAGATTTCTGATAGACGACTGAAACCCAAGTTAGTTCATAGACATTTTAATTGGCTTCCCTTTCCTTCTTTGCAAATTGGAGGAAATAAGATGGAGCATACCTCTGTGTGGCAGGGGTAATTAAGCTGATAACATGCTATCAGCTTCTGTGGCTGAGCATGGTAGCTTGGCTCAGAACAGACCAGAACCTAAAGCAAGGATTACAATATGAGGATAAGTATCTGAGAAAGAGAGCTCAAGTGGATTGGCAGTACAGGAGAGGTTGACATGAAATCCCCAGCTCTAGGCCCCAGGAGAAGGAAATCTAGCTTAGTAGTTGCACTGTGTATCTGCAAGATAGGAGCAATGGAAAAACCAAAATAAGTGATATCTCTAGAAAAAAGGATTTCTCCAAACCCAAGGTTCAGAACAAGTAGTTATCCTCAGAACACTCTTTGGCTGGGTCAGTAGGCACAGAAGGGACAGGAAACTAGTTTTGAATAGAGGAAGTAGTGGGATTGGGACAGATAAGAGAAAGGTAGAGAGTGCAGGTCCTAAGAGGCACTAGACAGGTTATCAGGATGAAAAGTGCATGAAGGCCGAAGGCCAGTGGCTGAAACTGGAACCAGTGTGAAGTAAACAGTGGCCACTCACTGTTGTCTCCCAGGGAGTTTAGTTTAGGAAGGATAAAGGAGTCTCCCTTATCCTTCCTATGTAAGGTAAGCACTAGTATAGAAACTCAAAGGAGAAACTCAAATGACCTCAACAGTGGGAAACATGGTTGACAAAAACTGGGAATTAGAATCTGCTATTTTATAGTAAATTTTTTGATTCACTGAGTTAGCCGACATGTCTTAGTCAATCTGGGCCGCTCTAACAAATTACCACACAGTGGGTGGCTTATAAATAACACACATTTATTTTTTGCAGTTGTGGAGGGTGGAAGTCTAAGATCAGGGTACCAACATGGTGAGGTTCTGGTGAGGGGCCTCTTTTGGTTTGCCGACTGCCAACTTCTCACTGTATTCTCACCTGGTGGAAAGAGAAGGGGCTAGAAAGGGTTAGCTCTCCTTCTTTTCTTATAAGGACACTAATCCCATTATGAGGGCTCTATCACCTTGACCTAATTACTTCTCAAGGCACTCACCACCTAATGCTATTGTATTGGGTGTTAGGGCCCCAACACATGAATTTCAGGCACATAAACATGCAGTCCCTAAGAAGACCTAAACTAAATATTATAGTGAGCACTGAGGCAGAGCAGTGTAGCAGTGGACTTAAATTCTACTGTATGTAGGTGACTAATTCTGTAGACTGGGGCAAATCAATTACTTTCTCTCTCATCCTCCTATTTCTCATTTGCAGAATGGAGCAATAATGTTTACTTGAACTTAGTTTGGGGTAATCATAATTTTAAACATTTAATTTGCTTTTTATTTATTTATTACTCCCTATTTTGTTCTTATTTAAAATAGAATTTAAAGAAGCAATTGGATTTGTACAGACGGAATATATTAATTAGTATATAAAATAATTATATTTATATTCATTTTATCATACTTATTTGATGTCGATATTAAACCATGTCTAAATTAAAGGCAAAATAAAATGTTACCCAGTTTTTCTTTGTATATTCATTGCAGACAAAGATAATTTTCTTTTACAAGTCTAATATCTTACAAAGAAACTATAATACTTTGTATGTTTGCTTTTTAAGTTAGGAAAAATCTTACCTTTATTAAAATTAGGATACTAAGTGTTCATTGTCTTAAATAATTTTTTTCTCAATTTGCTAATGAAAAGATGATCAACTGGGCTTCATCCCTGGGATGTAAGGCTGGTTCAATGTACGCAAATCAATAAATGTAATCCAGCATATAAACAGAACCAAAGACAAAAACCACGATTATCTCAATAGAGGCAGAAAAGGCCTTTGACAAAATTCAACAGCCCTTCATGCTAAAAACTCTCAATAAATTAGGTATTGATGGGACGTATCTCAAAATAATAAGAGCTATTTATGACAAACCCACAGCCAATATCATACTGAATGGGCAAAAACTGGAAGCATTCCCTTTGAAAACTACCACAAGACAGAGATGCCCTCTCTCACCACTCCTATTCAACATAGTGTTGGAAGTTCTGGCCAGGGCAATTGGACAGGAGAAGGAAATAAAGGGTATTCAATTAGGAAAAGAGGAAGTCAAATTGTCCCTGTTTGCAGATGACATGACTGTATATCTAGAAAACCCCATCGTCTCAGCCCAAAATCTCCTTAAGCTGATAAGCAACTTCAGCAAAGTCTCAGGATACAAAATCAATGTACAAAAATCACAAGCATTCTTATACACCAATAACAGACAAACAGAGAGCCAAATCATGAGTGAACGCCCATTCACAATTGCTTCAAAGAGAATAAAATACCTAGGAATCCAACTTACAAGGGACATGAAGGACCTCTTCAAGGAGAACTACAAACCACTGCTCAATGAAATAAAAGAGGATACAAATGGAAGAACATTTCATGCTCATGGGTAGGAAGAATCAATATCATGAAAATGGCCATACTGCCCAAGGTAATTTACAGATTCAATGCCATCCCCATCAAGCTACCAATGACTTTCTTCACAGAATTGGAAAAAACTACTTTAAAGTTCATATGGAACCAAAAAAGAGCCCTCATCGCCAAGTCAATCCTAAGCCAAAAGAACAAAGCGGGAGGCATCACGCTACCTGACTTCAAACTATACTACAAGGCTACAGTAACCAAAACAGCATAGTACTGGTAGCAAAACAGAGATATAGATCAATGGAACAGAACAGAGCCCTCAGAAATAACGCCACGTATCTACAACTATCTGATCTTTGACAAACCTGAGAAAAACAAGAAATGGCGAAAGGATTCCCTATTTAATAAATGGTGCTGGGAAAACTGGCTAGCCATGTATAGAAAGCTGAAACTGGATCCCTTCCTTACACCTTATACAAAAATTAATTCAAGATGGATTAAAGACTTAAATGTTAGACCTAAAACCATAAAAACCCTAGAAGAAAACCTAGGCAATACCATTCAGGACATAGGCATGGGCAAGGACTTCATGTCCAAAACCCCAAAAGCAATGGCAACAAAAGCCAAAATTGACAAATGGGATCTAATTAAACTAAAGAGCTTCTGCACAGCAAAAGAAACTACTATCAGAGTGAACAGGCAACCTACAAAATGGGAGAAAATTTTCGCAACCTATTCATCTGACAAAGGGCTAATATCCAGGATCTACAATGAACTCAAAGAAATTTACAAGAAAAAAGCAAACAAACCCATCAAAAAGTGGGCGAAGGACATGAACAGACACCTCTCAAAAGAAGACATTTATGCAGCCAAAAAACACATGAAAAAATGCTCACCATCACTGGCCATCAGAGAAATGCAAATCAAAACCACAATGAGATACCATCTCACACCAGTTAGAATGGCAATCATTTAAAAAGTCAGGAAACAACAGGTGCTGGAGAGTATGTGGAGAAATAGGAACACTTTTACACTGTTGGTGGGACTGTAAACTAGTTCAACCATTGTGGAAGTCAGTGTGGCGATTCCTCAGGGATCTAGAACTAGAAATACCATTTGACCCAGCCATCCCATTACTGAGTATATACCCAAAGGACTATAAATCATGCTGCTATAAAGACACATGCACACGTATGTTTATTGTGGCACTATTCACAATAGCAAAGACTGGGAACCAACCCAAATGTCCAACAATGATATACTGGATTAAGAAAATGTGGCACATATACACTATGGAATACTACGCAGCCATAAGAAATGATGAGTTCATGTCCTTTGTAGGAACATGGATGAAATTGGAAATCATCATTCTCAGTAAACTATCACAAGGACAAAAAACCAAACACCACATGTTCTCACTCATAGGTGGGAATTGAACAATGAGAACACATGGACACAGGAAGGGGAACATCACACTCTGGGGACTGTTGTGGGGTGGGGGGAGTGGGGAGGGATGGCCTTAGGAGATATACCTAATGCTAAATGACGAGTTGATGGGTGCAGCACACTAGCATGGCACATGTATACATATGTAACTAACCTGCACATTGTGCACATGTACCCTAAAACTTAAAGTATAGTAATAATAAAATTTAAAAAAGGAAAAAAAAAGATGTGAAAGCAGACTTGGACAATATGTAAATAAATGACATGAGCGTGTTTCAACTATTTAGGAAAACAAGCAGCAGGATGGATGTGATAGAGAAGCTGTGGTTGACCAGCCCCTGGTCTATGTTGTCAATTCAAAGCAGAGTTGTCGTTTCCAAAAGATATTTTTTGATGGTTTTATTAGTGCAAAATAAAAGCTATTTTTCAGATTGCAAAACAAAACAAAACAAAAAAAAAAAAAGAAAAGAGACTTACATTTTAAGGATTTCTACTAAGTCAGAGTATCTTTTGGGTAAAACTGCAGGCAATTTAAGTAAGATTAATTTTTGCTTCAAATTACATTTCCTTCTAAGTAATTGTAGGGGTATAGTACTGATGAATGTTTGTGTGTTGAGATTGATGCTGAGGGCCATACTGTGCTTTCATTTTGCACAGGTTTGAAACTCAATGCATAATTTAATTCAAATCAGTAAATCTGACACTAGTTTTTCACATGGTGATTTTGAACAAAGGTTTTAATGATCATTTCTATAACCTATGAAAATGACCACATACATTTAATTATTTACACAGTAAGTTTAAGTGTATAGCTTAAAATGAAGCTGACGGTAATAACAGCAAAAGTAATTCTGGATACATGACTTTTTTTAACAACTTAGGGGAATAAAATTAGAAATACTGTTAAGAAAGTAAATTTCTATATTTTAAAGAAGTGGAATAAAATCAAGGTTTCTAACTATAGGTTATTAGGTAAGATACATGACTATTAGGTAAGAAACAGAAACATACAGTTGAATAAAATTGCAAAGTCATTTAGTTTATAGTGTTTTAAAATTTAAGAACGATTTAAACTGACTAAATCAATCTCATCTATAACAAGTAAGACTCTAGAATATTCTTAAAACCTTCTGAGTTTTAGTTAAATTGGAAGTCTTTACCCTAATGTTCTGTAAAATTATTCTACCAAACATAATAATTCCCTTATTTAATAACATAGCTGATTAATGATTAGTGAAAACTGTGGAGCTGTATCTTTGCTGATAATAAGTTATATTATAACGTTATTTAATATTTAGACCACATTACTGGAACTCCTTGCTGTTATGGGTTAATTTTATCCCCTCCCTGCAAAAGATATGGTGAAGTACTCAATCCTAGTACTTCAGCATGCGACCCTATTTGGAAATAGGGTCATAACAGAGGTAATCAGGTTAAAATGAGGTCATTGGCATGGGTTCTAATCCAGCATGACTGGTATCCTAATAAAAGCATTTGATTTGGACACAAAGACACAGATGAAAGAAGGGAAGATGATATGAAAAGACATAATGCCATCTACAAGCCAAGCAATTTCTGAGGCTACCAGAATGTAGGAGAAAGGCATGGAACAGATTTTTCCTCACAAACCTCACAAGAAACCAACCTTGCTGATACCTTGATTTCAGACTACTAGCCTCCAGAACTGTGATACAATAAATTTCTGTTGTTCAAATCTATCTAGTCTGTGGTACCATAGCCCTTGGAAACTAATACACTTTCTCTGTGGCTTCATGTTAAGTTTGGCCAATGGGAGGCGCCAGAAGCTAGAAGAAGAGAAGGTTGCAAGGGAGTTCAGAGCCTTTGTTTTCTTGGCTCCCTCTTTGCAAAGAGGGTTGGTTTCACTCTCCTTTAGGGTGCTCTCTCTATATATTTATCTTCTTTGGATTCCTGAACCTCTCTTTTCGTCTCTTCAGGTCCAAGTGTTCAAGGGCTCCCAGATGGTACAAGCCTCAAGGATCTATGTCATCTCTTACTAAATCTTTCCCAGGCCCTTTAAAATAATTTTTTAAAAAGCCAAAAAAACAAAAAAAAAAACCTCTTAGGAAAGTAGCTGGTTTGCATATGACGTGCTTTTCTTGGCAGGGCCATGACTGATACAGCATCTGTCTTCTAAAAGAGACTTGTTTATCCTTTATGCTACTACTGGACATTGTACATGTGATAACACTTATATTATATTATAATGACTTGCCTGAGTAGTATGTCTTTTCATCTCTAAAAGAAGTTCCTTGAAGCTGCTTATTCTCCATTGTAAAACCAGCACTTTATACAGGCTCTGCCATAATGTAAGTCCTCAATATATACTTACCAAATGAATGCATAGATGAATGTTTATTTTTAAGATGCTGCTATATACTGCCTTGTTTACAAAAGAGAAACTTTGGATAGTTAATAAAATAAGCATCATAGAATAATATTAAAATTAATATGTAAAGAAATTCAAAAGATAATAGGGTCAGGGAAAGTGAACATGAAAATAAGATTAATACATGAAATATTATAATTTGCAATGTACTGGCACTAGGTGGATAACAAATACAGTTCTGTGCTATGTAACAGACAATGGGAAGGCTAAATAAGACAAGTTGCATAAATCAGTGTCCATAAGTTAAATACAAACCAATTACTAGGTGATATACACATATTCCAAAGACTGAGACTGGAGCAGATGCAAATATTAATTTCCAATTAATCCCTATGAAGAGATAAGCATGTCATGCAATGAACAATGCTTTCAATATGCTCCTAAAGATAATTAAAAATGAGTTTCCTAAGACTTTTTGTGCCACATTCTCATATGACCAATGCAGTAATGCCCAAATAATGTTCAATAAAGATTACTCCAATGGGAGCAGGCTAAGCAAAACAATATAGATGAGGTACTGTGACAGAATGGACCAACCTAAGCACACATATGTGAACTGCTTATACTTTTGATAATATAGTGATTAATGCCCATATCTTTATTCATAAATGTTATACATAAATATTATTTTTATCCACTAAGATTTTGATCAGTATTTTGTGGCAATGAATTCAAGTCTTACAGGTACTAAGAATGCAGATAACTGTTGTCAACTCTTATGGGTAAACACATGTTTTTATAGAAAGCCAACCTAATTATTAGGTAAAAATCACCTATAAATATTTTTAACTACCTGGTTAAGTTTATTTTATGTTTAACAAATAAGAGCTAAAATGGTAAAAAAAAAAATACATTTTAAAATGAATGAATACAGCAAGTTTGTAAAAGACAGAAAATAAAATTTTCCTTTTGGTCCCTCTTAGATTTTCCAAGACAGGTTTCAATGAATAATGAGATTCTATGAATAATGAGACTCAAAATCTCATGCTATTTGGAATGAAAGACATTATTGAATAAATAGTTTTTAAAAATTGATGTGATAAAATCTCACACCCTACATATATTTCTTTTTGTTGACTGAGGGGGAAAACATGTTAGTGGGAAGTAAACACAATACTCACTGCTTGTCATTTTGAGAAAACTGCACATTGTTTTTTTCTCAAAATATTACAAATTCAATATCACAGATCCCAGCATGTAAAAAGTAGAACTACTATGGCCTACTTTTCGGACTTATCTACTAAAAAATTAGCAGGCCTCTAGAAAGGACAGTGTGTGTATGTTTGTGTGTTTGATTTAGAGTATATCCTATACTTATCAATGTAAACAATAAACACAGTTTTCAGGATCCACAAGCTTCTCTCAGTGTTACCTGATCATCTTCTTGAACTTCTCATTGTAGTGGTCTGTGATCTTCTCATTATCTTGATTACTTAGGAGGAGAAAACTCAGATTCTCATTTCCCAGTAGCCAGACTTTTTGTTGTTGTTGTTGTTCAAATGTAAGCATTAAATTCCTTCTAATAAAATTGGTTGTGATTCCTATAATTAATATATATGGCCATAATTTATGCTAGCATAACTTGATTTTGATGGCCCTCTTTTTGTTCTGGCAATCAGCTACCAAAATGGTCTTAGGGCCCTCTGTGAAAATTATATATATTTGTTTTAAATTTTATATATTTATGTATATATATGCACATTTTATATGTATATAAATACCTTTTACATCAGTACCTTTGGGCTGCTGAGATCTTATATGAAGGCATTTTTAAAGTTTTTCTTAGCTTAGGAAACTCAGTTGTTTTCTGGATAGTAATACAGAGTTTTCTAATTTCTTCAGGTTTACTTTTTGGTCCCCATATGCTAAGATTCCCTTCCCTCTTTTCAACAAATTACTGGCTGAAAGAACTTCATTATCTAACTGTATTCTTTCTGTTGTTTTCTGATGAAAAATGACCCCCAGGATGAATTTTTCATTTGTTTTAATCTTTCTTCACATTCCATTTTGATTCTCTTCAGCCCCTGAAGGGATTGTCCATCAAATGGTCTCTTCTATCAGGGTCACAGTATTTACGTCGTTGGGCCTCCTCCTCAGGCTGTGCATATCTTAGGTTTCCTGCACTCTCAATATAACCTGCTTATCTTATTCCAATTTCTGCTTATCTTACTCAGACCCCCAGTCATCCCTGTGCCATCAGGAGATTCTTCCTAGTAGCCAGCATGATCCTGCCAGTCCTGTGATCAGGCTGCCACACCACCATGCTTCTGCCCAGGAGCTGACATCTTGAACAATGTGGGGAGACTGATGGAGACATGAGTTTAAAGAGAGGCCTCTCATACTGCTTGGTAGATATGGAACCATGGAATGCCCAAAAACAAAGTCAAGATTTTGCCCACAACAATTTAGAGTCTACTCTGATGCAAATAAATGATTGATGTGCCAAATGTTGTACATCATAGACTATGGTTTCAGTAATCTGAAGTGATGTAACCTCCCGGTAAATCCTCTAAGATAAAGTTGTTTCAGTCTATCACTCTGGGCAAATCAATAAATTAACTTACACTTTGCACCTTTTAGCTGTGAGCCAGTTAAATGTGAAATGTCATCAACCACAATTGATTGCTTCAATTTTAGCATTCATTTATCTGAAATTCTTATTTCTGACAAAATTTAGGAGGTGTATTAGTAGGAATTGCAGTGGACTACATATAGCAAGTAACTTATATTACAGTGGCTAAAAATTGATTTTTGATTTGCTTTTTTCCAAATAAAGAGAAGCCCAAAGATAGGCCATAAGAAGCTGGTATGGGGACAACATCATTTCATTGGGGATATTATCATGTCCTTTTAGCTTTCTTTGCCACAATTTTCAGGTTGTGGTTCTTGTTCTTATTTTTACAAGATCTTTGCTGTAATTCAGGTAGTTTTTTCTTCAAAAAGAAGAAAAGATGAAGAACCAATGGTAATAGGGTATAGACTATTTGAGTCAACCTCCTTGGAAGCTCAAAGCCGATATTTTGACTGACATCACACGGACATTTCTATTTATAAGGATGGGTGGGAAATACAGCTTTTTTATCTTGGCAATGTTCTGACCCCAGTGAAATCATGTTTTTTTTTTTTTTTTTTTTTTTTAAGGGGAAATTGGGAATACAATCTCTGCCACAGAAGATCAGATTTGAGGCTATGTGATAATGTATACGTAGGAAAATATCTTTTTGTTTTCTACAATATGAATGTATGCATGAATATTTATACATGCATATGTGTGTGTATGATGGGGATAGCGTGGGGATCAAAGGAAGCCATGAAACAAACTCATCCAAAAAGTAGAATCAATTTATTAATAAAGAAGTAAAAATAAGGGAGTAGTATGAATGTATTCCCATTTTTACCCCACTAGAAATTGTGTCTGATTAGAGATTATTCCTGTCTGTTCTGACTATCGTGGTTTAATTATGGTGCAGGTTCTTAATAACTATCAATATCCAGGAGTCTGTATTAAAGTCACACAACTTATACTTATGGCTTGTTAGCATTTATGAAATCAAAGCCTTCAGAATATGTCAATAAAGGCTCAAAGCAGTCTTACAATTTTTTTCCTAACACAGTTTTCCACAAAGTCCTATGATTCTCTTTATGCATAAATCAATAAAGAAGGAACTGTGTCTAGAGTCTGCAGACTTCTGCTCCTGAATATTATCCTGAGAAACTTAGCAGAAGAATTTTTTTTACTTCAATGAGATAACTAATAAGTTAACATCTATAATATATGGGACATGATATGAAGAACATCATAATTTTAAATGCATAGTGGACTCTGGCTGTAATAAGACAGTATGAACTAATAATATTTAATAAGATACCAAGTCTGATCAAATACAAAGTATAAGAGAGACTTCAGTAATCCTCAAGACAATAAAAAATATTCAGAGACACAATTAGCTTTGGCTTATTAATCAAATTTTTCTATGGTGGACTATTCTAAGGATCAATATGCAGTTAATCCTGGAGTTGACAAAGTTGAGAGCAGTTTATAAAACCAGGAAAATAATTTCCAATAGAGTTACAAAAATATATCTAATACCACAAACTAATTTGCCAAATTCAAATTATGGCATATTTTAATTGGAGGAAGTTTTATTTATGAATATTGTCTATCTTATCCTTGCATTCCAAAGAACTACTGAAAGGACTAGAAGAAAAAGAGAAACAAAAGAAGAAAATATCACTTCTTATTTCTTTCTTTAAAAAGTTAGCTTTTTAAAATATACATCACTTTATATAAACTGTTCTTCTGGGGATATGGATGGTACACTGTATTTAATCAAATTTCAAAAGTTTTACTCCAGAATACAAGTACTCTAGTAGTTTAAGGAGAAAAAAGTGTTCAATGTTTAAACAGGGAGGTAAGGGCTAGAAGGAGAGAAGATGTGAACTGGGCCTAAAAGAATGGGTCAAATTTGGAGGATAAGTCAACTCCATTGAGGAAACCCCTTCCAAAAGAGCAAACATGGAAATGATCTATGTATTTGTGTAATGATACAATAAACAATAACACTGGTTGAGATATATGATGGATATAAATGCAAAATAAGAATAGGGCTGGGATATTAAAAATAGCTGTTTGAGGTTTCTCAATTTAGAATCATGAATTAAAAGTTGACATGCATGTATACATATCAGAAAGGGTCATTCTCTGTGGATCACAGTTTTGTATTTTTTCCTGAAAAGAAAGAGGCATTTTTGGTGGTAGATTTAATACAGCATTTTGATGGGTTTATATTTTATTTTATCCTGTGGGATAATTTTGACATTTTTTTAAGTTGCAATTCAAAGTTTATATGTTTGTCATGAAACCAGTAGCAGGCATTCTTAGAATCTGAAAAGATATGATGTTTCATAATGTGGTTATAGGTTGGGTATAAAGTAGCTGGATGGACAGGTGAACTGTGTCTATATTCTCTCTATGTGGGACGTTAGTAGAATTGTAGCCTCATTTTCTTATGGTATCATTGCAGGAATACTCTATTTATTTGTACATGAGCCAACCTGTTATAACTTATATACTTGGCATTCCTGGTATGTGATAACAACTATGAAGATAAATTTGGTATCTCTTTAGTTAAGACAGTGGTTTGCATAGAATAAAAGTGTAATACATTTTGAATTGAATTGAATGGTACTTATTGCTACATGATTTTGTTCATGTTTCTCTAAGACATCAACAAATATTCAGTAAGCAATTGTTGAATGAATAAATGAGAGTTCAGCAATTTCAACAGTGACTTTATTGATGCTTTTGGGTAAAAACGCTAAGTTTTTTAGGTTTCCTAGTTTGATACTATGTAGTTAAGTATTATAGTATACCTTCTGATAATGAGAGCTTCTTTGGGCAAGTAATTTGGTTATCTATAAGAAAAAAAGAAAACCTATTACAGCTTGATGGACTTCTCAGAATCTGATGTAGAAGTGTAGCAGCAGTTATCACATATTTTAACATCAGCTGTGATTTTTCTTCTGTCCTCGATATGTTAAAATGAAAACTGTGCACATAGGGTCTATATATCATGAAAAAGTTTTGTAGGCATACATCTAGTTGTATAGTTCTTATCTCTAAATTATCATAATAATTAAGAAATAAATAAGAAAGCATATTACCAATAAAAATTAATAAAAACATCTAAAAACACTCAAATTAAAGCAGGATTTTTAGGATAGAAGGATTGAAATTTCCAGAAGACAAATTTCAATTCAACAGAAAGAAAAAAATATTTGCAATGAATGCCTCATGAAGTAGTAAATTAGTTCAGAAATATTCAAGTAAAGTCTGGATGTTTTTTGTCATGAGTTTCGTAGACTAAATACCCTAAACAGGTTTCAAATTAATCCCATGAACATTTGCCAAATGTGTATTCTGTTCATGGCTTTATTGAAAAGGTTTCCTCTGTAGGTGTATTCTGAGAGATGAGTAGAAATTCCAAGCTGAGGCAGGATGAGGCCAAGATCACTTCAGTGTGGTCAGATCAACAAGCAGGAACAAATTTTGGGAAGGTTGGTTTTCGGATAAAGAACGCTTAAACATTGAGGTAGAAATAAATGTAAAATTATTGAAAAATAGAATTGGAACTATTTGTACCAGGTTTTGAACTCGGCAAGAAATTTGGTCTTAATTTTTATTTGAAGAGTAGTCCTTAAAGGTTTTGAATTACATGATCCAGTCAGTATTTTAATAAGATTGTCTGGCTACAGCCAGATTGTGGGATTAGAGCAGAGAAATATTGGAAGAGACGGCTTTGGAGGTTATTTTCATGATTCACATAAGGGATGATTGTGGCAATAATGAAATATTAGGAAAGACAGCGCAATGTGTTTGAGGTAGACTTTTAAAAATAAGGATATTATTTCCTAATAATGTTAAATAATAGCATTAGGTTTTCAATCAGAATTCATAGGATATATGGATATATAAATTGTTATGGCTTTTTTAAACTCAGAAAATAAGGAGAAGAAATTTTGAGAAATTTCATTCAATGTATTCTAAGACTGCCCATTGGTCTTAGGATGTTCCCACTGTTAACCTTTCTTTGACGTATAGTTTCTATCCTATAACTTTCAGGGAAAAATTAGCAGGTGAAAACTTATCAGCAAAGAAAATAACAAGAGGTTGATCAGTGCTTGATGTTTTCTTCTTGTCCCTTGGTATCCCCTTACATTTGGACAGTTTATGTCCTTTTAAAAATGTTTATCATTATGGAAATTCTTGCAAATTTCTAAATTTCATGTATCTACCTTAATGTGGGTCTGAAATCTATGAGGCTTTATAGATAATGGGGCTATAGCCACAGTCCCCAACCTTTTTGTCACCAGGGACTGGTCTCATGGAAAACAATTTTTCCACAGTCAGGGGTGGGGCAATGGTTTCAGGATGAAACTGTTCCACCTTAGATAATCAAGCATTAGATTCTCATAAGGGTAACGTGCAACCTAGATTCCTTGCAAGTGCAGTTCACAATAGGTTTAACGCTCCTGTGAGAATCACATGCCACTGCTGTTCTAACAGGAGGCAGAGCTCAGGTGGTGCTTGCTCACCTGCCACTTACCACAGGCCATGCAACCCAGTTCCTAACAGTCCAGGGACCAATGCCAGTCCAGGCCTGGTCTATATAACTACTTTGTCTGGCTTTGATGGTTTATACCTTTGAATGGAGTTTCCTTAATGTAGGTAGGAATTATCTTGATTCTATAATTTATCATGAGGAAAATGTGTTTTTTACATATTTCTTTCATACCTTCCTGCACCCCTCCTTCTTCTTTAACATCATGTAACTTTCCTATGAGCTCTCATTCTAGGCTTCTTCAGAGTTATATGTATTATGATTTTACCTTTTGTTTTATCATAAATAATTCCCTTTTCTAAAACAGACGTAGGTAATATATTTGATTCACTATTCTTTTGCAAAATTTAAATTTCAGTTACTTTCTCGATGTATTTATGTTTACTGGTAATGCCAAAATCTAGGGGTTTTGCCATATGTGTATTGTGCATATGTGTCCTTAACGCCCTATGGGTGTCTTCGAAATATAATCAACTTTATGTTATAATGTTGTGTTTTTATGTCTCCATATTTCACCAGAACTGTACATTATTAAAATATGGAGATGTACTTTATTAATTTTTAAAGTCGGGCTCTGGCGTGAGTTGGAACTTAGTAAATGGGCGTTGATAAATAAAGATTTTTTTCTATTAAATATTACTTCACTCTATCTAAAAACCTCATATTTGCCTTTCATTTCCATCAGGTTTACTTGTTTATATTTTGGTAAATCAAGCTTGCTTTACTTTAAGTTGGTACAACTGGGTAGTATTTCTAATCACATTTTGTATTTTATCTTATCTTCTGAATTCCTCTGTATGATTCAGAGTGTGCTCATGTAGAATCTTTTCAACAATGTAACCGTGGCTACTGTGGAATTCAGTGCCACACCATGACCTGGGCATTGTCCTCTAGAGTAATATTTTTTTAAAGAATGCCAATTCAACAAATAAATAAATAAAAATATTCATGGGGCAGGATTTTTTAAAAATTATTTTCTTAGAAAAAAGTAGATTATGTAATCTATATTTAAATTATTGACTAGATGATTACCAATAAAATATTTTTTATACATACTAATCTGTTAATAACTAGTTAGGTCTGGAAAGTAGCCCTATGGGGCCAGCTTTCTAATATTTGAGCCTGAAATTAGTTAATTCCTCAACTAGAAAAAAAGTAAAAAGATGAGTTACATCTGACATAAGTGCTGTTCAACTTATTTTTTAGCACTTTAGACTTCATTAACCATACCATATTCCAGAAGACAAGATCACTAAGTTTTCAGAAGACATTACAGTGTTCCTAGCAAATAGCATTTTGGAAAAAATTATTTTGACTAGTGGAATATGTAAAATGAATTAAATGTGATTGAAATACTTTTATTCTCAAATTTATGAGAGTTAAAATAGGGTTTTGTAAATAGAAAGTGACGATAGAAGGAATCCAGCTAGAAAAGCTGGCTAGTTGCTCACACAGAGCCTTACAGGATGGTAGTAAGTTATATAAAGATGAATAATCTTATCCTTAACTTTAAGGGCCATGAACTAAATACTACTTCCTTTTGTAGAACTTATTACATTGAGCATTATAACTTTTCAAGTAAACTTTTAATTTGTAATAGTTTTATATTTGCCAAAAATGTGTAAATATAGTTTTCATATACTGTGCATAGTTTCTTCTATTTATTAACATCTTACTCTGATACATCTGACGAACTAACGAACCAATACTGATAGATTATTTTTAACTGAAGCTCATACTTTTATTCATATTGCTTAGTTTTTTAGTCTAACGTCCTCTTTCTCTTCTGGGATCCCAACCAAAAACCACATTACATTAAGTCCTCATGTCTCCTTAGGCTCCTTTTAACTAACATTTTCTCTGACTTTCCTTAATTTTTATGACCTTGACAGTTTGAAGAAGCTGTTATATAAAATGTCATTAAATTAGGTTTGTCTGATTTTTGTATTGTTACAAAGGGGTTGTAAGTCTTTGGGAGAAAAGCCACAGAAGTAATATACCATTCTCTAATTAAACATTCATATCAAGGGTACATTCTCTGAATATTACATATCATTGAAGTTAACCTTCATCATCTGGCTGAGGGTGTGTTTCTCAGATTTATCTACCATAATGTTTATCTTTTTCTCCACTTACCATATTGTATCTTGGAAGGAAGTCACTACATGCAGCGTACACTTAATGGGTTGGAAGTTTACTCCATCTTCCTTAGGGGAGTGTACCTACGTAACTTATTTGGAATTCTTCTGCACAGGATATTTTTATTCCATTTATCTCTTGATTCAATCATTTATTTATATTATAATGGACTCATGGAAATTTATTTTATACTTTGGCTTATATTCTAATAATACATTATTTATTTTGTTTCTTAACTTGTTTCATTTTTGGCCATGGAGAGCTCATGGAGAATGGCATTAGAAACCATCATCTAGGTACTGGGTATACTCATTGCTACTGGAGGTGTTATTAACTTTTATAAAGTTAAAAATTTATCATTAACCTAAGTAACTGCTTACATCATATTACCTACATGATGAAATTCAAAATCCATTAAAATGGGAGAAAGAGATTGCTAATTTCCCCCAGTGTTTATTTTGTATTTTGTTCCCTTTAATAGGGCCACTAAATATTAACTGGATATGGACACCAACAATAAACTCAACATTTCTAAGGTCCCTAGAGTCAGATGTGACAGCTATTGAGGATGGGATATAACAGATATCATTAAGTAACTTTTTTTGTTCTTAAATGGAGGAGACATACCCTTCTTCTACTCCTTTCTTCTTTTGCCCACCTGGAATGTGGACATGATGGCAGAACACAGAGCAGTTTGACAACATGGTAGAATCAGGTCCTCATTCTTCAGTTAGTCATCAAAACAGGGCTGGGATGCCAAAACTTAAACGAGAGAGG
Organism: Homo sapiens; assembly: GCF_000001405.40. Classification (NCBI taxonomy): domain Eukaryota; kingdom Metazoa; phylum Chordata; class Mammalia; order Primates; family Hominidae; genus Homo; species Homo sapiens. The sequence goes on along the minus strand of NC_000005.10, from coordinate 45,510,621 downwards.
AGTAAAATTTTCTCTTCTAATCATTTTTCATTTAATATTTCCTGTCAAATTACACTCCAGCCTAATTCTCACTATATTTGGTATACCCACTTCAGATGATTATGTGTTCCAGACACTTACCTCTAATCAAATAAAGATTGATTAAGCATTCTGTGTGAGCCGGACTCTATAGTAGGAGCTAGGAGGGAATTTGAAAATGAACAAGTTAACAAGCCCCAGCCCTATTGAGTCGATACTCTAGTCATATAATAGAATGTTCCTGAACACTCAATTCAATTCTTGTGTCATACGCACATTCATGTTTCTGAAAAAAATGTTCTTCACTTCTTATTATCTGCATGGAAATCTCATAATTGTTTAGGAAGACTCATCTGAACACTTACCTTTTGGGGGAAATTTTCTCTTATGTATGTATATGGTGTTAGTCACTCCTTCATATATGCTTCTGGAGAACCTCCTACAAACTTTCCATCTGATATCAAGTCATACCATTTTTTGGATAGACCATAAGCTCTTGAAGACAGGTTGTCTTTTCATTCAAGTGTTATTATTATTTGCCAAAATGATGTCGGATGTGAAGTGTTTGGTATAATTCAATTTTGTTAATTTACATGGATGATAGTCCATTTGAGAGAGGATAATTTTAGTGTCTAATATCTGGGGAATTCCTTCTACTTATTCAGGTAGCAGGGGATCTAGATTAATGATCAGAAGTTTCCATGATGATTTTTGGAATCAAAAACACAGCTTTGCTGTATGGCCTGGATGGTATTTGAACGAGGCCATGTGAGGCCTGAAGAATAATTACTTGTTCCACAACAAAATGTATTTCAATGATATTCTTTAGATTCTAAATTGCATCTTGTTATAGTGAAAAAAAATTCCTTGAAAATATTCATAACAGCCACATACTGGCTATATCTGTCAATAGCTCCAACGTAGCCCGTCTCTCCTCTCAAATTAGAATATATCAGTCTCTCCTAGTTGAAAATGAGTTGACATAATTGGATTGAATTTTGGGAGCATTTTAAATGAAGTCCTATCTTTAAACACTGGAATCACACATGGCCCACTGAGATGCTCCTACTGTTGGAGGAACACAGAAACTGAGAAGAATCTGAACTTTCATGAGTGCAGTTCATGCTCAACCTGCAGCATGCAGGCTTAGAATGTGGTGGTGACTGAAGTCTTCTGCACTATTCAAATGCTTTTTTTTCCCTTTATTTTTCTCTCCTCCTCAGCCTGTGAGCATATATAGTTAAATGTGTAAGTTTATAAAGACATATCATCTACTTTATCATACAGCTCTACATAACCCAAAGAGCATAAATGTGTCTAACTCCCTGGCACAACAAAATCTCTTGAATTATTTTCGCCTCTGAGATATTATGTGGCAATCTCTCCGCTCTGCTATGAGGTGCACTCCTAGTTACAAATGAACAAGATCGATTTAGCAGAAAATGATACAATGCTGACATGTTAAACACCAACCTTACCAGTAATCATTTGTAATGCTCAAAGAAGGAAGCATGTTGTGTATCAGTCATGTTTAAAGGACTTGAAAGTAAGGAAAATCATTATTTTACTCATGTGCTTTGGGCAGGGTAAGAACTTAGTAAATATTTGCAGACTTGACTATAATAGTGGTATTTTTTACAAGCAGGCTGAATAGTAGGATAAATTGAATTATGGCGAATAAAAATGATGATGAAAACCATTTGTTCACCAGGCTTAGCTTGTTTGGCTTTCACAAGGTTTCAACCTGGAAGCCAAACCCTTGGGCACAACTTTGTGGTTTTATCTATTAGTTTATCAAACTAAATAATACAATATAGCCTACTTGCATCATCTGTTTCAAATGTATCTATCATAAATTTAAAACAATCTTTTTTATTAGGAAGCTTTATATTATTGGTTGATATTACATCACAGACATTCTATATAGAAAAGTCTGACTTGAAATGAGATGCTTGAAAATGTCAGTTTTTTTCATTGAGAGTGCCCTGAGTTTTGAAGCTTTTCAGTGGCATGATTATAAGTAGGACATACCCTTTGTCTTTTCTTTCCCTATTTTTTTCCCAGAAAAGACAGTGCCTAATGTTTGAGTATAGAAGCAGAGATAATACTAAATATTTGAGGAAATGTTGGTGAGCTGAAGCTCACCATGAGCTTTAATTATAAACAGGTGAAAATTGTGAACATTGAGCCTAGCATGGATTGTAAAACAGGTGGTGTAATCTAACTCCTTTTGGTTTTCAGTTACAAACAGGTGAAAATTGTGAACATTGAGGATAGCCTGGATTGTAAAACAGGTGGTGTAATCTAACTCCTTATGGTTTCAAAAGTAAGATACAGTGGCCTTTGGGAATTTTCTGTAATCGTACTTGGAGAATGGAGAAAAATATGATGAACTTTTCACATACATTTCCAATTCAATATTCATCACATGAACCTTAAGAGTTAGTAATATTTCTATTTGCCAAAAGCTTTCACAGTAGGCTTTTAAGCTTAAGATTAGAATTCATTGATTTTTATTGTCCTTTAATTTTCAGTGCTTTTGTTTATGGTAAGTTGCCTTTTTGTAGACAATATTTGTGTATATATATGATAATCTTCAGAATTTATAGAATTAAAATAAGTTTTTGGTGAAATTCAGATAAGATGTATTTTCCTGCACACATATAATGTTATATGTCTCTTTAAGTCAGAAACATAGGTAATGATTTTTATCATGGAATTATAATAAACTACCTAGAAAATGCTTACCTTTATATTTATTCAAATATTGATGTAGCTATTTAAGGAATTACTGCAGATTTTTCATTAATAAGAATTTCCAAACACTGATCTAACATGTTTGTTTATAGCTTGTCTTTCTAATCTTTCATTAACAAAGACCTAAAAATTATCCTTTATTATTTTCATAATTTGATATTCGTGTAATCCGTGGGTCACCTTCTGACCATGTGTGTGTGCTCCTTTATTCTCAATTTGCAGGCTTCAATGTTTCTCATTTATATACTGTTATTTCTCTTTGAAAAGGATGTTTATTGTATCTTTGGTGAAGCTGTTTTTATTTTTTCCATCATAGTTTTAGTGGGACCTTGGAACCATTACAAAATCTCAACAAGAAGCATGAAAATGGAGTGTGCTTTATTCTTTTCCCATCCTGTCATAGTCCTCTTAGCTGCTGCTATGGCAACAGACTGGCAACAGTTGTAGAGGAAACCATGCTCAGACTAAGGCCAGATGGAGGGAGTTGGTGCCAGTGGCAGCATTGCATGGAAACTGTGTATAGCAGTGATGAATTGGAACTTGGCTGTGTTCCTCTCCAATAGATAGGCAAGATGGAAAGGGAAGGAAAAGGGCAGAGACTATGGAGTACCACATAAGCTGAGCAGTCGTTCACAGGATTGTTGTCCATGTTAATGGGAAATCTAAATTTCCTACCTAGTTTAAAAAACATATGTAAAACATGCTAATATCTATATGCTATTAAAAAACAAGCTTTGTGACATAATTTCTGTTCTAATTGACTTGCTGTGAAACATTCCTTCTACAAATTGATATTGTATTCTATCCCTCTAGTCTTTCAACTAATGGCCCTGTGAATTCTTATTATTAACAGTATACAATATATCTCTTTACTGTTGCTGGTGACAGTGGAATTTTTCTTTCCATTAAGAAATGTCACTTTTAGTATGCAGGTTTGAGGCCACTAAATGCATAACATTTTTGTTATAAATATATTAATGATGTTTCTTTAGAATTAACATGAATTTCCTATTCTCAGTGAGCTTTTATGATACAATAATCAAGATTAATATCAAATGAATAAAAAGAATAACAAATGATTTAGTAATAAAATTCAGATCTCCATACAGAGCTGTACTTTTAGGCAAACAATTTTTCCTGAAGGAGAGGCTTTAAAGCCTTTCCTAGTCATGAATAAAAATAGCAATACAAAGCAAAATAAAAAATTAAGAAATACATCCGAGTGGTAATTTCCTCTCTTATTGATGAACCCAGTTTGCATTTGTGTTTTTCATTTTTTATTTTTATTTTGTAACCCAGTTTGCATTTGTGTTTTGCATTTTTAAATTTTTTATTAAATTAAAAAATCCTAGAAAACAGAGGTACAGACATGGAATAATGTGGTCAGTTGTTATTTAATATTTTGATGAGGTAACATTACACTTTCAAGAAATTTTAAATTGAAGACCAAATTTGAGGTGGATTTTATTTTCTAAATTGCTGGTATGAGTCATCTGGTAGATGGTGTCTCTGATTTAGCTGACAGATAAGAAAATGTGGTTGTTCATAGACTCCCAGGGTAAAGCATGTAAGTTGTCTTAAGAACATATGCACTTGAAGCATGACAATACCATAATTAATTTCTGAAATGTTTCTTGGGTCTTAAACAAGAAAAATGATCATTTTACAATCTAAGTTTGAGATATATTTTAGCAGATAAATGTAATCTGTAACTAAAGTTCTTTTAATTTTTATTGTGAATTACAGTTATCATTTATCTAATATAAAGAAGAAATGCCGATTTTATTTCATTCTAGTGAACATAACTATACTATCCTTGTTACATCAGCAAGGAGAAGGCAAGCAAGATTGCACTTTGAATTATTTACATTTGAACTTACCAAGATATAATGATACCTTTATTATGTCAGGATAATAACATATTGAGGCAAGCTTGATTAGCTAATGTTCCTTATTTCTGATAGGTGTCCAGAGTCATATTAGACTGATGAAAAATAATACCAGTATTTGAATATGATAAAAATATTATGAATAGCCTCCAACATGGATGTGTGTGTATTTATATATTTACATATACCTATATGCATGTATATTTATATATGAAAAATATTAATAAACTAAGCTTCCATATGTGTGCTTTTCTAGTTGGCATTTTCATTTTTTAACTAAATATATATGCATCCAGATTTTAATGAAAACCTTAAAATGTCTTCAAAAATAGAATGTTATAATTTACCCTTCTCCAGCTTCAATAATTTTCAATTCCTTTGCCAAGTCAATCCTAAGCCAAAAGAACAAAGCGGGAGGCATCACGCTACCTGACTTCAAACTATACTACAAGGCTACAGCAACCAAAACGGCATGTTACTGGTACCAAAACAGAGATATAGACCAATGGAAAGGAGCAGAGCCCTCAGAAATAATACCACACATCTACAACCATCTGATCTTTGACAAACCTGAGAAAAACAAGCAATGGGGAAAGGATTCCCTATTTAATAAATGGTGCTGGGAAAACTGGCTAGCCATATGTAGAAAGCTGAAACTGGATCCCTTTCTTACACCTTATACAAAAATTAATTCAAGATGGATTAAAGACTTAAATGTTAGACCTAAAACCATAAAAACCCTAGAAGAAAACCTAGGCAATACCATTCAGGACATAGGCATGGGCAAGGACTTCATGTCTAAAACACCAAAAGCAATGGCAACAAAAGCCAAAATTGACAAACGGAATCTAATTAAAACTAAAGAGCTTCTACACAGCAAAAGAAACTACCATCAGAGTGAACAGGCAACCTACAGAATGGGAGAAAATTTTTGCAATCTACTCATCTGTCAAAGGGCTAATATCCAGAATCTACAATGAACTCAAACAAATTTACAAGAAAAAAACAAACAACCCCATCAAAAAGTGGGCGAAGGATATGAACAGACACTTCTCAAAAGAAGACATTTATGCAGCCAACAGACACATGAAAAAATGCTTATCATCACTGGCCATCAGAGAAATGCAAATCAAAACCACAATGAGATACCATCTCACACCAATTGGAATGACAATCATTAAAAAGTCAGGAAACAACAGGTGCTGGAGAGGATGTGGAGAAATAGGAACACTTTTACACTGTTGGTGGGACTGTAAACTAGTTCAACCATTGTGGAAGACAGTGTGGTGATTCCTCAAGGATCTAGAACTAGAAATACCATTTGACCCAGCCATCCCATTACTGGGTATATACCCAAAGGATTATAAATCATGCTGCTATAAAGACACATGCACACGTATGTTTATTGCGGCACTATTCACAGTAGCAAAGACTTGGCACCAACCCAAATGTCCATCAACAATAGACTGGATTAAGAAAATGTGGCACATATACACCATGGAATACTATGCAGCCAAAAAAAAGGATGAGTTCATGTCCTTTGTAGGGACATGGATGAGCTGGAAACCATCATTCTCAGCAAACTATCGCAAGAACAAAAAACCAAACACCGAATGTTCTCACTCATAGGTGGGAATTGAACAATGAGAACACTTGGACACAGGAAGGGGAACATCACACACCGGGGCCTGTTGTGGGGTGAGGGGAGAGGGGAGGGAAAGCATTAGGAGATATACCTAATGTAAATGACGAGTTAATGGATGCAGCACACCAACATGGCACATGTATACATATGTAACAAACCTGCACATTGTGCACATGTACCCTAGAACTTAATGTATAATAATAAGAAGAAGAATAATAATAAAATGTGGTCCTGGCATGGTGGCTCATGCCTGCAATCCTAGCACTTTTGGAGGCTGGGTGGGTGGATCACATGAGGTCAGGAGTTCAAGACCAGTCTGACCAACATGGTGAAACCCTGTCTCTACTAAAAATACAAAAATTAGCTGGGTGTGGTGGTGCACACATGTAATTGCAGCTACTTGGGAGGCTAATGCAGGAGAATCGCCTGAACCTGGGAGGTGGAGGTTGCAGTGAGCCGAGATGGCACCATAGTATTCCAGCCTGGGCAACAAGCATGAAACTCCGCCTGGGGCAGGGTTAAGGGGGTGGAGGGAATTTGTGTTGGCGTGGGGGGAGGGGGGAATAATAATTTTCAATGCTTAAGTATTCTTGTTTCATCCATATAAAAACTCACCGCCCCATATGGTTATAAAGATAATCACAAATAGAATATAATTTAATTATGAAATGTTTGAATATATAACTGTAAAAATAATAGGATTTAAAACATATAAAAATATTATTGTTCACAAAATAATTAAGAATATTTATTTATTTTCATCAAATACTCAATGTTAAAAATTTTTGGATTGTCTTTCTTCAAAAAATTTAAAGCTTTTTTCTAATTAGAATTAAAGATACATTTTAAATACATTTTAAGCTAAATCTAGAACTAAAAGCAATCTCTGTCTCTCTGTGTCTCTGTTTCTTTCTTTTTCTCTTCTTCCCTAGCTATTTATTCGTTAGAGATACCTACTCATTTGCCTTTAGAGTTTCTCGAGATCTGGAGTTTGCTAACTTCAAAATGTTCCTTTTTCCCCTTTATTTCCTATAAACTAGTAGTGAAATTCAGGGTTGTTTTTTGGCAAGACTATATCATAGGTGGTGTTGTGTACTTACATCAGAATGTTGCCCTATCTGTGATGTTTGCAGCCACGACCAACATTTATTATTTTATTAAAGGTTGCAAAACAGTGATATTCTGATTCACGTGCTCCTTCCTACCTAACATTTTATAAAATACTTTGTTATCCTACAATAAGTTTCATATAAGAAAGGAGAGATAAATGCATGAGTCTTCCCATTAATTTATTTGTTTATTCACTTTAACTATTGTGTTGTATTTTATAACATGTATATACCAACATAGTGTTGTTTCTAATTTTTAATAGATATAAACAATACTGTAATATAAATGCTTATACATATTTTGACAATTTCTACTTTAAAAATGCGAAGTTTTCCTCAATGCAGGACGTTAAAATTCCTCTTCAGTCAACATTCTTTTGTGTTTGCTTTACTTTTTAAACTATTATTATTATTGTTAATCTCATAGCCGTGGAATGATTTATCATTATTAATAGCTAACATTTGTTGAGTGATTAGTACATACCAGGCCTTCATTTAGACAATTTAGAAGCACAATTTTATTTTATTTACAAATATTTTTATTAGGTAGCTGCTATTATTACTCTGAGTAACTAAAGTTCTTTCCATTTTTATTGTGAATTATAGTTATCATTTATCTAATATAAAGAAGAAAAAAAGGAAAAATGAAGGCCAGAAATATTAAATAACTTGTACATGGCTAGTGAGTGGCAGAGTCAATATTTTAGCCAAGATAGTTTAATCATGAAATAATAGTGGATCCCAATAGTTGGAATTCGTATTTCTTGATTTTTAGGTATATTGAACCTCTTTACATTTATTTATGACCATTCTCCTGCCTCAGCCTCCCGAGTAGCTGGGATTACAGGTGTGCACCACCACGGCTGGCTATTTTTTTGTTGTTTTGTTTTTTTTTTTTAGTAGAGATGGGGTTTCACCATGTTGATCAGGCTGGTCTGGAACTCCTGACCTCAGATGATCCGCCCGCCTCGGCCTCCCAAAGTGCTGGGATTATAGATGTGAGCCACGACACCCGGCTTCATTTTGTCATTGTTAAGGATAAAGTATAGATGTCATAAAATTCTTTTCTATGCATTTGGATTTTAATTTGTGAGGCTATATCCTTCTGAACCTTGAAGAAGTTATCCAAATAATACTCTGACTGTGACTAGTAAACACTAAAGGATATGGTATCTTTTGTACAGTTGTCCTGAGATTGACATTATTATTAAAATAATACAAACAATATATTGCTATTTTAAGTTCCTAATGTATCTAAACTAAATTACATGCACCCCACCTGGCCAAACAACATGGAGAAGAAGAGTCTAATAAAACGCTGTATCTACTCTGAAATTTAAAATCTGGTTGAGGGGACAATTCCAATAATGAAATCGTTAGGAAATGGGGTAAAGGAGCACATAATCAAAGGCTAGGCATATGGGGCATATCATAACTCTATGCTTTAAAAAATGTGAAATTTGTGGCTGGGCACAGTGGCTCGTGCCTGTAATCCTAGCACTTTGGGAGGCCGAGGCGTGCGGATCTCCCGGGTCAGGAGTTTGAGATTAGCCTGGCCAACATGGTCAAACGCTGTCTCTACTAAAAGTACAAAAATTAACCGGGCGTGGTGGCGGGTGCCTGTAGTCCCAGCTACTCAGACTCAGGGGGCTGAGGTAGGAGAATAGCTTGAACATGGGAGGCAGAGGTTGCAGTGAGCCGAGGTCACGCCACTACACTCCAGCCTGGGCGACAAGAGCAAGACTCCGTCTCAAAAAACAAAACAAACAAAAAAAAAGTGAAATTTGTTTCAGAAGAAACAAAAATTTGAATTTTCAGGTACTTTAATGTCTTATTCTTAGGAAAATAAATGTAACATTAAGATAGCATTAAATTAGCTATTAGCTTTTCAAAATAAAGCTTTTTAAAATTATTTTTTGAACATTGCCTCTGTCCTAAGCCCTGGAGATATAATGATAAATAAAATATTATTTTCTCTCAAGTATAATATGGTAGAATCAGGATTGTTTAGCACATTTTCTCCCTGAAAGTAGATATTGCCCTTTGGAAGACTGTAATCATTTTGTTTCTGCTGCCCAGTCAGTTATTATTTGAGCTGCCACCTCTTCAAGTTTGAGTCGGCTTATCAAACCTTGTATAATGTTACTAGTCATTCATCCCTGATATTTTACTTGCTCTGTTAGCATTTTATTTTATGTCACAGTAACTCCTAGGATAAAGAATGAGATAAATAGGATAAAAGTTTGTCAAAAGAAGTGACACATTTGTTGATGTGAATTTTGTTAAACTCTAGAAAAAATGTCACTAGAAATTTTAGTAAATTGGGGAGAAACTTCCTTGCTGAGAATTAACATGCAAAAATGTGAGTTAGCCTCCAGAAAATTATCAACAGACATTATTTTTTTCTCAAATAAAATGATTTACATCCCCTAACAGAATGAATTAAGGATAGTATGCCAGAGTTATTAATTTTAAAACTTTTTGTGTGATTTTGCAAACCTTGTGACCTATATCACCATGCTGACGGATAAGGGTTAGGTTGTATGTTAAGATGAGATAAATTATTGCAGAAATATACTCCAATTTTAAACAGATATTATGGGTTATTTAAACTATATTGTAAAATAACAAGTTGATAATTTACCAATTAGTTCTACCAGATCTAACATTTATTCCTCTAATCCAAAAGTCCTTTACCCATATGTTTGCATGCCACATATTATCCACTAATTTTAGGCCTCATAAGTATCACTTGTTTCTATGACCAGGACATAAGAATTCTTCATAAACATTTTATTTTAAAAACCATATTTTGTAATTTCAACTTAGTTTGAAAAATCTTGGAAAATTATTCCAAATGAATTCATCAAAAATTTTCCACCTAAGCTATTGATATTTTGTACTGTCAAAATCCACCAGATAATGGCATAACCTTCTGTTTATCCTGAACTCCAGAGTTTTGCCAGGGCTGGACATAGGCTACCTGTCTTAGCTAGAATATTAATTTTAAAATAAGAAAAATTATTTTTTTTAAATTACCCAAATTCTTTAAATGTCACCAGTCATGGCATCTATATTGTTGTCCCTGGAAACATCCATGGTATAATTTTCCCAATAAGCATAACATTGTTTCAAGAGAAGATGTTTGTCAATATCATATTCTATATAACATGTATATTATAAAATTATAATTACTTCTAGAATCTTTAATTTATTTCAAAATTATAAATGACAATGCAGACTGTGTTTGTGTGTTTTATGTGTATGTGCATATGCTAGCATTTTTATGTGTATAGGTCTGAGTAAAAATTATCAACAGAGTAGGCTGGGAAGAGATAGATGCTAAAAGTAAACAAAATTTGGAATTAAAATACCTGGGTTTTTCAAGCCTTTCATTTCTACTATGAATAGAATGTGGAAATACTGTTATATTTCTGTCTCCTGACATAGAGATATACATAGACATATGTCAGTGTCATGTATAGTGTGACAGTGAAGCTATTTTATCCAATCATTAATTTTACTTAAATCAATATATATTGAGTGCTTTCTCTGCTCTGTGCTAGTAATATATTGAATCAAAACACAGGGGGAGGAGCCAAGATGGCCAAAAAGGAACAGCTCCAGTCTACAGCTCCCAGCGTAAGCGACGCAGAAGACGGGTGATTTCTGCATTTCCATCTGAGGTACCGGGTTCATCTCACTAGGGAGTGCCAGACAGTGGGCGCAGGTCAGTGGGTCCACGCACCGTGCACGAGCCGAAGCAGGGCGAGGCATTGCCTCACTTGGGAAGTGCAAGGGGTCAGGGAGTTCCCTTTCCTAGTCAAAGAAAGGGGTGACAGAGGGCACCTGGAAAATCGGGTCACTCCCACCCGAATACTACGCTTTTCCAACCGTCTTAAAAAACGGCGCACCAGGAGATTATATCCTGCACGTGGCTTGGAGGGGCCTACGTGCATGCGCATGGAGTCCTGCTGATTACTAGCACAGCAATATGAGATCAAACTGCAAGGCGGCAGCAAAGCTCGGGGAGGGGTGCCCACCATTGCCCAGGCTTGCTTAGGTAAACAAAGCAGCCAGGAAACCTGAACTGGGTGGAGCCCACCACAGCTCAAGGAGACCTGCCTGCCTCTGTAGGCTCCACCTCTGGGGGCAGGGCACAGACAAAAAAAGACAGCAGTAACCTCTGCAGCCTTAAATGTCCCTGTCTGACAACTTTGAAGAAGAGTAGTGGTTCTCCCAGCACGCAGCTGGAGATCTGAGAATGGGCAGACTGCCTCCTAAAGTGGGTCCCTGACCCCTGACCCCCAAGCAGCCTAACTGGGAGGCACCACACGGCAGGGGCAGACTGACACCTCACACGGCCGGGTACTCCAACAGACCTGCAGCTGAGGGTCCTGTCTGTTAGAAGGAAAACTAACAAACACAAAGGACATCCACACCAAAAACCCATCTGTACATCACCATCATCAAAGACCAAAAGTAGATAAAACCACAAAGATGGGGAAAAAACAGCAGAAAAACTGGAAACTCTAAAAAGCAGAGCACCTCTCCTCCTCCAAAGGAACGCAGCTCCTCACCAGCAACGGAAGGAAGCTGGACGGAAAATGACTTTGACGAGCTGAGAGAAGAAGGCTTCAGACGATCAAATTACTCCGAGCAATGGGAGGAGATTCAAACCAAAGGCAAAGAAGTTGAAAACTTTGAAAAAAGTTAGAAGAATGTATAACTAGAATAACCAATACAGAGAAGTGCTTAAAGGAGCTGATGGAGCTGAAAACCAAGGCTCGAGAACTACATGAAGAATGCAGAAGCCTCAGGAGCCAATGCGATGAACTGGAAGAAGCAGTATCAGCGATGGAACATGAAATGAATGAAATGAAGCGAGAAGTGAAGTTTAGAGAAAAAAGAATAAAAAGAAACGAGCAAAGCCTCCAAGAAATATGGGACTATGTGAAAAGACCAAATCTACATCTGATTGGTGTACCTGAAAGTGATGGGGAGAATGGAACCAAGTTGGAAAACACTCTGCAGGACATTATCCAGGAGAACTTCCCCAGTCTAGCAAGGCAGGCCAACATTCAGATTCAGGAACTAAAGAGAACGCCACAAAGATACTCCTCGAGAAGAGCAACTCCAAGACACATAATTGTCAGATTCACCAAAGTTGAAATGAAGGAAAAAATGTTAAGGGCAGCCAGAGAGAAAGGTCCGGTTACCCTCAAAGGGAAGCCCATCAGACTAACAGCGGATCTCTCGGCAGAAACTCTACAAGCCAGAAGAGAGTGGGGGCCAATATTCAACATTCTTAAAGAAAAGAATTTTCAACCCAGAATTTCATATCCAGCCACACTAAGCTTCATAAGTGAAGGAGAAATAAAATCCTTTACAGACAAGCAAATGCTGAGAGATTTTGTCACCACCAGGCCTGCCCTAAAAGAGCTCCTGAAGGAAGTGCTAAACATGGAAAGGAACAACCAGTACCAGCTGCTGCAAATTCATGTAAATGTACTAAATGCTCCAATTAAAAGACACAGACTGGCGAATTGGATAAAGAGTCAAGACCCATCAGTGTGCTGTATTCAGGAAACCCATCTCACGTGCAGAGACACACATAGGCTCAAAATAAAAGGATGGAGGAAGGTCTACCAAGCCAATGGAAAACAAAAAAAGGCAGGGGTTGCAATCCTAGTCTGTGATAAAACAGACTTTAAACCAACAAAGATCAAAAGAGACAAAGAAGGCCATTACATAATGGTAAAGGGATCAATTCAACAAGAAGAGCTAACTATGCTAAATATATATGCGCCCAATACAGGAGCACCCAGATTCATAAAGCAAGTCCTGAGTGACCTGCAAAGAATCTTAGACTCCCACACATTAATAATGGGAGACTTTAACACCCCACTGTCAACATTAGACAGATCAACGAGACAGAAAGTCAACAAGGATACCCAGGAATTGAACTCAGCTCTGCACCAAGTGGACCTAATAGACATCTACAGAATTCTCCATCCCAAATCAACAGAATATACATTTTTTTCAGCACCACACCACACTTATTCCAAAATTGACCACATACTTGGAAGTAAAGATCTCCTCAGCAAATTTAAAGAACAGAAATTATAACAAACTATCTCTCAGACCACAGTGCAATCAAACTAGAACTCAGGATTAAGAATCTCACTCAAAGCCGCTCAACTACATGGAAACTGAACAACCTGCTCCTGAATGACTACTGGGTACATAAAGAAATGAAGGCAGAAATAAAGATGTTCTTTGAAACCAATGAGAACAAAGACAGAGTATACCAGAATCTCTGGGACACATTCAAAGCAGTGTGTAGAGGGAAATTTATGCACTAAATGCCCACAAGAGAAAGCAGGAAAGATCCAAAATTTACACCCTAACATCACGATTAGAAGAACTAGAAAAGCAAGAGCAACACATTCAAAAGCTAGCAGAAGGCAAGAAATAACTAAAATCAGAGCAGAACTGAAGGAAATAGAGACACAAAAAACCCTTCAAAAAATTAATGAATCCAGGAGCTGGTTTTTTGAAAGGATCAACAAAATTGATAGACCGCTAGCAAGACTAATAAAGAAAAAAAGAGAGAAGTATCAAATAGACGCAATAAAAAATGGTAAAGGGGATATCACCACCGATCCCACAGAAATACAATAGCTTACCAACCAAAAAGAGTCCAGGACCAGATGGATTCACAGCCAACTTCTACCAGTGGTACAAGGAGGAACTGCTACCATTCCTTCTGAAACTATTTCAAACTACCATCAGAGAATACTACAAACACCTCTACGCAAATAAACTAGAAAATCTAGAAGAAATGGATACATTCCTCGACACATACACTCTCCCAAGACTAAACCAGGAAGAAGTTGAATCTCTGAATAGACCAATAACAGGCTCTGAAATTGTGGCAATAATCAATAGTTTACCAACCAAAAAGAGTCCAGGACCAGATGGATTCACAGCCAAATTCTACCACAGGTACAAGGAGGAACTGGTACCATTCCTTCTGAAACTATTCCAATCAATAGAAAAAGAGGGAATCCTCCCTAACTCATTTTATGAGGCCAGCATCATTCTGATACCAAAGCCGTGCAGAGACACAACCAAAAAAGAGAATTTTAGACCAATATCCTTGATGAACATTGATGCAAAAATCCTCAGTAAAATACTAGCAAACCGAATCCAGCAGCACATCAAAAAGCTTATCCACCATGATCAAGTGGGCTTCATCCCTGGGATGCAAGGCTGGTTCAATATACGCAAATCAATAAATGTAATCCAGCATATAAACAGAACCAAAGACCAAAACCACATGATTATCTCAATAGATGCAGAAAATGCCTTTGACAAAATTCAACAACCCTTCATGCTAAAAACTCTCAATAAATTAGGTATTCATGGGACGTATTTCAAAATAATAAGAGCTATCTATGACAAACCCACAGCCAATATCATAGTGAATGGGCAAAAACTGGAAGCATTCCCTTTGAAAACTGGCACAAGACAGGGATGACCTCTCTCACCACTCCTATTCAACATAGTGTTGGAAGTTCTGGCCAGGGCAATCAGTTAGGAGAAGGAAATAAAGTGTATTCAATTAGGAAAAGAGGAAGTCAAATTGTCCCTCTTTGCAGACGACGTGATTGTATATCTAGAAAACCCCATTGTCTCAGCCCAAAATCTCCTTAAGCTGATAAGCAACTTCAGCAAAGTCTCAGGATACAAAATCAATGTACAAAAATCACAAGCATTCTTATACACCAATAACAGACAAACAGAGAGCCAAATCATGAGTGAACTCCCATTCACAATTGCTTCAAAGAGAATAAAATACCTAGGAATCCAACTTACAAGGGATGTGAAGGACCTCTTCAAGGAGAACTACAAACCACTGCTCAAGGAAATAAAAGAGGATACAAACAAATGGAAGAACATTCCATGCTCATGGGTAGGAAGAATCAATATCGTGAAAATGGCCATACTGCCCAAGGTAATTTATAGATTCAATGCCATCCCCATCAAGCTACCAATGACTTTCT
The DNA here is from genome assembly GCF_000001405.40 of Homo sapiens. Taxonomy (NCBI): domain Eukaryota; kingdom Metazoa; phylum Chordata; class Mammalia; order Primates; family Hominidae; genus Homo; species Homo sapiens. The sequence continues at coordinate 45,495,134 of NC_000005.10, read as the reverse complement.
TCACAGAATTGGAAAAAACTACTTTAAAGTTCATATGGAACCAAAAAAGAGCCCTCATCGCCAAGTCAATCCTAAGCCAAAAGAACAAAGCTGGAGGCATCACACTACCTGACTTCAAACTATACTACAAGGCTACAGTAACCAAAACAGCATGGTACTGGTACCAAAACAGAGATATAGATCAATGGAACAGAACAGAGCCCTCAGAAATAATGCCACATATCTACAACTATCTGATCTTTGACAAACCTGAGAAAAACAAGCAATGGGGAAAGAATTCCCTATTTAATAAATGGTGCTGAGAAAACTGGCTAGCCATATGTAGAAAGCTGAAACTGGATCCCTTCCTTACACCTTAGACAAAAATTAATTCAAGATGGAGTAAAGACTTAAACGTTAGACCTAAAACCATAAAAACCCTAGAAGAAAACCTAGGCATTACCATTCAGGACATAGGCATGGGCAAGGACTTCATGTCTAAAACACCAAAAGCAATGGCAACAAAACCAAAATTGACAAATGGGATCTAATTAAACTCAAGAGCTTCTGCACAGCAAAAGAAACTACCATCAGAGTGAACAGGCAACCCACAAAATGGGAGAAAATTTTCGCAACCTACTCATCTGTCAAAGGGCTAATATCCAGAATCTACAATGAACTCAAACAAATTTACAAGAAAAAAACAAACAACCCCATCAAAAAGTGGGCGAAGGACATGAACAGACACTTCTCAAAAGAAGACATTTATGCAGCCAAAAAACACATGAAAAATGCTCACCATCACTGGCCATCAGAGAAATGCAAATCAAAACCACAGTGAGATACCATCTCATACCAGTTAGAATGGCAATCATTCAAAAGTCAGGAAACAACAGGTGCTGGAGAGGATGTGGAGAAATAGGAACACTTTTACATTGTTGGTGGGACTGTAAACTAGTTCAACCATTGTGGAAGTCAGTGTGGCGATTCCTCAGGGATCTAGAACTGGAAATACCATTTAACCCAGCCATCCCATTACTGGGTATATACCCAAAGGACTATAAATCATGCTGCTATAAAGACACATGCACACGTATGTTTATTGCGGCATTATTCACAATAGCAAAGACTTGGAACCAAGCCAAATGTCCAACAATGATAGACTGGATTAAGAAAATGTGAAACATATACACCATGGAATACTACGCAGCCATAAAAAATGATGAGTTCATGTCCTTTGTAGGGACATGGATGAAATTGGAAATCATCATTCTCAGTAAACTATCGCAAGAACAAAAAACCAAACACCGCATATTCTCACTCATAGGTGGGAATTGAACAATGAGAACTCATGGACACAGGAAGGGGAACATCACACTCTGGGGACTGTTGTGGGGTGGGGGGAGGTGGGAGGGATAGCATTGGGGGATATACCTAATGCTAGATGACGAGTTAGTGGGTGCAGCGCACCAGCATGGCACATGTATACATATGTAACTAACCTGCACATTGTGCACATGTACCCTAAAACTTAAAGTATAATAATAATAAATAAAAAAAAATAAAAGCTAAAAAAAAAGAAACACAATTGAAATACATTGGTAAATATATTCTAATAAAAGTAGAAACATAGACACAAAAAGGAACTTAAAATTGCAATTCCTTATAAATTTTCACAAAACATAGATATTTTAGTGTAAAAACATTCATTTATGTAAAAGGAATATATAAAACTATTACATTAATGAGGAAAAATCATGGACTTGGAGACATTAGAAAATTATATTTAACTCGATTTATTTTTTGTTAGAGTATAAGATAAGTTTTCAGATGATCGTGACGCCTCATTATTTCTTTATTCTTGGTGACTGAAATTTATATATATGTTTGTGTTTTGTGAATATATATATCTATATATACATATGTCATTGCAGATTTGTCATTCAATTATGCAAAATAAATAAATAGTTAAAAATCCAGAATCAGTTGAGCTGCAAAAACTCAGTAGTTTTTGAGACTAAACTCATATTTAGTCTCAGTATATTTATAAGGTGTGCCTAGTAAAATATTTTACAAGAATTTGTATGAGAAATAGTCTACAATTAATATATACTGCATTATAAGAAAGAATGATTCTCTCTATATTTTACAGTTCACTTCCAGGACATTTTATGAGTTATCCTGGACTAAAAGTTATATTAAATTGTATGAAGGTCCCAGCTTGACCAATCCACAGACTTTTCTAAGCTTTCCATACTCTAGTTTCTTCTCATGCCTCAAAGAGTTTTTCTAAGAACAAAAAACAAAATAAAGGTATGATAACAAGTACTTACATCTTAAAAAGAAATGTGTTAAAATGTAATGTAACACTCACACCTGTGATCCCAGCACTTTGGGAGGCTGAGGCTGGTGGATCACCTGAGGCCGGGAGTTCAAGACCAGCCTGGGCAACATGGTGAAACCTTGTCTGTACTAAAAATACAAAATATTAGCCAGGCTTGATGGGGCGAGCCTGTAGCCCCAGTTACTTGGAGGCTGAGACAGGAGAATCACTTGAACCGGGGAGGTGGAGGTTGCAGTGAGTGCCAGCCTGGGCGACAGAGCAAGGCTCTTGTCTCAAAAAAAAAAAAAAAAAACAAAAAAACTGTTGCTGGTAACGCCACTGTCTCACACAGTTTTAGCAAAGAACTTTGACGAGCATGGATAAGAAAAGAAGATTTTACTTCAAATTTTATATATATATATATATATATATATATATATTCATTTAAAGAAGTCTAAGATCCTCTCAAAGCTTGATTTAGCTTATTTGTCACACCTATCCTCTCTCTCTCACACACACACACACACACACACACATACACAGAGTTTTGGTGAGAGAGAGAGTGGGTTTTGGGAGGGTAAAAATGGCTCCCTGCCTCTAGTGCATCTCTAGTGCTTATTCTGCCTGTACTGAAGGGTTTCTTCTAAGAAATGATTTGTAGTAAAATGCTGGATATGATAGCTAGACATGATGTAGGAGTAGCTGGTGTAACACTCATGACATATGATGTGTGTTAGCTTAATCTGCTGCTTGTGAAGCATGATAAAGGTGCCTAGAAATTCAGTGATTATCTAAAATTTTTAGATGAGGTTGGACAAATGAAGTGTTTGTCTTGGTTTGTTATACTTGGTTATGTATTTCCATGTTCTGATAAAATTTCATAAGTGTTAACATGACATTTATATATAGGTAGTACTTATTAATCATTTAGGAATACACCATGTCAGATCTTGAATTCATGAAAAATAGAGAACCCCAGCCTAGCTTTCACCACTTCCTTACCTTCTTATAGAGGCCCTGCATAATTTCCTCAAGACCTGGAATTTTATTCTGTAACTTGCTTGCACATATTATTTTTCTCATTCACTCTTCACAATAATCCATTAATTTTTCCAGCTAAAATAAAGGACACGAAGTGTTGGAATTACGTTATTCAACTGAAAATGTCCTATAGCATAGCACATGTCTAAATACAAAGCACACCCATAAACTACTGGCAGAATAAGTAAGTAAACAAATGAATGAGGCATACAGGAAATCAAAAAAGTTCAAAGAGGTTGAGCAATTTATGAAGTCTCTTAATAAGTAACTAGCAAGTCTATGAAAAAGTGGCAAAGGTTTGGACAGTGTGAATACTTGAGCGCACAAGGTAAGTTAAAGGCCCCTACCTGCTCAAATTTCAAATTTGTTTTTTTTAATGTTTCAACTGATATCATAATTATGATATACTCACAGAGTGTTATGTGTTTGTTGGAGTATGGACACCAATTGTAGAAACATTGTGAGACTTTAAAGGGAAAATTTGATGCTGATTTTGGATAAAGCTTGACGTAAGACTTACCAAGTATGAGTTAGCTTGTATATGTTGCTGGGAATAACAGAATATAAAATTTATTTCCAAAATATGTATATCCTAATATTGTAGAGTTCTAGGGCAATACATGTTAATATTTAATTTTCATATACAGATTCCGAGTGTGATTCGCTTATTACTTTGCTGCAAGATGGTTTAGATAAATGGAGGAGGCAGAAGCCAAGCCTTAGTGACTTAAGGAGAGAAAGTGTTTATATAGCAAGGGTAGATTCATAAAGATAGGAAAACTGATGTATGGTTAAGGTGGGCAATTTGAGGGAAAGTTTTTGGTTTAAGATGGAAGAGCCTTGAACATGCTCCTGCCTGGAATATAGGGCCAGTTGAGAGGAAGAAGTGGATAAAATGAGCTAGGCAAAGGATGATTGGTATAGAAAGGTCAAGGGTACTTAGGAAAGGATGGTTTCTATTCTGGAGCAAAAATTGAGGAATTATACATGTATGAAAGTTGGAAGAAAGGGGAGACTCATCTTTATTTAAGTTTTTTATTTAAAAAAATTGTGAGTACATGGTAGGTATGTATATTTATGTGGCACATGAGATGTTTTGATACAGGCATGCAATGTGAAATAAGACCAAGAAAAGAGTAAGAATCATAAGAAAAGTTGGTCAAACACTTTAATATTTATGATTACGTCAGCAGCAGAAGTGGTAGGTGTGAACTGGAGGAGAGTTAATGGGTAAGGGTTGACTGGGAATTGTGGCATCACATTTTATCTATTTCTGGGAAGAAAGAAGCAGTTTGGTAAGAATGCTCAGAAAGAGGAAGGGACAAGGAGGCTGGAAGATAACACAAATGTTTGAAATAACTGGAGAAAATAAATAATACCATTACATTTATGTAAAGAAAGCAAAACCCATAAATTTGTCAGGCATCAATGAAGGACCAACAGTTTTGGAAAAACACAAATTTATAGCGAATCTATCAGCAAGACCTTTGGTATCTGTTTCTTTCAGGAAAACAATCCAATCTCATCATGATCTGACTCCTGACTAACCTGCAAATGTATCTGTATTGCACTGTTGGCATTCTATGACCTAGTTATAGTGAATTTCCTTGCAGTTTTCCAAATGAGCTATTTTCTCCCCTGCTTCATATTTTGCACATGTTGTTCCCTGTGTTTGAAATTTTCTTTTTAACATGTTTCACCTGGTTAATTTCTATACGTAAAGATGCTGCTCCAGCAATGTCTTATCCAAAAAGTATTGTCAGTAGGTTTGCCAAGTAAAATACAGAATGCCCAGTAAAATTTGAGTATTTGGGGCATACTCATACTAAAAAATTATTCACTGTTTATCTGAAACGCTAATTGAATGAACTATATTTGTATTTGCTAAACCTGACATCCCTAATTGTCAGCCCCAGATGGACTAGGTTAGTTGTTTGTCATGTTTTGTCATAGCACCCACTATGGTAGCCTATATCACATTGCCTACTACTTCGTACCTTCACTGGCTGTCTCTAAAGTTAGAATGTGAAGCTTCTATAGACCAGGAACCACATCTTGGAGAACACTTCACCTAGACAATGCCTGGCTCATCATAGATTGACTCGTTATAAGCTGACCATGCTAAATACTTTGGTGCCTTTACTGGAGAAACTGAAGCTGGTTGCCTAAGGATCTGGCTAACGAGAAGCTAAGGTTCAGTTTGACCACAGCTTTAATCATGGTGGAAACAGAGAGCACTTTATTGTCATGAATTAGAGTGTGGGAGATGCATGGAATTTCTGAAGAATCACCAATCCACTCCAGCCATGGTTCTTGTGTACTTTTCAAGCTTCTTATTAACAGAAAAACACTTTTATTCTGGAATTGATTTAAATACATTTTTATTTTATTGTTAAATTGCTTCAGGGATTCCCCACTATTGGTCCCAGAATAAAAGTTAAATGCTAGCCATGAGTTTCAAGGCTCTTAACCCCAAGTTATCTTTTCAGGCACAATGTTTATAGTTGTCCTACATGCCCTAGCTTCCCAACACAGAAAACTATTAATTCTCCCCAAAATGCAACAAAACTTTGCATTTCTGCAATTTCTTGCTATACCTCTGGCATCTTCGCTTAGAAATCCTACTCCAAATGTAACTCAGATTAAATATTTTGCCTTCTCTGAAGCCTGTGTCCAACACCCAACTCTTCTGAACTCCAAGTTAACGATTCCCTGCTCAGGAATTTCTTGAGGCCTTACCTGTCTGAGAGTCAGGTACATTGAGTACATGCCAGACTTTCATATTTCGGGACAAGATTTGTGGCAGGCATTCAGCAACTGTTTTATTCAGTGAATTGTAAAATCAAGGCTTTAAGGCAAAAGCCTTTCATAACACAAACTGCAGTGCCCTTCAGGTGAGCTTTGAAGATGTGTGTTTCCTCAGTTTCTTGACACAATTGTGGTCAAAACACCTAGTATAAAATATAAACTAAATATAAATACCAAAACATGAAGAATAGGAATGGCTGGAGGAACAGCAGTGGCTGTGAAATTATTTATCATATAGTTAAATAGTTATCTATGCTTTCTCCAATATTCTCTAACTTACTACATCTTTCTCAGTAGGACTGCAACCTTTGAAGTTTCTGAATTGCTTCCACTTTTCCAAGTACTATAGCCAGTTTGCAAGATTGTTTTTTATGAACTCTGGCAGCTCTTTAGAGCATTTCAATATATTTTATGAAAATACGAAAATGCCGTATATCTTTTAAAGCAATATTATATGGAATTCAATGAAAGCACAACTGACTGGTGTTATTTTTATATAACAACAGAATATAAACAGTCCCTGCTGTTTGATATAAATTATTGAGATATGGAGAAATTAAGTATTTTCATCAGTTTTTCCTCAATGCCAATATTATTAGTCTTTTAACAAGTACTTATTGAGCTACTAAATGCCTTTCAGTGTCTAAGTTCCCCATTCTTCTGAAGTTTATATTTTAGCAGAGGCACACAGAAATAAGCATAATCAAAAGTAAATTACATAATTTCATGAAATCAATTTTTAATTTTATGTAAAAAATTAAAAGAAGCATAAGAGAATTATAAGTGTAGGGACAGGTCGTTGGGGTAGTGTTGGGAGAAGGTAGTTTGCAATAATAAACCAGGTGGTCAAGGAAGACCTCAATGAGAATGTAAAATTTGAGCCAAGACTTGAACAAGGAATAAGGGCAGATGTTAGTATTAGGTTGCATATGTATTCATCCAAATTTAAATGATTCACATTTAATACACGTTGTATACTCTCTAGTCAAGATTACTATATTCACAGTGTAGTTCAACTTCTCATAAGTATGAAAATCCATTGTGTTTTATCATTTAAAAAGAGGAGATATCAAATCAATATTTTTAGATCGAAACCCTTCTGTTTCTTCTCTGTCGCTCAGCAAATGAGATCTGGCTACACATTTACTTAATTCAGACTTTCAAGATTTTTGAAAGAAGTAACTTGACTAAGTTTTACTAAATTTTCTTCAAACCTTGTTGTGTGTAACATACTACTTCATAATACTGTTCTTGCATTATTTTGAAAATGCAAAATATTAAAGCCATAGACATTGGAACATGAACTTACATTATTTTGTATAATTTCTCAATTGGAAAAAAATCAGAAAATGCCCTCATATGTGCACATATGTCTTTGAAAAGTCACCCTATGACAGTGGATTTTCATGTTTGTGAAGTGCACACAGGGGCAAAACTCTGACAGTATATGCCTTTTAATTTTGAAATGGCCTAGATATATTAAAAATAGTGATTGGGCCACCATGCATTGCTCTAACCAACAGAATACATAGAGCTGACTGCACAATTTCCATCATCCTACTAACCTTTTAAATGTACAATGCCGCTCTCAAAAATATACTTTATATTGAACAAGAAATATTTTTAGGAAAACTTTTATTCTTCCTATATAGTTACCAAATGAAGAGTACAGCAAAATTTATGTGCTCATCATTTTCAAATTCTTAAATATCTGTCTGATATTATGAACAAGATTTTCAGTTTAAGTATATTAATCAAAAACATTTTTCAGCAATGAAAATTACTATTGAATAGACTGTGATTAATGACCTAAAGTTGTTAAAATACTGACATTTCTGTTTCAGATTGTTTTGGCATTAGGTACAGAGGACTGTTCAAAGTTTTGCTGTATCCTTTACAATTATACTGCTTAAGGAAGTAAGAAACAATTACTGCTAAAGAGGATGTAAAACATCTGACGACTTACAGGAAACACCAATGGAAACATAGAAGAGACACTTGTGAAAATTAGGCAGTAGAGACTGTATTTAGGACAACTGTGATAATTGTGAACATCTAATTTACCACCTAACATAGATGGTTTGGTTTGGTCAGTTACTATTATTGACTTCATATTTGAAGATTTATATGAATTATCTTCTGATTATAAAAGTTCATGAATATTTAATTGCATACATAGACTTAGGTGTATTCCCTTACAATATCTTTTCTTGTGATATTATACTTGTACAATATTCCTAAAATATTTAACAAATTATACTTTAAAGATTTTGATGAGCTATGAAGATAGTTTTTCATCATTTGTTTGTTAGTACATTGTTATATTTTAAAGTAGCTTTGCTATTAATTCTATTGCATGACTTTAAAATTTATTTTGAAACTTCTTTAAAAATCATCATTAATAGAACGTGATGGCCACATGAAGGATGAAGATGTAGCCAGTGCAACAAAAATTGATGATGTATGTTTCTGAATACACCCCATGAGAGTATATTTAATATCATGTGCAATAGTTACTCTTTATATGTTTAGTAGGAGAATAGTAGTTCTTTATCCATGTCATGTTGGGTAAAAAACAAGGTTTTTGTAATAGAATGAATTTAAAATCTAGCTCTATTTCTTCCAGTATGGTACAATTTGACAAGTTACCTAATTTCCACAACCTTTGAGGCTTTGACAGTGGATATAAATATAAGCACTTACCAATTAATCAATAGCTATGATTCCTCCTATCGCAAAATCTTGTATGGGAGACTAGTCAGACATTCTGGATGACATAAACACCTTTCTCCCAGTCTTGATATGGCTTTCAACAAGAAGAATGTCTTACATGCCAAATAGAGAAAATATTTTGTGAAGCCTAGAACATGATCTCCAAAGTCAGACTGCATGGATGTGAACCTTACATGCATCACTTAGTATGTGAGGTCCTGAGCAATTTACTCAAATTCTGTAAGCCTCATTTTCTAACTTGTGAATTAATATACTGATAGTGCATAACTCAAATACAATGGTAAACACTCATATGGTAGCTACTTGTATTATTGTCACTTAGCTTGGCCTAACTATGGGGCCTAACTAATCTCCATGTAGGAGGATAATTTCCTGAACCTACTTCTGAAAACATGTAGTTATCATTGCTGATACCATCTGTTGATGCTTCTTTAGTGACCTTCACCCCCTGCACACCACATGAGAATATAACATCATGCCTTAACAATACTTGGTTTTGAACCCTTGGATCTTTTCTACTATGCAAGGCTAAGAACGATCGTACTATCTTTTGACAACTTTCCTCTTTTCTAATCCTGAGTTGTATTTTTTTTACAAGTAGTGAATATATTAACTCTTTGATTCTTTGGAAAAAAAGAAACATATCACTTTTATGAAAGTATAAATTATAAGCCATGAGTATTTCCCTTCTGCGTAAGTGTTGGGAATTCATAAAATAGAAATTATGTGTAATTATGCAGATGAGATGAAAAAACTGTTTTGTTTTATTGTTTAGTCATAATTTTTAATAAGAGGAAAATTTAAGTTTGCTTCCATTTTTTGTACTTTCACATTTTGGGGGTAATTTCTAAAAAATTTTTATGTACCTGAAAGAGTGGAGACATTCAGAAGAATGAGGAGATGGAGAGGAAAGGAACATGGTTTACATGCAAAGTTTAACAGTGTTGATAGTCATATGCCTTAGTAGGAAGAACTAAAATGAGGCATGTGTGGAAGATATTTACAAGGCATCAAGTCGTCACTTATTTGAAATAAACTAATTCTTTTAGCGCCTACATTATAATACAAACCAATCAATTGCTTTTGGATATTCTCCTAGAACAGTTTTTCCGCCCCCATTAGCAAATGTAATAAGTGATAACATAAGGAAGCTGAGCAGAAAATTACCACATCTGACTGAAATCTATCAGGAAATTAGGGCATATGTATGGATAATGAGTTTATCCAAATTTAGTTTTGGCCACAGCTCAAAAGGCCAGGCTTACAGTTGCCAAATTACCACCTGTGCCCTATATATCACAGGTGTTCCGGCCTTCAGAGCTGCTTTTCTTTCTAAAGATTTCTGTGCCAAGCATGCTTCCACCCACCCCATGAATGTGAGCTCATGCACAAAATCAGTACTCAGTTCTGGACCAAACACTGACATTCACATTGACTTTGAACACTTTCTGATGTCTTTTTTAAAATTAATAACTTAATAAAAGTATAAGCACTGTGTCAATTAGGATTAGGTTTAGCTACTGTTGTTAGAGACCTAAGATAACATCTAGAGTCCAGGGGTTATGTGGAATGTCCGAGGTCATCAGGAGCAGAATAAACTTACTTATTCTCAGCTCCACTAGTCTTAGACTGTGGAGGCATCAAGTTTATTATACTCACAAGATAACTGCCGATGACCTCACTGTCACATTCTCATTTTAAAAGGAAGAGAGGGGGAGGGCAAGGGGACCCCCTCTTTGAGTCATGTCTGCACCAAAGGGCTTCCCTGGAAGTCCAATGAAGTAATTCTGTTTATATTTAGACGGATTTTTTTTTTTAAGATGGCGTCTTGCTCTGTTGCCCAGGCTGGAGTGCAGTGGCACAATCTTGGCTTACTGCAAGCTCCACCTCCCGGGTTCACACCATTCTGCTGCCCCAGCCTCCAAGTAGCTGGGACTACAGGCACCTATCACCACGCCTGGCTAATTTTTTTGTATTTTTTTTAGTAGAAGCAGGTTTCACCGTGTTAGCCAGGATGGTCTCAATCTCCTGACCTTGTGATCTGCCCGCCTCAGCCTCCCAAAGTGATGGGATTACAGGCATGAGCCACTGAGCCTGGCCAAGTTTTTAGAGTCTTTATTTTGCAGAAAAATGTAATGGGGATTTGTTTAAAATACAGCTTTCACTACCCTAAGCAGAAAGAACAAAGCCAGAGGCATCACACTACCCAATTTCAAACTATATTTTAAAGCCACAATAACCAAATGAGTTTGATATTGGTACAAAAACAGGCACATAGACCAACAGAACAGAATCGAAAACTTGGAAATAAAGTTGCACACCTACAAACGTCTGATTTTCAACAAGGCCAACAAAAATAAGCAATGAGAAAAGACTCCCCATTCAGTATATAGTGCTAGGATAACTGGCTAGCCATATGCAGAAAATTGAAGCTGGACTCCTACCTTTCATCATATACAGAAATTAACTCAAAATGGATTAAAGATTTAAATATAAGACTTCACACTACAAAAATCATGGCAGAAAACCTAGGAAGTACTCTTCTCAACATCAGCTTGGCAAATAATCTTTGGCTAAGCCCCCAAAACAACTGCAGCAAAAGCAAAAATAAACAAGTGGGACCTAATTAAACTAAAGAGCTTCTGAACAACAAAAGAAGCCGTCAACAAAGTAAACAGACAACCTTCAGAATGGGAGAACATATTCGAAACTATGCATCCGACAAAGCCTTAATATCCAGAATCTACAGGGAACTTAAACAAATCAACAAGCAAAAATCAAATAACCCCATTTTAAAAATGGGCAAACTACATGAACTTCTCAAAAGAAGATGTACAAGTCGCCAACACACATGAAAAAAAATTCAACATCACTAATCATGAGAGAAATGCAAGTCAAGACCACAATGAATACCACTCAGAATACTGTGTGAGATATCACACCAGTCAGAATGGCTATTATTAGAAAGTCAGAAAACAAAAGATGCTGGCAAAGCTATGGAAAAAGGGTAGCGCTTATACATTATTGGTGGGAATGTAAATTAGTCCAGCCACTGTGGAAAGCAATCTGCAGATTCCTCAAAGACCTTAAAACAGAGCTACCATTCAACTCAGCTATCCCACCGCTGGGTATATACCCCAAAGAAAATAAATTATTGTACCAAAAAGACAGATGCACTCGTATGTTCATTGCTGTGCTATTTACAATAGCAAAGACATGGAATCAACCCTTATGCACATCAATGTTAGACTGAATAAGGAAAATGTGGTACATATACACCATAGAATACTATATTGCCATTTAAAAGAAATGAAATCATATGTTTTGCAGCAACATAGTTGGGGCTGGAGGCTATAATTCTAAGCAAATTAACACAGGAATGGAAAAACAAATACTACATGTTCTCACTTACAAGTGGGAGCTAAATATTGAGCACACATGAACATAAATGTGCAAACAATAGGCCCTGTGGACTAGAGGGTAGAGGGAGGAAGAGGGGCGGGTTGAAAACTACCTATAGGTATTGTGCTCACTACCTGGGTGACGGGATTCATATTCCAAGCCTTAGCACCATGAAATATTCCAATGTAACAAACCTGCACATGTACCCCCTGTATCTAAAACAAAAGTTGAAATTTAAAAAAACAATACAGCTTTCAGAAATTCTGGTTCCACGGGGCTGGGAGAGGCTCAGAAATCGTTTTGGAGGTGTCTCAACTATATTACATTTATTGATAGTCCCCCAGATGTCTTGCTGTGGAAAGTCTTTTTGCTATTTTTCTTTCTTTCATTTTTTGTTCTAAACTGTGACAACTCCAGGATGTTAAGGGGATCAATCTCTTGAAAGGGGAGGGAAGCATACATAGTGTTGGAAGCTACACTTTACGTGAGGTTGAGAATATACCTCTAGTCCACATGAAAGAATTGGACAGGTGGATATTGTGAGTTGAGGGCATGAAGCCCCTTTCCCTGCCACTGTTGGTGCTGCCACTGTTTGTGAACCTGCCTACCTTCTAATTCCTGACATTGAAGCACACAGAAGATCAGCAAATTTCTGAAATCCTTTAAACTCACACCCAGCCTTTGTCTTCTTTCTGGTTTAATCGTTTCCAGGTTTTTTATAATAGTGGAGTCAGAGTTTAATTTATCAGATAACTGGTAACAAGACCAAAAGGAAACAGATTGGCAATTGAAAGGAAAATGAAAACAAGCCTCACCAAGATCATTTACTGAACACCTATCACATACCCAACTACATTTGTTTTTGTTTGTTTTTTTTGTTTGTTTTTCTTTTAGGATTTCAGTTTATCCTCAATACAACCCTCTGAAATAGATATTTTGTCATCCCCATTTTATAAATGAGGAAAACAGAGACTGAGAGTAAACCTCTCAAAATTACAGTTGGTAGTAGACAAAGGTAAATTCATACCTGGATCTGACTTCAAAGCTATGTTCCTTTGACTCTGCCATAAGTGGCATCATGGAAAAGAAAAAGATTACAAAAGGGAAAGGGAATAGGTGCATGTGGTATGGAGCGAGAGAGGAAAGCCAGTCTGTCCCAGACACATACCACCAAAAAAGTCTTCATCTCACTATTCACTCTAGATCATCTGTCAACATACCAGATTATTTCCTTTCATTGTAGCTTCAGCTGCTATGTCAGAGTACACGTTCCTTTCCATTCATCAGTCCTCCAGTCACTAGTCTAACCACAACTTTCAGTCACAACTGAAATCAGTTCTCATTTCTTTCCAAACTATGTCAGCTTCTCACCAGTCCTTTTTAGGTTTGATCCTATCTTCTTAATTCATTCTGCATCCATTGCCTTCTTAGTTTCCATCGCCCAAATCATGAAAAAATGCAAAGGAGCCATATATAATGAGATTCATATCTAGTTTGAAACCAAGATTAGAAGAATCAGTGAGATCCAGGTTCTTTAAATCTCTGTTTCCTGACAGGAAGAAAACGTGGTATATACATCCTTGTTGGTGTTCATGAGAGATATCAGCAGCCATTGATGCCAAATTCTCTTCTGCCAGTGCATGGCTTTAATTATTCTTCTGTAGGTCTCTTAATAAGTCAATGCCAGAATGTGTTTTGCTTTCCTATTTACAGAATCTCTCTTCACCTTTTTAAAATGTAGGCTTCATGTAGCTTTTACTGAACTGTTAGTCCCTAGTAAGGCAGTATAGCAATGGTGATTCTGTTCTATTCTCTGCCATGAAACAAACATTATTTAAACTCTAAGCCTTACATTCTAGCATTCGAATAATGGAACTACTAGGTTAGGGCTTTCTGAATGTGTAGAATTATAATTTTCAAAATTCATATGACATAGTGTTTGAAAGATGCTAGTTATATTACAAGAACTATTTACACACTTTCTAATTGTATTAGGATCCTACCAAATGAGGTATTTAATCCAGTATTTATAATATTGATGATCTCTCTTAATTGTTTTCCTTTGTAGGTTTCTTACAGTCTACTGACTCTGGAAAAATGATCAGGGACTAAAGTAGAAAACATGTTGTTAATAACATTGAATAGAATCAGACTCAAGTTTAAAAACATATTTATTGTCCCGGGACATTTATTCTTGACCTTCCTAGTTATTTTAATTTCCATTTCAGTCATTGTTCATGAGTTAAGATATGATCTCTGTCCTCCCTTCTCATTTGAGTGTCTCAATCTCAGAACAAGCCATTAGCTCTGATATGCCCACCCTTTCTTTTTTGAAGGCTGACAGCCTTTTATATAAATGCCATCTCTTCCAGCTGACATTCAAATGCTCAAACTTAATGAGTTTTCAGTGGATATGTTGCTCTATCTACTTATTGCAATTGTTATTTAAAAAATATGTATTAAAAGCTAGAGTTATGTCAAGTTATTAAAACTTAGAGAAACATATAAAATACTTAATTAAAACAATAACACAAACCAGCTTATGAAAACTACAGAATGGAAGCATGGGGTGTCAGGAGAGAAACCACTGATAACTTTTGTATTAGAATTAGCTTCATGGAAAAGGTTGCTAGATGTAGAAGAATGAGCAGGTTTATAATAAATGCAATTTGGTGATGTGGACTTTCACTAAAAAAAATGTGGAAATGTATAAACCATGGGTAGGTATATTTGAGTATATGCAAATAACTCTGTCATAAGCAAGGAGTACGTTGAAGAGCTTATTTCAGCACATCGAGCATGGCAGTATGAGCCCCTCATAGGCTAGAATGATTTACTTAATTCCAGAGAAAATGGTAAGTCATTAGAAGTTTTTGTGTAAGAGATTATTTGATCAGAGATTTTTATGGAAAGCTTAATCTGTTTTTGATTCTGTCATTGATTTCCAGAATATATTAGGAGAAGAAATGGTATGTGAAATGATTAGTTAAAAATATAAGACAACTATAAAGAGGAGAACTTTTGCTTTTTATTCTATAATTTTGGACATGATATACGTGTATGTAACTGCCTACAGGATATTTCCAATGGGTTAAGCTGTGACCCACTTAGAGTGTCCAAAACTGAAATCCTGTTCTTCTTCCTCTTAAAATGGCTTTGTATTTCCTATATTGAGTGTTGAATGCTTCCACCTACCTAAATACCACAATTAGAAACCTAGGAGCCACTGTGCCTCTTTCCTTCTCTTTGTCTTCTGCATCCAGTTCATCATCAAGTATTGTCAGTTCTGTTTCTTCAATTGCCTTTTATTTCTTCTGCCACAGCATCAGCTTATCATTATCTGAAGCTTGAACTATTCCAACAACAATTTGGAGTCAGTTCCATCTTAGCTATGTTTTCTCCTTTACAATTAATTATTCAATGTAGTTAAAGGGATGGTATTCCTAAAATTAAAACTTAGCCATTTCATTCCCTATTCAAAACCCATGAGATAATATTGTTACTTTCCTAAATAAGGCTTCTAAAGTCATTCATAGTTCAAGCTTCCAATATAATCTTTAATTGCAGCCCATTCTCTTTACCCTGATTCCCCTTCCTTTCCACACTCGTTTTCAGATGCTATACTGAATTTCTTTAGGAGTCACTCACACACCAGGACATCTCACTGCCAGACTCTTCACGAGCTCATTTCTCTTCTTCAACTCATTCTTTTTTTTTTTTTTTTAAAACAGTCTCGCTCTGTAGCCCAGGCTGGAGTGCAGTGGCATGATCTCTGTTCACTGCAACCTCTGCCTCCTGGGTCCAGGTTCAAGAGATTCTCCAGTCTCAGCCTCCTGTGTAGCTGGGATTATAGGAACGTGCCACCTTGCCCAGCTAATTTTTGTATTTTTAGGAGACACGGGTTTAACCATGTTGGCCAGGCTGGTCTTGAACTTCTGACCTCATGATCTGCCCGCCTCGGCCTCCCAAAGTGTTGGGATTACAGGCTTGAGCCACCACGCCCTGCCTTCTTCAGCTTATTCTTTATTACTTTTACTTATTCCTCATTGTTCTTAGCTAACTTTTACTCACTAGTAAGGTTTTCGTATTGCTGCACAAAATCTACACAGACACACCACACACATTATATTTCTCTGGCTTCAGTTTTAAGGAAGCTTCTTCTACTCTGTTCTGGCCACACTGGTTGCCTAGCATTTTTGAATATGCCAGACATGCATCACTTTAGGACCCTTACATTCATTGGTTGATCTCTCTCACTGTGATTCTTTTCTTTCAGAATTAGTACGGATAACTATCACCTTATCCAACCTTTTTAAAAATGAGGCCTACCTGTGCTGATGTACTGATAATCCCATTTTGTATTGCAGGTGCTCAAACCCTTGTTCCTCTTCGGACAAGCCATCTGTGTTAACTGATCTGACATTGCTCAGCTTTGACATTGTTGTGGTCATAAAGTTTAGCATCTGCTAACATTCTACATAATTAATATATTTATTTTGTTTACTGTCTATTGTCTATGCCCCTTTTCCCAATAGAATGTAAACTTCTTCATTTTTACAATAGTAGAAATCTCTGTTTTTTTCACTGATTTACCCTGAGCACCCTATGTACATTATTTGGCCACAGTTCTGAGTATTTTCACAAAGCTGGCTTTTACTTTTTAATTTGCTATTTCAAAGTATATGAATTTTTTTTTTGACAGAGTGTCTCATTGTCACCCAGGCTGGAGTGCAGTGGCACAATCTCTGCTCACTGCAACCTCCACCTCCCAAGTTCAAGCAATTCTTCTGCCTCAGCTTCCTGAGTAGCTGGGATTATAGGTGCCTCAAAGTATATGGATTATTTTGGAAATACTGATGTATTATTGTCATTTTATATAATTTATGTTTTAACCAATAGTGAATGAGTGTCTTTTTTTCTGCGTTCTCAACAGAATAATATATTCCAAGTTAACCACTATGCTTGTAGAAAAATGGTATCTCATTAAAAACCATTCATTTTAAAGCTTGTTTTAAAATTTTGTTTTATGCAGAGGTTGAATACCATTTATACTTTTATTGGCTTATTTTTTCTTTAGTGAGACATGTTATGCCCTTTACATTATTTTCTATTTGGGTGTTAGTGTTTTCCTTATATATTTGCAATACATTTTTGCACATTACTTATGTTATTTAACTTAAAATATGTTTGACTAAAATGTTATTGTTGTTTTTCAAAGAATTTATCTTATGCTTCCTTTTCTAAATTCTTCTTTGAATAATTTATCTTCTTCCCTCATTTATTTATTGTCTATGTTATCTTTACAAACACATATTACCAGGTTTCCGGACCTGCTCACCAATAAAACTATGAGCTATTTTTTTCCCTGACCTTTATTCTCTCCTATTTTGAAGAAAACCTGCCTTTGACTTTAAAAGTGCTCATACTGGCTTTTATCTATTATTTCTCAACGCACATTTTTAGGTACTTTAGTTTGTGATATTTCTTCTGTAGAAAAACTTTAGATCACCATTCTGAATGATTATATTGTCTTCCTCAATATTTACTTACTGAACAATGTGTTAGTCTCTTAAACTTGAGCAATGTTGTTAAGATAATCATAGTCTACCCTTCACCTCTATTTTTTTTTTGGTTGAATCCCAGACCTTCTTGATAAAGTGATGAAACATGGAAGTTTTCTGTTTCTGGAACAAATACTTTAGTTAGTTTGAGAAATCATGGTATAATACAAAGTGTTGTCAGTGACACAGTGCTGATTTATACTAGGTGTTAGGATTTTGAAATTATGTCCTGATGTAATTGTAACAACTCATCTACGTATGCCTTGGGGTGATATAAATGTATCTTGGGAATAATATGGAGCACAATTTGCTAGATTTATTTTATTGCAGATTTATTTAAATTATTATTTTTAATTCCACAATTATTTATTAATCCTTTACTTAGCCTTATCCACATAGCCTGAAGGTAACTTTATGCAATATATTAATTAATTTTGTGCATGAAACAAAGTTTGCATTAAGTACTCGTGCAGAATTTTTCACTTGTGGCATCATGGCAGTGCTCAAAATGTTTTGGATTTTGGAGCATTTCAGATTTTCATATTAGAGATCCTCAGCCTGTATATAAAGGGCATATAGTCTAATGAAGAGGGCAGACAAATAAACAGGCAATTATGCCCCAGCATGATAAATGCTAAAATAAAACAAAGGAAGCTTTGGGAACATATAAGGAAGGGATTTCCAATACAATCCCAAAGCATGCAGGGAAGGTTTTCAGGAGGAATTAAAGGCCATGCTGAGACCTAAGTTTTTAAAGAAGCTGGATAAAATTATAGTAAGGTGAAAAAAAGGTCAAGAAATCCAACAGTAAATTGATGCCTCCCTTGTCTTAGTTTTCTTGGGCTACTTAAACAATATCATAGACTGGGTGGCTTAAACAACAGATAGTGATTTCTTACAGTTCTGGAGGCTGTATCATGGACTGGGTGGCTTAACACCATATCATAGACTGGGGTGGCTTAAACAATGCATAGTGATTTCTTACAGTTCTGGAGGCTGGAAAGTCCAAGATATGAGATGCCAGCAGATGAAGTATCTGGTGAGGGCTCTCTTACCAGTTTGCAGAGGCTTGCCTGCCTTCTTGCTGCATCCTCACACGACAGAGAGAGAGAGTGAAAGAGAGAGGGTTTTAGGATTCTAAAATCCTCAGAAGAGCTTTGTGGCATTGACCACATCTATGGAAACCTTGAGAATGCTTTTACCTCTCTCTAATTGTAAAAATATTGTCCTATAGCTACTCTCACCTATGATTTTAAAATATGCTTTGTAAAATATTTTCATTTAAAATGTAATGCTAAAAGTTCTATCGTCTATGTTATTCTGTATATGCAACTCAGAAATTGGCCTCTTGGATATATCTGTGTCTTTTAGGAAATGCTGATTCTTTTTGAAGAGACTTAGAAAAAGAGGTTGACAGAAATGTAAATATAGATGTAGACGTATTAAAACGTTTTTCTGTTGTTAGACTCAAACTAAAAGTGCATTTTTTCTCTCTAAATAAATGCTAAACATAATATAAAATACTATCTTCTCTTAACTCTCATGCTACATAAACATACCAAAAGAAAAAAATAATAATGTGGAGGCCAGAATCAATGCTGAATTTAGCAGAAAACATGACAGTGATTTGTGAGTTTAAATGCTGGGTGAAAGCCCAGATAATAATGATAGTAACCTTTTGGACGCCTCCATTTAGAACTTGTCAGAAATACTGAATTCTATTAAGTTAAATCATGGCAATTCAATAGGAATACATTCAGATCTCATTTTTTAGAGTCAATTTTGGCACAGTCAAAGTTTTCCATTACAGAGTTAGCCCATTAGCTCAAATTGATAATGGATCTGGAACTCCTTAAAATACAGAGGGTTTTATGTTGTCAGATCCAATATCAATGGAGACTAATATTTTTGAATAATTCAAAATAGTCTCAAAAGCTCAAAATAGTCTGTGTCATAATAAAAACAATACCTCCAATCCATCAATATTTTAAAAATTCTGCTAGCATAGCATGCATTTAGAGCACAGAAACCAAGTTCCTCCAGTAACAACAATTTTATGATTGTAGAACATGTGACAATAACCATAAATTAACACTGCTTTCATATACTCATTATGTATAATCAAAATTTACTTAATCACTAGTTTATTTTATATACTCATAATTCAGTTCACTATTACATTATTGATAAACAATGAAGAAACAGATTTCAATTAGTTTCTATGAGAATTGACAGCAAAAATAAATATCTCACCAAAATCATTCAGGTTTTCAAAAGATATACAGGTTATTTTAAACTAGGTGACACTTTGAATTCAATCTTTTTGTGCTGTTTATTTTAAATAAAAATGAATTAATGTTAACAGGTTATAGATTTTATTCATTCATTTTCCCTTTCTTTCCGCATTCAAAATGTGTCCCTTTTATTCTCGTTCTAAATAACATGTGCTAAAAGTCCTTGAGATACCAAGACATTAAGGTATGATCCTTCCCATCCACAAGTTTATATTTTACTGATGATAATGATTGTATAACCCATAGTTGGAGGAGTGAATTATACCTTTTTCAAGTAAAATTACCAAAAGAAAATAAATATGTAGGCTAAAAAACTGAGAAGTAGATGAAGCTTGGCAAGAAAGCAGTGACTACATCATGAAGAGTCTTATATGTTAAACTGAAGAGCTTGCCCTTTGTCTTAAATTTAATGAAATATTGTTGATTTTTAACCAGGATGGTGGCATCATCATACTTATGTTTTAGAAAGAAATCTCCAATTGCAGGATAAGTGAGGGAAAATCTAGATAGATGAAAATAATTTAGGAGGTTTTGAAAAAACTCAAGTGAGAGATGATAATTGTCCAAAGTAGGGAATTTACAGTTTAAAAATTTTTACAGAGAGAGATTTATAGAACTTAGTCACCAATTAAATGTGGATGTCAAGGGAACTGAGTAAGTCTAGCATTATCCTCATGATAAGCTACTTGCAGGATCAATGTGTATTATACTATGTAGAGGATGAAATAGGGAAGTAGAGTGTGAGAGAGATTAATATAATTTTGGACATCTTCAGATTGACTTGATTGTGGGTTTTAGAATTAAGAAATTTTGCTTCATTAAAGGTCAAGGTTATGGAGTGCCTTGATTATAAGTAAAAATGGAAAGCTATGGATGTGGAAGATTTCCCTCAACTAAAATGTGTAGGGTGGAACTAGAGAGATCTGAGAGTGAACATTTTGAGGATACTCAATATGAATGACAAACAAAATGGAATTAAATCAGAAGCAAGAAAGAAACTTGCATTTCAGAAACCAAGAAAGCAGTATCAAAGAGTATATTATAAATTAATGTGCCTAGAGGTCAACCAAATGTGGCTTACAAATTTTTAATTGGATTTAGCAACAGCAGTATATGAAAATTTTATCGTGGATGTTTTCAGATGACAGATAGGAAACGCCAGGTTACAAGATGTTTAAAAGTTGAATGCATGATAAAAAGTGAAGAAGATGTAGGTAACTTTTCAGTGTTTGAGAAGAAAATTAGACATTAGTAAAGAGGATTGAGAGGAATACCAGGTCAACATAATTTTCTAATATAGGAAAGATTTAAGCATGCTTAAATGATGGTGAGGAAAAACAGACATAGAGTCCTAGGAAGAAGACAGGAGGTAATTAATGAAGCAATGTCACTGATTATATAGGAAGAAAAAAAAAGAAAAAAAATAGGTGAGGCATCACAGAGAAAAAGAGACATAGGTGAGGCATCAGAGAGAAAAAGAGACACATCATGCACCAGTGTAAGAAGAAAGGGTAAGTGTAGATATTTGTAAATGACAATGTTTTCTCAATAAAATTGAAAGTTAAGTGTATTCTCATGATTGAGGTAAGCAGGCTTAGTATGATAGATTTTGGAAAATCTGGGTAAGTTTTTTAACTAGCTGCACTGGAGAATATATGCATGCTATCTAGAAATACGCCAATATCACTAGACAGTATAGGAAACATAGTTGATGTTAAAACCATGAAGTAGTTGTGCAGTTGTAAGGTTCTCTCGAGATATATAGAAGCTTATGTATAGAACTTAGAAAATGGACAGTCAGTTAATATTGGAACAAAATATTACCATAAGAATACAACAGAGGAGAAGAGTATTGAAAATTTTGATAAGATACTGGTTGAAATAATGGATCTTTGTGTCTGACTGGATATGGAAAAAAGTGATGATGAGCAAGGAAAAGAGAGCAGGAGAAAGTAGAACTCTGTAAAGGTTAGGCATTTTCAACAATTAAAAAACAGTTCAGAGAGAGTAAGACAATGACAACTAAAAGCTAGACACACAAAAAAGATGTGACCAGAGAATGAAATTTTTGTAATTAAGAGCTCAAATGAGGACAGACCACAATGATGACAAAGACTACATGGATATTGTGATGTGATGAAGGATGTAACAAAAGATGACAGGTATTCTGGAATGAATGGGTATTCAAATTACAAATGAAATGTGTATATAAATTTACTTTATTACAGACATGTGATAAGTATTCTTTTCAGATTAGAGGCCCTATTCTATAGTCACAAAGAGTATTTGGAAACAATATATAGTCATACCAAATGTTTCTGAACTGGGATCTCCCCCCTCTCCTTTCTCCCTCCCTCCCTCCCCCCTTTCCTTCTTTCCTTCTTTTCTTTCTTTCCTCCTTCCTTCCTTCCTTCCTTCCTTCTTTCCTTTCCTCCCTCCCTCCATCCCTCCCTCCCTCCCTTCCTCCTTCCCTTCCTCCCTCCATCTTGTCTTTCCCCTTTTCCTCCGTTCTTTTACTTTCTTCTAATTTGTAAACGTGTTAAGTGCATGTTTTGTGAATACAATTCTTGACCTCTAGGGCTCACTATCTAGTAAGAACACAGACACATAAACCTGTAATTATAGCAATGCATTAAACACTTTTACAGAGTTAAGGGCAAGCCCCTATTGGAGTAAGCGCTTAATTTTCTCCTTGGAGAGGCCAAAAAAGTCTTTCCTGAGGAAGCAACATTTGAGTATGAATAAGGTCATCAGTCAGAAAATGGATAGGATGGAAGGTAGTATACCAGGAGAGAATAGCATGTAAACAAATGCAGACTCTGATCAATCATGTTAAAGGGTACTATGACAAGTTTTGTTTGCCTTAAGCTTGGAATACCTACAGAACAAGGGTGAGAGATGAGAATAAAATGGTAGTACAGAGACCACATCACAAAGGACCTTTAATGCCAGGCCAAGAATATGGGCTTCGTAAAGATTTCTTGAATGTCTAGTGAAAGTTCAAGCAGGAAATCACATGATCAGGTTTGAATTGTAAAATGATAATTCTGGATGCCAAGTGGACCATATTTTCAAGGAAGGAAAGATTGAATGTGAGGTAAATTAAGTTTTTGAAAAAATAATGATAGACACAAATCAATTTATTAATTAACTCAGTAACAGCAGTCCAACATAATTTTATGAATTGGAGAGGGACTGTCAAAGTGATTTCAAATTTATCTTGGAATACAAGTGTATGAAGCTCAAACATGCAGTTAATGGATTTGAGTTATATAAATACTTTCAATGTTATATAAGTCCAATTCAAATGATTGAAGAAAATACACATTGTAAGATAAACGTTCATGGTTCAGCAGGAGGGATAAGATAACACATGTGGGCTTTCTGTTGCTCCTGAGTCCAAAACAATTAAAGAATCAAAGTGAGTAAAGGAATACATCTATAAAACAAAAGGAAACAAATGCAAGGAACTCGTTAAGACAGAACAGACACTAAACTTTTTAAGAGTTGAAAGACAAGGGGAGGAAGAATACAGACTGACACAAGGAGATAAAATCACATTCGGAGATATGCTACAACTGAGTCTGCAAAAGAAATGGGGGCCAATCTGTACAGTGGAATCTTTGAGACATTTGGAGTTGGAGTCAGAAGTTATAATGGAGAATGTAGTTGAGCAATAGGTCAGGATATTGGAAGGAATTTTAATTTAAAGTCAGTCCTATACCTCCATGAATCATCATCCATTTCTTGCCTCCCACCCCTTGAACACACGCATAGATTTTGGGCCATTTTTATTTATCTTAATGTAAAGTTCTTTATCTTTTCACTAAAGAAATTAAACCTATGTTTGGGGAAAGATATAGTTTTGATAAATGCTTGAAGGAATGGAGTCAAGTCTTTAAGTATCTGGGAGAAAATTATTTTCAATCTAGAATTCTATATCCAGACAAGGTGTTATTAAACAGGTAAGACAGAAAGATATTGTCAAACATGTACCTACTCTTCTAACCAATCTCCCACTTAAATAAAACTATAAACTGAGACAGAGTGAGGAAATTACATGATAATGTTAAAGAAAACAACAATTATGATAGCTCTCCAGTAGGTCTAGAGAAAAATGAGTGCTGATTAAAGCAAGTGAGAGGTCTCTAGAAAAGTTAAGGGTTCATGTGATTTAGTGAGGATGTGGAAGATGTTGTCATAAGCCGTGGTGAACCCAGTGCCTAATATTACTTTCTGCACATAGCAAATACTTAATAGGTGGTTTCAGTGATATGAAAAATCAAACTTATACAAATAAGGCTTATTACTTTTAAGGATGCTTCCACATAGATTAGTTACTTCAATAAACTTTCGACAATTCAGATAGTTAAGTATTTTTGGCACTTAAGGTGATCTATCATGTATCTATATGTACTATTATTACCTGAATTGGTGGAGCATTATGATGCCTTCCTTCTGGAAGGTGTCCAACTAGTGAATCTGAAATCATGCCATTTTCCAGTAGATCAAGTCTTACTCAATTGTTTCTTGGGGTGCTAGCAAATTTGCCAATGCTTCCTTATTTTTTAAGGTTTATGTTCTTTTTTAGGGGGGTTGCACTAATATGTTTTTATATTTTAATAAGTTCAATCAAATGGAAGAATGCATGGT
The DNA here is from genome assembly GCF_000001405.40 of Homo sapiens. NCBI lineage: Eukaryota > Metazoa > Chordata > Mammalia > Primates > Hominidae > Homo > Homo sapiens. The sequence goes on along the minus strand of NC_000005.10, from coordinate 45,470,340 downwards.
TTGTTCACAAAGAATTGTAGTGCAATATTATTGGTTTAATACCAAAATCATGTACTTAGTGATTTCTTTTGGAAGGTATATGCCAAGACAGCAAACCAACACCTCTGTTTCTTCCAGAGCATCTCTGACACAAACCCACTCAAATAAATTAATATTCCGCACTTGACTGGCTTACCTGGCCAGAATAACAAGATGCTGTGCCAATGCATGATGTAACTGTGATGACCAATGCATAAAAAATTATGAATAAGCTTTGCTTTCATCTTAACAGTTTTTTCAGAAGCCTGTTTTTCTTTCTGTTATCTCCCCTATAGAGTTCACCTATCAAATGGTGCAATAAGCGAGTTGGCATATGCCTTTTTAGACTTAAAATGGTGACAGGAGGCTGGGATGTTAAAGACATTGTGCAGTTTGCCCCAATGTAAGGCTCACTCTCACTTCTTTTAGTGGAAAAACCAAAGCAGAGTTAATAGAATATTGCTAATTTGTCTATTAGTTTTCTTTTTCACCATCTTTCTCTACATTCACACAAACACACACACACACACACACACACTCCTTTATAATTAGGATTTTTAATTATTCTTTTTAATGTGTAAGAACTACACAATGAAAAGAACACTGCCTTTTTAATTTAAAAATTGGTATTTTATTTTGAATTCTCAGGATAAATTTTAGAAAAAAACTTCAGAAAATAATAGTGATATTTAATCAAATCAATATATTAGTGCTGACTTACATCTGGAAATTAAGTGTGTATAGTAAACATCAAATAATCTTCAGACAAACATCATTAAAATGAGGTTCAAAGATCCATCATAAGATATGTGGTTTTCGCCTCATTTAAATATGTCAGTGGTTGCACAATTTGTAAATATCGTCTACATTTGCAGCCATTTGAAATTTTTAATAGAGGAATAGACAATGATCTTAAATTGTTTAATTTTAGTCTGTTTTTTAGAGTATTAATCCATTGAAATTTCTTCTTAGTAGGGTCATTTCCAATATTCATTCATAATTAGATTTTCCCATCACTTAAGCTGCTTTTTAAAATAAATTAAGCATATGAGGTTATGCTTGCTCTTTCGTTTTTCCTGGGCATGGTACAATTAATAAATGTTCTGACCTGTCACATGGTCATCATGAAAGTTGAAAAGATGTATTTCTTTTCCTAAGGAACTTAAGAATTATAAAGATTTGGGTAGATTCAGTTAAAAAATAACCTATCATATTAAAATAGGTGATATTTTAAATATGACTCTATAATATTAAAATATAACTATACCAAAATGTCACCTATCAAAACATTTTTGTTTTTTGACCTATTCCAAGTTGTCAGCTGGTATTGACTTGAAATTTGAAGAAAAATGAATAAAATTAATAGAAACAGTTCAGCTCAGTTAGATATTTATTAGTACTGACCCCTTTATACAAATTGATTTGTTAGTTGAATAACTTCTATAGGAGGAAAAACATTTGTTGAGCACGAGCTCTGTGCCACCAGGCATTGTGCTTGACAGATTTCAAAGTTTGTACTTTTACAGTTTACATTATACCTATTTCCTGTCATTGTTTCCTACCAAAAATGTTCAAAGGATTCATATCTTAAGTTTCCCATTTGTTGATATTTCTCTTAGTAATACATTATCTCTGATTATTCTCAGACTGTTAAAGCTAAATAACAAGTTTCCATAAAAAACACACTTTTCATAAATGTTTTAGATAGATGAAATTAAAATTCTATGCAAAAAATATGTATGCATAGAAATGGATGGTATATCACATAGCAGCAAATAAAATGAAACATATATAGAAATTCTGAGTAATAGCCAAGGTAAAATATAGTTGAAAAGGTAGTTAAGAAACATAACAGGTTTCTAAAAAATAACTGAAATGTCTAAAATTGCTTTCTTTTTATTTTATGCAAACATGTATATGTTTATTAAAGGAACACCTGGATTAAAATAACATATACACCTATACTTTATTTTACAACTCATGATTGATAAAGAATACATTCTGTTCTATAACTACTTATATGAGCATATCGTTGTTATGAAAAGTACTATTTTCTTCACTGCAGTCATGTAATGAGACATATATTTCTCTAATGTTTCAAAGGTATCATCATATCTGTGCCACTTCAAAAAGATTTCTCAGAAGAAAGACTTCTTAAGTTTTGATACACCATTTGGGAAATAAAGTCAGCCTGAAGTATCTTCACATTTTCCTCATATATGGGTTGGTTTGAGAATCAGAGGCCCAGAGTAGCTATGAAACATCTGTCCTTCTGGAAATCAAATTTTGCTTTGTGCCTCCTGGAAATGTGTACATATAGCCATGAGAAGAAATTTGTTTTACCCTGTAAGGCAGGCCAGCTCTCTCTGTGTCTCAAAGTTCCGATGAGTTGTGTTTGAGAAGCTAAACAGAGAAGACTAAAAAGAGGGAAAAAAAGAATTAGGAAAATACCTAGGAAGTGAAGATTCTTTTTCAATTAAAATGTTTTTTAGGAATTGAGAGATTTTATTGTTTTTAAATCTTTGGGGGTTAATCTAGCCCCCAAAGTTGAGGGAATTCAACTATAAGAGTATTCCTTTTGAAAATATAAAACTTTAAGCTGAAACTGAAGAAGATAGTCATGGGCTTTGGGGAAGTAGAAAGAGAGAATGGGTTGTTGTTAGGAATAGGGAAATGGATAGACCATTGCTGAGGGCCTCAACTAAGGTTGCTATCCTTTAAAAAAAATTAAGTAGTACAAGCTACACAGTTTGCTCTCCAGTAATCTTCCAAAGTTTAGGTATACAAGGTGGCTGTTTTGATTAATCAGAAGTTGACATTTTTTTTTCAGAGAAAATGCAGTGGAAAAGGACAGAGCCCTTAATAAATGGAGATGTGTGGCACGTGGACATTGGGAGGTTGTTTGATGCCAGAAATGAGCAAAATTATGGGTAGTGTAGGCAAATAGAATGAACATTAAGAAAATAATTTTTTATATAGCTGGACAAATAACGTGTGACGTTGTCAGAGGGCAGTGAGGAAATAAGGGCACTCACATCAGAACCTAAGACATTGGGGTTTGAAAGAAGTGAACAAACTTTGAGAAAGCTACCAGAGAAGTTGCGTCTTTGGGGAGGGGAAGGTGGTGGGGAGAGTCTTAAGTCTCAGGAAAAGCAGAGAAGTAGAGAAAGCATTTCGTGAGGTGGCTGAGGGTATTTGATAATTAATTGATTATGTAGGAGGAATTTTGGAAGGAATAGTGGAAAGAAGAATCCAGGTAAAAAGCACTCAAGAGCATGAGTATGGGACAATACTTGGAGGAGGCTGAAGAGTGGATTATTGCTTTTGGACTATGGACAGAAGATGATAGTTTTGAAATGTTCAGATGGTTGACCTTCTGAATGTTAAGGTATTCTCAGTCCAAATAAAATCCTAGTTAAAAAGGGGACTGATAAGATTCATCCAATGACTGCAGTCATTGGTCAGTGTTAAAAGAGATTACTATGAAGAGTGTTATTCTCTCATATGAAGTAAAACCTTCTACACTTTGTACCTAAAGCATGGAAAGATGACCTGAATGACTTTCAGGGCAAGAATCACAGAGGTATAATAGGGCTTTTAAAATATTTATTTTACCATTGATTAGGACTATTACATATTGAGCCCTGAATATATGTTAACAGTACAACTGAATCTGAGTAGCTGTTTTTTTAATTTTGTGTCAGGATGGTATGTATACACTCCATCTAAAAAATATAACAAATCGTGCAGGTGCCGAAATATAAAGAGAAACAGAAGAATCTAACCTTGTTTTACACCTTTTAAAATAGAATGTTCTCTGTCAAGACAGGCATTTTTGGCCCATTTTCTTAATCTTATTTTGATACTTACGAAGGTGTATTAAGAAGTCTTGAATCAATATTGAGATCACACAAACTAGCTCAGAAATTATCCCAGTATGTAAAGTCAACGACTAAAAGCAGTTTAATGCACAATATAAAGAGTCTTCAATTATTTTTGATAGTTTTTTGGTTAAGGAAGACAAAATAGAACAAATAATTAAGCATAGATTAAGGTCATTCGTTTTATATACAAGCTATTAGATTGAAAGACCGATGAATCCAGTTCATCAGGAAAGAATATGGAAGCATTTTAAAAGAATTAAGCCAATTTATGGATATCTGTTGTATAGTGCAGTTTAGAAAGACCTTTTAAAAACAAGATGAAATAAACATTGCTCCTGGGAAAATATCACAAAAAATCACATTTATGATGAACGATTCGCAAATATTAAGGTAGAATTTGGGATTCTGACTTAAAATATCCTAGAGCATTTTTCAGTTTTAGAAAGTTAATTATTTATCCTGTCTGGAGTTATTGGACTCCAACTAAATAAAATTCTAAACCTATAATATAAAAAAAGTTCAATGAGAATTTGTGACCAGATCTTTCTTCTTATTAAGGTCACATGAACAGCACAATGTCCTGAGCTGGACAAATGTAAAGCACCGTGTCTCCTAAAGACATTGTTTGTAGTCTAGATATGGTGAAAATAAGATTAAAGAGTTGTTTAAAAACTTTTTTTTTTCACATCAAAGTCTCACTTTGTCACTCAGGCTGAAGTGCAGTGGCATGATCTCGACTCACTGCAACCTCCACCTCCCAGGTTCAAGTGATTCTCCTGCCTCAGCCTCCTGAGTAGCTGGGACTACAGGTGCCCACCGCCACGCCCGGGTAATTTTTGCATTTTTAGTAGAGACAAGGGTTCACCACATTGGCCAGGCTGGTCTCGAACTCCTGACCTTGTGATCCACCCACCTCGGCCTCCCACAGTGCTAGGATTACAGGTGTGAGCCCCCGCACCTGGCTGAAAAACTTACTTTAATTACATTTTTTTCAGTTGACTCCTGTAAATACCACTTGAAAGTAACTTAAAAGTGTATTGCTAGTCGGGGAAGAGAGCCTTTCTTTCTGTTACCCCAACCCTGAGCCCTCTTACCCTGTTACCCTAACCTGAGGTTAGGTTTCAAGTCAGGTTACTTAGAAGATGGAAAATAATAGTGAAGTTTTTGATTTTTTTGTTTGTTTTAATTCCCTTGTTTAAGATACAGAAGCAAAGTGGTACACCATAAAAGGTTATTTATGTTATTATTATTAAACCCCTTCAACTCTCTCATTCATTCATTTAGTAACAATTTACTGAGGGTCATTCATGGTGCCATTTTACATGAAGTCAAGTTTTCATGCAATAGCACCAAGACAATTGATTTATATGGAAATTTATTACTTAAGAATGTCCACCTTATAGATGAAGAAAAACTAAAAATATTGATCAATAGTGTTAGCCACTTGATTAGTAAGGTGAATAAAGTCACACTTAGATTTATCCTACAAGCTGCCCTTATTAATAATAAGTTGTGGCTGTGCATAAATTAGATCAGATGCTTCCTTCTTTGGTTAACCTGACTATCTACAGATGTGTGAGCTCCGTAAGGAAGTAGCCTTCTCATTCCAAATCTTTCTTGAGTAAAGTTTTAACAGGGCTATTAATCTCAGTATTCAGATCGTATGTAATGATTATGCCTGCCAGAGTATCTTAGTTATAAGGGTTCAAAAGACAATCAGATCGGGCCGAGATAATGCACACATTCACGTATTCATCACAAGTAATATTATATACTTTACATATGCTCTTTTATCAGTTAGATAAATAAAGATGAAGATATATGGGTTTGACTAGTTGAAATTTGCCTCTGCTATTAACCAGTGTAAAAATACCCAACTTGCTTGTACCTTCTCCAAAGTTAAATTTTGGGATAGCTCCAAAAGTGATGTCAATTTTGAACACATAATATTAATGTCCATAAGGGAGACTGTTTATAAAATTAATTATGTGAGTTCTTACTGAGTACTCTAAAGATAGTAGAGTTACTGTATGAAGCCAGCACTAGCACTACCTAACATTATGGAATTGGGAATGACTATTTGGTAGCAGATAGGCTTGAATCTAGGCATAATCTTATAATAGTTCATGAAAATGCATAGTAGCAAAACAAAAAGTGTTTCTAAAGTGTTATCATTGATGTTATATCCCCATTAACTTCCTCTATGAAATTAGTGGTCCTGTCTCTCTAGAGAACATTTTAGAGATAATAGGGTTTTCTTAAAGGAATTGAATAACTTAGCATATTATTTTATCTTTATCTCTTGAGAGCCCATGAAAAGAATCTAATTTCCCAAAAGGAAGTAGAAAATGCAAGAAAAACCCAGTCAGATCTACCAAGAATCGATGCTAGTTCTCTAGACCATTCCATACTCCACTCTAAAGCCTGATAATTGAATGATGGCCACTGCCTGTATACTTATAATTTGTAGATTTTGTAATATTTTCAGATAGTTATTAGTTGCCTCAAATAATTGGGCTGAAATGTGATAAGCTTCCTGGTTTTTCCAGAAGTTTATATTCTGCAATTTAACACTATTTCCCAACAAAACGCAGTCTTTATCCACAAGACATCTTAAATGATTTTCTCAGGAAATATTAAGATATAAATGTAAATTCTGTTACTAAACAACAACAAAAAAACTAAGTTCATGATGACTTTTTCCGACTTTATCAGTAGAAAGCTTTTTTATTATGTTGTATTATATAACTTTTAATGAGAAATTATTGATGAAATTGTTAGTAGAGTTTCTATTTATGTATTCAGTGACCAAGAAATATCAGAGGGAATAATATCAAAAGGATGTTTCTGTAGGTTTTCCAAATTTAAAACCAAAATAAAAAGTAGCTTACAGAAAAGTAAAATTCTTAATGCTATATAATAAGTTGTGTGTATAGCTGTCTGAATATCAAAATATGTGGTCTGTTGCCCTTAAAATTAGAACTGCCAACTTTCTTTTAAAAAGAATTCAGAACAGTGTGTATATTCCCACGAAAAAAATCTTTTTGCTCACTATAATTACTATGTCAAAAAGATTGTTTAAAGAAAGAATTAATGCTCATAGAAATATATCAAACTGAAAAACATTTAATTAAAGACAGATTTTGGTTATTTTATAAAAGCAAAATCACAGATGCCCTGTCATTTTACCTCTGAGTACTTCAGTGTGTGTATTTTAAGAATTATAGATATTTTCCTACAAAGATATCATTTCTAAAACCAAATGTATTTTTTTTGGTTTTCTTTACATTTTTTGGATAATTTTTCAATACAAGTTTACCTTGTTACTTCAAAAACACACCATTCTTTTGGTGAATTATACAAAAAGTGATTCTAAATATCTGAAGTTATTGTGTTTATAAGTACTTACTCAAATTTAATTGTATTTATTAATGCAGTAATTCCTTAACAATTATAACAAAACTTAGTTCTACAATGTAGGTCTGCTCCCAAGTGGGTTTTGCTATTCTAGACTAGGTAAAATATAAGTAGAAACTATATTAGCAGCCAGTTAGAGAGTACAATAAACTGCTAAAGAAAGGACTCACATTCTGAATCTATTTCTTGTAAATTCTAGAAAAATGAGTAGTTACAGATGTAAAGATGGGTATTTGTTTCCATTTATAAAATTTTGATGGATTATGTTGATTTGTCATAATGTTTGTGTTTTCTGAAATAATCTAACCTACCATACTGAATTTCATCAAAATACAAACAATAAGGAGTAACTGAAAAGTAAAGCCTGTACCATAAAAATACAAAAAGTTTATGGAAATAGTTATGATTTTTAAAAGTGTTGCACAATTGTTTTTAAACCAAATCCAGGTAGCCTTTATCTCAAAGGCTTCTATTTATGTTCAGTATCCACAATTAAATATCTCCACTCACATAGCTATAAATTTAACTGTAATTTATTATCAATATTACTTCATATTTTGCAGCTGAACTCCTTTGGCATATGGTTTTCAGTCCTTGGGTATTTTCTTTGTCTTTCAACAAATCTATTAATATAACAAGAGATGAGAAGCAGAGTAGAAGCTACCCATCATTTGTAAATTTTGCTACCTTGTTTTAAAGTAGCTTTGCTAAAATATGCAAAAGAACAATAAATAAAAACTTCTGGCAACATCGATGTTCTTTAATACATACATTTATATATTCATGCTATCTCTGTTGCTCATGAGACATAGTTGGCTTTAATATTCATAAAGTGGAGTGTCAACCTTATTGTAAAAATAAAGAAATGTAATCTGTTTCTATTTCTGCAAGTTATTCCCATATTTTTATTAAATCAATGCTTACGCTACACAACATCAATGCCTACTATCAGTAGTATGCTTGATTTTTCTAAAAAATTGATTATAAGAATTGATTTTATATTTTGGTCAACAGATATTCCACATGACATATGATCTCGCCAGTGCAGTGGTGAGAATTTTTAATCTCATCGGCATGATGCTGCTCCTGTGCCACTGGGATGGTTGTCTTCAGTTCTTAGTACCACTACTGCAGGACTTCCCACCAGATTGCTGGGTGTCTTTAAATGAAATGGTTGTAAGTAAATTCTGTTATTTTACACTCTGACTTTTCAACGTTGTGCCAAAACCTTTTAAGTAATTATGTTACAATGATCTGATTTCTTCTCTATAAATGTTTACAGACAACTTGATTTTGCTTCTATGAATATAAAATCAGATGTTATGTTTGTGGAGGGTGGTTACAACTAAATTTTACTAATTGACTATGTTCCTGAGTATGTATATGTTACAACATCTACTTTTATATATTTTATTCTGTGTATACTGAGGCATATCTTATTTCAAAGATACAATCATAAAATATTACCACAGTACAGCATTCTTTCAAAAATGCCTGTGGCTTAGAATAACGCCTTATTTCATCAACATTTTTTAGCTTTCACTAGGTTCAAGACATACACTTTTAGGGATTGTAAAACATGCAAAGGCAGATACATCAGCATAGATATAGATTAAATATGTATGAAGCCAAATGAAGTTTCAGATACTACTTTTTGCTAAGGAAAATAAGGAAAACTTCGGGGAAAAGGTAGGCTTTAAATTTACCTCTGAAAGTTATGTAAATATTTAAAAAACTATAAAGTATAAATTTGATTTAAATAGCTATGTATATTCCTATTTAATTTTAAGAAGATATGTTTTGATCTATATAATGCAACACTCAACACTCACAAAAGAATTAAAAGAACAGGGAATATTTTGGTTGATATATCTATAAATCTCTCTATATATATTTTATATATACACACATATGTGTTCACAAATGTTTGTTCTTTTTGTATAAGTTCCCATATTTTCTTCCTGCATTACATTTTAATTACATTTTTACTTAATAAAACATTGTTTAACTGTGAATAGCCCTCTTTGATGTGTGACATTTTATGGTACTTTAATTTTATGAGATTTTTACATTTTTCCCTTAGGTATAAATCAAATACTGTCTTTTCTCAAACTGTTCTACTATTGATTTGTTGGCTTATTTTTGTAGAAATTACATGGACACCAAAGATTATGATTTTTTCTCCTAATGATTGTAGCATAGGTTTTCTATTTGAAAAAAAAAAGGCGATTTACATTGACAGTTAAGATGTATTGTCTTCTTTTCTTCCTTTTCTATCTTCTTCCCTATTGTCCTCCTTCCTTCCTTCCTTTTTCTTTTTGTCTTTTCTATGCTTTCATTGATATTTGACCTGATATTTATTATATTTACCTAGATCTCGCTTCATTTCATTAATATTTGCTTATATATCACTAAATCACAAAGAGCTCTCCTGACCACCTTATGTGTATGTATATACACTTTTATTTGTTATTTATATTTTTCTGTGTTCCCCACACCAGAATGTAATGTCTGTTCTCTTCTGTCCTGTATTTCCAGTGGTGTCTTGGTGTATTTTGTGCTGCTATAATAGAATACTATGGACTGGGTAATTTATAAAAAACAGAAATGTATTTCTCACTGCTCTGGAGCCTGGAGAGTACAAGATGAAGGTGCCAGCACGTTCAATTTCTGTATCTAAGGTGGCACCATGCTGCTATGTCCTCCAGAGAAGACAAATCTATCCCTCACATGGCAGAAGGTGGAAAGGCGGCAGGAACATACTTCTGAAAGCCTTCTTTAATCTATTTATGAGAGCAAAGCAATCATGACCTAAACACCTTTATTAGACCCCACCTCCCAACATTGTTGTAATATGGATTAAGCTTCTAACACATGAATTTTGGGAGTCACATTCAGACCATAGAAAGTGCCTAGAATAGTACCTGACACATTAATTTGTTGTGACTTAGTCACTTATCATTGACAGTTTTTTTGAGAAATATTCTATATGGTAGTTTCGATAACTAAAGAACAAAGTAAGCAGTAGTTTGGTTGGCTCATTTTTCAAACCTGTGATGTCTACTTGATTATAGATCTGTCACTTTACTTATCTTTTTGAAGGAGGAAAGTATATGGTAAAAATAGTAATAATTGTATTTTTCAGGAGAAGAAAAGGCAACAGCTCTATAATCTGGCTACTGACTGAGAGGATAGTATAAAAACATTAGCACTACTGCCAAAAGATGATTCATTGGCACCAACCAATATTTAATTTGGTAAAAAATTATTATTTTACATTTTTCCTATGTATCTTTCAGAAAAATACCAATTGTCATCATAGATATAGTAAAATAACTATTTTGGGATGTCTATAAAGTACATATGGTAGTATAATTATAAGGCAATATACTACTTAATATATCTGATGATAAACACATTTATTGAAAAAAATTCTTGTTTTTCTTTAAACATGTCTATATGTGCTCAAATGTGTGTGTTCATGTGTGTGTTTGTGGTGTGTGTGTGTGTAGTATGTTTATTCCAACATAGCCCAACCTTCAACCTTTTTTAATATCCTGACATTATACAAAATATCTTTCCAGAATTTGCAATTCACTTCTTGGCTTTTTTTTTTTTTTGGCTGCAGATTTACATATGAAGTTGGTTTTTATTTTCTCTTGTGTTTATTTAACATTTTTCCATGTGTAACTCGAATGTAGAGAGAAGGAAACCGTCATGTATGTTCAAATATAAAAGCCATAACTTATTTTATTTTATTTTATTTTATTGTTTTTATTTTTTGAGATGGGGGTCTTGCTATGTCGCCAAGGCTGGTCTTAAACTCCTGGAGTCATGTGATCCTCCCACCTTGGCCTCCCAGTGTGTTGGGATTACAGGCATGAGCCATCATGCCTGGCCTAATTTATATTGTGGATAATAGTGATGTGAAGGAAATAACCATAAAAAAGACCATTTTTGAATCAAGAGAGAATCTTGATGGTATCATTTGACCTTGAAGATACTATTTTTCCATTCTAAAGTTATGGAGTTTTGGTAAATCATTTATTGCAATAATAAAAAGCAAAGTATATTTATGCACAAGGAGTTATAATGGAGAAGTGCAAATCCAATATGAGAACAAAAGCACCCTGCATTTATTTAATACACTTACTATATACAAAACTCTGTGCTTTGAAGGATGCTATCTTATTTGGTCCTCACAGCAACTGAATGAGGTAAACATTATTTTGCCCCACTTTTTGGCTAGAAAAACTAAAGTTTTTAGAAGTTAAATGAATAGTCAATGTCACACAGCTAGATTATAGAACCAAGAGTAGAATGCTTATATATCTGACTCTGTAATTTCTGCTCTAAACCATGTTGGACGGTTTTGTGCAGCATAGATTATAAAGAACAGTTAAGGAAGGTAGTAATAAAGAGACAAAACCTGTTAGTTAAAGCACTCCAACTGCAGTAGAAAATCCCATTAAAATTAACGTTTGAGCTCTGACACTAAAAAGTGGCAAGATTGATCTTTTGTGAGATGTAGAAAACCAAAATCAAGTTGAGAAATCAAAAAATTAAGGAGCCAGGCCAGGATATATGCAGGAATGCACTCGTCTTTCTTGGGTTTGGGCTTGACAAACATGCTATGACCTTAGGCTCTGATTCTAAATTATTTATAATAAAGATTAGTGGGTCTAACAAATTCTTTATGTTTATTCTTCTTCATTGTATCCTTCCATCATTAAATTATTTTTATTCTTAAATATTAATTACTATATATTTATATCCTTCTTAACTGTATCTGCACTTATACCCATACTTTTATCTGTATCCCACTAGCTAGATGAGGAGAAACTCAAAGTCAATGCTATAATTATACTGTATCTGTAACTGTAGTGTTGATAATTTGTTTAATATATCTATTCTTATATTAACTATTTCATTCCATAAATGTAGGTTCAATCTCTCTCAGTGAATTCCTTTGCAGTCTTTCTAAATTCCTCATTAAAGTTTTTATTTAAATATTATTTTTAAAAAGTCAATCACTAACCGTCGCAGGTGCTATGGTTTAAATGTATCCCCCTAACTTCATGTGTTGAAAACCTAATCCCCACTGCAGAAGTGTTGGGATGCAAAGTCTAGTAAGAGGTGATTACATAAAGAGCAGACTGACCTCATGAACAGGTTAATATTGTTATTGGAGAAGGGGGTTAGTTATAAATATAAGTTTGGCTATCTCCAGCTCTCTTTCACATGTGATTGCTGGCCCTTTCACCCTTCTATCCTTATGCCGTGGTAGGGGACAGCCGAAAGGCCCTCACCACATGAAACTTTAAAAGATCTTGGATATCCCAGCCTCCAGGACTGTGAGCTAAATAAATTTCTGTTCATTATAAATTACCCAGTCTGTGGTATTTTGTTGTAACAACGGAAAGCGGACTAAAAGTGCAGGCTACTTAAATTGACTAGGAAGGAGATACTGACTTGCAAAACACAACGTGAACAGGAAGTAACTTTGCTTTGTATTTATATTATTTGTTTTTGTTTCATTCAAGAAATAAGTCTGAATTATATAATTCTATCTGAATGAAAATCTTGGATATAGCAGATAATTACTTTCTAATAAGATTAGTTTTATTCCCATGACATTTTGTGGCTATGTGTTTAGGTGTACAACACTAAAATTATATTAAATCATTATAAACAAGATTGGGAGTAATGGGTTTTTGTTAAAATTACAAGTATGAAATATTCATTTTAAGAATATAAGAAAATAAATGATGCACGTTAACTTGCGTATTAATTTTGAACTGAATCTCAAATATCGGATGTAACCTAGGGAATGACTTTATAGAACAGATAAAGAAGGATTTTCAGCTAAACAGTACATTCCTAGAGCAATCTTTCTTTAAAAGTCTATAGGTTTACTGTCAGGGAGTCCATGTTTTCTACTAGCAATCTTATAAATATATGATTACATGTTAGTAATCATTTTGAAGGTTTTAACATAGCATGTTATGAATTTAGGATTATCTGAATGTCATACATATGGAATCTGAATATGCTTTTGTAGTTGGAGCAGGTTGTGTCATGAGGAGTTACATCAAATAATTCTGGTTTTTGAGCATAACAAATAAATGATGCATTTATACCAATTGAAAGATTAATAACATATTAAATCCTGTACACGTTTCACCGTAGTCAAAATGAAGAAAAACTTGGATAAGTCAATTAGTCATTCCATAGCACTCAGTTGTAGAATACTGTATAAAATCACACAATCTACAAAACCTGGCATTACAGCACTACATTTACATTTTATGCACCTACTTGGTTTTAGCAAAACAGCATTACTCATCACAGTAAATTTACATTAAGATGTATTTGTTGATTCATTATTTTGTATTTGATTTGTAAAATTATGTTTGTTTTAGTTTTATACTTGTATTTATTTGAGTAACATTATAATCAAAATAATTTAACCCAAGTCAAGGGTATTTCATTGTAATGATTCATTTGTTGTGATTTGAAGGAATCTGTGCATTATTTAATTTTGATAAGTGCTATTCTACAGTGCAGACAATTGGTCTTTCATGTATCTGCATCCTAGACAACTCCTATACCAACTCTGCATGTGTTGCTAACTAAAATATTGTTTATAATCAAAATGGTAATTATCAGCATTTTTTAAAATATGTGCAAACTAATTATTCAGTTATCTATTTAAGTGGTCTTCCTTATACAGTTTTTGTTTTAATGATTTGTGCATCTCAAGTTATTTTTTTCAAAGATAAGTAATCAATCACTTGACCATACTCTAAATTACTGAATTTAGAACTCGTGGACATACTCTAAATTGCTGAAGTCAAAATTAATAAGCCTCTAATTCTCTACATATCTATAGATATATTAATTTCCAAAAAGTTAAGATGCGTAAACCAATCTAGCAATATCAGAGAAAAAAACTGATATAAAAAATGTCTGTAATGGTCTAATTAGTAAAATCTATATGGAGAGAATAAGGGATTCCACTGGAAAATCTAGGTTACTCTATTTTACTTTTATTTGAAACAATGTGACAGGGACACTTACTAACAACCAAATAGCCACGTGCTTTCCATATTTTCTAGCTGCCTTTCAGTTAGATGGGTACCTGTCTGTGCTATTAATTAATAATTAATGGCCTATGAATAGCAGTATATTTCACTTATAGGTATAAGCATTGAAAAGCTGCTATAATGCCCTCAACCCTTTTTTTTTTTTTTTTTTTTTTGAGTTCCAGAAGCATGTCTTAATTTGAAGCTCACACATAACATAGCCTATCCTAACTCGTTTGTACAGAAACATAGGGGGCGAAATTTGCAGAATTAAATTTAAAGACATACATATCGGAATTACCTCAACCCCTAAATCTGCTGATTTTATGCAAGTCACTTGACTTTCTTGTACGTAGCTTCTTAGCTATGAATTAAGTGTATATTATGTATTTTTTCATTTAAATGATCTATTGAGTATTTCTTTGTTCCAGACATTATTCTAGGCACTAAACACATGGTAGAGGATGAGACAAAGTCCCTGCCCTCATTAGGCTTACATTCTAACATGCTTTTATTCAAACTATCTTTTCTGGGTACTAAAAACTATATAAAACTTGACAAAATGTAAGCTCAACAATGAATACATTTATAATCCAGTGAAATGGTAAATTATATGACATATCTATTAATAGGAATTTGAATTGAGAGCTCTGAAATGTTTGCACTGCCCAAAGAGCATGGTTCAAGTGCTGGTGAATTACTCCCCTTTTTTCTGTTTTCCAAACTGTGTTCCCTTGAAAATGAAGCCATGCAAGCCTATTTTCTCTTCTTAATTTAGATACCCAGGGAGTACAGTCTGTTTTCTAACTCATCCAGTGGTGTTCTAGTAGTAGCCCTGTGTGGATTGAAATAAAATCTATGAAAAACCGAGGGCCAGGGAGACACAAAATAGAGAGACATTCATTTCAAGTAGTATTAGCTGGCTTTAGATCAGGAACCTTCAATAGAGTGGGGAATCAAGATACTTCAGGCACTTCTAGCTCAAAAACTATAATCATCCCAATAAATGTGTGCTGGGTGGGCAGAGAAGAGAGAGCTATTTATTGATATTTTAAGTAAATAATTTGGAAAAAAAGCAATGAGAATTATTCATATGTAAGCTCACATATACAATTAGAATATAGAAACCCGGACAATTATTTTATCTATTGCCATTCTATCAAATATTTAAGGGCAAAATTAAAATAGATTCACTTTTTGTTTACAGAGCCCATTTAACTACTTAGGTAATGACTGATTGACATAATATAGCCAAAGTAATATTACGAAGAAATGAGCTAAAAAATCTCTTAATTAAAAATATATTTCCCCTCTCTTGAGATTCAGTAATCTATTTTAGATTTGAATTTCTATGGCTTAGAAATTGTATTATTCTGATAATATTAATTTTTTAAAATAGAACGTACTGCCATAACAGAAAGATTTTATTTTTTTTTATTTTTTTTTATTTTTTTTTAAGACCTAACAAAGGGTAACTAATTTGCTGACAAGTCACTGTAGCTCTACTGGAAAAAAAAATGCCTTCGTAGCTCCTATGAGTTATAATAATAAAGTAGGTCAGCAGCCTGCTGAGTGTTGCGATTCTCCTTTGCTGTCCTGTCTCTCCCAATTAGCAAAGTCTGCCTGGCAACTGCTCTCTATTGGATAGAAACATGACCTCATCACAAAAGGGAAAGGGTTCACATACTGTGTTCTTCCTTCTCAGATGTGGATTCTCTTACAGGAAAAAAATAAGGAAATCAACTCTAATCTGATATTTTGTTTTCAGATAAAATGTGTATTTCAGAAAATTTTAAATCGAACTATAATTTCATCATCGAGAGGGATACAGGATATTGATGAGATTGTATATTGGCTATGGTGACCTTGAGTTGCTTTAGCAATGTAAGACCAAGCCGTTAAGTTCCAAACATGTTTTTGTTCCCGCTTACATAGACTGGCTCTTAAATTTTAAGCAACAAATAGCAGAAGAAGCACTATTCATGAAATTACCTTATCTAACAAGTGGCACCTGATAAAGTTGAAGAAAAAAAAGTATTTTGCTGTCTAATATTTCCTCCAAAATGATTAATTTGCTAGACTTAGTTCTCCGTTATATCCTTGCTATTCTAAATGTTGTTGAGACATTCACAAATATAGTATTCATGTATGTATAACACATTATCTCACCTATTTTGAAGGAAATGAGTAAAAATACATTTACCATTTTAAAGATAAAGAGTCTGAAACAGAATTGTTATTCCATTTGCATAAAGCCAGAGACAGTATGGTAGCTGGTTATAAAATCCATATTTCCCCTTGGATTAAGGATGAACCCACCATACCATTCTACTTCATGAGCCCCAGACAACTTCATCTTTTATAAACCATTGCCAATTTATGTTTATAGAAAACAACCATGAATTGGCTGCACTGCTGGAAGAGCTCAGAATGTATATGAAAAATACGTGAAAAGTCATTGTGTTTTGTATGTGTGTGTTGGGTTTTAGGGTCTTTCCTTTTACTACTGTCGTAAATTCAAAAGAATCTGGCAAAGAAAGGCAATTATAATATCTTATTTTTTCTGAACTCCTCATATATTTACGTTTCACATAAAAATGTTGTTTTGAATTGATGCAGATTGGAATAAAATAGTAACATTGTCTTCAATCTGGGAATCAGTGGAATAGCAGACTAATAGTTTCTACTGTATTATTCAATTTACGGATATACGGATGTCAGGCAATTCATATGAACTTTCTCTTTCTAAAGAGTTCAAGGTTATCATTCTCTGTTTAAAAGAGACTTATATAGACTTAAATTATGTAAGCTAAGTTGCCTATTTTCAGATAATTTTCCAGACAAGATTATATAGTTGCTTCCCATAATGAAAGGCTCTCCACACTTTGCTTTTTCTATTCCATCTCATTTTTATCCCTCCTGCTTTATACCCCAGTCTAATTATGCTACTCTAGAGATATATGACAGAATCAGAAGTGACATGAAGAAAGCCATGTGATAAATGCGGGATATAAGAAAGAATAGGAGGGACACTTTTTGAAACCTAAAACGAACATTTCGTAACCCCATTGTATAACCCATCATTTTTTTTGAAGTGTTTGTTGTTTTTAGAGATGTAATTTATTCTGGAGTAATGAGTAAATTTTATGATGAATTTGGCTTTTAAACCTTTAACTTATTTCAGCTATTTTATACATATATTCTTATAATGTATCAACCACTGTAAGCAATTTATTAAATGAGATCTTAAAATATAGAATAGACTAATTGGCCCATTTTCTTTAAACTTTGAGGGTCTAGACATAGGGCCATTATGATTAACATTTAAATACTCTTTTAGGGAACAACAGACAGTGAGGCCTACTTGAGGGTGGAGGGTGGGAGAGGGAGAGGATAGGAAAACTACCTATTGGGTTCTATCTTACTATCTTATATACCCCATCATTTTTTAGAAGTGTTTGCTGTTTTTAGAGATGTAATTTATTCTGGGTACTATACTTACTACCTGCGTGACAAAAAAAAAATCTCTATATCAAACCCCTGTGACTTGCAATTTTCCTGTATAGCAAACCTGCATATGTACCCTGGAACCTAAAAAAAAAAACAAAAAAAAAAAACTAAATACCCTTCTAGTATTTACCAGCTAGGTGCCTCAGAAACACAGCTCCAATCCAAATAAGAGTTAATCAATACCTGTCTCTGTTCTACATCCAGTATCTCATATTTCATGCATAGAGAAATAGGCACACCTAGCTGTGGACTGTTATCATTTATTCTCATGCATAAGCTTGGTAATGATAAAAATTGTGTAGGGAAAGTTTGGAATTTACCATATCTTTGTATTTTACAAAAAACATATAGCAGTGAATCACAATCCATTCTCTATACTCCAGTAGCGTTTTCTTGAGCATATCATAAAGTCAATTAAAATGGTCTCTAATTATATTCTAAATATAGAATGAATATTATTTATAATATCTACTTATAATGTCCATCAAAGCAAATGATGTGTATTTAGAGATCACTGTGTGCTACCCTTTGCTACTGTGATCAATGTGATAATCTAAAATCCTGATTCCTACAACATGGGGAAGGGCTTCTAGTGGAAATATGTTGAATTTTAACTACATACCAAATGTGGATATAATTGAATTTGACCTTCTTAATTTTCCAGAAACTATGTTTTTGGCCTTTAGGTGACTTTTCAGATTTTTTTAATTGATGTTGTGTTTTTCCTAAGGTCAGCTATTTATTCACTTTTTTAAAAAAAAGATTTTTACTGAGTTCAATGAAATTATAATATAATAGAAAAAGGTATCATTTCCATGGTGGGCATTATTATCTCCCCATTGCTCCCAAGCTAAAAGTAAGCATTAATGTGCCATTTATTTATGATTACATTTAGTCTACAACTTTTGTAATTCTGTCCTCGACTGAGTTATCAATTCTTAAGGAAAAAGAAGAGAAAAGAAATTTACCATGTGCCTGAAATCAGTAAATATTAGGCAAATCAAACCAAAATGTAGTAATCTGTAACATTTAATGGAAATCATTCTCCTGAGGGGCACCTTTCCCTTACATTCATCAGTGTTATTATTTCTCTATATTTTTCTGTTCTGATTATACCAAGAGATCAGAACTTTTTAATAAGTAGCTCTTTTGAAAAATATTAAAAAGAAATGTAAATAAATACAGATTTTTATACAAAGGATCATGTTAAAATAGAAACCCTATAAATGAGAGATGTAGAGACAGTTTATATACAAATATTTATGAGACTGTCATGCTCTAAAGTTTTTGAATGTATTTCTCGATCATTTAATTTGTATTCAAATTCATTGTATGAACAGGGTAATTTCCATGGTGATTTAGTGTTGTACAGGAATTAAATTATTGCAAAATTTGAAGAAACCAAAAGTAGGATAAACACATTATCTTACAGAAGAATGAAAAAAGGAATAGAAGTAGGAGATAGAAGCCAAATAGCTAATACAATAAAAGCAGATTGTCTTTTCTCCTCCAGGCTGTTTTTTGCCATTGAGACCATTCACCATTGTCACTAGGTGGTACTGAAGCCTGCCCTATTTCTTGCAAAGGAGATAAAACTTATAACCTTTATCATAACCATGTGTTGTTTGAGATCCTAACACTATTTATTTTCCTGAGCTACATTCTTATTAAGATCTTTTATTTCTTGTCCAGGAAGTAAACAATATAAGTTTATGGATGTAATTCTACCAACTACTATTACAATAATTCCTATACAGGAACTGCTCCCACATATCTAATATTTAGTACCTGCAATTCATTATTATTTATTTTGCTTATTTATTTGTCTAGCAGTTTTGTGGTATCTGTTCACAACCATGTGAAGCAAATTGTCTGTATTGATTAATAAATAACTCATTAATCATAGTGTCAAAAACACTTTTTAAAAGTACTTTATATATAATCACCAAGATTGTGAATAAATTATGAATTAGGAAAGAGACATTCAAATTATCTATAAAACTCAATCAGAAAGCTGGTGACAGAACTGGAACTAAGACCACAGTCTCCTTACTTGTACTACCTTCTATTTTCCATCAATGTATGAATATAGAAATCATATACTGATATATTAAGGTCCAGATGATTGGGTAAAATCAAACTTTGCTTCAGTTTCATTGTTTTTATTTAAAAATGGGAGTTTATCTTTAATCAGTTGATAAGTTAGCTACTGAAATAAACAGAAATAATATGAAGCTTATCAAAACCTCTCTTGAGGCAACACTTTGAAAGATAACCACAAATAAAACTTATGTTCGGCTGGGCGCGGTGGCTCACGCCTGTAATCCCAGCATTTTGGGAGGCCGAGGCAGGCGTATCACGAGGTCAGGAGATTGAGACCATCCTGGCTAACATGGTGAAACCTCGTCTCTTCTAAAAATACAAAAATTAGCCGGACGTGGTGGCAGGCACCTGCAGTCCCACGTACTCGGGAGGCTGAGGCGGGAGAATGGCGTGAACCCTGGAGGCAGAGCTTGCAGTGAGCCGAGATCACCGCACTCCAGCCTGGGGGACAGAGTGTGAGACTCCGTCTCAAAAAAAGAAAAAAAACCAACTTATGTTCTTACAATTTCAATATTCTTATGCATAGGTATGGCAGAATGATACATATTCTAAAGGAAATCATAAAATTTTGGGGGCTAGAATTTATTATTGAGATACATTTTTTAAGAAAGAAATTGACCTAACTGGAGAAGACCAGGTGTCATATGGGTACACACTACATGGAAATCTAGCATGCTGGGAAGGTTGAAATAAAGCGGTATAAAGAAAAAAAAAAGAAACATTAATGAAGAAGTGTTATTAACAGCATACTAGAAGGTCCAAAAGTAGTAAAATGGAGGCAGGTTTAGGGCACACCTTAGAACTGGAAAAGAGATGGGACATCTAATCTCCTTAAAGCAGACGACTGATGAGCTCTTGGCATGCCTAGTTGACAGTAAAAAGCATAGAAGAAATGATGAGAATCTACTTCAACAAAAACTGAATTTGTTGGTTAGAGTTAAGTGATCAAAATCTGATAAGAAGCATGCAAGTAAAGTTAAACAAAATATGAGAAGTGGTATTGTGAAGTGGTTAGCATAATCAAGTCCTGGAACTAGATTATTTAGATTCCTCTACTGGTTCTCTTATGCTAGCTATGTGACCTTGGACAACTGACTTAACATATTTGTACCTTGGTTACTTTATCTGTAATGTGGGGATGATAATCATAATTACTTCACAGAATTTTGAGGTAAATAAAGGTGCTTATATATGCCAACTAAATAAAACGATTTTATTTCAGACAGGTCACTCCATCGCCCAGGCTGGAGTGCAGTGGTGTGATCTTGGCTCACTGCAACCTCGTGGGCTCAAGCAATTCTCATGCCTCAGCCTCCCGAGTAACTGGGACTACAGGCACGGGCCACCACAGCTGGCTAACTTTTGTATTTTTAGTAAAAACAGGATTTTCCCATGTTGGCCAGGCTGGTCTCAAATTCCTGACCTCAAGTGATCCATTGGCCTCGGCCTCTCAAAGTGCTGGGATTACAGGCGTGAGCCACCATGCCTGACCAACAATTTTTATTATACTTCTCAAGTCAGTACACAAAAGCTATTATTAATAGTTGTATTTGTGTGTGAGTTAGAGTTGATATTCCCTATCAATGTATTGGTATATATTCCTGTCATTTCAAAAATAGAATAATTTCAGGTAGCTGAGAGTACAAGCAGATGTACTGTATACCTAGAAATATTAACAGAACAATGGCAGAAAAAGAAAAAGTTAATAATGCATAAACGTGGCTAAAGAAACCAATAGTATTTGAATGTAAAACTTTGTTTTTATTTTGCTACCACCTGCAGAATACTAGACAAAATGTTAGTTTCAAAGAACATTTAGAATGAGAGAAACATTAATGGCATTTAGTAATACTTGGAGCAAGGACCAGGAAGTGAATAAACCCTCCATTTGGGATCCACATAAATGACAGAATGTTAGTGGAATACTTTTCTTCTTGTTTAATAATGTCTTCTGTCAAGGTGAAATATTTTAAACTGAATAAACTGGAATAAAGTCCAGAGAAATTGAACTCCGAGACAATACTTTGGTATTCCAAATGAGCTCAATCCCCTGGCTTATGTGAATTGCACCTTAAGATGGTCATATATTAGAGAAAAATGATGGACTGATTGCACAGGATCTTTAATAAGCAATTAAAATGATGAAAGAACTGTTTTTCCATGGAATATGAAAATGATGTATGAATTTACAAAGTGAGATTCTGTACCAAATTATAAAATAAATTATATATGAGATAATTATCATTATAATTTGGTAATTATAAAACTTATGTAGGAAAAGTTTGGAATTTACCATAATATCTTTGTAATTTATAAAAAACATATAGCAGTGAATCAAAAAATGTTCTCTTTTGTGTTGCGTGGTCAGAGAAAGCTCTAGTTTAATGAAACAAGTCATAACAGATTAGCCTTTCTTTCTCTGTCTCATATATATATATATATCATAAAATATATACATATGATATTATGAGGGGAAAAATCTTGTTGCAAACCTTGCTAAGGACATATACCAAACACCTCCCCCTTTTTGAGGTGAACCTTAGGACTAGCATATGTACTTATACAAATGTTTCTACAAGGTGCTTTCTGATATGAAATATTTGGACTAACACACTATAGAACTGAGTTAAGTTAATAACAGGTTGAGCGAATGTTTTCTCTCCCCAGATCCTAAAGTACAGATTGATAAATTGAGATCAACAAAGATGAAGATATGTAAGAGGACATCTTTAGGATCCTGTCTTCAGATCGGAGTTATTTTCAACATATTAATAATAACCTGGGCCGGGTGAGTGGCTCATGCCTGTAATCGCAGCACTTTGATAGGCCAAGACAGGAGGATCACTTGAGCTCAGGAGTTTGAGACCAGGCTGGGCAATATAGTAAGACCTTGTCTCTATAAAAACTTTGAATAGCTAGAGAATGTGGTGGCACATGCCTGTAGTCTCAGCTACTCAAGAGGCTTAAGTAGGAGGATAACTGGAGCTGGGGAGGCTGTGGTTACAGTGAGCCAAGATCACACCACTGCATCATTTCACCCTAAGTGACAGAGCCGCACCTGGTCTCAAAAAGAAAAAAAAGAGACTAGGATTGCAACCCCTGCCTTTTTTTGTTTTCCATTTGCTTGGTAGACCTTCCTCCATCCTTTTATTTTGAGCATATGTGTGTCTCTGCACGTGAGATGGGTTTCCTGAATACAGCACACTGATGGGTCTTGACTCTTTATCCAATTTGCCAGTCTGTCTTTTAATTGGAGCGTTAAGTCCATTTACATTTAAAGTTAATATTGTTATGTGTGAATTTGATCCTGTCATTATGATGTTAGCTGGTTATTTTGCTCGTTAGTTGATGCAGTTTCTTCCTAGTCTCGATGGTCTTTACATTTTGGAATGATTTTGCAGCGGCTGGTACCAGTTGTTCCTTTCCATGTTTAGTGCTTCCTTCAGGAGCTCTTTTAGGGCAGGCCTGGTGGTGACAAAATCTCTCAGCATTTGCTTGTCTGTAAAGGATTTTAT
The DNA here is from genome assembly GCF_000001405.40 of Homo sapiens. Lineage (NCBI taxonomy): Eukaryota > Metazoa > Chordata > Mammalia > Primates > Hominidae > Homo > Homo sapiens. The sequence continues at coordinate 45,446,808 of NC_000005.10, read as the reverse complement.
TTCTCCTTCACTTATGAAGCTTAGTTTGGCTGGATATGAAATTCTGGGTTGAAAATTCTTTTCTTTAAGAATGTTGAATATTGGCCCCCACTCTCTTCTGACTTGTAGAGTTTCTGCTGAGAGATCCACTGTTAGTCTGATGGGCTTCCCTTTGAGGGTAACCGGACCTTTCTCTCTGGCTGCCCTTAACATTTTTTCCTTCATTTCAACTTTGGTGAATCTGACAATTATATGTCTTAGAGTTGCTCTTCTCGAGGAGTATCTTTGTGGCGTTCTCTGTATTTCCTGAATCTGAATGTTGGCCTGCCTTGCTAGATTGGGGAAGTTCTCCTGGATAATATCCTGCAGAGTGTTTTCCAACTTGGTTCCATTCTCCCCGTCACTTTCAGGTACACCAATCAGATGTAGATTTGGTCTTTTCACATAGTCCCATATTTCTTGGAGGCTTTGTTCGTTTCTTTTTATTCTTCATGTCTAAACTTCCCTTCTTGCTTCATTTCATTCATTTGATCTTCCGTCACTCATACCCTTTCTTCCAGTTGATCGCATTGGCTCCTGAGGCTTCTGCATTCTTCACATAGTTCTCGAGCCTTGGCTTTCAGCTCCATCAGCTCCTTTAAGCACTTCTCTGTATTGGTTATTCTAGTTATACATTCGTCTAAATTTTTTTCAAAGTTTTCAACTTCTTTGCCTTTGGTTTGAATTTCCTCCTGTAGCTCAGAGTAGTTTGATCATCTGAAGCCTTATTCTCTCAACTCGTCAAAGTCATTCTCTGTCCAGCTTTGTTCTGTTGCTGGTGAGGAACTGCGTTCCTTTGGAGGAGGAGAGATGCTCTGCTTTTTAGAGTTTCCAGTTTTTCTGCTCTGTTTTTTCCCCATCTTTGTGGTTTTATCTACTTTTGTTCTTTGATGATGGTGATGTACAGATGGGTTTTTGGTGTGCATGTCCTTTGTGTTTGTTAGTTTTCCTTCTAACAGACAGGACCCTCAGCTGCAGGTCTGTTGGAGTTTGCTAGAGGGCCACTCCAGACCCTGTTTGCCTGGGTATCAGCAGCGGTGTCTGCAGAACAGTGGATTTTCATGAACCGTGAATGCTGCTGTCTGATCCTTCCTCTGGAAGTTTTGTCTCAGAGGAGTACCCGGCCATGTGAGGTGTCAGTCTGCCCCTACTGGGGGGTGCCTCCCAGTTAGGCTGCTCGGGTGTCAGGGGTCAGGGACCCACTTGAGGAGGCAGTCTGCCCATTCTCAGATCTCCAGCTGCATGCTGGGAGAACCACTGCTCTCTTCAAAGCTGTCAGACAGGGACATTTAGGTCTGCAGAGGTTACTACTGTCTTTTTGTTTGTCTGTGCCCTGCCCCCAGAGGTGGAGCCTACAGAGGCAGGCAGGCCTCCTTGAGCTGTGGTGGGCTCCACCCAGTTCAAGCCTGGGGGCTGCTTTGTTGACCTAAGCAAGCCTGGGCAATGGCAGGTGCCCCTCCCCTAGCCTCACTGCCGCCTTGCAGTTTGATCTCATACTGCTGTGCTAGCAATCAGTGAGACTACCTGGGCGTAGGACCCTCCGAGCCAGGTGCGGGATATAATCTCCTGGTGCGCCGTTTTCTAAGCCCGTCAGAAAAGTGCAGTATTCGGGTGGGAGTGACCCGATTTTCCAGGTGCCATCTGTCACCCCTTTCTTTGACTAGGAAAGGGAACTCCCTGACCCCTTGCACTTCCCAAGTGAGGCAATGCCTCGCCCTGTTTCGGCTCACGCACGGTGCGCTGCACCCACTGTCCTGCGCCCACTGTCTGGCACTCCCTAGTGAGATGAACCTGGTACCTCAGATGGAAATGCAGAAATTATCCGTCTTCTGCATTGCTCAGGCTGGGAGCTTGTAGACTGGAGCTGTTCCTATTCGGCCATCTTGGCTCCTCCCCTAATGGGTGCAGCACACCAGCATGGCACATGTAGCTAACCTGCACATTGTGCACATGTACCCTAAATCTTAAAGTATAATAATAATAATAATAAAAGAAAGAAAAAGAAAAAAAGAAAAGAATAAAGTAAAAATAATAACCTGGTTGAAGTCACCAAAGATGCAGCCAACAAAAAGCAAAAAAGAAGTGGCTAGTATGCTGGGTTATAGATTCATATTTAAGAATATCTTGTTATATAAGAAGATGAACTTAGCCTAAGAGAATGGATTTCATATGACAAACATAAGATCCCATAAGAGATTCAGAAAAAAACAAGGATAAGGACAAGTACAAGAATCAGACAAGGCTCAGCCAAAGATGTAAAGCATACTAAGGGTTTTTGTGACTATAACTTCAATATACGACATAATTGAAATACTGCTCATTTTAACTACATAAAGATTCTAAACAATAATATTTTTATTAAAAATAGTTGAATTTTGGTGCCAAATACTAAGATATTTTGATTCCTCAGGCAATTATTTTCTAACTAGTAGATACTTCTTTGAAATGTAAATACTCACTGGCTGTCTGCTTATATTCTGAAATGATGCTTTCAAAACTAATTTAAATTCATTTATAAATTCATTTAAATAAAGACTGTGACAGATTAGTAATTAACTTTGTTTTTAATAGCCTCTTACTGAACTCACTTGATTATTTGACAGAGCATTTAGATATTAAGAAAGCAGTAAAGTACACCTTCATATTATAAAAACCTGCCAAAAGTGTAGCAGAAAGGATGAAATTATGATGAATTGAACAAGAGATTTTATTATTTTTACAGTTAATCTTTTAAATTATGCAAATAGAAAACAAAAGCTCCTTGCTTTGCAACACATTTCTCTGTGTAGTACATTTCTTATGTGTAGCTGCTTTGGGTTCATAACTTTGTATTACTCATTATGGCAGATCAGGATGATGAAATCCTTGACTGAAAAACTTAGAAATGTGTGGCTTTTCTTTCATAAACCATAGACGTTTTGTTTTATAAATATTGATTCTATTTGTCTTTATTACCAGTAATAAGAAAAATCTTTAAAATTGTAACAAAATAGCCTTCTAGATTAAATTAACTATTTGTCAGTTTCTATTTGGAACACAATTAGAGAAAAATATTAAATTATGTTTTAACTTGAGGGAAGAAAGTCAGAAGTTGCATATTTCACAATTCACCAAAAGTAATGTCAGCCCTAACATAAATGTGTTGTATTTGCTAGTTTATTTCATTGCTGATTATTCTCATTGCAAAAAACTTATGGAAAATTAAGCCTACACTTTCCTAAAAATGCTTATCTATATAGAGATAATGGATGAGTTAACGCATCTTTTTTCTATAAATCTTTTAATTGTAAAATTACATTTACTTAGGGGACTTAGGAAAACCTGTTGGAGAGGAGAGTTAAATCTGTATGAAATAAACAACCAACCAAACACCTGTGACTCACCTTCCATGTCATTAAAATAGAACTAATCAAAACCTTTAGATAATGTATTTTTTCATTTACTTTCCTAAAATTTGATGTACAAAAGTTCAAATAGCAAGAAAAATGGAGAAAGTACCTGATAGTTATTCTAAAATTTATGTTAGCCAAAATAATTCTTGGCTATGGAATTAATGCAGGTTCAGTCCAATCCAGTGCCCTGTATATGCCTCTTCGTAGCATACTACAATTGAATATATTATGGTTATCTAAAAACTCCTGGTTATCAAAAAACAATTTAATATTGTCTATCATGTTTCATTTAACATGATGGGAAAGAAAAATCTTACACCAACTTTCGAAGGCAAAATTCCCCTGTAACTATGTGTCAAGCATAACAAGAAAACTTAATTCTCTAAAAATGCTATTTAATATATAAATTGTACTGGATATAGAAAAAGTTAGGTACATGACAAATTGGGGCTATCAAGTTAAACTAGCTCTTGAAGAAAACTACCAATTCAACCAAAAGCTGTTACCCAAATATTCTCTAGCCTAATCAAACTGATTAAAAATTGATAGCAAACTGACATGCCTACAGAAGCCATTCTCATAATATAGATGTATGAATTAGACCAAATGTAAGATAAAAGGCAGCCCATGACTTTGGTGAATTGGTAAAGCATACTCTGTCCAAGGAATGTGCCTACTTCTCAGTTTTATCTAATGATTATCATGTGGAAATGTATGCCTAATGATACCTAGAGTCATCAAGAACAGCTGAATATTCAGATGTTTTTTATTGTAAATGCCATTATATTTTATATATGGTAACTACCTTACATATATATACACATACCTATAGATGCATCTATATGTACAAATAGATATGCATATGCACGTTTTATATTATTTAATATATATACTTATATATCATTTTATATAATTATTGCTTTTAAAAAACAATGTGTTCCAAAGGAAAAAGCTTCAGCAAGCCAGATTTAGAGCCAGCAGGCCCTCAGTTTCCACCTCCTGAAATTAATCAAACATAATTTCGTATGTTCTTATGGTTGAGAACAGAAATGCTGGCTTTGCCTCTAGATATGTTGGTATCTTGTCTCAGACTCCTGCCTTAACAGAATTCTTCCTTTCTCCTCCATTTACAAAAGGGAAGAAAAATCAGTGAATGTAAAAAGCATCTGGGGAAAACAGAAGAAAAGGAATTTGTCTACTTTAGCAGTTCAGCTGGACTTTGAAGATTTGTTGCCCTAATTTGAATTCCTTTTCACATGAATTTAACTGGTTTGACAACTTGCTTCAATAATAATATGATAAATTATCAAACAGCTTATGTCTGACAGATCAAGCCTAGATAAAATACATAAATAAAGTTAAAAGGACACAACAGACAAACAACAGACAAGTTAAATAAAGACTTTGCATGAGAATTCTTTATTGTTGCAAGGGAAAAAATAATATTAAAATATTTTAGTTGTGATATTCCTGTAAAACAGCATACATTAACCTTGCAGAATTTGTTGAGCATTAAGGGTTTTCTTAAAGTTAATGTCTCCTGTCTTCTTCAATTCTCATGTTACCTATTGTTGAGAAACATATATTGAGCACTCCATTAATTAATAAATCAAGAGCTAGAGCTTTACTGCATCCATAGCCATAATAAACAGTTACCAGACTCGGGGAACCTGAGATTCTAGCTTTCTATTCCAAATATTTCATTTAAAGAAGATTTTTCTTAATTATTTTAATTTCTTAATCCACATGTCAGTGATAAAATAAAAATATTTCAAGCATATTAATCGTATCACAAGAGTTGTTGTTCAGTTTTAAGTATATGGTGTCCAGGCTGGACTGAAAAAGATTTGGTAGAGTATTGCATGTGCAAGGTATAACACCCCTTCCCATACCACAGGATCAATTTGCCTCCACTTGTTTTCTTGAGATTAGGATGTATTAAATAGTATCAATCTATTTATATATCTTCCCTCCCTCCCTCCCTCCCTTCCTTCCTTCTTTCCTTCCTTCCTTCTCTCGCTCCTTCTTTGCTTCCCTCCCTCCTTCATTTCTTCCTTTCATGTTTTCTGTCTCGAGTAGCTATTCTTATATGCTTTGATCTAATGGCAAATATATTGATAATAAAACAAAGTCTTTTCCTCATAGTTGTCTGTTTTTCTCAGAAAAAAATAGAACATAAACAAATTAAACAGCTATAAAATATGTCAAGCAGCACAAACTATGTTACAAAATTTAAAGCAAGGAAACAGAATACTGTAACCTGGGTCAAGCAGATCTTTCAAAAATAGAATAGTTCCTATATGCCATCCCCAAAAAGATGACATTTAATCAGAAAACTCAAGGAAATGAAGGAAGAAGTTATGCTAATATCTGGAAAAAGAATAATCCAGAAGGAAGAAACAGCAAGTGCAATATTGGCTGGTGTGGCTGGAGTGGAGTGAGAGAGAAGAACAAAAATAATGTTAGAAGATGTGTAGGAGCCAGCCAAATCCCAATGGGTCTTGTAAACCATAGAAAGATTTGGGGTTCTGTTCTTGGTAAAGTGAAAAGCTAAATGAGGCTGAGTTTCCTATGTTGTGATAGTTTCTACCAGGGTTGAAGACAGAAGAGAGTGCTATTTTGCTATTTTACAGAATAGCTACAGCACCAGGAACTAAAGTGCCTGTGAGCAAATGTTTAAGTCAGTACACAACAAGTAAGTGGTTTGGGCAGAACAACACAGCAGTTGGCAGTGAGCAATAAATGCTTGAGGTAGACAAAACAGAGCAACACGCAGCAGCACAGGGAGTTTGATGTGAACTAGTCAGGGTTAGCAAGGAAAACAGCAGCTCACTTCACCCTGGGGGAGAGCAAGAACACAGTGGCCTACCTAAGTATATCAGACTTATTTGAAAATGTGTGTCATATTTCTGAGTATTAGTGGGTAGTCACAAGAGGGGCATGAGTTTCTTGGTTATGAAGGAAGAAGCAGCTATGAATATAATTTAAATATAAGTATTAAGCAGACATAATGTTATTCTAGGGGGGAAATTATTCACTCTTTCATTCTGTCAGTCAACAAATATTTCTTGACTGTTCTTTGCCAGGCAGTGTTGTAGGCATTATTATCTTACCCTGGGAGTTCTACATTCTAATTGAATTTGTTCCTATATAAGGACTAATTGAAGGTAAACTTGATTTCCTCAAGTATAGTAATCAGTGAAGATAAACTAAAACAAATGTTTGGTTTCTGACAGTCTTGGACCTTTAGTGATGCTTGAACTTTTTGATCTAAGTTTCTATCTTTATTATTTGAAAAAATTCTCAACTTTTACTCCAAATTGAGGTTGATCCTTTATCTATATATGTTATATAATAATAGTACATTACATTATATGATACTATATAATACATTATATAATATTATCATTATATATTATATATGATATTTAATAATATATTTTTGTTATATTTTTATAATTACATACAATATGACTAATATAATGTATATTATGTACTATTCTATATAATATTTTATCAAATGTTAGTGTTTTATGTTTCTTCGTACCTTCCTGCCAGTCTCCTTCAATATCATCTGTTCCAGGAAGTTTGTCTTCGTCTGTGAACTAGCATTTATATCACATAAAATCATTAGCTAGCTATTTTAAAATGCTGCTACTACAATTATAAAAATAATATCCTGTTGGTTAGCTGGCCATCATTTCTTAATTCTGGAGGGAATCTTCAGTGTCTCTGAACCATTTGCACTGTATCACTCTACTTACATCATGATACAGCGCAGTTGGAATAACTTCATGGAAATAAAAACAGAACTCTGTTTAAATAAAAAGGGAGATTTGAATTTGACAATTTTTCTCAAAAATAACATTAATTTACAGTCTTTGCCGTTTTAACCCATCATTCATTACACTTCATTTTTCTCTTTTGCTAAAAGATAAAAACTTACTAGAAAATATTAAATAACTCTATACATTTAATTTGAAGGTTAAGGTATCATTTGGCCCATTACATATCCCCAATAATATTATTTTTTTAATGTGAAATTTGTTTTCATCATATGTGCTCTACAGCCACTCTAATATGTATATGGAATTGTATTTGAGAGAGATTTTGGGAGCCATTATATTAAGCTTACTTATCACTTCTCTGAAAGAGAGAAACTTACACTAAAATTCATAAGGAAAATATTTCTTAGTGACCTTCCAGTGAAATTTTAATGGGCTATTGGTACTTGAAAATAAACAAGATAATCATATTATTAAATTGAAATAGTGCTTATTAAAAATATAATCACGAGTGAGAATGCATACAGATCATCCCTTGGAATATATTTTTGAGTTCTATAAGATTTATAAATTTTCTTTTGACAAAAGAAAGATTTGTTGAGTCTAAGGGTATTCCTATCTTATTAGGCAATTTATAGCTGTCCATAATTATAGTCACAGGGGTTGTTATGAAAAGAGACATAATTTAAATCCATACTCTTTCTATAGCTAGGGCTAGTAGAAACATATTAGTCACTATTGTAGACCAAATTAAAGAGTATATTCCTTTTTCTACTTGTTCCTTTACTTTAATAATTGTGCTTACTATATGTTAAGAAACCTGACGTGTACATCATCTCATTTAATTTTTACTAACTCCAAAGTATACATAACTGATTCCAATTTTATGATAAAGAAACTGGAGTTCTGAGTAGTTAATATCACTCACTGTAAATAGTAGAGCTGCAATTTAACTCAGGTGTTTTGTTGTTTTTGTTGTTGTTGTTTGTTTTTCTTTTTTTGTTTGTTTTGTTTTTTTTTTTTTGAGACGGAGTCTCGCTCTGTGGCCCAGGCTGGAGTGCAGTAGCGCGATTCGGCTCACTGCAAGCTCCACCTCCCAGGTTCACGCCATTCTCCTACCTCAGCCCCCCAAGTAGCTGGGACTACAGGCACCTGACACCACGCCCGCTAATTTTTTATATTTTTAGTAGAGACGGGGTTTCACCGTATTAGCCAGTATGGTCTCGATCTCCTGACCTGGTGATCCGCCCTCCTCGGCCTCCCAAAGTGTCATATGTGTTTTTAATTCCCTACCTCAAGAGCTCTTTAACATCTTAGCCATTCTGTATCAACACATGGGACTCTACTTTCAATCTTCTATCAGTTTAACTCCAGCTTGGCATATCTTGTAGATGATCAAAATTGGATGTGTTAACATGTTGCTTTTTCATTTGGTGTGGTAGACATCTCCCAATGGTACTACTTTGTAGTATTCTAACCCTAATAAATTCCCTCTTACATAGTGCCAAGGTTGGCCTGTGTTACCAATAAAATATGTTAGAAGTTATGATATGTCACTTATGAGATTAGGTCACCTTCTATCTTGGGTTCTTTCTTGGATCACTTGTTCTGGGAGGGGCCTGCTGTTATGTATGAGCTGCCCAATGCAGAGCCACTGAAGCCTCCTGCCAATACACACATGAAAAGCTGAAAGTGGATCCTCCAGCCCTTCAGATGAAGCATTCCTATCTGACTTCTGTACTGACTCTGTCAGAAGAGATCCTGGGCCAGAAGGACCCAGCTAATCTCCTTGATTCCTGATTATCAGAAAGTGTAAGAAATAATAAAGTATTCTTTTAAACTGCTAAGTTTCAGGGTAACTTGTTATACAGCAATAGATAATTGTTGCACCTGGCATTGTATCTTGTATTTTTTGTCAGCATAGCCAAGGAAGCTTCCAAGCCATTTCTCTTCTTCACTGACTCCAGTGACTCAAATGTCACACTCTTTATGAAAATGTTTATTCACCTTAGTAGTCTCAGAGTTTAAAGTTGTGACCTCAGCTAACAGCATAATGTGACAAATTTGTTGTGTGCATACCATGAATGTGAATGGATGAGACTAGAAAAAGGTATTCTTGGAAATAATAAAATCACTTTATTCAAATACTATACATTTATAATTAGCGGTTATTTGGCAAGAACCAGAATGAAATTTGCCTTTCATTATCTATAAAGAAAATATTACTGAGAAAATGTAAAAGCCTTGGTTTGTAAAAAAGAAATTGAAATATATTAACTAAAAACATTTTCAGAGTTTGTGTTTTATAATCACATTGACAAGAAATTTACATTTATTTATGTTGATGGCTATGATACAATGGAACTGATTCTCTTATGTGGCTTGATCATACCCGATTCATTCATTCTTTCTAAAATTATTATATGTATTAAATTAGTACCCTATTGTGTACATTTAAGCATATGTTTGCTGATGTAATTCCCAACTGCTAGCTAACTGAACAATAAAACTGCATGCATTTCTTTTGAAACGAATCTGATACTGACTTGCCACCAATTTGGATTTGCCATATACACATGGGTTTATAGTAGGGATGTTTTGACATAAAGGAGGGAGTATTGTGCAGGGCATAGAGTACTAGATAATTAGGAAAACTAGATTCTAATCCAAGTTTTCATTTACTGTATTATTTAATCTGGTTGATCGGACTTATTTTCTCTGGTCTCTTTTTGCTCATCTGTAAAATGAGGGAGCTAGGCTATATGTAGTTAGCCTTGGAATTCTTTATTCCAACAAAAAGTGCAGAACAATATGTCAAATAAATAACTGACTATGTGAATAGAAGCCTAGATGATCTGGCCCAAAGTACGGGTGTGGTCCTGGAGCCCAGACTTTATCTCTCCAAGTCCTTCAAAGGCCTTGTCAGTGTTACTGGGACCATGGTATGACTATTGTATTTATAATATTGTAATTATTCAGTAGAAAACATTTAATAAAATATATATACTACTTGCCATAGCAAACTGAGATTGAGTAAAGTGATTTTCTTTTGGAGTTCTTCTTAGTTCATAATTACTTCATTTTACTGGTTTATCATTAAATTATCACTATTTTATTATTCTATCATGATTGGTGACCTCTGTACAGTGACCTATATTAAAATTCAGTGGATTGAATTAGCCTCCCATATGAAGTATGTAAATGTAGCAAGTAACTCAGGTATGGTACAATGCAGAACCTCCCCCCTGCCTTAAGCAACAGATGTTTGAGCTAAGAACATCTGGAGCATTCACATAGTTAGTTGGGTTTAGGTAGGGAATTCATTATTGGCATTGTATGCTGGGCTTAGTTAAAAGCTGATTGGACAAACCCTAAAACTCTGAGTAATCTTCTGCCAAAATGAAATAAAAACTGTGGGAATGAATAAATCTGTGCCATAAGGAGTCTTCTCCAGTGACATTCACAGAAGCCATACAGCAGATTGCACACAAGTGCTGTCTATACATTCTTATAGTCATGTATTTATATGTATGTCAGTTAAATGTTTGTAAATATAGAGAAAACTGAAGCTTCAATTATTTTTTTCAGCATGCATGGAATAATTCAATAATTCAAGAAGTCCAGATAAAATGCTGAAATAATGGAATTTTATTGGCGGGGGTCTATAGAACAGACCCCACTGTGAAAAGCACACTCTTGGACACTTGTTCATGTATCATTTGTTGTAGGATTTTCCCCCTGAAATGTTCTATAGGAGAATAGTTCTGTCATAATTACTAATTTTGTGGTGTTTTTGTGAGTTTATCTCTAGTATCTTTTTTTGGTATATTTGCGGGAATTGATTCTTCTTTAAAGAACGTTAGAAGAAAATGTCATTGAGAATTTTGATTAGTAGATTCCAGCTTATCAAAGTCTCATTTAATATCTTTTCTTCTTCTCTTTATTGATATTAAACCCACACCCCATCTCATAAAGTGTTATGTATGGCAAGTGTATTCTTGTAAATCTAGCAGATCTCTGTGATTTGTTTTCATTACATTGAGTCATTGTCATTAATAAGGTCTAACAGTTGCCTGAGCCTTTTCTAAAATAAAAAATATGATATTATCTTATTGATATAGTTTTCTAATTGTCTAGAACCTAGTTACCAAACAGCAAAATGTATTTCATATTGATTTTACAGGCTATCTTAACCAAAAATTTAATTGAATATTGGAATGACTGATGTTTCAGAGGAAGTTAGAAAAATAATCAACTTTTTAAAAATTTTAAAGTGAAATATGCATTTTATTTACTAATTCTGTTCTGCAAGAGATATATCAGAAGAATAAAATACCATGATAACATGCAAGCTTCAGTCATCGTATCAATACATTGGGGAACTATTTGATTTTCCTGCACAAATAAATTTACTTTTTAAATATATAAATTAGTGATTTGATGATAAGTATATAAATTAGTCATTTGATGATATGCTTTGTAAAACTGTACTGTAAAATATACCTTAAATTAGTTAGATGTTTTCTTTTTGACAAAAATATAAATAACAGTATTCTTATACTGACATATTGGATGTTGTTAATTAGCTTTGACTTTGTGCCCTCTTCAATTAGTCTTAACATAAAGACAATATAGCAAGTGACATTTTTTAAAAAAAATAAAGATGATCTATGACTACAATATTCTTTAAATATCTATTGGCTCTTTTGGATGATCAGGACTATAATTCTTTTATAATATAGATATATATGTTATGAAAATAGAACTTCACTTTGATTATTCTCTATTTTTTCTTTAAAAGTTTTAAAAGACCCAATGATGCCATACTCCTTGCATTGTTGTAAGACTTATAAAACTCTCTATAAAATGCTTAGCATATCTGGCATATAGTCAACACTCAAAATATTAGCTATTACCAATATAATCCTCTATGTGCCAAAATTTGACAAAATTAGCAATTTTCAAATCACCCATACTCTTTGTCATTGTTCAGACATTGGCCAAATGCCTTCTCAATCTGCAGCTTTGCATAGTGATGATTTTAACTCTCATTTAATTTATTCTAAAAAATGTCAACTGTTCCTCCTCCACGTTCTTGTATCTACTTTAATTTCTACGTTCTAGTATGTATCTTAGTGTTCTTTAGTTCCACCATCCATCTTGATTCCTACTGAATAAGCTTTGTCTAACATGCAAATAGTCTTTGTTTCACTTCAGAAGGCTGCCTGCGGATGTCCATTTCAGAGCTGTGTAAACCTTTTGGATTGAAACAGTGCTGGTGCAGATGTCCTAAAGGACAGACCACAAGTGTGTCTCCAAGGGTATTACCAATAATTAGGAACCCATCATCTTGTACAAGTTTATAAAAATGCATATTATACCACTTTCCCAGTAAAAGAGAGAAAATAGGTTGCATCAGAAGACTCAGATATTAAGTCTATAAATTCTTCAGAAGCAACTTAAAATTCATTTTATTGTACTCTCCCTAGAGGAGAAGTGAAAAGCAATCTTTGAGCTATTAAATCACCTGTGCTGAATACACCTTTGGGGGAGTGAGGAATTAACCTCAGTATTTCTCTGACACTGGGACACCACTCCATTTGCTTAACTAATATACCATGCATGGATTAATCTCCTCCTTAAATCACATTAGTTAAGTTTAAGGATAAACCAACTATTTTTATATCCTATCCTCCCACACCATGTGATATTTTGCCAATTTGAATTGTCATTCAACAGATATTGATTGAGCACCTACTATACATTAGGCATGTGCTAAGTCTTGCTGGCACAATGTAGAAAGGAAAGGCATTTTTTTCACTTTTGCTTCTCCTCAGGAAATAAAATTATCTAGTTTGAAATGGTGCATTTCTCAGGCATTTGAACCTTCAACAAAACACATAAAAATTGCATATTTTGCCAGGCTAATGACAGAAGAGGAAGAAGGAAGAGAAAAATACATCAGCAGCTGTGCTTTAGTGCCTATAAACAAGAATATGATGACAGGAATGTATCTGCATATATCAATACTAACTTTGAATGTAAATAGGCTAAATGCCCAAATTAAAAGGCACAGAGTGCCAAGTTGGATAAAGAAGCAAAACCCAATGGTATACTGTCTTCAGGAGACCCATCTCGTGTGCAGCGATACCCAGAGACTCAAAGTAAAAGGATGTAGAAAAATCTGCCAAGCAAACAGCAAACAGAAAAAAAGCAGACATTGCTATTATAATTTCCGATGAAACAGACTTTAAATCAAAATCTCCACACAATAATAATAACAACATAAACTTCAGGCTAATATTTTTGATGAACAGAGATACAAAAAGTTTTCAACAAAATACTAGCAAACTGAATCCAGCAGCACATCAAAAAGCAAATACATCATGATAAAGTAGGCTTTATTCCTGGGTTGCAAGGTAGTTCAGCGTACTCAAATCAACAAACGTGTCCATCTGATATGATTTGGCTATATCCCCACTCAAATTTCATCTTGAATTATAGCTCTCATAATTCCCATGTGTCATGGGAGGGACCTGGTGGGAGGTAATTGCGGTCATGGGGGTCTTTCCATGTGCTGTTCTCATGATACTGCGTAAGTCTCATGAGATATGATGGTTTTATAAAGGGGAGTTCCCCTGCACACACTCTCTTGCCTGCCTCCATGTAAGACATAAATTGTGACTTTGCTCCTTGTCTGCCTTCCACCATGAGGCAAACACCTCGTTTGCCTCCCTAGCCATGTGAAACTGCGAGTCTATTAAACCTCTTTTTCTTTATAAATTACCCAGTCTCAGATATGTCTTTATTAGCAACATGAGAACAGACTAACACACCATCACATAAATAGAACTAAAAACAAGAACCACGTGATTATCTCAATATATGCAGAAAAGGCTTTTGATAAAATTCAACATCTCTTCATATGAAAAGCCCTCAACACACTAGGCCATGAAGGAAATACTTCAAAATAGTAGGAGCCATCTATGACAAACCTATAACCAACATCATACTGAATGGGCAAAAGCTGAAAGTATTCCCAATGAAAACTGGCACAAAACAAGGATGCCCTCTCTCACCACTCATATTCAACATAGTACTAGAAGTCCTAGAGCAATCTAGTACTAGAAGCAATCTAGTCCTAGAGCAATCTAGTACTAGAAGTACTAGAGCAATCAGACTAGAGAAGGAAAGAAAAAGCATCCAAATGGGAAGAGATGAAGTCAAACTATCCCTTTGCAGAGAAAATGATTCTATACCTAGAGAACCCCATAGACTCTACCAAAAAGCTCCTTGATCTGATAAACAACTTCAGCAAAGTTTCAGGATACAAAATCAGTGTACAAAAATTAATATCATTCCTATACACCAACAACATTCAAGCTGAGAGCCAAATCAGGAAAGCAATGCCATTCAAAGTAGTCACAAAAAGAATAAAATACCTAGGAATACAGCAAACTAGGGAGGTGAAAAATTGCAATAAGAACTGCCAGACACTGCTCAAAGAAATCAGAGATGACAGCGACAAATGGAAAAACATTATACGCTCATGGATAGGAAAAAATCAATATCGTTAAAATGGTCATGCTGCCTAAAACAATTTGCAGATTCAATGCTATTTGTATGAAACTACCAATGACATTCTCATAGAATTAGAAAAAAGCTATTTTAAAATTCATATGAAATCAAAAAAGAGCCTAAATAGCCAAGGCAATCCTAAGCAAAAAGAGCAAAGCTGGAGGCATCATGTTATCCGACCTCAAACTGTGTTACAAGCCTACAGTAACCAAAACAGTATGGTGGCGCTACAAAAAAAGGTACATAGACCAATAGAGCAGAATAGAGAGCCCAGAAATAATGCTACACACCTATAATCATCTTATCTTTGACAAAGTTGACAAAAACAAGCAACGGAGAAAGGACTCCCTAGTCAATAAATGGTTTGGGGATAATTGGTTAGCCATGTGCAAAAGATTGAAACTGGATCCGTTCCCTATACCATACACAAAAATCAACTCATGATGGATTAATGACTTAAATATAGAACCTAAAACTGTAAAGACCCTGGAAGATAACCTAGGAAATACCATTCTGGACATAGGAACCAGCAAATATTTCATGATAAAGATGCCAAAAGCAATTGCAACAAAAGCAAAAATTGAGAACGGAAACCTAATTAAGCTCAAGAGTTTCTGCACAGCAAAAGAACCTATCAACAGAGTAAACAGACAGCATAGAGAATGTGATAAAATATTTACAAACTATGCATCAAAGTCTAATATCCAAAATCTATGAATAAATTAAATTTACAAGCAAAAAAACAACCCCATTAAAAAGAGGGCAAAGGACATGAAGAGACACTTTTCAAAAGAAGACATACATGCAGCCAACAAGTGCATATGAAAAAGTATTCAACATTACTAATCATTAGAGAAATGCAAATCAAAACCACAAATGAGATGCCATTTCACACGATTCAGAATGGCTACTAGTAAAAAGCCAAAAAATAACAGATGCTGGTAAAGTTACAGAGAAAAGAGAATGCTTATACACTGCTGCTGGGAGTTTAGTTCAACCATTGTGGAAAGCAGTGTAGCAATTCCTCAAAGAACTTAAAACAAGATTATAATTTGACCCAGGAATCCTAATATTGGGTATATACCCAAAGGAATATAAATCATTGTATCATAAAGACACATGGCACATATATTCATTGCAGCACTATTCACAATAGCAAAGACATGGAATCAGCCTAAATGCCCATGAATAGTGGAGTAATTTTTCTTTTTTTTGAGGCAGAGTCTCGCTCTGTCGCCCAGGCTGGAGTCCAGTGGTGCGACCTCAGCTCACTGCAAGCTCCACCTCCCATGTTCACGCCATTCTCCTGCCTCAGCCTCCTGAGTAGCTGGGACTACAAGCGCCCGATGATGGAGTAAATTTTAAAAAATGTGGTATATAAACACCATGGGATACTACACATCCATAAAAAAGAACAATATCATGTTCTTTGCAGCAACATGGAGCCCAAGGCATTATCCTAAGTTAACTAATGTAGGAAGAGAAAGAATAATACCACATATTCTCGCTTATAAGTGGGAACTAAACAATAAGAACACATGGACACAAAGAGGGGAGCAGCAAACACTGGGGCAGACTTGAGGGTGGAGGGTGGGAGAAGGGAGAGAATAAAAAAAAAAAAACTACCTATCTGTTATTATGCTGATTACCTGGATGACAAAATAATCTGTACACCAAACCCCTAAGACACACAGTTTACCTATATAACAAACCTACACATGTACCCCTGAACCATAAAATAAAAGTTAAGAATCATCGACTATAACATGGTCTTACCACTTTTGAGATCAACTCAGCAAATTGCTGTGGCTAAGTCACATTTTTAGTCATGTCAGTGTTACCTATTCTTTCTGTAATTAGGATCTGCCTAATTGTAAGACAGATAATTTGATGAATGTTGGAGTTTTATTCTTTTATATTAATTTTATTATCCAGGGATTTATAAGAAATAATATATTGGAAGATTTTTGTTTTGTGTTTGTATTTCTTTATGCCTAGAGTCTTTGTACTTATAATAGCTCAATTCTTATTTATATTACTGCTTACGGAACATTATCTTGCCTTTCTTAAAAAAAAAAATCCATCTTTGATATCATTACTGTACTGTTAACTACCACTCCATATTATAGTCTATCCCCACCACTTCTCCCCTATGCCCCATGAAAATTACTTTCCTATGTTGTTTGAAGGTCTCATCTCCAGGCTCACTGTCAGTGTGTCCACTACTACTTCTGCTATTTTTCTTCTGGATTTCAGTATCCAAATAGATGACTCTTTCACCTCCTTCGATGACCTATCTGCCAGCCTACCACAGCCACTCACTCTTAAGCTCTTTGCCCAGACACTTTCATTACCAATTCAATATTCCTTCCAAAATCTCAAACATTCTGCTTTCTGGCCATGAGTTCATAGCTTTCCAGTTTATTCCCTCTATTTTCTCAATTCCAGAAATGTTTACAGCCCACTGGGAAATTAAATCAATTAATTGATTGCACCTTTTTTTTTCTTATCTGTCATGCAACTCGTGTCCTCACATTCACCCCTCTCAAAAGAGATGAGCTCTCCCTCCCCAGCCATTAGCCCCAGCTGAGGTTTTAATACACAGCCAGCACTAACTTGTCAGCTATGTGAGTAAGGGATATATATTGGAAGTGGATTATCTAGCCCCGGTTGAGAAGCCCCCATATAAAGCTGAACAGATCAGAGAAGAGCCATTCTTGCTGAGCCCTGCCCAAATTTCACATTCCTGGGAAAAGTAAATGATTGTTATTTTAATCCACTAACTTTTGGGCTGGTTTCTTTTACAATAATGTATAACTAGAAGAGGTGGCTATTGAGACAAAATCTTGAGATTGTCATTGCCATCATTTCTTATAAATTCTGTGATTCTCAGAGTGCACATTAACTTCTTTGAGCATCAGTTCCATCACCTATAAAGATAATAATAATTCAAACCTCTAAAGGTTATTTTGAGGGCTAAATGACAATGCATTCAAAGCCCTTAGAATACTTTATTCAAAATAATTTGTCAAGTTCCTGGCTAACATTACTATTATTTTGTACTAGGTATTTTCCAGTTGGGTACAGAATATTGTTTCCATTTTTTCTCTCAAGCCTTTATTGACTTCCTTATGCACTTTTCCGATTACATATGAAACATTATATTGTGTATAATATATATAGTACATTAATATTTTATTTAGCTTTTTAATCTTTCCTATCCTTTCCTTGCTATTTCAGCTTTTTCTGTCATTTCAGTGGACTGTTACTCATTCCAGCCTTTCTATCTTTTTGCTATATTATTTCAAGCCCAAATTTGGTTTCCAAATGCTGCAGGGTGATAACAATGCATTAATTTAATAATAAATGAAAGATATTAAATCAGTTCAAATCATACTAAATGTTTAATATAAAAATGTGCAGTTGCCTTTATTGCTAGTAAAACAAAGTTAAAAATTAAATGTGTATATAAATTAGCTATTAAATACTTAAATACAAAATTTGCTAATGTAATTCATTTTTACAAATTTATGAGTACACAGTGAATTAGAGTGACATGAATTTTTTTTAAATGAATGATTCTAAATTTCTTCAAGTTAGCAATAAGATAGTTGAAAAGCAAGTTAATGATAAAGAAGAAGGGAAAGTAAGGACCCAAGAGAAACTTGACATTGATCATCAAAATTCTAAATAAAATAAACTCATTAACATTAACAGGAGAACTGAACTCCTAGAAGAAAATTTGAAACTGACCAAAATCATCTCTAAAAATCAAATTGTACAATATATCAATTGTTTCATAGTGAGACTAGGAGTAGTAGTTCTGTTTTTTTCAAAGTATTTACAAATGTTGCATCTATCATATGCCAGGTGCTTTGCATTCATTATCTTATTTAATTCTTTTAATGTTTCTATGAGTTTTATCCATAGATAAAGAATAGAAGTGAATACAGGTTCATAGATATTAAGTGGCTTGAACAATGAAAAACAGCAAGTAAAAAACCAAGTAAGAATTTTACTTAAGAACCATCTAACTCTACAATACACCCTCTTTCCACCATACTACAGATTTCACAGGCTGAGGATATAAAGTTCTCCTTCAGATAATGCTCTAAAATTTTGAAAATGGAGCATAATGAAAAAACTATCTTCATACAATCATAGCAAAGCAGGATCTGTTTTCAGAGCCAAGTTGAGCAAGGACCTGAATACTCTCTTGTAATACTCTTATGCTACATGACATAAAAACATTTTATACTTTGTTTTAATGTAAAAATGTTATCAATAACTATAGTCAACAAGCACAAGAACAAATAAAAGCAATTTAGTGCAACCAAACATTTGATATATGTATCTATATCTTAGGAATATTACATTTTACCAACACTAATTATTGATCAATGTAATTATAACTTTTCCCCAAAAATTATGTTGTCAAAAATCTAGATTTTGGTCACATCTAACAAAACACCTGACTGCTTTGCAAGTTAATTTGTAGGATACCTAGGAATAGTATAGGAAGAGAGATTGAACAGATTTTGGAGAAAACATAAATATTCAGATATTTTAGAAAGAGGCAAAGATTTTTTATTAGCAGAACAGTTATAAGACTTAATGTTAACTATAAAAATAGAACTAAAACCTAAAAACTAAAACCTGGATTTGGTACCACTTGTCATAAAAAATAAACAAGATAAGCCAGTGTACTACATTCTGGGAACAGCCACTAGTTCTTTTGTATTTTTTTTTTCTGTTTTGCTTTTGACATTTAAAGGTAGAAAATTGTGATGTATTCAGCCCTTGGTATCTTGGTATCTTAGAAACAAGCAGCTTGTAAGAAGCACCTTAAGAAGAAAACATTTTAAGAAAAATACAGCTGACCAATGTCAACATGCTGTGTAGGAGTCAACTCATAGAAAATGCTGGTATGCAAAAAGAATTTAACCTTATCTCATTTGAAGCACGGCAAGACTACTCGAATATGTGTGTCATATTATAGGTATGTATTATGAATTAAAATTCATATTATAATATAATGAATATGTATATTTATTATAATTATAGCCATATAGTATAAAACATTGCAAGACTGTTGAGTATACCTTTCATGTGACATAGAAACTGCTAAATTTTATTACAAATTCAGATTACATAATTACTTTTGTCTACACTATAGTTTAAAATTTTTCCTTTAGTTTAGCAGGCAATTGGAGAAGAAATGTAAGGTTTTTTATTTTTAGTACAGTTAAATACATAAACACACATTCTCAGATTTCATATGAAGAGCAGACTTGAGTGCTTCTGAATTCTTCTCAGGGACTGTATTAGTTCGTTCTCATGCTGCTAATAAACACATACCTGAGACTGGGTAATTTATAAAGGAAAGAGGTTTAACGAACTCACAGTTCCACACAGCTGAGGAGGCCTCACAATCATGGCAGAAGGGGAAGAAAGAGCAAAGTTATGTCTTACATGCCAGCAGGCAAGAGAAAGTATGTGCAGGGAAACTCCCCTTTGTAAAACCATCAGATCTCATGAGACTTATTCACGATCATGAGAACAGCACAGGTAAAACTCACAACCACGATTCAATTACCTCCACCAGGTCCCTCCCATGACATGTGGGGACTATTACAATTCAAGGTGAGATTTGGGTGGAGACACAGAACCAAACCATATCAGGGACATATCCTGTTTGTTTAAGTTCTTGCTCCCATGAAGAAAAGAGAGAGATTTCCATGACTAACCATTCACATTAGCTCCATAATCCATTTGTTTGGAGGTTTCCAAATAAGTGAGCCCTAAAATGGACAGAACAAAAAGGTATTCACCATACATGTAAATATTGCAACGTAAGAATCACATGCATGAGATTCATCATACTTGATTTCAACAATTTTTGCCTATTCAAACAGTTAAATGGAATTAACTACAGAGAAAGATGAAACCCTACTTTAAGAGAGGAGAGGCGGCATAGAAGAATCTTGTTTATCCTGGCTCAGGAACATATATACCTAGTACCTATCTTCTCATTCCCACAGAATTACAACAACACCATTAATCAGCTCATTTTTGCTTTCACATCAAGTTCTAGTTTGTTATATGCTTTTTATGTGTTCTATCTTTTGTCATTCCCAAGCATCTGTCTTTTTCAAGTATTATTTCATATTTAGGTTACAAACGAAATCCCTTAGTTAATCTGCCAGCCTCCCTTCTCTCCTGACTTGATTCCGTATCACACTCTTCTGTCGGTAAAATCTCTTAATCAATGAATAAAATCACAATACATTTCTATCCTTGAATTCCAATGATTCTTTTCTAAATCTCTAATTCATTTTAAAATGTGTAGCATAGAATTAATTCAAAGCTCTTCCTCAAATGGCTCAAACTACTTCATTACTTAGTCCTTTACAAAGTAGTTGTTTCTTTGTTCTAATTTACTGGGAATTAGATTATTTTCTCCTCTAAATCTTTATTTCTCCTGCCCTCTCTTTCGATCACTACCATCCTCATATGAAATTTCTTCTGCCATCTTCTCAGCTAAAATCACTAACTTACCCAGTTCTACTTGAAAGTATTATTTGACATCTTGATGTGATTACTAATATGTTAACAAGAATTATCCTAGAGTTATTTTATGCACTTTTGTAATTAATGTCAAAGGATTTAATGAATGATTTTTGAGTTTATCAAATGATCAAATAAATGAATTTCTTGGTATTAAGTGAAATGCCACACAGATGGAGTTAATTATAATTATGTGCATATAAACTGTGTTAAGTACTTAATTGAGTGATGCACAGGGTAAGAAGGCAGAAGCTGTTAAGTGTGGGCATATACCACTGCAGTTAACTTATGCTGTTGATTTTATATTATGCCCGGCAATAGGGACTAGTTTAAAAGTTTGGCAAGAAAAAGTACAAACCACCACTTATCCCTTGCTGTCAGTTACAGTGTGCCAGGCATTATATTCTAGGTAATTGTAATAAAACATCGATGCCATTTTCTCCGGTTTAATTATATTCAAATGACAAACACCCAAACTATGGACCGTTAATGAGATTGATAAGAAATGACCCCTTGATTGAAAACATCTATTATAATTAGTGATGATATGGATAATTTCCTATGTGTAATATATAAACTACATGTGTATATGTATATGCATGTATATACACAGTATGAGAGAAATGAATGTGCTTTCCAGGATAGACAACAGCAGTAAACGTTATTTTTCTATCGCATTGTTTATTTAATCTAATCTTATTCATTAATGGAGAACTAAAATACTAAGACTGCAACTCTGTATTCTAGATACATTTTCAACATTGTCAGTAATAAACAGCAAAAATATATATAATAGGAAAGTGCTAAAGTTATTTTTAAAAATCTCCAAATGTAGTTTATGAAATAATTTAATAATATTTGTGATTTTATATTGCATTTCATGGCATCTTATTAGTGAAAGTAATACTGTTTCCCCAGATTTTGGAACATTTTGGCAAATTTGATTATGAAGAATTTTTTTCTCTCCTGTGTTGTGATTCTGAACCATATGTAACCTGACTCAAAAAATAAATTTAATCTTCTTATTTTCTGCAGAAATTATTAGGACTTGATTTCATGGTGTGTTTTTAAAAGAGAGGAAATTAATATGTTGACACGATTCTTAGGCACAGCTTTAATTTTAGTTGTTGTTGTTTTTATTTTTTTTGTTTTTGTTTTTTGTTTGTTTGTTTGTTTGAGGCGGAGTCTAGCTCTATCACCCAGGCTGGAATGCAGTGGTGCGATCTCTGCCCAAGGCAAGCTCCAACTCCCGGGTTCACGCCATTCTCCTGCCTCAGCCTCCTGAGTAGCTGGGACTACAGGTGCCCGCCACCAAGCCTGGCTAATTTTTTTTTTTTTTTTTTTTTTTTGGATTTTTAGTAGAGATGGGGTTTCACCATGTTAGCCAGGATGGTCTCGATTTCCTGACCTCGTGATCCGCCCTCCTCGGCCTCCCAAAGTGCTGGGATTACAGGCATGAGCCACCGTGCCCAACTGCTTTAATGTTTTTATTCTTTTAAAGGCAAACATCAATTTTTATGGAGCACTTTAAGCAATGAATTTAGCAAGATCAGGAAAAGTATACAATAAGCATAGTTCTTTCTCTCAAAGAGGTTTAGGTAGGAAGACAATAGAAAAATAAAAATATGCAATTTAAAGAAAATTTCAAGAGAGTAGTTGAAGATATTTTGGAGTTTAGATGTTTGGAAACTCTTTATTGAACCTCTATCCCATTCTAGGTAGGCACTGCGAGAAGTCCTAATATGATAGTAAACAAGTGAGTTGAGAGCAGATGATGCTGTACAGATTGGCTAACAAATAAGCTTTTTACAAATGAGAATTTGTATAGCAAGTCTAAGAAAATAGTTTCAAAGAAGAAGAAAAAATACGAGCTGGATATTCAAGAATGGATATGATTGAAATATGTAGACAGAGAAGACAGTTTTCCAGACATGTAGAATGTAGTGAACAAAAATAGTCCTTAGGAGAAACACTGATGCAGGAAAGTCTAAGTGTTGTTGGGGAGTTAGGAGATTGACTACAGTGGAGGCTTTGTGAAGGGTGATTGAAATAGAGTAAGTTAGAAAGGTAGGAAAAGAGGCTGGAGCCTGATTGTGTGGCACCTTGAATGCTAGACCAAAGGAGATGGATTTAGGAGATTTTTGTGTCTCTTACTCTTAAGCCACATGCAGTAATCCATCTCTATTCTGCTTCTTGAGCTTCATGTTTTATCCCATTAACACCTCAGTAATGTAAAATAAGCTAGAAGGTAACAATAAGTATTTTTTTAATTTTTAAAATTTTATGGGTACATAGTAGGTGCATGTATTTATGGGGTACATGTGAAGTTTTGATATAGGAATAGAATATGTAATAATCATATCAGGGTAATTGGAATATCCATCACCTCATGCATTTATCTTTGTGTTAGGAACATTCCAATTGTACTCAAAGCTTTTAGTTATTTTTAATAACTAAATAATAATAAATGATTATTGACTGTAGTCACCTTGTTGTGCAGGCAAATACAAGATCTTATTCGTTCTATCTAAATATGTCATTGCACCCATTAACCACCCTCACCTAATCCCCCACTCCCTACTACCCTTCTCAGTCTCTAGTAACCATCATTTTACTCTCATTTTCATGAGGTTGATCATTTTAATTTTTAGCTCTCATATATGACTTTGTGAGTTGCAGAAATATAAAAGGGGTGGGAGAGTTAAGTGATATATATATTTTTTAAACTGATGTATTATGGTGAATAAAAAAACTATTGCTGATTCTGGAAGGTTTTCTGAAATGGTTTGATTAGTTTAGAAAAGTGGGCCCTAAGCCAAATATTTGTCTGTCTACATGCACAAATTTATGGTTATAATTATTTAATAATAGTGTTAGAAAGTTGACATTTTTATGGACTAAATGTTTGTGTCTTTCCAAAATTCATATGTTGAAGTCCTAATCTTCAAAGCAATGGTTTTTGGAGGTTTGGCCCTTGAGGGGTGATTAGGTTTAAGTGAGTTATGAGGGTAGAGGCTCCAATGACATCATAGGGGAGAGAAAAGTAGTATCTTTTCCTCACCCACGGCAAGATTCGTAGCTGACACCTCTACAACAAAAGAAATATTAACAAGAGAAAAATATTACAAATTTATTTAAACAAAGTTTTATGTGGCACAAGAGCCTTTGGAAAGGAAGACCCACAGAAACAGGGAAAACCGCATACCTGTATTTTTATGCTTAGGTTTGATGAAGAGTAGACAGTCATGTAGAAGTATGATTGGACAAAAGGCAACATGATCTAATGGCAATAAACTGGGGGAAACTTAGCAAGGCCTGTTTGTTCAGATTCTTGTTGTCATCTCTGTGTTTTTATTCCTTTCTTCCACACATGGGCAGGGCACTTGTTATATGTGAGGGTTATATATATTTCAGGGAAGATAGGTCAGAAAATTCTGTTATGTCTAGCTCTCACACAGAAAGTGGGAAAAGATCAGAGAGTGACCTTCCTGCTTTTGCTGTTTTCTCAGTTTTCAAGGTGCCATATTTTGGGGTAGTGTGTCCTGTACCCCATGAATGGGATTAGTGCCTTTATAAAAAGTAGGGGAGAAAATCTTTCTATGTGTGCAAGCACCAAGGAAATGCTACATGAGGACATAGTCAGGATGACAAACCTGAGCAAGAATTCCACCATACTGACACTTTTGGACTTCCCACTTTCAGAACTGTGATAAATTAATGTTTGTTGTTTAAGACATCAGTCCATTGTATTTTATTCGAGTAACCCAAACTGGTTAAGATAGCATTCAACATTGAAATCTGTATATTTCAGTTCCTTTACTTTAAAAAATAGATTTAAAATATATATTAAATCAAACCAATATATTTTTTGGAATATACTGTTGGTTTCTGTTTCTTGGTTTTTTTTTGTTTTGTTTTAACTTTATGTAAAGGTTAATAAGCTGTTCCTTTATCTTACAAGGTTTGCTTCCTTCACTCATTATTTTGTTGACATATTAATCCATATAGTTGCTTATTGCTGTAGTTGACTCATTTTCAATGCAGTATGATATCCCATGGCATCTGTATACAATCTCTAGTTTTTTTGTTGTTAAAAACCATGCTGCTGGCCGGGCGTGGTGGCTCACGCCTGTAATCCCAGCACTTTGGGAGGCCCAGGCGGGTGGATCACGAGATCAGGAGATCGAGACCATCCTGGCTAACACAGTGAAACCCAGTCTCTACTAAAAATACAAAAAATTAGACGGGCTTGGTGGCTGGCGCCTGTAGTCCCAGCTACTCAGGAAGCTGAGGCAGGAGAATGGTGTGAACCCAGGAGGCAGAGCTTGCATTGAGCTGAGATCGCACCACTGCACTCCAGCCTGGGCGACAGAGCAAGACTCTGTCAAAAAAAAAAGAAAGAAGAAAGAGAGAAAGAGAGAAGGAAGGAAAGGAAAGAAAGGAAGAAAGAAAGAAAAGCCATGCCGCTGTGAACATTCTTCTTAACAAGTGTAATTGTGCAGGAGTTTCTCTTGGGTATCTAACTGTAAGTGAAACTGGTAAGTTTTAGGATAAGGAAACCACATGGATTAGACAAGTTAGCTGTCACTTTGGGAATTAGAGCCTTACCTGGTTTTCAGCACAGTGCTGGTAAACTTTGAGGCACTGGATTGCTTATATGACTAAAAATGGGAAGTAGACTTTATTGTGACATTTAAGTACAGAGTCCTGATCTGAGTGTTTCGAGGAGTAAATGGTGTGTGTGTGTTTGTGTGTGTGTGTATAACAGTGATTATGTTCTACTTTGAGTTAGAGAAATAAAAAAAGACTTTATGTTGGAGAAACACCAAAAACGTCATTATGTAAGCTCTCTCAGGAAATAAGTTGAAAGACCACCCAAGGCTGGCATGCCACTTCCACATGTTGTCGCACCAGCCTGCCACGATCACTCTCCGGAAGACCTCCCCACCCTAACTATTACACCCAAATTTCAGGAAAGAATAGGAAGGACAGAGGGCAGAAAAAGCACACATTCCCCTGAGACAGCCTTACATGTTTCCAGAGGCCCCATCCAGTAACTTTGACTTTTACCTCATTAGCCAATACTAAATCACTTGGCTGCCCTATTCTTCCAAAATGTATAAATCATATGTTTTATTAAGCTGGGCATGTTGCCACCCCAAATTTTGGGGGGTTCTGTAGCAGAATAAGGATGAATATTGATAAAGCAATCAGTAGTGTGCCACAGGATGCAAGAAGGATGTAAAAAAACAGATACCAACTGTCTTATAATCATGTTTTCTATATTTAGAGTCATAGAAATATAAATTTTTAAAGGCAAAAAGAAACTTCAGATCCCTTCGCAAATTTGCTCTTTAAAAATAAAAAGATGCCTAGAGAAGATAAATGGCTTTCTTCAGTGCATAGATTTATTAGTGATAGATGTTGAGCCAATGTTTCTTGACTCTCATGTGAGTTTTCTTTCCGTTTTCCCATGTGCATTCTCCCCTTTCTACCTATATGCTACACAGGCAGGGTCCCAACAGAGAACAGATGTCACTCTTAAGTTACAAAGTTGAAGGAAGTTTTAAAAAGAAGACTGTTTACCAAGTTGTGGGTGGAATGTTGGGGACTAAAGAGGAGATCAGGGACCCCAGGAATAGTAGTAACAGAAATGTTACCAATGCTAAAACCCAGAAAAGAAAGTAATGTAGACAGGACTGCATTGACAGGAGTAGTGACCTTCAACAGGAAACACAGCCAGCTCACTGTCTTCAAAGCGGGAGCCCCAGTACTGGTCACATTTTCCTTCTTCTGTCTGATCTTCTTTCAGGGTTCTCCATTAGCCTAATCCAACTGAGGTCAGAGGGTAATGGAGTTTGTTGTTGGAATCCATACAGGTCAATTTCCTGAACAAAAGGTAGCTGAAGAACAGATTTGGAGGGACAAAGAGATTTCCAGTACAATGGCTCATTCTTAGGTAACAGAAACACTGTCTTATTAGTATAATATAAACACTCTCTTATTTACTCAAATATCTTAGAGGGCTTCTGATTCTGGATTGCTTGGCGTCCTGGTTATCAGTACTCCTTTAGGTTTCTAATTAGCACACTCTTGTGTGCTTCTTTTTGTCTCATTCTTCACACTCCGAGGGTATCAGCCTGTCTCATAGGGTGCTGGTTCTTTGCATCTGAGGTGCTTCTCATTAGCTACTTGCTGGTACTGGGTAAGCAGTTACTTGGTAACTTGTTCCAGTGTTTCCATGATGCTTTCCTATCCTAGTTGCTATGCCATAGTTCTTTCAAGATATGAAATAATAGCTCAAAGTCCTTTAGGTTTTTTCAACATAGGAAGCTTGTAAAGTGTCATAGTGTACCACATGCTGAGCTTTCCCAAAGTTCATCCCAAGTTCCTGAAAGTGTCCAGGAAGATACCTGGCAAAAACTAAGTTCTCCATCTTTGATGATTTCTAACACAAAGCGGGCACAAATGCAAGTGGAATTGAAATGCATCACTATAAATCACATAGCAGTCTGTGGTGAAGATAGTCACTTCAATTTTATTGTGTAATTTGTGCTCTGGTGATACTTCTGGATCTGATTATGTTAATGACATATAGAATTATATATAAATCTTCAAATTAAAATAAAATATTCTTACAGAGAGGCATTAGAACTTTCTAAAGGAAAACTGGCTTATAGATTTATATTTTCTGCTCAAAAAAGGAATTCCCAGATATCTGACATCCTTAAGCATACTGTTTGCTTCCATTTTCATAATTGTATTTTACCTTCCTTTTCCACATCTGTGTTAATCTTAGGACTCAGCTGTTGACAGTTACGTTGATTTATCAGCATTAGATTCTAATGGGAAATGCACTATTATTCTCCTCATGGGTTTGCCAGCCTAAATATGTGACCTTTATTCTACCATAATATCTTTTAGAAAGGATCAGATTGCTTGATCTTAAAAGCTGCATGTAAAACAATATTAAATAAATTAGAAGTCCATTAATGCTATCAGCATTATTTGTTAGCTCAGATGAGCTCTGTGATAGGTGATAGTTTTTAGCCTATCACAGAGCTCATCTGAGCTAAAAAATAATGCTGATTTGGCCTCATCATATTTATGAAGGAGGGAGAAATAGAAGCATGTATAATGTAGAAAAACGTATCTTATCCTTATGTTTGCATATATTGTTGAATAAATATAGTTTAATGAATATGTTTTCTCACCTTTCTTTGCTTGCATTTCAACAGAGTACATTATAAACACTTTTTCTTTTATCATTCTAAATATGCCAAGACAAGATTAAAAGATAAATAACGAAAATGCATTTGTATCTATTGATAAAATCAATTTGTAGTCCTTTGTTTACTTTTTTCCTAAAATTTAATTCTCAGAAAATTGCCACTTTATTATTTTAGGTACTCACTTTTCCAGATTCAAACTTGTGCAGTGAATTCTTTATGCCATTCTAATAAGAGACATTCCATGCCCAACTTCAACTTTGTCAACCTTACTTTGTAAAAATATATATCAGTATATTTAGAATTAACACGTTTTTCTATCTTTTTATTTGTTCAGTGGTCTAAATGAGATTTTGAAATCTGCCTGACAGTTGTTTCTCTAGCCTTTGGTTTCTTTTCTGGGAGGTATTTGGAGGATTGAAATTTTCCACCATGAAGTCATACACCTTGAGCGTGACCTTGTTTTTTTTTTTTTTTTTTTTTTTTTTGTCTCTCTACACTAATGAGACCCTGGGTAGCTCTTATTTAAGGAAGCTGCTTTTGTCTGCTTGGCTAAATTAAATTGATCATAGCTGACTGTGGATAACCTGTTGTTATATTTATTTATATTTTTGAGTACATTCAGAAGGTCTAAAAAATTCTCAGCTTTATGTTGGATATCACAATTAAGAATATCACACTGTATTCTTTCCAGTCACCTGCTGGAGGCAATGACCTTGTATTTATTTTAGAAATGAAACTGGATATATCACTATCACTTTCCCTGTAATAGCTATGACAAAACAGCATTTAAAGGTCAAATACTACAGGACTTAGTAAATACAAACTATAGACTCTACCCTTAATTCTGACCTTAACATAGCTTAGTATAAAATACTGATGAAAAATGGCTTCTGCAATAATTGCTAGGATTTTGTTTTTTTAACATACTAAAATATTATAGAAACATTACATTAATGTAGTAGGTGAAAGGGAAATTTATTAGTGTCCACTTGTTTAATTGGTTGTACACCTAGAGACAAAAAAAATGTCAACTTTCAATAGATACCGTGAGCTATCTCTTGAAAATAAACAATCTGCTAATATTTAATGGCTACACACTACATGCCTGGCACTGCACTGAGAGAAAACCACATCTGAATGTTCTCATTACTACTGAATTTTGAGTTTTACGTAATTTCAAACTAATTCAGGGTTGTTTGTAAAGCAGGTTCAAACTTTAGTGTATTTAAATGTGTTCTCTGTTATTTTGTCCATACATGAATGATTCTAGGAAGCCTAGGAAATTCTAATATTAGGCAAAAAGACTAAGACTTAAAAACAGAAAAGTTTTGAAATATTTGTGTTGCCTTTGTCCTTTTTTAAGGTGTTGGGGGAGAGGGGAGACAAGATTCAGTGTCTCCTATTTTTCCAAAATCTGTAGCTTATTCTTCTATGGGAAAACTTTTGCCACTTTTATTTTCTACCTTAAAATGAAAATTTGAGCATATTGAATACAATCTTATCCAATTAATTGTTTATGAAAGTGAAAAAGTTGTTCTGCTTTCATTTCTAATATACTTAGGAAACATCTAAGGCTAAACAATAATAGCATATATATAGTACTGTGTATTTATGCGTTTGCCTTCATCCTTCTCTTACCAAATCTATAAGCACTTATTTCACTAGTCTAGTCACATTTCTAAATCTGAGTAATAGAACACACTTTTTACTTTCAATGTCAGTGCTGTTTTTGTTTTCTTCATCTAAGGAAACCAAAAGCAATTTCTGCTGTGTAGCTTG
This sequence comes from Homo sapiens, assembly GCF_000001405.40. Taxonomy (NCBI): domain Eukaryota; kingdom Metazoa; phylum Chordata; class Mammalia; order Primates; family Hominidae; genus Homo; species Homo sapiens. The sequence continues at coordinate 45,416,457 of NC_000005.10, read as the reverse complement.
TCAGGTTGTATATATCATATATGCATTCCATATTTGTTTCCTCAGAAAAATATGTGAAGAATAATATTTGCATTACTACAGTGGTATTTCCAAATTTAACTCTAGGCACTTTGAGTCCAGGAAAGCATAAATATATCATTGTGAAGGGACATTTTCATTCCTCACTCGAGTAAATCAAGTGAGGAGTGGGATATATGAACGTATGAAAACTAGCCAGTGATGCTTACCCCCGACAATGCATTCATGATTAAAATAATACCTAATAAATTTGAAATATTTTGCATTATTTCAAGTTTTCTATTAGTGTTAAAATATATGCTGAATTGTTTATGATATCTGCTATACATATATCAATTGGGAGAACAGTTGATCAGACTACTAAAGGCATCTGTTTAATTTCATTAAATTTAAAGTTCACATTTCAACCATAGTTAGAAATACCCTGAATCTTAAGGAGAGATACTGGTTTCTTTTGTGGCTCAGATGAAGACATCTGGCTTTTTAACTTACAACATAACTTAAGGTACATTATCAAACAGGATGACATTTGTATACTGTTATTAAGTCAGTTCAATATTTTTCCTAGATACCACTCATATCAATCACTCTGCTAAATGTCTTGGATACAAAGATGTTTAGGACATGGTCTATGCCCTTAGGAAACTTTGGTTATACTGGTGAAGGCAAACAAATAAACAGACGGTACAGCAATCACATGATAAATGGAAGCACAAGTGCTGTGGCCATTTAGACAAGAAGCTGAACCAGGCTGGGAAGGCTGAATTGAAGGGATGAAGGTCGATCTTTGAGAAACTTACAAAATGAGCTGCATCTTGAAACACTGTTAAAAGTGTCCAGTCAAAGAGAAAGGAGACCAGAAAACACACTGAGTCAGAGAAAACTACCTATATAAAAGCATGGCAAATAATGAATTGGCTTGTTTGGGGAACTGCAAGTAGCTCAGGGTGGCAGGAGTACAATCTTAGGTTTTGTTATAAGGCTTAGGAAAGTTAAGCAGTATTGCTCAGGAGAGATGCAGGGGATACATCATGACCAAGTTTTTGTGATTCTCATGAGAGGTTCAACTTACTCTTGAAGCTATGAGGAAACTTTAAGCATGGGAGTGGCATGATTTGACGTGTAACTAGATGCTTTGAAGAATGGACTGAAAGGGAGTTAAACTGAGATGGCAAATTATTAAAATTTGTTTTAAAATTTGTATTGATCTAGAAAAGAAAAAATAAAAGATAAAACATTGTTTTCATTAAAACAAATAACTGCTATATTTTTCAATTTCAGAGCAAAGTAAAATCATGGTTAGAAAAAGTCTTATGTAGTCCTAGAAATAAAAGAGGCAGAATCAAAGTCCAAGGTTGGTGAAAGAACAGGTGGTTAAGTTTAACATTTAACCACTGCTTACAAGATATGACAGGATGATATCTAATTGTGACAGAGTGTACGGAAGTGTAATTTGGTTTTAACAAAACCTTGGAAAGTAAACAACTGACCTCAGAATTATTAAGGGTCACAAGGAAGAAATGCACAAAAGACAAGCATAGTTATTAAGGATGCCAAGTCATTTTACATATGGCAAATATATAATAATAGAAGTAACCTAGGGCCTAAGATAGTCTCAAATCAAGTGATACCATAAGACTGCCCTGAGATAAGCACTAGGCAGGAATGGGAACCTGTGTATTGTAAAGAGATGGGACAAAAGAAAGATTATTTTTAATTGTCATTTGTGTATGTTTGATTGGTTGTTTGATAAGTATGCACTCTCCAGGCTGCTAGCCTGATAACTATTTAGTATTTAAATGGTAACAGTAGAAGCAGATACTGTTCAGCTGTTCTTCTGTCTAGAAGCTCTGGACCCACCCAGTGGAGAAAAGAGGAGTACAGCATGGAGTCAATCAAGTGATACTAAACTCATCTAGGGATTCAGAGAAAACATGTTTTATCAGCAGCATACTCAGGTTAAATGAATTCAGTTTGGACACACAGATTTGGGATGTTTGTGTAAAGCTGAGTAGAGACAAATGCCTCCATATAGATAAGATGAGAAGTCAAGAGAGAGGCCTCTTTTTTAGATGAATGATATTCAACTCTGTTCACCTAAATAATTGAGAGTAACCCAGGTTTGTTTTTAGTCTGTTGATTGTTTTTTGGGAAGGTGAGGCATGGAGGAGGGAGACAAGATTAACAAATAACTAAGATGGTATTGGAGTGAGACCTGTGATAGTTCACTCAATAGTAAGACTATGTAAGATTTTCTCCTGCTTAGTCTATTGAGTGGTAGCTCAGAGTCCCTGTGATGCCTTCAGATTTATGTTATGATAGGCTAATATTGGCGAATTGGCCATAAAGATTTGCTTTCTGAAACTGTTGTTCTTTTTCCCATGGTCTAATTGATTAATATCTAGGGTATGCTGCAAAGTTCAGGTATTTACTGTTTTTTCTTACACTTTGGCAACAATTTGTTGAGCTTCAAAATATGTGAATCCTGCTTTAAGATTGCCTTTAATTTTTGTATTGTACATTCATAGAGATATTGTTGATCATTTAGTTTCCTAAAAAAAGATAATTTATTATGAATCTATTTTTTTCAATATTTCAGCCAAGCAGTAGATTATTGTCTTTGAAAACACCTTGATTCCTTATTGCATTTGTCTTTGGAAATGTCATAGTGCATTCTAAAATAAAAATTTTCCTATATGGCTAATGTTATCAAGATCACTACTTTAACCAAGTTTTCCTGCCCCTTCATATCCTTATGATTATTTATTGCCATTTAAAATACTGAATATTCTCCTTTTTCATTTCTACCTCTGAAAGTTTTCAACCTAAATTTTGTTGACAGCCCACCCATCTTACTTACGCAATTTGCTCCTGCATGGTGTAGCTAACAAACTATGGAAAAATACATAACCAAAAACAAATCTGAATATCCTCAAATTGGCATGTATAATTGGAATCATCAGTCAGCTATGTCATTATCAATGTGTTGGGCTGACTAATAATAACCGTATTGCTATTATTTATTCTCTCAAGGCACCGACTGGTTTACAAAGAATATCAATACATTTACCTCTTCTGGCAAAATGATACTGTATCTCAACAGTGTTGAATTCAGGTAAATCATAAAAAATATCTGAAATTAAAATATTTATTTTTTTATTCCTGACTTACTTTGATACTCTATTCCTTTGCTTGGATCTCACATTCATTGTGAATAATAAATGTTCTGGGATTTAACCTCTTGTGAGTTAGCTATTTCCTACTCTAAGTTTCTGTAAAACTTTTTATTCCCCAAATGGAATTGTACGCATCTTATTTTTTGTCCTTAGGCAACTTTCTAAGGTGACTTACCACTAATCTAGCATGTCACTTCACCATAATCGATTAGAGAATAAAAAGAACCCTTTGAATCATTCCCCATTTTAACCAGACACTGCATTTTCAATAGGTGGCAAAGGCAAGCCAAGAATGTTCAAAACTAATAGCAATCTTTCTGCATGCCATCTTATGTGCTTGATATACATTCACTCTAACTTGTTCTCCTTTTAATTGGAGGGTCCAACCTCTGCCATTTTTATTAACTTTTATGCTATTCAGTTCTTTTCATCCCCAAAATAATTTCTTATGAGATGATCCTCATGCTCTCTTCATCCTTTGTCAATCCGTGCTCACCCAGTTCCAGCCTCTTGGGGATCAACCTGAACCCTACTGGGGCAAACTATACAACCTCCAGGCCATGGAAGGAGGCTATTTGAATACTGACTTAAATGCAACATACACGCATTCAAATAACAGCCTTCCAGAGACATTGCCATTGATTTTACTTTCTTATGTAAATAGAGAGAAGCTTAATAGAGGTAATTTCAAGCCTCTCAGAAGAAGATATGGGAGAGATTTCTGAGTAGGTTATTCTTTGTCTTTTTTTCTGTCATCAGAGAATTAGGTACTATCCTCCCAAACCTCATCTGCAGTGTGATTGCAGTTGTCTCCCTTGAGACTTACACTGTTCCCGGCTCCACTATCCATAGAACCTGGAGGTACAGTGCTACCACGTTTGCTTGTACATAAAGGAGACCACAATGCTACACTTCTTCTAGGCCAGCCTGGGGTAGATATACACAGATACCCACACCTCAATATACGCAGATGACTTTGTTAACCTTTATTCCCAGTGCCCAAAGAAAAGTGAAGATGAAATGCTTTAAACTCACTGAAGCAGATAAATCATTTTAGAACTAGCTCAGGAAAATCTGGCATGAGTCACAGAAGCTATGCACAAGAGAAATCATTAAGCTTTGAATGTTTACTTCCTTTCCTGAACAGTCCCTGTTGACTAAGAAATGTATGCTGATAATTATTAAGGTATTCTCTTGCTTTGTCAGTAAGCCATACTGTTGTTTCCCTCCACATTGGAGGAGGTTAAGGCAAGACACCTTTATGATCTGTCTGGATATATTCCTTAAAGTTAGTCTGCCAATTTGTGGCAAACTTGGCATTCTGCTTGATTAAATTATAATTCACTCTTCTACAGGAATTGCACTAAGTGGTGTGCTCCCTTCAAAAATTGCCAGTAATTGTGCTTCATACCCAAAGTACTCAGAATTGTGGGAACTGTTGGCATTAAGTAATATTAGGATTTGAAGCAAATAAGAGTTCTACTGAAGGAGTCAGGGATGCTCCATTTCTGGGTCTATTTAATTATTTTGCCCATTTCTTCTCCATTCCTGAAAACAGAAATCTCATAAATGGATTATAATATTGCATTTGCCTTTTTCTTAATGTTTTTATCATTCAGAAATGCAGTAAAAATGACTTATTTCCTAAAGGTAAAATAACCTTCATTTTCTTCTCTGTGCCATAAAAAATAGCTAGAATATCCTCATGAGCATGATTTCAAGTGGAATGCACTAAATTTTAAAGGGGCCCTGCTTCGCTTTATTTTCTTTGACTAGTAATACTATGATTGAATATGCATTTTTTTCCTGATTTTAGATAACTGAAAGGAGCTCATCAGAAATAGGAATTACGCCTGAATCACCATTGGTTTAGTCTTGTAACTGGGTAGAATAAAAAAAAAAAACAGAAGTTAAAAGAAAGAGAGGGAAAATAAAACAGATTGTTGCAAATACTCTTTTCTCTGTGCTTGTTTGCTAACAGATTTCCAAATCAGTCTACATCTGAATTGAGAGATATGCCTGAGAGAGAATAATCTGGGCCTTGAAAAGAAATCTGTATCTCTCAGTCTCTCTCTGTCTCTCTCCCCAACTCTTCCTCATGCCCTCACCCCAATGTACACACACAGAGAGACTCAAATGTAATGTGAGTGGAGAATTTATTTATCAGAGACAAGTGATTCTCTAGGGATTTAACCTTTATGAGTGCTAGTAAAAGGGTATTTAGCTTGATTATGTTGATCTAAGAAGTTGTGTTTTGCCTCTCTTAAATACTATTTGGTATTTGAATTCTCTGTGAAGTTGTCTGTGAGATCAAGGAGTCTACACATGATAAAACTTACACTTGTATACAGCTTATGTGGATTTAGACGTCAATGCTAAATGTTCTCTCAGATGGGTAACTGACACAGAAGCCTTTCATACTAAGAACACACTGAATACACAACATAGGATAAGAATTTAAGTTGGGAATTAGGCTTCTAAAAATAGCTTTAAGTGCTTAATACTTTCTGCCTTTTTACACAGGCTTACACAGCAGGGGATTTCCTAGGCTTATCTTGTTATACTTCATAATCAATAAACAAAGTTCTAGCATTACTTGTAATTGAAGCTTTATTTATTTGTTTGCAATTTAAAGTCATGTCTTTAGAGTTGAGGAACATGCGTTGTTGCTGAGTTATGTAATTATAACTTAGCTGTAAATAAGAATATGACTTTTAAAAATACTTTTTTAATAAAGTAAGGGAGTAGTTTTAACTGACGTCATTCATGTTCTAAATGTTCATTAAAATAACTTTAGCATAGGAGAATGGTTCTCTATATAATTTGATTAGCTACAGATCTCATAAGAGTACTTTTGCCTGAAATAGATAACTCTATGGAAATATTGGACAGTACAGATCATAGTATCTTCATCATTTTACCAAATAGATTACAATAATAATTAGATTTGCAAGCACTATATCTGCAATCAGCAGCCTAGAGATCCAGTAGAGAGATACTGCTACCTATCATGACCCAATAGGCTACTGAATGAAACTCTGAACTTTATCCACATCAGTAAATGAAGATAATAAAGACTGTTCTTGCTACCACAAGGCTCTTGTGATAATCACCATGTCTATTAAGTTCCTTGTAAGAGATCTATGCAAACTGTACTCATGTTTCTGCTATTGTTAGTTGTGCTATGGTCAGTATTATGATTATGCAAATATAATGAAAATAATACTTGCAAGCACATCAGACATGAGTTTGTATTTTTTGTTTGTTTTGTTTTTGTTTTGTTTTTTAATTCTTAGACAAACCAGATCAGACCTTGGGCAAGTAACTTAATGTTTTCCATGACCTTAAGATGTATTGTTCCTTACATACTAGATTTGAATAAAGTTGGGTAATCTGAATATATTTAATTATTTGTTTATTTATGTATTTTGATCTTATAATCATGGAGATTCTGAAATTCAGTGTACTTATAAAAAGGATAAATTGTTATACAGATCCCTTACAATTCCAACTTTCTATGAATTGATGGATAAAAGTCAGTCTACCATAAAAATATTTAATGTGCCACTATTTTATTTTATTGTACTATCCTTTCTTATGTCTGGTAGTGGGAACCCCAACCCAGTAGTAAATCTAGGTAGAAGAAAAAAATCAGAGATGTTTGCACCATGTCATCAAAATTGCGTGGACATGTTAAGTGTTAAGGGTAAATTCTACCATTACTAAGATGGAATTTTAGAATCTGTAAAGGTGAGAGCATGATTTTTGAGATAATGGGAAAGCTCTTTTTAACCTCAATATAAATAACCAATTACTACGTAAGCTGCTTATCAGCATACACATTTCCTTTCTCTATAGTTTAAGTTTGTCTATATTTTAGTTATGCCCATCTCTAAGCATTAGATTTTAATAAATTTTTCATGATTTATGTATTTGCAAAGAGGTTAGAATTGTTACTCATAGCAAAACGTGCTATGAACATATTTTTCCATTAAAACACACACATCGGTAAGAAATTTATCCCCTCATTTACAAAACTCTTTCAGTTGGAAAACAGAAAGCTTATTATTTATTAGCTCTTTTATATAGAGCTTGTTAATATAGCAGCCTTTTATATAGTCTCTTGTTTAATTATCATAAAAAGTCCAAATTCTTTCCACATTGTACCATCTATCATATAAATTGAAATATATGCAAATTATCTAGAAATAAAATCTAATGCCTTACTCTCATATATGGTAAAAGAATTCCATATACAAAACTGCATATTTAATAAATTTTATGATCTGATAACCGACATAAACACCCAAAGACTACACATATGATTAAAGACATTCTTAACTCTTCTGCTTCTTTAATGCATTAGGCAGCTACTTTGTTTATAAAGAGCAGAAACTTGAGCCCAGCACAAAAATATATACAACGTTTTTTGTTTTCACTTTAATTTCACTTTGTTAGTAGTTTTTAACACTCCAGTGTGCTCAAACCTCAAAATAGCAGCATTAAACACTTCAAGAATGCCATAAAAGAGATGATCTACTAATTTGAGAATGATCATTGTAAAGCTGCTTGGTGAAAGTTCATAAAATTAATTTAAACGTGCACATTAATAGTACTTAGCAATGTAATGTCATGCCTGTCATTAGAAAGATGAAGAAACACTCTGAGAAGTATATCCTTAGGCAATATTATCATTGTGAAAACATCATAGATGGTACTTACACAAACCTAGACGATATAGCCTACTACACACCTAGGCTATATGGTATGGCCTATTGCTCCTAGGCAGCAAACCTCTACAGCATGTTGACTGTACTGAATACTGTAGGCATTGGTAACACAGTAAGTATTGGTGTATCTAAACATAGAAAAGGTATAATAAAAATACAGTATAAAAAATAAAAGGGTATAACAGTGTGAAAGATAAAAGATGGTACATCGTGAATAGAGCTTGCATGACTGAAAGCTGCTCTGGGTGAGTCAGGGAGTAGTAAGGCAACGTGAAGGCCTAGGACATTACTGTACACTACTGTAGACTTTATAAACACTGTATACTTAGGCTACACTAAATTTATTTTTAAGATTTTCTTTAATAATAAATTAACCTTAGTTTATTCTAACTTTTTTACTTTATAATGTTTTTATTTTTATGTTTTTGACTTTTTTTGTAGTAACACTTAGCTTAAGACACAAGCACATTGTACAACTGTATAAAAATATTTTCTTTCCCTGTACTTATATTCTATATGATTTTTTTCTATTTGATTTTTTCTTTACTTTTAAAACTTTTGGTTAAAAACTAAGACACAAGCACACACATAAGCCTAGGCTTACACAGGGTCAGGATCATCAGTATCACTGTCTTCTACCACCACACCTTGTCCCACTGGAATGTCTTCAGGAGCAGTAGCATGCAAAATGTTGTCAACTCCTATGATAAAAATGCCTCTTCTGGGCCGGGCATGGTGGCTCACGCTTGTAATCTCAGCACTTTAGGAGGCTGAGGCAGGTAGATCACCTGAGGTCAGGAGTTCGAGACCAGTGGTAAAACACCATCTCTACTAAAAATACAAAAAGTTAGCCAGGCATGCTGGTGGGTGCCTGTAATCCCAGCTACTTGGGAGGCTGAGGCAGGAGACTCACATGAGCCAGGTAGGCGGAGGTTGCAGTGAGCCAAGATCGCGCCACTGCACTCCAGCCTGTGGAACGAGAGTGAGACTCTGTCTAAAAAAATAAAAATAAAAAGCCTCTCTGCGATGCCTCCTGAAGAACATACCTGAGGTTGTTTTACAAGTAGCTTTATTTTTGTATAAGTTGAAAGAATACAGTAACAATAAAAAGGTAGTATACTAAATACATAAACTCGTGACATAGTTGTTTATTATCATTTTCAAGTATTATATACCATACATAATCATATATGCTATACTTTTATATGACTGGTAGTGGAGTAGGTTTGTTTACACCACATTGCCACAAGCAGATGAGTGACGCATTGTGCTATGACATTATGATAGCTACAGGATCACTAGGAGATAGGAATTTTTCTGCTCCATTATCATCTTCTTATAGAACCACTGCTGAATGTACGGTCCATCATTAACTGAAACATCATTATGTGGTGCATGATTGTACTTATTTTACTTTGTCCAGGTGTTGAGTGAAAGCACATCACTCAGTGTTTCAGATTGAACCTGTCACCCTGTGCCATCTGCACCTTTCATACTCTGGAGTGCTGAGCCTCGGGCAAGGATTTTCTTCTAGAGGACTGTTCCTATCAGATAACTGTATAGATTGCTTGATCCCAGGCTTTGGGGTTAGGTGGAAAGAAGAATTCATTAAAAGTTTTTGACTAATAGGAAAGTATAAAACTAAAGTACAATTTTAAGGTCAAACTATCTTCACTGACCTCACACTCTCCAGGAAATTTTACCTCAGCGTTTTTCTCTAATGAAAACCTTAGATAATTTTTCTCTAAATGTCCTTAAGGTATAATAGAGGCTCTCTTTTGGTGGTTGAGAAGAAACATAGTTTAAAGAATTTCTCTGTTATGGTTATGTTCTTAAAATGCCTGAAAATCCTATGTATAATTATCATGAATTTTATTCATATAAAAGTATAATTATCATGAATTTTACTCATATAAACGGTTATGACATAAATGGCTATGGTCTTTGGAATGAAGAGAGTTTATAGTGTGGTTCAGACAGATCTGTGATTGAATTCCAGATTTGGCACCTACAAGTGTGTGAACTAAAGCAAGTTATTTAATTTTTCCAACGTTTGCATTTCCAATCCATAATAACAATATCAAGTTAGGTTTCACTGTTAAGAAGAGCAATGAGATGATGTTATAATAGTACCTTGCAGTAAATAAGTCCTCAGTGTATGCTGATTTCTTCTATGCTGGCTTTATATTAATGCATATATGCTTGCATACACATAAAATATATTCACTAATACTTATATATAAACATATGTAAAATATGTTTGCTTATATTTATTTATGTTAACAAAGAGGTACCCCATAGAAATATTTGATTTACTTGAAAAGCTAATTGTAATTGAAACATCACACTTACAGTATTTAAGTAATGTCAAATTTGGGGCCTGTTTTATAAATAGTACCAATGAACTCTTAGTATAAAAAATTGGATGAATGAACAAGTCAAATTTAAAATAATGCATTGATTTGTTTAATTTTTATTTTTAAAATAATGTACCAATATCAAAAAAATAAGAAAAAATCTGTGATATCAAGCATCACTAAATTTTAATTTATAAGTCTATTTAATGCAAATTTTGTATTTTATCATCATTCTTGAAGCAAGAAAAAGTACACTTAGAACTTGAGTGATTAATTGACCATGGAACAAGTTGAGAATGAACTCTCAAAATAATCAGACATCACTCTTCATGGCAACAGCAATTTAGTTATGCAATACTTCTATATTTTACTGTTAAAAACTGTTTAAACCCTCTTATAAGGCAAAAGGTTGTTATCAGAGGTACAAACGTTTTTTACGCAGATCATAGCACTAAATATAAGAAAAATACGCCGGGCAAAGTGTCTTATGCCTATAATCCCAGCACTTTGGGAGGCAGAGCCACGAAGATTGCTTCAAGCCAGGAGTTTGAAACCAGCTTCAGCAACATAGCAAGACCTTATCTCTATAAAAATTTTAAACATAAGCTGGTCATGTTGGTGCACGTGTATAGTCCTAGCTACTCAGGAGGTTGAAGCAGGAGGGTCACTTGAGCCTAGAAGTTCCAGCTGCAGTGAACTATAGTTGTGCCAATGTACTCCAGCCTAGGGAAGAGAGCAAGACCCTGTCTCGAAATAATTAATTAATTGATTAATTAAGTCAAAAGTCATTCTATGCCCAGGGTTGGCATCCTTAACGCCTGCATTGTTCAAAGACCAACTGTTTACAGATAATAAAATTATGGTGTATTCAAGTAAACACACTCTTTTTGACACTGATGACCTGTTATACTTCTTATGACTGCAAATGAATTATGCTACACTATATTCTTTTCCTTAAGAACTTTTAAATGCAACTTTCTATCTGATTGGCATTTCCAAAATTGATAAAAATGATATGTTTATGCAATGACTGCAGGAAAAAAATAGACATGCTGATCAACATTCTGTAGCCTAGCTCTAAAGAATTTATACTCTACTCATGGCTTTCTAATTTCACCTCTTTATTATCCATTAATTCTTCAATATTTTAGCAGTTGGTTTGTGCACTTCAGAGTCTCTGAGTGCCATATTTTAGATTTTCCTAAGATTTTACCTACTTCAACACGTTTATACTTGTATTTGCTTGCAAATAATAAAGAAAAATTAATTCTGATATTCAATAATGGAAAGTTTTGGCCCCCTAAATTAAATAAATTTCAGCTCATGTGAAAGCTAGTGGACTGGAGAGCTTTTGTTCCCATGGCAGGCTACTGAGTGGCTAAGTTTGAATTGGATATATTATGTCAGGAGGTCTAGGACACTGGAGAATAAATATTCCTTTTTCTTTCTTTTTCCTTTTTTTTTTTTTTTTTTTTTTTTTTTTGCAAATAGCCCTTCATCCTGACTCCCTAAATTTAGTAACAATATGGACAGGATGACTAGAAAGTATTTTCATTCAAGCCTATAGAAAGCTCAAAATGCATTATTACTAAGAGAAAGTTCTCAGGTGGAATAAGCAAAGGTACTTACTATGTTCCCATTAATTTGACTCAATATCTTTTCCTCAAAAAAAAAAAAATTATTTTCAGTGATGCCTAAGTGAAGTGATTAACTAAATGAACACTTTTAATAACAAAAACATAATCTAAAAGGAACAATTTGTTGGTACATTGTTACCTAAAATGAAAACAAGATAAACCTCAGTTGAAACAGTTCCCTTATATTTTATTTGCTTATTGTCTGTGGGATTCAGATTATATGAAACTGGGTATATTTGGACTGTATGGTAAAACACTTTGAGTATACAGTCTCCCATTCGCATATAATATCATATTAGTAATGTACACTAAAATATAATACAGTCATCTTTACAAGGTGAAAAAGGAATAGCCATGTAACACAAGAAAAAAGGCAGAATGGGATTACAAACATTCCTAGATTTTCACAAAACTTTCTCAGATGATAGCCTAAATCTCCCATTCAAGCCATCATTCAATGGTAGTAGATTAAAATAAGGCAAACAGGATGCCCGAAGTGGGGCAAAAAAACCTATGACTTTTGTAGGCTTATAAAAATGAGAGCAGTGTAATGTAATAATACTGTGGTCCTTAGAAGGAGACTGCATGGGTTGAAAACACTGAATCTTCCACTTACAAAATTTTAACCCTGGGCAAGTCGCTTAGGTTCTCTGCTTCAGTGTCATTATTTGTCAAATGATGGTAAGAATAGTACTCATGATTAAACTAGTTTAACATAATAATTGGTGCTTTGAACAGTTTAGAACCATGTACCTGATTTATAATATACTGCTTATAAGGATAACATTTTGTGTGTGTTTTATCACAGTCAATCTATTTTTTCTCCTTGAGCCCTGATATGGTTTGGCTGTGTCCCCACCAAAATCTCATCTTGAATTGTAGTTCTCATAATCCCCACATGCTGTGAGAGGAACCCGGTGGGAGGTGATTGAATCATGGTGGGGGAGTTATCCCCATGCTGCTGTTCTCATGATAGTGAGTGAGTTCTCACTAGATCTGATGGTTTTATAAGGGACCTTTTTCCCTTTTGCTTGGCATTTCTCTTTCCTGCCACCCTGTGAAGAAAGGCGTGTTTGCTTCCCCTTCTGCCATGGTTATGTTTCCTGAGGCATCCCCGGCCATGCTGAACTGAGTCAATTAAACCACTTTCCTTTATAAATTACCTAGTCTCAGGTATATCTTTATTAGCAGCCTGAGAATGGACTAATACAAGCCCTTTGTTCCTGGGATTTTAATGATATGTAGGTATGATGGAGGAGGGGTTAGGATGTCATTCCTCTACTTGGAATTCTTTCAACACCAGCCTCAGAATCTGCTACTTAAATGCTCACTTTCCTTTGTTATGGTTCACTTGGCCCTTGCAAACACAAGCAATGTGTGTAGACAAAATTCAGTGTCTAAAGAAAGCAATATTGGCCTTGTAGAGTAACAGAGAAGATCCTTATGCCTAATCATTCACTCTTCATGAAGAATAGCCTAAGGACCAGATACAGTGGCTTATGCCTGTAGTCTCAGCTACTCAGAAGGCTGATATGGGATTGCTGGAGCCCAGGAATTTGAGGTTACAGCTCAAATTCTATGAGCTATGGTTATGCCACTGGACTCCAGCTTGCATAAAAGAGTGAGACAAAAGAAAGAAAAGAAAAGGAGGGAGGGAGGGAGGGAAGGAAGTAGAGGAAGGAAGGAAGGAAGGAAGGAAGGAAGGAAGGAAGGAAGGAAGGAAGGAGGAAAGAAAGGAAAGAAAGGAAAGGAAAGGAAGAAAGAAGGAAAGAAAGAGGAAGGGGGAGAGAGAGAGAGAAAGCCTATATTTCATTAATCCTTCTGAATTTTCCATGAATCCCTAATATTCTACATTCTGTAGATACTGTCTTCTCAAAATTGTTATTGTTGTTGCTTTATACTTTTATATTATTTAAGTTCTCATTTCACTTCTCATAAACTTGTAATAACATTTATACTGACTTCTGTATTTGGTCCTTATTACATCCTTCCTCTACCTCAGGATTTTTCAGCCTCACCACAGCTAATATTTTGGACCTCCCAATTTTTTGTTGTGAGGCAGGAGAGGGAGTCTCCTCTGAACTGCAGAATTTTTAACAGCATCACTGGCCTCTACCCTTTAGATATTAATAGCACCTCTGCCAGTTGTGAAAACTAAAATGTCTGCTGATGTTGTATGTTGCCATGTCTCCTAAGTGGTAAAATCATCCTTAGTTAAGAACCAGCACTCTGCAATTCTGCCTGATCAATCTTCCTAAAATACGGTTTAGATCATATCATTCTCTGCTCACAAGTTTTCATTGGCTTCCCGTTTTGTACTGAAAATGTTTAAGGACTCAGACTCTGGTCATCACTGTGTTGCCTGGTATGTTCCCTATTCTGTCATATTTCTGGTATGCTCCTCATTCCCTCCTGTTTCTTCTCTACAATTTAGACTGGCTAAAATTTTATATATGTACACACACATACTATGGGGTTTGGTAACTTTTCTCAGCCTCCAAATACTCCTACTCCCCATCAAACTTCGTGTTTTAGATTTTTACCTGCATGACCCATGGTCTTACTCAAATTCCCTCACACAGTAGTTCAGTTTAAACCCCTGTTGGAATTGAGATGGTCCTTGTTTTTTAAACAAGGACCTTGTTTAATTAAACCTTGTTTAATTAAAACTCAGTATAAAAGTGGCTAAACAGAGCAGTGAAACAAAATATTGAGCCCAGACACAAATACCATTTTTATAGAGACAATATATAATAAAAGAGATATATTTCTCTATATGGAGACCTGTTGATTTACTAAAAGTTATATACTGGCACAAAAGACATTCCATTAATTTAGAATAAAGAAAATGTGAACTTTTCTATATCCAAAAAAAAAAAAAACCTTTCTCTAGGTAATACGTGTAAGTATAAGTAAATATAAAAAATAAAATAATCTGAAAAAACATTCAGGACATAGGAATAATCTTATTTAGAGATAGCTTTTTAATCATTATGAGAAATCCAGCAGCTGCCAAGGAACTTACAGATTTAATTTTCCTACATAAACTAATTGAAATATTTATATGAGTAATTATATGATTAGAAGGTCAATAGGCAAATGATAAATTAGGAATAAATATTTATAGCACATATCAGTTAAAGGGGTGATACCCAGTCTTCAAGGAGGCATTGCAAATTAATAAGGAAAAAAAAATTTCATTAGAGATGAGCAAGCCCATTTGGTAAATAAATACATGAACGCCTTCTCAAATTCCTTGGCTAGGGAAATGCTAATAAAAATAACAATGGGTTATTATTTCTCACTCTATAAGGTGATACAGTATATTTTTACACATTGGAAAAGGTACTGCCTTTTAAATCAATCTGGCAATATATTTTAAAATCAAACTGAAAATCTTACTCTTTGAACCAACAATCACACTCTTGGGAGTGTTACTGACAGAAAGAAAAGATATATGGATAAAGTTTTTAATTAAAGAATAGTTTGTAGTGGCAAAAGCTGGAGAACAATGGAAAAAATGACTGAATTAACTATGGTGTGATCAACAAACTATTACATAGTTATGTGAACAACAGATTATTTGGAGGCATTTTATATGTGATAACAACAATAAGAGCATATATAATAGGATTCATTTTTGTGGGAAAAAAAGCCAGAATCATGGATTTGTGTATGTGCATGTGTGTGTGATTATATGAACATGGAGAAAGGCACAGAATGATCCATACCTGATTTTGGGGAAATGTAGGTAGAGAAAGAGGAATGGAAACATGTGAAGAATGGAAAATAGAAAAGTTGCTAATGATTTTAAAAATAAGAAAGCATTCTTAGGCTGGGCACAGTGGCTCATGCCTGTAATCCCAGCACTTTAGGAGGCCAAGGCAGGTGGATCGCCTGAGGTGATGGAATTTGAGTTCGAGGAGTTCGAGACCAGTACGACCAACATGGTGAAACCCCGTCTCTACTAAAAATGCAAAATTAGCTGGGCATGGTGGTACTAATCCCAGCTACTCGGGAGGCTGAGGCAAAAGAATCACTTGAACCCAGGAGGCAGAGGTTGCAGTGAGTTGAGATTGCACCATTGCACTCCAGCCTGGGCAACAAGAGCGAAACTCCATCTCAAAAAAAAAAAAAAAAAAAAAGCATTTTTAATATATATTTATTTCAAGTCATTTAAGAGCATGTATACACAGGTGTGTGTTTTGTGTCTCTAGTGAAATAAATGAGAATAGACATAGCTGTATTATTCTGAAAAACTGAATTAAACTTTCTTTTCCAGCTCCATACCCTGCCTCCATTCATACAAAAAGAAATAAACAATACCAATAGAAATAAAGTGTAGTCTCCACTCGACACCCCATTGAACTTTTTATTATTTCCATTTTATCTAAATACCTCAAGATGCTTTAACAATATACCTTGTCTGTACCCTTATGTGGAGAAAGGAAATCTTGAATTAGATTTTACATTTTAGTAAATGTAAATATACCATTTCTTGTTCATGGACCATCTAGAATTTTGGAAATCTTAGATGTATTTCTGAGTATTATACATTTTCACTGATAAAGTAAAGTATAAATTTGCTCATTCTCCAAAATAAGAGTTTTTGCATGAGTTTATTATACTATGTACATATTAAAATATGACATACAACTAATTTTCTTGTGTTAAAATTAAATCTTATTTTTTACTTTTGCGAAAATACATATATAGAGAGGATAATTTAATATGAGCAGGACTTTTATTATAATTAAATAATAGTGAATTTCACTTTAAGAACCTCAATCCTTTCAGCTAAATGGGGCTAGTTATTTTCTTTATTTTTTAGCAACTATGTGCAGTTCCAAGGTTTATAAGACTGGGCTTTTCAATCTTCTGTTTTATTGTTTAAATCTACAAATTTGATGTTGGAAAACCCTATTAACAACAAACAAAACTACCCATATCTATTCAAAATAAAATAGCTTGAAAAGTTTATGATAATTTAAGAGTTAATTTGACAAATGCAGGTTTGGCTTCATTGATATGTGACCTTGAAGTTGCACAGAGCCCCTCACTGTCAAAAGAACCCTGTGCTTGGTTTAATGTTCTGCTCCTGCCATCTTGAAACTCTTAATAATTTTATCTTTGAACTTATGTTTTGTAAGTGAAGTCCACTAGGACAACAGGGTGTGAACATGAGCAGCAGAGCTGCAGGATGGCAGCATCACACACACAGATTCAGGCCTGTAGGCACAGGAGACATGCAATTGGCCTAGCAGCAAGGCAGCATATGCATCACTCAGCAGTCTAGATGCTATGTGTCCCTGATGTGGCCAAACCAGGACTGGTCCCAGATTAGGAGTGACTATCTGTAGCAGCAGGAGAAGCAGCAGCAACAAAGGCAGTCGTGAGAGATGAAAGTGGCTATCCATGCAGGCAGGGAGAACACCCATGGTGAGTAGAGAGCTTGCTCATCAGTCCCAAGGGACCATCCCTGTAGTATCTAAACAGATATTAAATCTCCCACCTAAATTCCAAGACAATACCCATGGCACTCAGGCAGTAAACTTTGTAAATAAATTATTACAAAATAAATGTTTACACATGGGCACGGCAGTAAGCACTTTAGAAAGTCATTAGAATTCCTCAGTGTTTACAATGTCCAGTTTTGAAAGCTGCTGCAAAATTGCACAGCAGATGTCCATAAACTTAGAAATACAAATTAAATTTAAGACTCACATTTGATGGAAAATAACACGATTTTTATATGAAGTTTTAAATTAAACCAATTATTAACAAGGAAGATAATTTTTAAATTAAACTTTCTTTGTAACTAAAAATATAGCAATACAATATATAAACAGGCATTTTAAATTATATGCAAATCTTGAAACTACTTTCAATTTTTTGCACGGCCTTGACAAGTTACAGGAAATATCAGAAGAAACACTAAAACATCCTTGCATACATTTAAATTTAACATTCAATTCAATAAAAGGCAGTATAAGTGACCCTTGTGATGGAATTATTCTGTGTCTTGACTGTGGTAATAAATACATGAACCTACACATGTGACAAAATTGCATAGACATAAATACACACACACACATATAGGCACACAAATGAGTACACTTAAATTACTGAGCTATAAATGAGATGAGTACATTATATCAATGTCAATTTCCTGACTATGAAACTATTCTATAGTTTGCAGCATGTTACCTCTGGGGAAGCTGAGTGAAGAGTACATAGAATCTCTCTCTATTATTTCTTATAACTTGCATGTAAATCTGTAATTACCTAAAAGTAAAAAGTTAAATTAAAAAATAAATTCAGATATAAAAACTAAATTCAATGTGAAATTGGTATGAAACAGATTGGCATGATAAGTTAAATATTTATTGAAAAGTTGTTCTATGAAAATCATCAGCTCCAAATGTACTCAAATATATATTTTTAAATAAATTATCAGAAGTTGACCCTAATCTCACAGCCTATAAAATACTCCTAATAGGTTTAATAACATTTGAATTAATAGAAAGATCATTTTTAAATTTAAAAATATGTAAAATTTAAAATTTAAATTTAAATTTAAAAATAAGTAATCTTCCAATAGCCAAGAGCAACTAATGTCATTTTCAACTAAATCATTGAAAATAAAGTTGTTAATTGTATAAATTTTGATAATCTAAGAAATGAATTTCAGAAAAATAAGCCAGAAAAATTTTATGACCAATCAAAATATCACATTAATACAGTATTATTTATGGTATTACATATAACTATGACATTAAAATATTGATTTTTAAAATTTGTAAGCTTATATTTTTACTCATTTATCACTGTTATCACATTAGGTTTTATAAATAATAAAGTAGTTTTAAAGGAAAAATCTTTATATTTTATTATATTTAATAAGTTTTTTTCCCGCATTTTGAACCAGAGCCCCCTCATTTTCATTTTGCTCTGGCTTTTATAAATTGTGTAATACTTGAATTAGGGAGTTCAATAAAATTTATCCAAAAAATAATTTAAATTTTAACAAAAATTAGATAAGATACATTGGACAGCATTTTTAAAAAATTGAGCTTGCAATTTTTTTTAAATGACATCAGAAGTTACAACTAATAAATAATCTCAGAAGTCAGCATTTCCTATTGTTTTCTCCAGGACATAAGCCAAGATGTTCTTTTGCCTATTTCATTTTATTATTTTATAAAAAGCCAACAAGATTCAGCCGTCTTCAATCCTGACACAAATTACAATATACATCACTTCGAGAGAGGGCTTCAAGGAAGTCTTTCCATTTATCAGACCTGTATTTCCAATATATATTTGTTCAAATTTTTATTTAAGGAAAGTTGTAGTGGTAAGGACTATACAGCTATATCAATATGGATTTTTAAAATCTGAACTTCATGGTTTTGATAAAAATGTTTATACTTTGGCCTGTATGTGTCATACTGTCTGCTGCATTTCATAGCTTGCAAATATATTATTAATACTATTTGACCACATTTCCTTGAAACCTTAAAGCATTCATTCTTGTCATTATTACATGGCATACCATTGTCCCAAAAGGAATTTTAGTTTTAAAAACAGCAAACTTAAAACTGACAAAGCGCATGTAAGTAACAGCAGACTGTTTCCACTTCATCATAGTAAGAAAGATTTGAAAAACATCATTTAATTCACAGTTAGTGAGAAGTACATTTGTAAATGCTCCATTGTAAGGATTTTTCCAGTATTCAGTATTTTATAATGCTTCTGTGTACAGGTCCTACTCACTTTTCATTCTGCCATCCTAATGGCTCAGTCAATTTTCTTTTTATCTTATGTTGCAGAATGATTCTTGGGGAAAGCAGTATTCATACGCACTCTTCAAAGCTATGAGTCACATGCTGTGCATTGGGTATGGAGCCCAAGCCCCAGTCAGCATGTCTGACCTCTGGATTACCATGCTGAGCATGATCGTCGGGGCCACCTGCTATGCCATGTTTGTCGGCCATGCCACCGCTTTAATCCAGTCTCTGGATTCTTCGAGGCGGCAGTATCAAGAGAAGGTAATTTGTTTTATTTATCGCCAATGTCTTTAACCAGCTAACCTGAACCAGTAAATTGAATTGTGTTCAAGATAACTACACCATCTCCTCTATAAAAAAAAAAAAGAGATAAAATGTTTAAAGTAAAAACACACTATCTTCTTTGATATTTTGAGGTTTCTTCAAGATAGTTCTCATATCTTTTGCTTCTCATTTCTCAGTTGAATAATAATCTTTTTAAATGTGACTTTACATCTACAGAAAAAATAGCTATATATTTCAAAATGTAAAAAGCTGATAGAAGATGTTATCATGGCTCATTTTCTATCATATGTCAATAGTTAAAATAAACCCTTCTCTCGTATGTGTTAGAAAAATGTTAGCTGATTAAGTGGAGACAGGCAGCTATTGTGCATGTCCCTCTGTACCCCCCCTCATCTATAATCATAATTTATATTACAATCCATATGCTTAGCTGAGCATATATTACCTGTATATCTAGATAAGTCGCCACACTCTCCAGTCTTAAAACTGGATATAACAACTGCTGTGATGCATTCTTATGCTCAATGTGCTAATTAAAATGATTGCTGCTCTAAACTTTTCTCACAAGAGAGAGAAAAAGTAAATATAGGCAATGATTTATTCATTGGATTTTTTTTTCCCACATGAAGAATTTCTTTGGCTAGGGCTAAATATAGGGTATTGGGACAGTACTAATATTCTTGACCAAACATCAGTAGCTTTCTGACAGATAAATAAGAATATTTTAAATTAATGGAACAATGTGTAATGTAGGGGCTTTGTTGATCCTGACAGAGTCATGCACCTTGCCAAAGAGCGTTTCTGAAAGTAATGATTAAAATGGCTCTAGAATATTTCTCTTGGTGAGTGATAACAGCTTAGTCTCAGAATTGTTTTCAAAACATCCAAAGAAGTTTTCAGTTACTGCTTTATTTACAGAAGTTTTCAACACTATAATCACACAATATGAGAAAGGGAACCTAGATATTTCCCTTGAATATAATTATACTGCCACTAGCTATTACAGTGAGCAAGTTGGCATTTTATTACTGAAGTAATGAAAAGATAAACCACAAAAATTGGTTTGAGGTTCATTTTTAAATAGTCTCCAAATGAATTGGAAAGAACGAAGAACGTAGTAAGGAAGAAGAGACTTTATACAATGCTGAATTTAACTAAGAATTATATACTTAAAGGAATTTGGGCTAATTTTATGGAGATTTAAGATAAGACTACATCACGTTAAATCTGATGTTTCTCTTACACTGTTGCTTTTCTTTCATTTTATGTTGCTTTTAATAAAAATGCCCCTTTCACACTTTTTTTTTTGGTCTGCATCATTGCTATACATTTTCTCAATAAGAAAACAAATGTTTAACTTCCAGGATTGCAGTGATTAGCATTTTATTGCATATTAAATAAGTTCACAAAGTTTATGTTTTTAAATTTCCTGTATTAGCCAAGTTTAACTTGGAAACTCAATGTATTCACTTATGGAATCATAGATATTTGTATGCAAAGATGTTATGATTTTGTAATAATTCAAATCATGAAGTTCTTGATCTTATAAGTGTTTGATAGAGGACAAGAAAACTAGTATAACCCTTTGGTATTTACTGGCATTTGGAACAATGTAATCAGGAACAGCTGATTAAAAGAATATAACTTTTTTTTTTTGAAATGGAGTCTCTGTCACCCAGGCTGGAGTGCAGTGGTGCAATCTCAGCTCACTACAACCTCTACCTTCGGGGTTCAAATGATTCTCTTGCCTCAGTCTCCCAAGTAGTTGGGATTCCAGGCACCTGCCACCACGCCTGACTAATTTTTGTATTAAAAGAATAAATTTTAGGTCTACAAACCAAGTTCTGCCAAGAAGTTTAGTTCTAAAGTTCTGTACTCATTTTTTAGTCAGTGTAATCCAGGATAGGTCTTAAGGACATTATGTTACTTTTTAAAAATTTTACTTTTTATGAAAAGTATATGTTTAAATTTCAATTTAATCTTATAGCATGGCTTTACATAGTGGATGAGTAATGTGCAGCTTCTTTGGTGATTTGCCCTCTTTGAGTTTTGGCTAAATTATTATCTTTTTATTTAGGTAAAATTCTGATAGGAGGCACTCTTGGGCAGGACCCAAAATGGAATGCTGGCCCTCCTATATGGTTCAGATGTAGTCCACAGAGAAGCACTCATGCATCCTTCTCCTAGACAATCTGTTAGCACTCCTCTTCCTTCTCTTCCAAACCAATGAGGAGAGTGTATCTAGCCTTCCTTGACGATAGTCAGACTCCAGCGTTCGCAGACTATTTACATGTTGTCAGATATTATTCAGAGTCCAGATCCATGTCTCCCAACCACATGAGCTTATTTCAAAGATCCTTAAATGAATTTGTTTCAAGTGTTTTCCATATGTCAGGTGTTAGAAAGTAGCCTTTTCACACCCCTATCCCAAAAGAGGTTGTAAAGGGACTCACAGCAGAGGAACTTCTCTCTCAAAAGGAATGTATTCACTAGTTCTATCAGGAAAAATCTCACCTTACCCCCTGATCTCTATATAGAATTGATAAGACTGAAGCCTCCAGGAGTTATGATCCTCAGATCACCATTTACAATTTTTACTTGCATAGAAGACAGCCTCTTACATAAGCAATATTCTGATAACTCTCAGATTTGCAGTTCAATGAGCATAGGACAGATTCAGTCCTTACTTAGCATCTTTTTAGACCATTCTTTATCTCATCTAATCCAAAAGCGTCCTTCACAGACATGTCAGTATTATGCATATATAAAAACAATGCCCTGGTCAAATAAGTTCAGAAATGTTGATTGAAACAATCTTACAGAAGTGTTTTTTAGTGTAAATGTGTGTGCCCTGAAGATTTAACATGCCATCTTTGACCTTCATGCCAAGCCTCCATAGATTTTAAGTTACTAATGTCCAAAGGAATTAACCTATAAAGACAAATTCTCCATGATGACCATTCTTTTATTTTTAAACTGATTTTGAGTGGTCACTTTCTTTTCTAGATATAATTGCACTTCATCTAGCCTTCATGAAATGAAACTCCTTTTGATCACCTTGGTTTTTTATACTACTACATCTTAGTTCATACATTTGGACACTCCTGGGAAGCTGACTATTATTTCTAGTTATGTCGCTGTCTCCAATCAAATAACTATAGTAATAGAAGCTTTATGTGTTCACTTCTTCCTCTGCAATGAGCAAGAATTTTGGCACAATATAAATCATGACTTAAGATTCAGGGATTTGCAACTCACCTTGGTATACTTGATATACATGAAAGACTTTTATTGTGTAAATTAAAATACGAATATCACCAACTTGAATATGACCAAAGAATAACTTTAAATATGTGAGGAAGTTATCAATTCCAAATCCCTTTATGGACTGAATAGCATCCTGAAACTGTGAATCAGACTGCATAATTCCAGGGCAGGTGCAAAATGAGCTGTTAAAATGGACTGTGCTTTCTAATGGCAGGGCACAAGATACCAAGCCACCAAGCCAGTTCTATACCTAGATTCAAATATTGATTATGTTATGTAATGTCCAAAGAATGTGCTGAGTCTCAGTTTATCGAGTATATGAAATAAAAACGCTAAACTTCTCCAAAATGACAAATTTATCAAGTTTTGTTAATCTTGGAAAGAGTTTATGTGATGGCTTTTTTTTTTTTTCTTTGAGATGGAGTCTCGCTCTGTTGCCCAGACTGGAGTGCTGTGGCGCGATCTTGGCTCACTGTAATCTGCACCTCCCGAGTTCCAGCAATTTCTGACTAATTTTTGTATTTTTAGTAGAGGCAGGGTTTCACCATGTTGGCCAGGCTGGTCTAGAACTCCCGACCTCAAGTAATCCGCCAACCTTGGTCTCCCAAAGTGCTAGGGTTACAGGCATGAGCCACCGTGCCTGGCCTATATATGATAACTATTAGTGGCCTTTTGGAAAAGAAGGTAAAGTTTAATGTAAGTACTCTCTCAGCTATACAAAGGAGTAATATGTAATCATTATCCACCTATATAAAATGATTCAATTTTATGTAATCATACCAAAAAATAATGTTCTAAACCTATTTAGCTCAGGCAAATGTTTTTGTTTAATTGCTTAGTTTTAATTAATGATCCATAGATCCTTGTTTTTTCTTGTAAATGAAGGCCCATAATCAGAACTGCCACATAAATTTATTCCATAGATACATTTTTAATTTTTTTAAATCAACCTAATATTTCAAATTTGTGTAAGCTAATGGTACACCCAGACACAAAAGGTGAGGGACCAAAACCTGCTCTTATCTTCAAGCTATTCAAATCCCATTTGCAATAGAGTTTATTTCAGCTCATTTAAAATAAAATAATTATGGTTAAGATATATACTTTCTTGGTTATATGCTCTTCAAGAAAAATTTGGATGTAGGAGGAGTGGCGCCAAATCAACTCTTAAGGATCCTTAAATTCTTAAGGATCATTGTTCTCTCAACATACCAAGTGATTCTTACCTTCACTCCACCCCCTTAAATACTTTTACCCCTTTCACTATTTACATAGATTCTGCCTTTTCCTTTGGAAGGCTGTGGGAATGTTTCTTGATCATGCCATTGTATAGTCATTTGTTTACCGTATTTACTCTCTCTGTCCAGAGGGAGTATAAGGACCATTTTCTTATTTTTATTTTGCTTGAACACAGATCACTTTTTAGAAATGAAATATTCAATCTGCTTTCTCTTCTAGAATTCTGAGATTTATTTCCCTGGGAGCAAGAGGCATATTATCAAAGTGCCTCTCATCAGATTTGAAGCCATTTCTTAGTCTTGGGCTAATCATGGGTGTGTTCTGCTTCAGGAGATGATGGAGCCTCCTCTCTCAGAAAGACAGATGGGAGAGTTTGTCATTATTGTCATGTAATTCTAAGTCTTCAATTTTTTAAGCTATATGACTAGAATAATGGCTGAGCAAAGAGGAACAGTTTGGAGTAATGCCCATAATCATTTATGAATAATACCATTATTTAGTTTTAAAAGAAAAAAGTTACATCCTGTTTTATAGCCCATCTTCATTACATCAAGAAGCTTAGTTGAGTTACTAATTTGGTTTGCTGATTTTGTAGCATTCAGTAGCATCTGCCTTCAGAAGAGCAGAGGGACTTTGAAGTTATAATGATCTTGACCTTGAAAAATCATATCGACTGAGTACTTAAATAAAAAATGTTTTGATACCCTAATGTGCATTAGGATTATTCTTAAGGGGAAGAGCTAGCTCTGAGATCCAAGTGCTTTCAATCAAGCATTTCACTTGGTTTCCTTCATAATTCTTAAATGCTTTCCTCTTTCCTTTACAAATAAGAATGCCTTGAGTACAACTCCCACATAGTACCTTAGTCAAAAATTTTTTATTAGGCTACAGCATGTACTTTGCTTCCCGGGAACTGAATTTAACATACCGTGGTATGTTAAATTGGTAGTAGAGCCAAACGTTCTCAGGCGAGGGAGATCCTAGGGCTGGGAACCTCTGTGAGATTCTCTTGCAGGAAAACACCAGTGTGACAATGCTTGGAATAACTTAATGTAGCCATTGGAGTTGCTAGCAAATCAGGCTCCTGGTACAACAATGTTGCTTTATATTCTCATCTGGGGCAAATAATTTTTATATTAACTAAGTGTTGTTATAAAGTCTGGAGTAAGTCTTTATAAGGGAGGGAGTTTGAGACTTAATTTAACTAAATAGAAAAACAGAAACTTACCAATTGTAAATCACATATCCCATGATTTTTCAAACTTTGTATTTTGATATAACCCACTGTGGCATATGGCATCCCTTTTCCCCAGTGATAATTTCTGTGTCAATGCTCTAAGTTATATGCTGGAATGCCCTACATGTATATTGTAGATATTCACATTTTCAGGACTGTGCAAAGTGCTAAAGATTTCTCCATACTAAACCTTAATTTAGTTTTTTGCTGTTTACATTTATTATTTTTTACAGCACATATGTTAGCTTCTTTTTATAGCTCTAAAGTAGAGCTGTATTTTCCATTTAATTAATTGATTATGCATTTGATATTTTAGAACTGTTTGAATTTTTGAGTTTACTCCCCAAAGTTCTCTTTCAAGTATTCTTACTGTATTTGTATTCCTTATATGTCATAAGATAGAAACAAACTGTGAAGCACTTTCACAGGGAAACCTGGTGACCAGGGAGCCACTAATCTGATAAGAACCCACATTGACAAGAATCAACCTGCATGTAACTTGTGTTTGGTTAGCCGCTTTACTGGGATGCACTGGAAATGGACCTTGAAGAATGAAGAGGTAATCAGCAGGCAGGATTAGTCACCATGAGAGAAATGTCTCAGAAAAATGTCCAAATTCTGAGAGAATTTCTGGCAGACAGGAACAAAGTGTGCAAAGGCCCTGAGGTAGAGATGTATGAGACATATTGAATAGTCTAATTTGAATGAAACAATAGCTACCTTGCTGGGGAAAGTGTGAAATAGCCTAGATTATGGCCAAAAATAGTTTTGAATTCTGGAATGATGAGATTGTACATTATTAAAGGGATATCCTTTGAAAAACTTAGCAATGGTAAGTCTGAATTAAAATTGTCTTTTAGAAAAATAAATCACAACAGTGCATGAGATACGACGTATTCCTAACCTAGAATCTAAGATTCCTTGATCAAAATTGTTTCTGATGGAATCATTAATACAAATATGTTAAGCAGGAATTTGAGCCCATTAAGTAGGTAGAGATAACTCTAATAGATAAAACTTTAGGAAACAACATTTTTATAAGTAAGTAGGATCCAAATAGTCTTCAGTTATAAGTTGTCGTGTTATTTGAGCTTCAAATAATCTATTTTGTTCCTGCACTCCATGCATTCCTGCAGAATGCTAACCATGTGTCAGGCCTACTACCAGATGCTAGGCACATAGTGAGCAAGTAGACATGGTACCTCCTCTCATCAAGCTTCTTGTAATATAGTGGGTGGGGTTAGGAGGATATTTCACCTAATAGAATGATTCATAGAAAGCACTACATTATTTTTTTAGGAAATTAATGCTATGAGTGGAAATGTACAGGCGAGATAAGAGATTTTAAGATTTTTTACTTGATTCATATGGAATACTGTAGGGTGAAATGGGGGGAGAGAAGAAGAAATTATATTATATTTGAGAAGAGACCTGAAAGATGAGAAGTAAGACATGAAAGTGAACTTCATGAGAAAAAACTGAGGTATGAAGAAGCTTACCACAGTTCATGAACAGACAGATAGAAAGTGTAGCTAGAACAGAGAGAAAGGTGAAATGACTCTAGATAAGACTGGAGAGGCTGATAGGGATCAGTTTAGGTGACACCTTATAGGCCTAGGCAACCATGCTATCTTGTAGCCTAAATGCCTTGAGAGTCTAGTAGCAATTTGAAATGGAAGAGTGATGAGATTAGATTTGCCATTTTTAAAAAATGTTAATCAACAGTGTGTATAATAGATTAAAGGAAGGCAAAACTGGCCTGGTCTTCTTTGGCGTTACACAGTTTTCCAGTGCAAACTTGCAGAGACCTAGGTGAGATTTCCATTTTAGCGGGTGGACATATTAAACAGGGTGGGAATACTAAATAGCCATTATATATTGAAAAATACTATTAGGACAAATACTAAACTTCTGTAAGACAGAGACTCAACAATTCAATAACTTAAAGAACTATATGATTTCACAAATAAACTTTGTGAAATGAGAGGGGTAAGTGGGATGACACTGCTCCAAATGGCCATTTGTGAATATAGGTTCATCCAAGTTGTTCCTCCACTATCACCTAGGACAATGCTTTCCAAACTTTAGTGTGCCTCATAGTCACCTGAAAAGCTTGTTAAAACACTGATTTGTGGGCCACATTTCCTGAGTTTCTGCTTCATTAAATTTGCAGTGGGGCTTGAGAATTTGTGTTTCCAACAAGATCTCAGATGCTGCTGCTGCTACCGGTCCAGAGACCAGCACCACCCTAGGGTATTGTTCTTGTCTGCATGTTTGAAGCTGTGCAGGAGACATGTTTGTCTTCCAGCTCATGACAAGAGGAAGAGAACACAGCGGGACAGGCATATTACTTCTTCTCATGGTTTATTGATGAGAACTTAATTATTAATATATTTCTACTCAAGGAGGCTGAGAAATTTTTTCTAACTAAGCAGAACTGTGACCACTCAACAACTCTATCCATAGGGAACAAGCAGAGAAGAGATTTAGGTGGGAAAATAGTGGCCTGTGCCACAGATACAAGAACAAAGATGAAGAGCTAGGAAGATGCTTGGAATTTCTTAGGAAGTTCATATATTTTGAATGGGCAGTGGAGTACTTGAAAAACAATAGTAGCTGTAAGGCCTAAAATCGTCTGTATTTGGTTTGGTAGGCAATGGAGAACCACTGAGACTTTGAGTCACCATAGCCCTCCTCTTATCCATATTTTTGTTTTCAGTTTCGGTTACCTGTGGTAAATCATGGTCCAAAAATATCAAATGGAAAGTTGCACGAATAAACATTCACATAGCTTTTATCACAGTATATTGTTATAATTGTTCTATTTTATTATTAGTTATTGTGCGTCTCTTACTGTGCCTAATTTATAAATCATACTTTATCATAGGTATGTATGCATAAGAATAAAACATAGTATATGTATAGGGTTTGGTGCTATCTGCAGTTTTAGGCATCCCTGGGAGTCTTGGAACGTATGTCCCACTAATAAGTGAGGACTACTGTATATGGCCTGGTGCTGTAAGTTGATAGATGACAGAGAATGTGGAGATATACAGGGTAAGAAGTGGCAAAATAATAAAATGTAGGGCGAAATTGCTATCTTCTCTTAAGCCATCTGTTAGAAATGTTGGAATGCATTATCTAGAATGCATCTTATACACCGTGTCTTATTTACCAGGAGTAATGAAGTGCCCCTAAGTAAAACATTAGTTAAATGTATCCTCTTTATTAACAAAGATATCACTGTTATTAAAAAAAATTCAGTATGTAAAATATTTATTTACCAATAGTTTTCCCCTGAATTTTCAATTGTAATCTGATCATTTATTGTGAATCACTAACGTGGATTTTTCTCTGCCATTCTTAAGAAAAGGAAATTTGTATAAAACATAATTATATTATTTGTATCATAAATAGTATGAAACAATAATATGAGAGTAAGATATTATAGTTTACTTTCTGAAGTCAAAATGTTTCTCTCTGAAGAATATATGAAGTAACTCATACATTTTGAACAGAATATATTGATACTGTGAACTTAAAATACAAATTAAAAACTTTTGATATATATATGAGACAACTATAAACCACTTTGGGACAAAATATTTTCAACTTTTTTTCTGACTATACCAGTATTTTACTTAAAGGATCAAAACATATATTCAGATTATAATATAACATAAATGATTATATTCCATATTCATTGCTTAAGCTTTGCCAAGTGAAATTATCTTACAATAGTATATTTGTTTTAAAAGATTTCTTGCTGTCTCCCACTTACTGAAGTTATTACTAGAATTAATGAACTAAAAATTTAAAAGTTACTTTAGCAATTTTGGAAAAGCCTCTATTAAAATATTTAGATTGGCATGTATAATAAAAATGATCGTAAATTTTAGCATGAGAGTGTTATTAAGTGATATTTAGAGAGAATTCAAGATTTCTATTAAAGGATGTAAATAGACTCAAGTTTTTCTTCCAATGAGAATATAAAATACTGAATTTTATTTTAACGTGAGAAGATTTTTAAATTTTATTTCCAAATGA
Source organism: Homo sapiens (assembly GCF_000001405.40). Lineage (NCBI taxonomy): Eukaryota > Metazoa > Chordata > Mammalia > Primates > Hominidae > Homo > Homo sapiens. The sequence goes on along the minus strand of NC_000005.10, from coordinate 45,386,677 downwards.
TGAGCTGATTAGAGCACTGAACAATTTTTTAGTTATTTACAGAAATAACTTGCATATTTGGAGCTCAGATTGCTAGTAATAATGAGCCCCTGAACTAAGCTCCACCTTTGAACTTTGTAGAAAAGCAACACAGTATAAGTAGATGCAGAGCTGCTAAAAGTAGATGCGCAGAAAGGACAGAAGAGAAAGAGAAAAGGTTGGCTGGGAGCTCTGGCTCATGCCTGTAATCCCTGCACTTTGGGAGTTCAAGGCAGGAGGATTGCTTGAACCAGGGAGTTCACAACTAGCCTGGGCAACAGAGGGAGACCTTGTCTCTAGAAAAAGTGAAAAATAAATTAGATGAACATGATGGCTCGCACCTATACTCCCAGCTACTCAGGAGTCTGAGGTGGGAGGATCACTTGAGCTGGGGAGGTTGAGGCTGCAGTGAGCTCTGATCACACCACTGAACTCCAGCATGGGAGACACAGCAAGGCCCTGTCCAAAAAAAAAAAAAAATCTATAAGCAAGCAAGAAGGAGGAACAGAAAAATGGTAAGTACAATAAGTATAATATTCAGCAACTGAAATGTCCCCACTGCTGTGGCACAATACAATGGAGGACCATGACATATAGCTTTCAATTGATTTAGATAAGACTCTGGTTGAAGGACTCCTGTCCAGCTCCACTAAAATGTGGTCAATTCATAAAATGTATTTTTATTACAATGAGAGCTCCTTCTGTTTTAGTGGTATCTGGCAGGAGGATTGTAGAGCTAAGCTGGTCCTGGAGAATCCAGAGGATTGGGTCCCATGTGCTGTAAGAGGAAATGAGGCTCTGAGTCACACAACGGCTGTGTCCAGCCAAGAATGCGATTATTCCCAAACAGACACATGGCACTCAAGTAGAATGTGGTAATTGTGGAATTTTATTTGCCAATTCACCGAAACTTACATTTTATATTTAATTGCATTCACTATTTAATTCCTCCGATTTTTCACCCAGTTTTTAAAGTATTTAAAGACAAATGGGATTTTTAATAACCACTGAAACATACCTTGCAAATACGGTAAATATTGTTTAAAGTATCAAGAAACTTTACAATAGATTTTCAGAAAATTCACAATAGATTTGATCATATTGAAATATGTTAAAATGTCTTTAAGGGGTGAAAGGTTAAAAGCCTTAATTGCCTTTATTTCCTGACTAGATGACTCATTCTTCCTGGCTTCTTGGCAGTAATATTATAGCTTTCAACTCTTGCAAGCCCCAGGAAGTTATATGAAAACACAAATTTAAGAAATTAAATTTACAAATCAATTTCCTTTTTTTAATTAAAAAAAATCGAATGACTACCTTCTCAACTTTCATAAATTAATAAGTGCTCTTTATGCAGTTACAGTGGTAATCCCTCCTATGAGCAATGTAAAAAATCTAGCAATAAGGGATATTAGGTCCCCATGTTTTATAAAAATAATATAAAATAGTCCCATTCTCAACCCAGTTTTAGATATTAACTGGAAGCTAAATTCACACAACAGCTAAAGAATCAGAATAAAGAAAACAGTCAGTATTCTGAGTGTGCACAGGACTAACTAGTGTTAGCATATATCGACATTTTAAATTGCTAAATTACCATCCAGATAATTAATGCTATGTAGACAATATTGACACAAATATTTTCTTAGTTTAAAAGTTGTCTGTTTAATTTTTTGAAGTCTCCAGTTCTGGAAAAAAGGAAGACTTTTCTATTTATGATCCTCATTATGATTTTAATCTCAATTAATTCACATTGTAGAGATAAGAAAACTGAGATCCAAAGAGATTAAATTAGATTCCACATTTATACCTCTAACTAGCAGAGTCACAAAGATACAAAGCAGCATTCTTATTTCCCAAACAAATGTGCTTTGGAGAAATCCATAGATAAATGATGAACTTAAAATTCTCAGAAGTGCTTTGCAGATCAGCCTTTGCATTTTTCTTCCAACCTCCAAAATTAGTCCATAACATCCAAGGAAGACCTCACTGAGAGCTAGATTTATTATTCTAAGATTTTTTTCCATCCGTAAAAACAAGTTTATTTGAGAAAGATCAAACATTTGATGAACAGTTTAATTAAATTCTTCCCTGTTTGATCACCTGTGTTTAGTAAACAAGAATGTTAAGTGAGCAATATATTGAAATATAAATAAATCTTCACTTAAAAATTTATGTTCTGCAGTGCTGTTTATGTGCTTTTGGCCATATAAACAGTGAAGTTATACTTTAGAAAATTGATTTTCATGAGTTTTATTAATTTAAAATAGTATGAACTTTGAAATAATATGAAATACCATAGATCTCACATTATTCCAAAGATTTTCTGTGACTATATTGGATGTAATATAGACATCATTTAGATATCTGTGGGTGTTTTTAGTATCTTATTACATTCATCTATCACAAGGCTTTTATCTACTTGAAAGGAAATGTACTTGGCATTGTAAGCAGCTTTACTAAACACCAAATACTGCACGGGGATGTAAAGGAAACATGAGTATATACGGTGGCTGTTAAGCTTTGATCATTAGAATTCCCCCAGCAAACTCTTTGATGAGTTATTCTCCCTATTTAGTAGATAGAGAATTTGTGGCAAAAATTAATTATAAAACTTTTTCTAGGATACAGAACATTTTACTGTTTTAGAATATAAATAAATATAATCAATTTCAGGAGTTTTGGTAGCAACTTCTTACCTGTTTCTCAGATGTTGTATAAGGTTGTTTTTGTTTGTTTTGTTTTTTGTGGAGCAGAGGATGTGGAATTACTAACTTGGTATACAAACAAGGCAAGAGAATCTGTGATTCTTTTGTATTTTACTATTAAAATATTGTGGAAAAAACAAACATTTTATATTATCTGGAAATAACCCAAGTTATTTTTGATTAATTAAAGTTAATAGTTTTCATATTTCTTCATGGATTTTTTTTTTTTGAAACAGAATCTGTCTCTGTCACCCTTGCTGGAGTGCAGTGGTGAGCACGATCTCAGCTCACTGCAACCTCTGTCTCCTCAGCTCACCGCAACCTCTGCCTCCTGAGTTCAAGCGATTCTCCTGCCTCAGCCTCCCGAGTAGCAGGACTACAGGCGTGTGCCACCATGCCTGGCTAATTTTTGTAGTTTTAGTAGAGATGGGATTTCAACATGTTGCCAGGCTGGTCTGAAACTCTTGACCTCAGGTGATTCGTCCGCCTCGGCCTCCCAAAATTCTGGGATTACAGGCATGAGCCATCGTGCCCAGCCTCCTCATGGAATTTAAATCTAGGTGTAGATTTTGAAATTATGTACCATGTTTTAAAATTATAATCATTTATTTTCAGAAGCCTTAGTTTAAAAAGTTACACTAATTTAAAAGAGGAGGTGGTAGCAATAAAACATGCAAATTAGTAATCTATAACAAATTACCAGAATTCTGAATACATGCCCATTGCATTTTTTAAAATGTACTTTAATCAATTGGTATAGTAGAAAATGCATAGACGATAGCATCACACTGAAAAATGTTAAATCCCAGCTCTGCATCTTCATAACTGCATGACCACAACAAGTTTTATAGTCTCTTAGAGACTCATTTTCTTCATCTCTAATAGTAGTTAATTATTTTTACTCAATAACACTTTACAAACAAACGTTATGACAAACCTCCTATATAGAGATCATTTTAATCTCAATTAATTCACATTTTAGAGATAAGAAAAACAAGATCCAAAGTTTTCTCTACTGTAGTGTAGTAGTTATATTTTTCCAAATTTTCCTTTCCTAACATTACAATAAAGTCCCCCATTTAATCATAACAATTGCTTAAGTGCATCAGTGAAGAATTGGGTGTATTCATCATTTCGTAATTTCATGATTTCATCATTATTTCATCTGAGATAAAATTCAGAAAGGGAAATGTACTTTCTAAGGCACACCTGTTGATTCTTCTTGTTTGAATAGTTTATCAGATTCATTAATTCATCAGGTGTTATTTAGTGCTAATAATATTTCAGACACCAAAGTATTTCCAAAATTTGAAATACGGATAATACAGATATGACCACTGTCTTCATGTAGAATACAGGTTAAGGAGGAGACAGACCAAAAATCAATTAATAAGTAAGTCAAAAATTTAAAAGAAGCAAATAAGCAGGTATATCTGTGTGTGTATAAACATGATATAATATGGTGTTATGAAGAAAAGGAATGAAGAATTTAGAGAATAATGAGAGTTATCCAGTTAATTCATATATTAATTCATTCAGTCATCAAATCCAGTACCTTCTATTTGTCAGGCTCTTTTCTAGGTACTGAGGGTACCATATTAAACATGACAAGTCTCTGTCTTCATGCAGCTTACAGTGTACACAGGTAGTAAATACTAAAACATACAAGGGCATAAGATGCTTGCAGATGATGATAAGTGCTCTAAACAAGATAAAACAAAGTAATTGGATAGGGAATAACATGTGGAGGGAAGAGAGTTACTCTATTCTCCTAGAAGGGTTAGTTGGAGAAGTCCTTTCTGGTGAAGTGTCACTTATGCTGAGACAAGAATGCAAAAACATCTGAAGGAAGATGTTTTATTATCAGAGAAAAGAGAAAGTACACAGCCGCTGAGATGGGAAGAGGCTAACTTGCTCTAGCAATTCAAAGTCAGTGATGTAGGAACAGAGTCAGTGCGGAGGACAATGGCTGGACAGTAGGATTGAAGCTCAAATAGGAAGACAGGCCAGATCAGGAGGCATCTCCTTGTCTGATTAGTTTACATTTCAATGGGGAGCCATTGGAAAGGTATAAGCAGGGAAATAATATGATTTGTTTTTAGTTTTGAAAAGACCATGTTGGCTGTGGTGTGGGGTGTAGGTCCAGTTAGGACAAGAATGGAAGCAGGGGAATTGGATAAGAGATCCCAGGAAGATGTGATGGTCTGGGCTTGAGAGATGGCTTGGATATAGCAAGGAGTGGGAAGGTCTGGGATTTATGCAGGCAGGAGAAGTGGCAGGACTTGCTGGATTGATGGAATAGATGTGAGAGGATTATAGGCAGGTGATGAATCTGGAAAATGTCTCTTTAGCAAGGTAACATCGGACCTAGCCCTGATGGATGAAATGGAGCTGACCATGTGAGGAGTAAGGGACGAGGGATTGTCATATGGGAAAGAATCATTATGACAAAAATACTAACTTTACATGAATGAGAGCTTTAAGTGAGCTTTTTTACTTTATTTGTTTCAAATTTCTGATGGCCATTGCTTTGTAGTTTGTAATTTATCTATATAGAGAGGATGTAGTAGAAAGTAAAAAATTCACTTGGCCCTGATGTATCCATAATGATAGAAGAGAGAGACCCTAGAATCTACGTTTTGGGAAGAAACTTATCTGAAGTTGTTTTCCTATCTTATATCGTAGGATAGGTTTCTGCTGGTTCAAAGAACTTCTCAGAATGATTTTTACAAAAATATTAAATTATTTTCAAAAGTATCTTATTTTATGAGGCTTATACACCTTAATATACCTTAACAAGCTATGTTCTTCATGATTGCACTTGCTAATCCTATAATTATTATTGAGATTCTTACATAAATTAACTTTAAGAAATTGAACAGGAAATCTAGTTTTGTTGCCTTCAAAAGAGCTTTGCAATATCATAACAACTCTCCTTCAATGGAAAACTCTGTATGATTCAGGGTACCTGAAGATAGATGCTAATTATCACTGTGCTCACAGCACACTAATCTTGACTGTGCCATTTTCTCTGGAAGAGGAAATAACATTTAATATTTTCTAGTTTTACATGAAGGAAGGTAATTAATCTCACTTTGAGCAAGCAACGGGATGTCTTATCTCGTGGTTCCAGAAAGTTTCCCATCTTGTAAATAATAAAACGATTTCCTTATAGTTCTTTGCCACAAAAATAGAATACTACTTTTTCTATAGTGTGTAATGGGAACTACAGGTCTAACAAAGGCACAAAATGTACAAAGAATTCTTATTAGGAGTCTTATTAGGTGTCATGGCCATGAAGTCTTATGTGCTCTAGTTTTTATTTTTTGTCATAAAACATACGTAACATAAAATATATCATTTTTACCATTTTCTTCTGATGAAAAATGTGTCCATTTATTATAAACATATTTAGTAACCCAGAACTCTGCAGTTTTGAACCTGAGTACCTCCATAACCAAATCTCCTATGTAACTTAAATTATTCCAGAATGTTTTCTAGACATATGCTGGATATCCATAGAATATACAGAGACTAATGGTGCTACTGTTTGAATGTTTGTGTCCCTCCAAAATTCATGTTGAAGCTTAATTCCCATTTTGTTGGTATTAAGAGGGAGCCTTTTGGGAAGTGATTAAGTCATGAGCTCTTGTAAATGGCATTAACACCCTTATAAAAGAGGCTTCAGAGAGCTGCCTGGCCTTTTTGCTCTTCAATTATCTGAGGACACAGTAAACAGCAACAAGGCACCATCTTGGAAGCAGAGAACAGACCTCTCCAGGCACTGAATCTGCTGATGTCTTGATTGTGGACTTCCCAGCCTCCAGAACCATGACAAATAAATGCCTGTTCTTTATAAAGTATCCCTTCTAAGATATTTTGTTATATTGAAGCATGAATGGACTAAGACAAATGGATCCTAACTCTTCAAACTTGTTCCTCAAGTTCTCTCTTATTTACTTAATATATATTGAATATATTTACATATCTGTACCGTAAATATGCCTCTCTTTTTTTCTCTTTATTTTGTCATGTAATCATCACCACTATCCATTTCTCGAACTTTTCCATTATCCCAAACAGAAGCTCTTTACCCATTAAAGAGTCACTCCCCATCATTCCTATTGGTTTTTATTATTAATTTTCAGATGTGGTTTTCTTTCTGTATCAAGTAGTATTTTAATAAAAAACAGAATCTAAGATTGTGTTTTATAGCACTATCCAAGCCCCTTGTTATGCATTCCATGAAAATATTTGTTAGTCTAAGCTTTCCTCATAGATCTTATACAGATTTGTGGTAACCACAATGTTTTATTTGTATTCTTAAGCAGAAAAACACAAATAGAAGTTTCATAATACATTCATAAAAATAAGGAAGTATCTTGTGTCTTTGGATGAATTATACAGACATAAATTGATTAATTCATGTTATCATACCAGATTGGACATTACCCAGGCTATTTGTGTTTTATTTCCTTTACATAGTTTCAAACATACACAAACTTTTCACTAAATTTAAGTTTTAATTTCTCAAAAGTAATACTTCTTAGATACCATATTTCTTAGATACAATTCAGAGACCATGAAAAATGAAAATTTTCCTAAATAGTGTTTCACATTAAGAGGAGCGTATCATAGAAAAGAGCTCATTAAAAAGTCAGGAAACAACAGGTGCTAGAGAGGATGTGGAGAAATAGGAACACTTTTACACTGTTGGTGGGACTGTAAACTAGTTCAACCATTGTGGAAGACAGTGTGGCGATTCCTCAAGCATCTAGAACTAGAAATACCATTTGACCGAACCATCCCATTATTGGTTATATACCCAAAGGATTATAAATCATGCTGCTATAAAGACACATGCACACGCATGTTTATTAGGGCACTATTCACAATAGCAAAGACTTGGAACCAACCCAAATGTCCATCAATGATAGACTGGATTAAGAAAATGTGGCACATATACACCATGGAATACTATGCAGCCATAAAAAAGATGAGTTCATGTCCTTTGTAGGGACATGGATAAAGCTGGAAACCATCATTCTCAGCAAACTATAGCAAGGACAAAAAAACAAACACCGCATGTTCTCACTGATAGGTGGGAATTGAACAATGAGAACACTTGGACACAGGAAGGGGAACATCACACACCATGGCCTGTTGTGGGGTGAGGGGCTGGGGGAGGGATAGCATTAGGAGATATACCTAATGTAAATGACGAGTTAATGGGTGCAGCACAGCAACATGGCACATGTATACATATGTGACAAACCTGCACGTTGTGCACATGTACCCTAGAACTTAAAGTATAATTTTTAAAAAAGTGCACATGAAAGAAAAACAACAAACAGTGACCCAACATTGGAAAATTAATCAATGAATGGATAGATAGACAACAATTACTTATCAACCTCCACATGGAGATAGGGGTGCTTAAATTTTCCAGTTAGAGGTAGAGAATATATTCTGATGTTGCCTGGCTCCAGGCAGGTTCTCAAACTCACATGGAACATATACGGTTACTCCAGAATGGAATACTTCTTTCTTGCTGGACACATTTTCTAAATGCCTCTTTATCTAGAGTTATCAAGAAAATTGGCACTCTAGTTTATAATTATTGTAGTTACAAAGGATATAAAAGTTTGACCCAAGAATTAATAAGAACTGAAGAACAACAAAACATGCTGAATGGTAGGGTTGATGAGGGATAATGACAAAGATTACGCATTAGGAAATTGGAACCCTGGTTTTCTTCCTGACATTTGCTAACTAGGTATAAAATATGTGGAAATGAATTTGCCTCTCTGGGTTTCTTTTCCTCATCTGTAAAATTAACATAGTCAGATTAATTATCTCTGTGGTGCCCTCCAGTTCTGAATGTCTCTTTCTATACTAAATATGTATTAATCTCCTTTGGACCACCCAAAAGGCACTTTAAATGTCTTTTGGGTCATCTTTATACACATAATTCATTAATGTATAGTACTGGTTGAGGATACAGGGTAAGGAGATCCCCTTTCTTAATATCATCTGACCTCTTCTATTCTATATAAATAACTTTCAGGGCTTATGCCAGTAATTATTTCTAAGACTAAATACCATCTTTCTATACAGCCCTCTTGGGAGGCTTTCTTCCACTAGCTGTAGGTTTGAGCTACAACCCAATTTGTTATAGTCTTATGTATTTATAGTAACACCCAGTCACATACCTACCTGACTTCTAACTATCTCAAGTAGGTCAGTCACAAAACCGGAAATAATTAAGCTAAAACACTGCTGAGTCTTAGGGAGATAGGTGTCAACATGTAGGTATAAGGAGTGTTTGCATTTCTTGCCTTCTCAAATACATCACTTTTTTTTAACTGGCCTTACCAAAGTCATTAACTTTGCTCTCGGTTAGTTTCAGCAGGCAGTCTGTCAACTAAGGCTATAAAGATTAGGTTGCAAGTGATTGTGTAAAAAACAGCCCCCTAAGTATTTGAAAAGTTATATTAAAAAATAGATCAGACCACAAAGAAAGAAGCAAAAAAGATCATTTTTAATAAACACATTTGTTTTGATTATTAATATTTAACAAATGCACAAAATATTAAATAGTCATGAACAGAAGAATGGGAATTAGGTCTCAAGACAAATGTGAAATTTTATTAAGTATCTTGAAATCTGAGATCTAGTTATTTTTTACATCTGCATTGAATTCCGACTGCCACCATTTTTCTTGATCTATGGTTGTCCATTTTTGTTTGAGCAGTTTTCTGAAGGCTACAACTTCACAAGGCTTACGTTTATTATTGCGATATTTTAATTCTGTGAATTTCAAGGCTTCTATTTTTCTGACACCTGTATCTCTATAACTTCCACCATTTTCTCTAGTTCTGCCTAGTACAGTAGAGCTAAGTCAAACCTTTTCTTATAATTACTTTCTTGTCCAAGATAGCATTCCAAGTTTTCTCAACAAGTCTTCATATGCCCTATTTTTCTCACATGACAAACACCTGGTTGCACTCTTCTTATTCTAGACCAGTGGTTCTCAGACCTGGCTGAACATTAGAATTACCTGAAATCTTCTAAGAAATCATAATGTCAGAAAGTCACAGAAGATTTTAACTGGCTCCCTTACCAATATATGACAGATAATTCACAGAAAAAAAGTGAGCATGTGTTCTATGTATAAAATACATGGTTCAGAATCCCAGTGACACAAGGAAATTGCTGAATGGTATTAAGAATGTTATTTCCTGCCAGTGAACCTCAGGGTCCTCATGAAGATATAAACATAATCACGTCTGCCCTGCATGACTCATGGAATAGTTGGGACTATTAAACATTCTTTGCAAACTTTAAATCACCAGCCAAATGTTATCATGCTTGTTATCATCATCCTTTAAATTTTAGAAGATTGTTTTGTTTTGGTTTAGCTTATGCAACATTTATATCTTGCAGTTCTGGAGGCTGACAAGTCCAAGATCAAGACACTAGCCAATCTGGTGTCTGATGAGGGCAACTTCCTGGTCGTTAAAGGCCATCTTCTAGTAGCATCCACACATTGCCAAGAGAATCAGCTCTAGTCATTTTCTCTCTCTCTCTCTCTCTCTCTCTATATATATATAATATATGTTATATATGTAATATAACATATTTTATATATAATACAATATATATCTATATATTCTATATAGAATATATATTCTATATTCTATATAGAATATATAGAATATATATTATATATAATGTATTATATATAAAATATGTTATATATATTATATGTAATATATTATATATTATAAAATATTATATTATATATAATATATTATATTTTATATAACATATTATATATTATAAAACATTATATTATATATAATATAATATATATTATAACATATTATATTGTATATAATATATATTATAAAATATTATATTATAGATTGTATATGATAAAATATTATAAAATATTATATCATATATAATATATGTGATAAAATATTTTATCATATATAATATATGTGATAAAATATTATATCATATATAATATATAAGATAAAATATTATATCATATATAATATATAAGATAAAATATATATAAGATATATCATAAAATATTATATTATATATAAGATATATCATAAAATATTATATTATATATAAGATATATCATAAAATATTATATTATATATAAGATATATCATAAAATATGATATTATATATAAGATATATCATAAAATATGATATTATATATAATATGTATCATAAAATATGATCTTATATATAATATGTATCATAAAATATGATCTTATATATAATATGTATCATAAAATATGATCTTATATATAATATGTATCATAAAATATGATCTTATATATAATATGTATCATAAAATATGATCTTATATATAATATGTATCATAAAATATGATCTTATATATAATATGTATCATAAAATATGATCTTATATATAATATGTATCATAAAATATGATCTTATATATCATATGTATCATAAAATATGATCTTATATATAATATGTATCATAAAATATGATCTTATATATAATATGTATCATAAAATATTATATTATATATATTGTATATCATAAAATATTATATTATATATATTGTATATCATAAAATATTATATTATATATATTGTATATCATGAAATATATTATGTATAATATATTATATATTATAAAATATTATATTATGTATAATATATTATATATTATAAAATATTATATTATATATTATAAAATATTATATTATATATAATACATTATATATTATAAAATATATTATATATAATACATTATATATTATAAAATATATTATATATAATATATTATATATTATAAAATATTATATTATATATAATTATATATAATATATTATATATATATATAAAATTCCATTCCTTTGAGTATATACTGAATAATAGGATTCCAGAGTCAAATGGTGATCCTGTTTTAAGTTCTTAGAGAAATCCCACACTGCTGTCGACAAACTATAGTATAGTTCAACTTTCCATGAACTATAGTATAGTTCTCTCTCTCTCTCTCTGTCTCTCTCTATATATATACCCATGAACCAAAAATAAGTTTTACAAAATCACTTGAAGAAAAAGATATCTATCTATCTACATATATATGGTTTTATATATATATATATACACACATATATATATATATTCATAGTATTTTGCAAGTATTTTGTTGAGGAGTTTTGTATCTGTGTTCATCAAGCATATTTACCTGAAGTTTTCTTTTTTTGTTGTCTCTGCCGGGTTTTGGTATCAGGATGATGCTGGCCTCATAGAATGAGTTAGGAAGGAGTCCCTCCCCAAGTTTTTGGAATAGTTTAAGTAGAAATGCTACCAGCACTTCTTTATAAATGTGGTAGAGTTCAGCTGTGAATCCATCTGGTCCTGGGCTTTTTGTGGTTGGCAGGATTTTATTACTGATTGAATTTTGAAACTCATTATTGGTCTGTATAAGGATTACATTTCTTCTTGATTCAGTCTTGGGAGGTTGTATGTGTTCAGGAATTTACCCATTTCTTCATCGTGGTAGTCTCTGAGGGATATATATATCTCTCTGAGGGATATGTATATTATATATATATAATGTATATAATGTATATAATGTATATAATGTATACAATATATATAATGTATATAATGTATATAATATATATGTTATGTATATAATGTACATAATATATATGTTATGTATATAATGTACATAATATATATGTTATGTATATAATGTATATAATATATAATATATATTATGTATATAATGTATATTATATATAATATGTATATAATATATATTATATATATTATGTATATAATATATATTATATACATATATGTAATAGATATTATATATATTATATATATAATATATATAATATATATTATGTATATAATATATATAATATATATTATGTATATAATATATATTATATATATTATGTATCTACTGTATGTAATATATTATATATGATGTATATACCGTATGTAATATATATGATGTATATACCGTATGTAATATATTATAGATGACATATATACCGTATGTAATATATTATAGATGACGTATATACCGTATGTAATATATTATAGATGACGTATATACCGTATGTAATATATTATAGATGACGTATATACCGTATGTAATATATTATAGATGACGTATATACCGTATGTAATATATTATAGATGACGTATATACCGTAATATATTATAGATGACGTATATACCGTATGTAATATATTATAGATGACGTATATACCGTATGTAATATATTATAGATGACGTATATACCGTATGTAATATATTATAGATGACGTATATACCGTATGTAATATATTATAGATGACGTATATAATGTATGTAATATATATTATAGATGACCTATATAATGTATGTAATATATATTATAGATGATGTATATAATGTATATATTGTATATGATAGATGATGTATATAATGTATATAATATAAATTATAGATGATGTATATCTGAGGGATATATATTATAATATATTTTATATAATATATATTTACATATATTATATAAAATATATATTATATTTATAAATATATATTTTATATATTAAATATATGAAATATATATTTTATATATAGTATATAAAATATATATAATATATAATATAAAATATATATAATATATAATATAAAATATATATTATATATAATGTAAAATATATATTATATATAACATATATAAAATATATAAAATACATATATTTCATATATTTTATAAAGTACATATATTTTTATATATATTATATACTATATATTTTATATATATGATATACTATATGTATTTTATATATATTATATTTTTATATATTATATACTACATATATTTTATATATATTATATTTTATATATTTAATATATGTAAAATATATATATTTTATATAATTTTATTTTTATATATTATTTTTTATTTATTTTATATCTTTTATGTATAAAATACTTATATATTTTTATGTATAAAATACGTGTATATTTTTATGTATAGAATACGTACATATTTTTGTGTATAGAATACGTACATATTTTTGTGTATAGAATACGAACATATTTTTCTGTATAGAATACGTACATATATTTGTGTATAGAATACGTAAATATTTTTGTGTATAGAATACGTATATATTTTTGTGTATAGAATACGTATATATTTTTATATAAATACGTATATATTTTTATATATAAATACGTATATATTTTTATATATAAATATTTTATATTTTTATATATAAATGTTTTATATATTTTTATATAAAATGTTTTATATATTTTTATATAAAATGTTTTATATATTTTTATATGTAAATGTTTTATATATTTTTATATGTAAATGTTTTATATATTTTTATATGTAAATGTTTTATATATTTTTATATGTAAATGTTTTATATATTTTTATATGTAAATGTTTTATATATTTTTATATGTAAATGTTTTATATATTTTTATATATAAGTATATATTATTTTACATATTTATATAATTATATTTTATATAATTTACATATTTATATAATATATATGTTTTATATATAATATGTAAAATATATATGATATATATTATATAACATATATATTTCACATATTATATATTATATATGAAATATATATTATATATATAAATATATATATAAATATATATTATATATAAAATATAATATATATTATATATATTATATTATATAATATGTATTATATTAATTGTATTATATTATAATATAATTATATATAATAACATATTATATAATATATTATTATATTATATATATAATATATAATTATATTATATATAAAATATATATATAATTATATTATATATAATATATAATATAATTATATTATATATATAATATATATATAATTATATTATATATATTATATGATATATACTATATATATTACATTATATATAATATACATAATATAATATATAATTATATTATATTATATATTATATATAATATAATGTATATTATATATTTTTTATAATATAATGTATATTATATTTATTTCATATATAATATTACTAATGTATATTATATATATTTTATATATAATATAAATAGTAGAAAACAGCACATATACACCTTGTGTGTGTATGTGTGTGTGTACATATATATATATATTTTTTTTTTTGAGATGGAGTCTCTCACTGTCACCCAGGCTGGAGTGAAATGGTGCTATCTTGGCTCACTGCAACCTTCGCCTCCCGGGTTCAAGTGATTCTCCTGCCTCAGCCTCACGAGTAGCTGGGATTACAGGCGACCGCCCCCAAGCCCAGCCAATTTTTATGTTTTTAATAGAGACAGGGTTTCACTGTGTTGTCCAGGATGGTCTCAAACTCCTGACCTCGTGATCTGTCCACCTCGGCTTCCCAAAGTGCTGGGATTACAGGCATGAGTCACCGTGCCCAGCCAGGATTTTGTATTTCAGTGGGTTCAGTGGTAATATCCCCTTTGTCATTGTTGAATTTTTATTTGGATCTTCTCTTTATTTCTTTATTAGTCTAGCTGGTGGTCTATCGACTTATGTTATTAATTTTTTCAAGGAACCAACTCCAGGATTCATTGACCTTGTGTACAGTTTTTACTATTTCAGTTTTCTTCAGTTCAGCTTTGATTTTGGTTATTTCCTGTCTGCTAGCTTTGGGGTTGATTTGCTCTTGTTTCTCTAATTCCTCTAGTTGTGATTTTAGGTTATTAATTTGAGATATTTCTAACTTTTCAATGTGGGCATTTGGTGTTATAAACTTCCCTCTTATCGCTGCCTTAGCTGAGTCCCAGAGATTCTGGTATGTTGTATCTTAAGACTGCTTTTCAAAATTCTCATTGTCCACAGTTTACCCAATATATGTCCCAACGTCTGTAATGTTTTCTTCCTTCTCTAGCTTTGATATATTTTTCTCCTCTCCTTTGCTTATCCTAGCAAATAAAATCACCAAACTCCTCGAAATATACATATTTATGGAGAATCAGTAAAAAGAATTTTTAAAATTTACATTTTTAAATGTTCCATTTAGCTCCATCATCACTATACTGCCATTACTTCTTTTAGAGTGTGTGCACATAAAAAATATTTATCTTTAACATTTTTTTGCATTTTGTGTCAGTGAAGAGTAAGAATACCATTCTACAATCAGGGGAAAATGTTTCTAGTTATTGCTGGCGCATGACAATAGCTAGCTCTGTGGCCTTATGGCATTATAGTTTGGAAAAGAATAAATAAGCACACACATATATGATAAATTATATTTATCTCTTGGGAGAATTGTTTATAATTATATAAAAACTTTGAACATCAATAAAAATATGTAGTTTCTATTATTTACACATTTAGTTTATATTTTTTAATTTATAAAGGTAGCAATGAGGAAGGTTCTCTTCTTCAAAACTCTGATGTTGAAGTTCAGAAGGCTGTGAAACAAGGTGTATATGTGCTGTTTTCTACTATGACCTATAACAGTATGTTGAATATATGCCCAATGTTTCTGACCCACTAAAATATCTACTTTAATATAGAAAAAAAATTAATGTAATGGGACATTATTTTTAAGGCAGGAAAATAGGGAGTACCTATAAATCAAGTTTTTCAGTTAACATCTTTATATATTCAGGTTTTTTTAACTTGTTTTAATTTGATAATATTGGATAAATATGTCCGTTTTTAATCAAATTTGGTAATTGTAGTTTTATATAAAGTTATGTCTATTTGAAGAACAAAAACAACCTTGTATTCTTCACATTGCAGTAGTTTAACATACTCCATTAACAGTGAAAACATATATATGCTATTATATTTTCAAAGAAAATATGAATCTCATACCATTATAATTTTTCCCAAGAAAAAATTAACTGAGAGGTTTTTTTTTTATTTCAACCCCAGTGGAAGTACAATTCCAGTCATACATCAGGTCTTATAGCACAGTATATTTTGTTCCTGCTATTTTTGTTATTGTTATTTACAAACTTGAAAACTTGATTTAAGAAAATACAGAGCTAACATTATTTATTCCTAGAGGTTCTCTTATCTCTTAGGTATCTTATTTTAGCTTGCGCTATAATTACATTTCTTTATGCTCATGATCCGGAATAATCAATTAAGTCAATAATGTTCACACTCCTTTACCAAGTAAAACTACAATGCAGTGATATTTAGATACATGCACTGGAGTGTTTTGGGGTATATACTAATGTCACTTGTCAAATGTTCAATTTTTACAGGATTTTCTATAATCTGTATTATTCTAATATTATAGTTTTAAATTTCTTACCACTGAAGAATATTGATGATGCAGGCAGATGCGAATATATCTATTTCTTGACTTCTCTGTTACTCTTGTGCTCCCCACTCTCCTTCCAGGCTTGAGAGTACCAATCAGGCTGGGGCTGAGTGAGCAAGGACAGTAATAGGATAGGCCATGAAAGGCTGTGTTTCATAGGCCCATACAGGTTATTGAAATATTTTGGCTTTCCATCTAAGATTGGAATACTTGGAAAGTTTAAACAAAGTTATGCCATGGGCAGATTTACATTTTAGAAGGATAATATGAGATACTGAGTTAAGAATGAATTATGAGCAGTCAAAAGGGGAAACAAGCCAATTAGAAGGCTATCACAATCATACACATACAAATTCATGGTAAACTGGGCTGTTTGTAGCAATAGAAGTGAACAGGTAAATACATTATAAAAGTAGATCCAGGAATATTATTCAGAAATAAAGAAAAAATATCTACGGATATATGCAACAACATGAATATATCTTGGAAACATTGTCCTCAGTGAAAAAAAAAAGCCACATGAAAAAGAATAAATGTTATTCCATTTATGTAAAAATCTAGAACAGGGAAAATAAGAGTGACAACAAAACAGATCAGTGATTTCCTGGGACCAGGGGAGGGAATATGACCTAGCTATGAAGGTGAATGAGGGAACTTTTGGAACGGATGGAAACATTCTAAAACCTCCACATGATGATGATTTCTCACGAAAATGTTCACTTAATTTATGGATGTTATTTTATATAAATTATACTTCAATGAAACTGTAATGGAAAAAATAGTACATCTAATAAAATTTGCTGACAGAAGCGGTGTATGAGAGAAAAAAATATGGCAAAACAAAAACTTTACACTTTTGGCCCCAGCTCCCGGTAGAAACTCATCTGATATGCAGAACACTAGTAAGATGAGGTTTTGATGAAGGATTTCAGCTTTGGATGCGTTAAATGTTAAATCTTCAGTACACACCCAAGTGGAGATGCCAATTAGGCCATTTAGTATATGAATCTTGATTTAATGGAGTAGTCTAGCCTAGAAATACATATTTAGGTCTTACCAGTATATATAGAGTCTAAAGCCATAAAACTGGGAGAGAACAACATTCTCTATCAATTAATGTTGATATAGAAGAGAAATAGTGCACTAGAATAATTTCCAAATCAAATTATTCCATTATTTATCATTTCTATTTAAATGTATATAACTCATCCTTAGCCCACCATCTTAACTTTAGGAAAAATAATTATGTTTTTGCTATAATTTTCTCATTGCCTAGTTAAACACCTGACTAAGAAAATGTTCATTAGCAGTGACTATGGATTAAATGTGTCTCCTTAAGATCATTCAGCATGGCGAAAATAGAAGAAAAGATCAAATTAGTGTCATTATCTTGCAGCCTCAGCTGATTTTGAGAAATTGTTTATAATGTGAGAACACAAAACGTGTATTAATTGAAACAGAATCTACTCTTCTTCTATTAGAATAAATTAACAAAAAATCTTATTGATTGTTAGGAATAGTGTAAGCTCCTGGTTCCTTTATGGTTTGAGTGGAACACAACTGGAAACTCCTTTGTTTTGCTCTCTTCTCACCTCATCTACAGTCAAGATCCAGTAACCTATTGGTCCATTTCTTGCATTTCACTTCTTTACTTTGCATAACCCATAACAGCCAATTCACTTCCTGCCTGATAACACATTTATCTTGACTCACCCTCATTTTATCTGAAACCACTGGCTTTGTATTAGGTCCCTAAATTTTTAGTAAGCAGCTGCTCTCAATTATTGCTGTGAAGTTTACCTGGAAACTTTGTTTTGTTTTGTATTGATGAATGGTTCTAATTTTAATAAGGTAGTTTTGACTTTATTGTAGTTAGATTGGAAGTTCTTTGTCTTCTCTCACTACTTCAGGAAACTTATTTGGAAGTTACGATGGTGACCTGGTTCTGAAAAGCCAGTCAAATTTTAGATTTAGATCAACCAGTGACCATTAGTTTCATACTAGCCAAGTTGAGAAAGTTTGGATCAATTTTCTTTTATAAACTCCATTAATGATTTTCTGAAATTGTCCTCTTACCACTGGTAACATCATGCATCATGGTTATGCTACTTTCCTGAGTTGCTATCAAATTCAAAGCAGTGTCAACAGGTAACTAAAAACTCACTGCCAATTCAAAGTATTGTTCAATTTATGTTACATATATAGTCTTACATTCAGAAATTCATATTTCTGTATGTTGACATGTATGTGTACAAAATACATACATATATGTGTGTAATTCTTTTGAAATCAATCATTGATATTCACCAATATGGATCTTTTGTATACAATATGACATGTATGTATACAAAATACATACATATATGTGTGTAATTCTTTTGAAATCAATCATTGATATTCACCAATATGGATTTTACTTAAATAAGACTCGATTTTTAACTTAAGACTCAAGGACTATGATTTTTCTTATTCTGCTGTGCAACACTTTGCACTTTCTTCTAATAACATCTCCTTACTCTTTAGTAGGTACTTACTAATGATCATTATAGTGTTTATATTTTGTCACTTCCCCCATTGGATTAGCACAAAAATTCAAATTGATTTATGTTGAGACTGATAACCAATCAATACTTGGATCTGAAACATAGATGTTGACTAAATCTTCTTAATATTTATGTATTCTTCTTCATTAATTCTTAATACCACATCATTCAGACTTGATAAGTACCATGATAACATCCATTTTGATCTTGTTTTATATTATGAATGTAAAGAAAATCAGGTTTTTAATTTGTACTGAAGGAATATCTTTGTTAGAATTTTTCGCTTTTGAAAAACAAATACAAAGATAAAAGTTAAGCATTATAAATGCTCCTTTCTTCATCAGATATGTTGCTTCTGCATGATAATTTGCTGGTGAGTCATTTAAAAATTATTCTTCAGATTATATTTACACTTAGTAATTATCCATATCCTCAGATATTCAGTTGCTTTAAATTTGGAAAGCTACAAACAATAAGATAGAAACAGTTGCATTTCAAACAAACTAGAGAGATTTACAAATGTAAATCAAGCTATTACTAATGCTAAGAAACATTTTGACTAAAATAATGAAGTAGAAGATTAGTGATATTTAAACAATGTCCTGTTTTAAGCTATTACTGTTTTTAACGCATTTTCATATATATACAGGGCTTACATAATAATTTATCATCTATCACTAAAAGCTTAAAAAATTTGTTGGGGCTGTGGAAAAAGGACATTAGGAATATATTATTTCTTAAAAATCACTTAACTGTTTATTGCAGATAGTGAATATATCTTCCCAATGGAATGGAAGTTAAACATAATTAAATTTCCTTTTTTTATTGAAGAATTACCACACACACACATAACATACAAAGAAGAGAATGTACACACATACACACACACACACACACACACACACAAATGCTATAATGTAACAACAATCAGTGCACCCACATTTTCAAAATATTTGCATCATTTTAATCACCCAAACTTATCTAAATTATTGCTCTAAAAGCTGCAATCTTTGATAGCCTAGTAGATTTAGCCCTGGTGTGAAATAGTATCTCTAGATTTATGCTAATTGGCTTTATAATTTATGAAACATTATGTCCTTAATCATCTAATTTTAAGAAATTAAATGGGAGGTCATTTAAGTTAAAATTTAATAAACTAAGTTATGGATCCTTCAACTGCTTAAGGCATATTACCTGCCTTTGAGGAAAAGAAAAGTAGGTATTTTATGACAACAAATAGGTGTCTGACTTGCTTGTTTCTACTGTATCATTAGAAGTCTTTTTTAAAAAAAATAAGTAAAACGATATGGAGATTCTCAAAGAACTAAAAATAGAACTACCGTTCAACCCAGTAATCCCACTGCTTGGTATTGACCCAAAAAGAAATAAATAATTGTATAAAAAAGACACCTGCACTCATATATTTATCACAGCCCTATTCGCAATGACAAAATCATGGAACCAACATAAGTATCCACCAACAGTTGAATGGATAAAGAAAATGTGGGTATATATGTATGGAATACTACACAGCCATAAAAAATAATTTAATCATGTCCTTTGCAGCAAAGTGGAGTTTGAGGCCATTATTCTAAGTGAAATACCTCAGAGGCAGAAAATCAAATATCATATGTTCTCACTTATAAATGTGAGCAAAACAATGGGTACATATGGACATAAAGATAGAGATAATAGTCTTTGGGGACTCCAAAAGGGTGGAGAATGGGAGGTGGGTGAGGGTTGAAAAATTACCTATTGAGTACTATGTTCAATAGTTTCGTGATGGGTACATTAGAAGCCCAGTCACCACCATTATGCATGTAATACCCATATAACAAACAAACACATGAATTCCCTAAATCTAACATGAAAAATAAAAATAAAAATATGTAAAAGAGTTTAAATGATTTACATATATTTGATCGTATGAAAAAAATGGCACTTTTATTTTTAAAAAGGACTTCAAAGCTTGTTCTTGACAAAGACTAAATAATATGTTTGACAATAAATAATATTTTAGAACATATTAATTAATCAATTATTGAACACCTTCAGGAAGCTTATGGTCTGCAAAGAACACAGGTAATTTCAGTAGAAATTATAATAGTGTGAAAAGAGCCAATGCATGGGAAATACTTGATGTTATAGGAGAATAAATAGCTCATCTAATCTAATCTAAATCTCAACTACTGTAATTCTCTTACTACCAGCATTAGCATCATCTAGAATCTTGTTAGAAATACTAAAATTTCAGTTTCAACCCCATACATACTGAATGTGAATCTTCATGTTAACAAAATTCTCATATTATTTTAATTTACATTAACATTTAAGACAAGCATTAGGGAAAATTACTCAGAGAAAGTGGCATTAAAAATTAACTCCCAAATGACAAGATGGTTAGTTTGTGAAAATTTAAAGTAAAATACGTTGGAAACAGAGACATGAGTGTACCCAAAACCAAGTCTGTAGCCTAGGCTGCAGGTTGGATAGAGAAGACATGCAGGAAAAAGGAAGACAATTTCAATTTTGCGTTTGATGTGCTCATGAAACATGTTGTAAGGGTAGATGTTTAAAGGGAAGACAGGCTTACGAGTCGAGATCAGGGATTTGTTCTCTGCTGGACCATTGACTTGAAGACATGCAGGAAAAAGGAAGACAATTTCAATTTTGCGTTTGATGTGCCCATGAAACATGTTGTAAGGGTAGATGTTTAAAGGGAAAACAGGCTTACGAGTCGAGATCAGGGATTTGTTCTCTGCTGGACCATTGACTTGAGGATTGGTGGTATATTGATAGTAACTGAAGTCATGTGAGTGGGAAGGATTGTCCAAGGAAAATACGTAAGGTGAAAAGAAAAGGCGGCCTTGGGCATAGTCTTTGGAAATACCAACTATTAAAAGATGCCAACAAATGAGACTGAAAAGAGCAGCCAAAGAAGAAACACGAAAGCCAGAACCATATGTGGATGGAGAAGACACAGGAAAAGATGTCTTAGGAGGAAGGGCTCAGTTTGTAATACTGTCTTAGTTTGGAATCTCCTAGTAGCAGAGCCTAATAAAAGAATTTGGGGTGGGTAATTTACTGAGGAAGAACTTTAAGAATCAGGATTAGGAAACAGGAGTAGTAAGACCACGTGTATTAGCCCATTTTTACGCTGCTGATAAAGACATACCCGAGACTGGGAAGAAAAAGAGATTTAATTGGACTTACAGTTCCACATGGCTGAGAAGGCTTCAGAATCATGGCAGGAGGAGAAAGGCACTTCTTATTTGGCGACAGCAAAAGAAAATGAGGAGGAAGCAAAAGCGGAAACCCCTGATAAACCCGTCAGATCTCGTAAGACTTATTCACTATCACAAGAATAGCACAGGAAAAACTGGCCCCCATGATTTAATTACCACCCCCTGGGTCCCTCCCACAACATATGGGAATTCTGAGAGATATAATTCAAGTTGAGATTTGAATGTGGACACAGCCAAACCATATCACCATGAAAAAGGAAAATCTAATGAAGGGTATATTATTGAGGTTTTTTTTAGTTATAGACAATTGGGGCTTAGTCCTACTGACACTCTCTGAGGAACTGTGTAGAATGAACCTTATACTTGTTTCTCTGAAGGATAGGGGCTGTTATTAATCTGGAGACTCAAGTCCCTCATTGGTTGAACGTTGCCTTATGTGGTGTAACCTACACCTCTCCTCACCCCCCAGAAGACCATGCAACTCTAGGTTGAGCTGAGCAAGTTTTCTAGAGTTCCCAGAGAGCCCTGATGCAAAAACCCTGAGATGGACTTTCCACCATTGGTACAGTTGAGGTCAGAGGTGGGTCAGCTTACAAGGAAAGACGCGTTGTATGGGACATCAATAGTGTTAACCACTGGTGTTCAGTACTATTCAGATATATATATATATATATATATATGTATATATATATAATATGTTATATATATAATATGTAAATATTATATATATTCAGATCACAAATATGTATATATATATATTTGGTATATTTGTGAAATATCTAATTAAGTATCATGGTAGTAATCAGGAAATAATGGAAATGCAAGAGTATTATTAGTGAAATAGAAGGAATGGAAGCTATAATTGAAGGTTTTAATGAGAAGTAGAAAGTTAGATAACAAAAGTAGACCACACTTTCAAGAAACTGGTTGAGAAAGGAGAGAAGAAAAATAGGATGGTAAGTAGAGGGCTACTTGTGATCAATAGAGAGTCATTTTTTGATGACAAGAATGTCATGCAGCAAATAAGAGCACAGTCTGAAGCCATATTGCCTAGATTCAAATCCTGGCTTCAGCACTAATTAGCTGTGTGACTTTATGCAAGTTATTTAAATTCTCTGTGCCTCAATTTCATTATCTGTAAAATGAAGATCATGATAGCAATCTCACACTGTTGTTATGAGGATTAAGTAGGTAAATATGAGTAAAAGGTTTAGTTGAGTGCCAGGAAAACAGCATTTAATATCCAAGGGTTAGATATGATTATGATTTTAATTATTGTAACTGGACATTCAAATACAGGTGAAAGAGTAGCTTTAAATGGAATTAGAAACACTTCTTTCATTGTTTATAAGAGAAATAAAGACAGAAGGAGAAAAAATAGATTTCTCTTTAAATGAGTTAGTAGATATTCTTAAGTAAAAGCTTCTATTTCTTTTTGAAATTCTATGTAAAGTCATCTTCTGTGAGTGAAAGAAACTGTTGAGGGAAGGAAATAGGAAAGTTGAGACAGCATAAAATGCTTTAAATGGTCCAATTTAAAAAAATGGAAGAGTGATTGAGTTAACCATGGTAGGCATGTTATATCAGTCCATACTCTTGTTCAATTAAGGGCCAGATCATTTCCCTACACATAGATAGATACACACACACACACACACACACACACACACAAACACACACACCAAGCAAAACTATAGTAATAAAGTTTAAAGTCATTTAGAGCAGGAAAACTAAAGGATTTTAAAAATATTCAAGCACACATTTAGCTGTATTACAATGGTTATAATGATTTTTTCTACTTCTACCAATCATCTAACCCTTGACCCTTATTCCATAATTACAAATAAATTAACATACTAAAGATGTTTTAGACAGACAATTTACTTGTTTAGTAATCAAGGATTTTCTTCTAATTGCTAAATACACTAAAGTCTCATCATCACTTTTTTTCAATTACATGCTTAGTTAAATCTTAAACAATGTTAAATTGACTTTTCAAAAACAATGCTCAACTTGGCCATTATAAAATAAAAACATAATAATAATAATTGATAAATGAAAACCTATGTAGTGTAAACAACTTCCAAGTTCTTTTGAATCCTGCATTTTTACATAGATGAAAGTATAGTTTCTTGTGAAATATCTGAATGGATAGCTAAGTTCCATAAGCAAGAAAGCAAATGACTATTTGTATTGGAAGAGATTATTCTGGATGGAAGAATAACACGCTTTACTTGTAATATCCCAGCACTTTGGGAGGCCAAGGCAGGTGGATCACCTGAAGTCAGGAATTCAAGACCAGTCTAACCAATGTGGTGAAACCCCATCTCTACTGAAAATACAAAATTAGCTGGGCATGGTGGTGCATGCCTGTAAGCCCAGCTACAGCTGAGGCAGGAGAATCACTAGAACCCAGGAGGCTGAGGTTGCAGTGACCAGTCTGACCAACATGGTGAAATCCCATCTCTACTGAAAGTACACAATTAGCTGGGCGTGGTGGTGCATGCCTGTAATCTCAGCTACAGCTGAGGCAGGAGAATCACTAGAACCCAGGAGGCCGAGGTTGCAGTGACCAGTCTGACCAACATGGTGAAATCCCATCTCTACTGAAAGTACACAATTAGCTGGGCGTGGAGATGCATGCCTGTAATCTCAGCTACAGCTGAGGCAGGAGAATCGCTAGAACCCTGGAGGCAGAGGTTGCAGTGAGCTGAGATCATGCCATTGCACTCCAGCCTGGGCAACAAGAGTGAAACTCCATCTCAGAGAAAAACAAATAAAATAAAATAAAATAAAATTACATTCAGTTGGAATTTTGACTGTTTTCCATGCAAAGTAGATACATATTTTATTTCAAAAAAGCTTTTGCATATCTTGAGAGCTAAATAATCATTATTCCATAGAAAAATCTATGTTTTGTTACCCAGCTTTCCAAAAAAGGAAATATAAAATGAAGATAAAATAGGAGTATCTGACTCAAACTTCTGCTAAAAAGCAAACAAATCTCTAAACCATCTGCTTTCCCTCATTTGTGATTTTCCTTTAGTTTTTTCCCATTCATTTTATTGAAAATCAAATTCAGGAAGATTTCATGTTATTTTTATGATTATATGACTTACTATGTAAAGACTATGTGACTTAAAACTTTTTCATAAAATAACCAGCAACACATTTTTACTGAGAAAAAAAAATTCTAAAAGATATGCATTGAAGATGTTGCTGTGTTTATAGCATAGTTCTTGAAAATAGTTCAATCTTGCTGCAAAAATTCTAGAAACAATACTTGTTAAATGAATTAGCATATTACCCAGCTTTTCTATATATATGAATTTATGTATTTTTAAATGTAGGATAATAAAGAGAAATTATGGCTTCAATTGCTGTGTAAATAGCTGGCAATACTAGAATTTTTCTTGGTAAAAATTAAGATAGATTAGTCATAAGCCCAGTGATTATTTATTTAAACATAAAAAAGTTAAAAAGAAAGTTGATTGTTGGTCTTTGAAGAGCAAACAATTTTAAATATTTTCTTATTATTTATTATTATTTGTCAAATTACATTTAAAACACATGTAGTCACTGGAATATAAAATTTATACTTTTTTATTCTATAAGAAAAATACCTCTTCAGAAACCATTTTAGCATTGCTGTGTTTATATTGAGAATGAGACATATATTTTTATTCAACTGGATTTTTAACCTGTTTGCTTTTTAATGATATTTCTAATAATTACTATTTATTATTTATTATTTATCACATAACATACATGCAGTATCACTACTAATTTTCATGGCACCCAGTACGTTAGATATTATCATTTCAAATTGACATATAAAAAACTGAAAAACTGAAAGGTAAAAAAAATATATATATATATATATACTCAAAGTCAAAAGTCAAGAATATAGTGTAGATTAAACACTGACACCACTGGTTCCAGCACTCATGGAGTTTTACAATGCCAATAAAACTTAATGTGGTCAGTTAAGATACTCAGATATTTTTAAATTGACACTCAGATATGTGTAAACACCCTTGAAATTGTAACACATTTTCATGCATGTTTATTTTGGCAGATGAAGGTCTATGCCTTTCATCTGATGCTGTAGGTTGTCCTAGAAATAAAGTTTAAAGAAGCTCTATTTCAGCTAGTGTAGCCTACTTTCAAATAGCTAGTTAATGTAGCATTTATGATTTATTTGAACATGGAAATTAGTTCCATCACTCACCAAAAAGTCTTTTGCCTTTTAAAAAAAAGTATTAACTTTTGTTTCACAAAAATAGTAGTTGATGTGTATTGATGCCAATGTACACATAGATACCCCACAGGTAAGACTCTACTGTGGGCACTACACTATAAAATTATCTTGAGATATTATAAATCAGGTGATATATATATATATATATTTTTTTTTTTTTGATGCTTCCTGAAAGTAAAAAGTTAACTTCTTATAGGCAGTGTTTTATAGATTTGAGACATGGGGATAGAATCATGAACTTAAAGTTCCCTCTGATTTGATGAGTAATTATTAATAATTTGCTATTTTTCAATTTATGTGATTTGCCCCTCTAATACAATGGGAAGGACAGCTTCTTATCCCTGTCTTCCAGGAATGTGAAGTGTATAAAATTATTCCTGAAGACCTGTAATCTGACTCTATAACACAAACTGGTAATAGATTAACAGGAAAAAAGGGCATACAAATTTATTATCTGCACATGTATGTACAGGAGTCATACAAAATATGAAAACTCAAAGAAATGCCCAATCATTGATGCTTTTATACCATCTTGGGGTTACAGAAAGAATAGGGGCTTATGGCATGGCAAGACAGATTGTCAGAGTTAGAGCAGAAGAAGAAAGGCATGGAGTAAAGGCAATCTTGTGCAGATGTACAGGTAGCAGCCCTCAGAAAAAATAGGTGATAGTCTATGGTAAATGTTTCTCTGTCAGATCTTAAAAGGTGTCAGACTCTCTGTTAATCTTTCCTAGACATGGACAAGCGGGGCGTCAGGAAAAGCTTGCTTGCATCTGTTATTTATTTCACTTTATTGCCTCCACAGATGCAAATCTCCCCACAAAAGGCACCTTTGTAGGGCTATTCCTGTCTGCAGGCCCTCTGAACAGCCATCTCAAAATATGTCAAAGAGGTATATTTGGGGTGAAATATTTTTAGTTTCCTTTAGGGGTGACAATTAGATTAACATTTTAAAAAGATGTCTCTGTCTGAATCATGGAAAATGAGTTAGAGTTGGAGGAAGACATGTATAAATAGGTACAGTGAATGTAGTTAAGAAGCTGGTCATGAGTTGAAGGAGAGAGAGTAGCTTTGACCAGAATGGTGATGCAGAGAAATGGAAAATTATTGAAACTTTTGGTAGGTAAAACTTACATAATTTGGTGATGTCTTAAGGATTGGGATGAAGGAGTAGGGGATAAACTAAGGTGTTTCAGTTTTATAAATAAGGGTATCATTTCATGGATATAAAAACAATATAAATGTGATTTAAAATTCTTTAGATTGCTTACTATTCTTCTATTAGATTGCCTTCTATTCCCTTCAATTATTCGTCAGTTCTCACCTCATAGACAGCTCGTGATGGTTATTATACTTATGATTTCCATTGCCACTTCTATTTTCCATTATCTTCTCTCTTAGTCCATTTTTCTGTTGCTAAAAAGGAAAACCTAAGATCGGGTAATTAATAAAGAAGAAAGGTTATTTGGCTCACAATTCTGATGGCTGGAAAGTTCAAGTTTGGGCATCAGTATTGGTGAGGGCCTCAGGCTGCTTCCACTCATGGCAGAAAGTGAAGGGGAGCAGGAGTATGCACAGACCTTATGGTGAGAAAGGAAGCAAGAGGGAGAGAGAGAGGGGAGAGGTGCCAGAATCTTTTTATCATCAAGCTCTCTAGGGAACTAACAGAGTGAGAATTCACTCACGCCTGAGGGAGGGCATAATCTTTGTCCTTGAGGGATCCACCCCTATGACCCGAACACTTTCCAATAGGTCCCACCTACAACACTGGGGATAAAATCTCAACATGAAGTTTGGAGAATCCTATCCAAACCATAGCACAAATCATTACAGTCTGCTTTGTAACATGATCCCTACTCCTAACATACACACATAGGGAAAGGTCACCAAAGACATTACTGAAACTAAATCTAGAGGGTAATTTTGAATTCACATTTAGACATGTCACATATTTTGGAGAATAAAAGCGGCCTAAAAATCATTTTCAAAAATCTCATATTAGTATATTTTTAAACTAAAAATATTAAAAGTACAGAAATAAATGATCAACGAAAAGGAGGCGGAATTAATGTTTTCTAAGAATTTCAGAAAATATTCTAGAATGTAGGGGAAATGTTGGGGAAATATAGAGAAAATGTAGGGAATGCAGAGAAAGGTAGGAGAAAATGCAGAGACTAAATACATTAAATAAAGATAAGAAACAAATCAAATCCAGCATAGAGAATCAAATTCAGATCCAAAGCCTCAACATCCAACTAGAGGAGTTCAACCTAGAATTCTATATGGAGTCAACTTTGAGAGTTTAATAAAGACAATTTCAGACATGGAAAGATTCAGAAAACATACAATCTTTCTTAGTCGTTTACTTGGGGATTTTTTCCAGCAACATGAATAAATAAACCAAAACAGAAACATGGCATTTAGAAATACTGAGCCAAACCAAGGATGTTGTAAAGAGAAATTCTATAGGAAAATCTTTGAAGAAAAAACTCAATGTCTATCTGGTGGGATAAGGAGGCTAGAAAAAAAATAATACTAAATGAAGGCTAATTACCCAAGAAATAAATGTGATCAGCAATTGCAGGATTAACAAATCCATTGGATGAACAAGTCTTGTTAATCTACTGATGAGCAAGAAAGGAAATGTCATCAAATACTCACACCATTTGGCTTTGTGGTAAATATTTACATGGCCAGAGTAATGTTAACACTATGAGTTTGGAAGTTCCAATTATAGGAACAAAGTTATAATCTACCTTTACATTGTAACATTAGAGATGACAGAAGTCATCAAATGAAAGTGAACGAGGGAGTTTTTTTACTTTCACCTGGTAAAGTATCTTAGAGTTATCTGAACAAGAAATAATAGTAAACATGGTGCATAAAGGTACAAAGCAACTAAGGTAAGAATTAACACTAGTGACACAGCTATAGCATGAGAAAGGAAGATTTGGGGTACTGTAAGTGGCAAAACACCATTTTATGACAGTTAGTTTATAAACAATGCCTGTAATTATCTATATAAGAAACGGGAACAAGCATATTGCTTAGTGATATGGATTAAACACCTTTTAACATGGAAAAGTGAGACTGGTGGGTTTGAAACTGGATCCTTGCCGTGTTTTATAAACACTCTTGTTAGATCTCATTTTTAATAATCATGTACATGCATACTTTTATAAATTTTTATAATTATACAGAAACTTTTAAAAATAAAAATATATTAGAATTTTAAGTGATAATTATTTTATAGTCTCTTTAGATCTGATGGAATAAACTTTTGATCTTATGTTTCCAAAGAATTGTATTGGCATCCTTGCTTTTCAAAAATCTATTTGTCTGTGACTACTAAATATACTAAGTCATATTTTGCATATAGTATATTACTACAACTATTAGAAAGTTTGCCATTTTATCATTTTTTGACTTTGCCAACTTACACATTACTTGTAACATCTAGTTTGTTTCACGGTCTGACTACCACTACTAAGTGTCTTTTTCAAAGAATAGTTGGTTATTTTTATTCACATCACATGGAAGTGATATTTTCATACATTCTTGCAAGTCTTGTTAGGTGTGGGAGAAACAGACAAAAAGAAAAAGAAAAAGCTCCTGTTTTTAGTGTGTTGTATTCTAACAGAGATTACTACCTAATTTCCAAATTCACTGGCCACTGTTCAGTACCTGTTTTCTTAGAATAGATTCCTTTTGACCACACCCCCTGTGAAATTTAATCCTTCTTTGGATTTTCTAATCATGTTTTTCTGGTTCTGCTCTCACATCTTGGCAGGTATTAACAGTACCCTTAATTAATCAGTCTCCTGGCTCAGCTGATTTTAAAACATAAGTTCCACTTTTTAGCCTTTTCGCCTCATTTGACACATCCTCCCTTAGTGACTTCTTAGTCACCAATGATGTATATATTTTCTTCTCTGAGTGCCTGACCTACATAGAGGCATTAGGATGTGCTATGGGCATCTTAAACTTAACTTGCTGAAAACTAAATTTACTTTGTTTCCCCCACGCTCACTCAAGCATGCTTCCTTATGTCCTAAGATGACACAGTACTTGGCATATAGCAGCGATTATGAAATTTTTGTGTATGAAGGACCTGTTAAAACACATACTGCTGTGTCCCAAATGTAGAGTTTCTGATTCAGTAGGTCTGGAGTGGAGACTGTGAATGTGTATTTATAAAGAATTCCCAAGTGCTATTGGTGGTTTGGCAACCACACCTTGAGAACTACTGGCATACAATAATCATTTAATGTTTGCTAGATCAATAGTTACTATGAGTCAATGAATGCTTAAAATAGTAATATAGATTCAAACTTCAAACAATATGAATAAATGATAAGAAATAGTCATATAACTTTAAAATTTTAGTTTGAAAGTAAAAGGAAGATCATTTAGTCAAATACTCTCTTATTGTTGATTCATAAATGAGATCTGGAAGGGTTAAATGACTTGTGTGAGGAAAAACAATTAGATTCAATCAACCCTAAGCTTCATAAAAATAAAATAACTATACATGTAACATTTGTTCTTAGCTACAAAGGGATTAATTTTCCAAATTCAGAGACAGAGATAGAGCAGATTATATTTTCCCTAGATTAGTAGGTCTTTGCATACAAGCACTAATTTCCCAAAAATGAATAAAATACTACTAAGTTTCAGTGCTGCTCTTCATATTTCTGAGATGCATGGAAAAGAAAGTAGAAATGAAGATCTCAATGTGTCAGTTAAGGTTTCAGATTCTCACCCCTCCAAGTAGTGTTTGAGCAAGCAAGTTACTTCAGAGAGATGTACATAGGCCTTCAGGCTTTAAATAGTTTGATGGACAGTCTGGTTATCAAAGAAAGTCTCACGACAAAGTGGTATTTCCTTTGAGGGTACTAATGTTCAAAAGGGAATGTTCAAACAATATAATTTTTTTGCAAAATGAAAGTATGTTGGAAAAAATGAAGAGATGCAATAAAATGGGTTGCTGTTTCTCATTAGCTAGGTCTATTATCAATTACCAAGTACAATTACAATAATTATGGGCAAAGAGTCAGGAGATCTAGATCTAGTCAGAGCTGTGTTATCAAGAAAATATTTCAGAAAATCTTGTCCATATAAAGTATATCAAATGTGTGTTACATGAGGAAAAATATTATTTTGACATCTTTATCCAGTTGTGTTACCAACTATTAAAATTTGTACTCGATGCTGTCATCTATACAATGAAACAAAATTTTTAAGACCTAATTATTTTTTTTTCAGTGTGTGGTCTTATGACCCCCTGCATTTGAAACACCTAGGGATTGTTTCTCAAACTTTAAGGTGTATATCTATGCACGTGAGTCATCTGGAGACGTTTTTAAGATGCAAATTCTTATTCCATAGGTCTTGGATGAGGCTTGAAATTATTCTCTTCTAATAGGCACCCAGGTAATATCCATGCTTATATGGTCCTGTTTGACTATCAGGGATGCAGGGATGCTACTTACAAACAATCTCTCTCTCTCTCTCTGGGTGTGTGTGTGTGCACGCGCATGTGTGTATAAATATAAATAGGCAGATAGGTCAATAGAATCAATCTCGGGAATTAAGCCTGAAGATCAGCCTTCCAAAAAAGCAATGCCCTCCCCAGTTCTTAAAACAATCACAGTTGACGCCTACTTGTTTAAATGAACTTCAGTGTCTAAGTTAACTTTCAGCTATACAGTAATGTGGATCTAGTCTCACCGTGATATTCTCCTAAATCCTAAATTGGAAGCCTGCCATAGTCTCTTAGTTCTCAGTAATTTACAGGGCATCTGTGTTGTTGAAGTATGAATGATCTGCAAATACCTGCCAAGCTCCCTGCCTGTCGATTCCAAATTTAATTAGATTCTGATCTTTTGCCAAAAAGCCTAAGATAAAACCTATTGTACTATCCATAGGTATGAGATTTTTCTTAAAAATCGACAGCCAAACAATTTCATACTTCTTTTAGAACTCAATTTAAAAAAATAGCATAACATTTTGTTTTTGCCCCATCACTGGCTTTTCTGTAGCTACTCCCTTAAATTCACTCTTAACTCCCTTCATGCCTCCTCTCCACGATATCTTAGTTCTTTCCATGAAATGTGCACCTAAATAAAATGCCTTATACATTATGTAACACAAAATAGGTACATTAGACCCAGGTAAATTAGTTCCTTCATCTTAAAGGATTTCTTTTTTTTTGTAACTGAGTATTCAAATATTATTGAATATAGCAAAACAAAATAATATGATTTCTGATACACCCTAACAATGTTTTTTTTTAATTTTATTTTCCCTTCCTTACAGTATAAGCAAGTGGAACAATACATGTCATTCCATAAGTTACCAGCTGATATGCGTCAGAAGATACATGATTACTATGAACACAGATACCAAGGCAAAATCTTTGATGAGGAAAATATTCTCAATGAACTCAATGATCCTCTGAGAGAGGTAAGATTTATTGTCCTCAGTATGCATAATACATAATCATTGTTTATTTTCTCTCTTCATGGAGAATCTTCTAGTCCACGTTACTCTAAAGAAAAACCTAAACTTATTAAGATATTTTGTCCTTATCTTCTTTAGCTTCTCACCTACATAAGCTCTTAAATGTTGAAAAAAGTATTGGAAAATTGTTCTATTTATGATCCTCAGAACTGTTCTCTTGTCTGTATTTCTGGCTCTTTAAAATTCCTTCTTGTGGCCTCATTGTCTATATTGTCCCCATTTTTCTCCCCCTCATTCTTATCAAACTGATTCTTCTTTTTGATTCCTATTCTTCCTCCCATCTTCACTTTCCTGGATCATCTCATGGACCCTGATAAGACAATGACTTGCTGTGAGCAGTTCATTTCCTATTATCTCATTCAAACACTTTGCAACATTAATAACCACCTCTTTGCTTTGCATCATCTTTCTGTTCCTCCCTAGAAATCTGCCTTCTTCCCACTAGAATATTCAGATCACTCCTGGACCAAAATAACTTGCTCTTGGTTATTCATATTTCTTTATTTTATTTTATTATTATTATACTTTAAGTTTTAGGGTACATGTGCACAATGCGCACGTTACTTACATATGTATACATGTGCGATGCTGGTGTGCTGCACCCATTAACTCGTCATTTAGCATTAGGTATATCTCCTAATGCTATCCCTCCCCCTCCCCCCACTGCACAACACTCCCCAGAGTGTGATGTTCCCCTTCCTGTGTCCATGTGTTCTCATTGTTCAATTCCCACCTATGAGTGAGAACATGCGGTGTTCGATTTTTTGTCCTTCCGATAGTTTACTGAGAATGATGATTTCCAATTTCATCCATGTCCCTACAAAGGACATGAACTCATCATTTTTATGGCTGCATAGTATTCCATGGTGTATATGTGCCACATTTTCTTAATCCAGTCTATCCTTGTTGGACATTTGGGTTGGTTCCAAGTCTTTGCTATTGGGAATAGTGCCGCAATAAACATACGTGTGCATCTGTCTTTATGGCAGCATGATTTATAGTCCTTTGGGTATTACCCAGTAATGGGATGGCTGGGTCAAATGGTATTTCTAGTTCTAGATCCCTGAGGAATCGCCACACTGACTTTCACAATGTTTGAACTAGTTTACAGTCCCGCCAACAGTGTAAAAGTGTTCCTATTTCTCCACATCCTCTCCAGTACCTGTTGTTTCCTGACTTTTTAATGATCGCCATTCTAACTGGTGTGAGATGGTGTCTCATTGTGGTTTTGATTTGCATTTCTCTGATGGCCAGTGATGATGAGCATTTTTTCATGTGTTTTTTGGCTGCATAAATGTCTTCTTTTGAGAAGTGTCTGTTCATGTCCTTTGCCCACTTTTTGATGGGGTTGTTTGTTTTTTTCTTATAAATTTGTTTGAGTTCATTGTAGATTCTGGATATTAGCCCTTTGTCAGATGAGTAGGTTGCGAAAATTTTCTCCCATGTTGTAGGTTGCCTGTTCACTCTGATGGTAGTTTCTTTTGCTGTGCAGAAGCTCTTTAGTTTAATTAGATCCCATTTGTCAATTTTGTCTTTTGTTGCCATTGCTTTTGGTGTTTTGGACATGAAGTCCTTGCCCACGCCTATGTCCTGAATGGTAATGTCTAGGTTTTCTTCTAGGGTTTTTATGGTTTTAGGTCTAACGTTTAAATCTTTAATCCATCTTGAATTGATTTTTGTATAAGGTGTAAGAAAGGGATCCAGTTTCAGCTTTCTACATATGGCTAGCCACTTTTCCCAGCACCATTTATTAAATAGGGAATCCTTTCCCCATTGCTTGTTTTTCTCAGGTTTGTCAAAGATCAGATAGTTGTAGATATGCGGCATTATTTCTGAAGGCTCTGTTCTGTTCCATTGATCTATATCTCTGTTTTGGTATCAGTACCATGCTGTTTTGGTTACTGTAGACTTGTAGTATAGTTTGAAGTCAGGTAGCGTGATGCCTCCAGCTTTGTTCTTTTGGCTTAGGATTGACTTGGTGATGCGGGCTCTTTTTTGGTTCCATATGTATTTTAAAGTAGTTTTTTCCAATTCTGTGAAGACAGTCATTGGTAGCTTGATGGGGATGGCATTGAATCTATAAATTACCTTGGGCAGTATGGCCATTTTCACGATATTGATTCTTCCTACCCATGAGCATGAAATGTTCTTCCATTTGTTTGTATCCTCTTTTACTTCATTGAGCAGTGGTTTGTAGTTCTCCTTGAAGAGGTCCTTCACGTCCCTTGTAAGTTGGATTCCCAGGTATTTTATTCTCTTTGAAGCAATTGTGAATGGGAGTTCACTCATGATTTGGCTCTCTGTTTGTCTGTTGTTGGTGTATAAGAATGCTTGTGATTTTTGTACATTGATTTTGTATCCTGAGACTTTGCTGAAGTTGCTTATCAGCTTAAGGAGATTTTGGGCTGAGACAATGGGGTTTTCTAGATATACAATCATGTCATCTGCAAACAGGGACAATTTGACTTCCTCTTTTCCTAATTGAATACCCTTTATTTCCTTCTCCTGCCTGATTGCCCTGGCCAGAACTTCCAACACTATGTTGAATAGGAGTGGTGAGAGAGGGCATCCCTGTCTTGTGGCAGTTTTCAAAGGGAATGCTTCCAGTTTTTGCCCACTCAGTATGATATTGGCTGTGGGTTTGTCATAGATAGCTCTTATTATTTTGAGATACGCCCCATCAATACCTAATTTATTGAGAGTTTTTAGCATGAAGAGTTGTTGAATTTTGTCAAAGGCCTTTTCTGCATCTATTGAGATAATCATGTAGTTTTTGTCTTTGGTTCTGTTTATTTGCTGGATTACATTTATTGATTTGTATATATTGAACCAGCCTTGCATCCCAGGGATGAAGCCCACTTGATCGCGGTGGATAACCTTTTAGATGTGCTGCTGGATTCGGTTTGCCAGTATTTTATTGAGGCTTTTTGCATCAATGTTCATCAAGGATATTGGTCTAAAATTCTTTTTTTTGGTTGTGTGTCTGCCCAGCTTTGGTATCAGGATGATGCTGTCCTCACAAAATGAATTAGGGAGGATTCCCTCTTTTTCTATTGATTGGAATAGTTTCAGAAGGAATGGTACCAGTTCCTCCTTGTACCTCTGGTGGAATTCGGCTGTGAATCCATCTGGTCCTGGACTCTTTTTGGTTGGTAAGCTATTGATTATTGCCACAATTTCAGAGCCTGTTACTGGTCTATTCAGAGATTCAACTTCTTCCTGGTTTAGTCTTGGGAGGGTGTATGTGTCGAGAAATCTTTCCATTTCTTCTAGATTTTCTAGTCAGTTTGCGTAGAGGTGTTTGTAGTATTCTCTGTGGGCAGTTTGTATTTCTGTGGGATCGGTGGTGATATCCCCTTTATCATTTTTTGTTGCATCTATTTCATTCTTTTCTCTTTTCTACTTTATTCGTCTTGCTAGCGGTCTATCAATTTTGTTGATCCTTTCAAAAAACCAGCTCCTGCATTCTTTAATTTTTTGAAGGGTTTTTTGTGTCTCTATTTCCTTCAGTTCTGCTCTGATTTTAGTTATTTCTTGCCTTCTGCTAGATTTTGAATGTATTTGCTCTTGCTTTTCTAGTTCTTTTAATTGTGATGTTAGGGTGTCAAATTTGGATCTTTCCTGCTTTCTCTTGTGGGCATTTAGTGCTATGAATTTCCCTCTACACACTACTTTGAATGTGTCCCAGAGATTCTGTTATGTTGTGTCTTTGTTCTCATTGGTTTCAAAGAACATCTTTATTTCTGCCTTCATTTCGTTATGTACCCAGTAGTCATTCAGGAGCAGGTTGTTCAGTTTCCATGTAGTTGAGTGGCTTTGAGTGAGTTTCTTAATCCTGAGTTCTAGTTTGATTGCACTGTGGTCTGAGAGACAGTTTGTTATAATTTCTGTTCTTTTACATTTGCTGAGGAGAGCTTTACTTCCAAGTATGTGGTCAATTTTGGAAGAGGTGTGGTGTGGTGCTGAAAAAAATGTATATTCTATTGATTTGGGGTGGAGAGTTCTGTAGATGTCTATTAGGTCCGCTTGCTGCAGAGCTGAGTTCAATTCCTGGGTATCATTGTTAACTTTCTGTCTCGTTAATCTGTCTAATGTTGACAGTGGGGTGTTAAAGTTTCCCTTTATTATTGTGTGGGAGTCTAAGTCTCTTTGTAGGTCACTCAGAACTTGCTTTATGAATCTGGGTGCTCCTGTATTGGATGCATATATATTTAGGATAGTTAGCTCTTCTTGTTGAATTGATCCCTTTACCATTATGTAATGGCCTTCTTTGTCTCTTTTGATCTTTGTTGGTTTAACGTCTGTTTTATCAGAGACTAGGATTGCAACCCTTGCCTTTTTTTTGTTTTCCATTTGCTTGGTAGATCTTCCTCCATCCTTTTATTTTGAGCCTATGTTATGTGTGTCTCTGCACATGAGATGGGTTTCCTGAATACAGCACACTGATGGGTCTTGACTCTTTATCCAATATGCCAGTCTGTGTCTTTTAATTGGAGCATTTAGTCCATTTACATTTAAAGTTAATATCGTTATGTGTGAATTTGATCCTGTCATTATGATGTTAGCTGGTTATTTTGCTTGTTAGTTGATGCAGTTTCTTCCTAGCCTTGATGGCCTTTGCAATTTGGTGTGATTTTTCAGTGGCTGGTACCGGTCGTTCCTTTCCATGTTTAGTGCTTCCTTCAGGAGCTCTTTTAGGGCAGGCCTGCTGGTGACAAAATCTCTCAGCATTTGCTTGTCTGTAAAGTATTTTATTTCTCCTTCACTTATGAAGCTTAGCTTGGCTGGATATGAAATTCTGGGTTGAAAATTCTTTTCTTTAAGAACTTTGAATACTGGCCCCCCACTCTCTTCTGGCTTGTAGAGTTTCTGCTGAGAGATCTGCTGTTAGTCTGATGGGCTTCCCTTTGTGGGTAATCCGACCTTTCTCTCTGGCTGCCCTGAACATTTTTTCCTTCATTTCAACTTTGGTGAATCTGACAATTATGTGTCTTGGAGTTGCTCTTCTCAAGGAGTATCTTTGTGGCGTTCTCTGTATTTCCTGAATCTGAATGTTGGCCTGCTTTGCTAGATTGGGGAAGTTCTCCTGTATAATATCCTGCAGAGTGTTTTCCAACTTGGTTCCATTCTCCCCGTCACTTTCAGGTACACCAATCAGACGTAGATTTGGTCTTTTCATATAATCCCATATTTCTTGGAGGCTTTGTTTGTTTCCTTTTCTTCTTTTTTCTCTAAACTTCCCTTCTCACTTCATTTCATTCATTTCATCTTCCATCACTGATACCCTTTCTTCCAGTTGATCGCATCGGCTCCTGAGGCTTCTGCATTCTTCACGTAGTTCTCGAGCCTTGGCTTTCAGCTCCATCAGCTCCTTTAAGCACTTCTCTATATTGGTTATTCTAGTTATACATTCGTCTAAATTTTTTTCAAAGTTTTCAACTTCTTTGCCTTTGGTTTGAATTTCCTCCTGTAGCTCGGAGTAGTTTGATCGTCTGAAGCCTTCTTCTCTCAACTCATCAAAGTCATTCTCCATCCAGCTTTGTTCCGTTGCTGGTGACCAACTGCGTTCCTTTGGAGGAGGAGAGGTGCTCTGCTTTTTAGAGTTTCCAGTTTTTCTGCTGTTTTTTCCCCATCTTTGTGGTTTTATCGACTTTTGTTCTTTGACGATGGTGATGTACAGATGGGTTTTTGGTGTGGATGTCCTTTGTGTTTGTTAGTTTTCCTTCTAACAGACAGGACCCTCAGCTGCAGGTCTGTTGGAGTTTGCTAGAGGTCCATTCCAGACCTTGTTTGCCTGGGTATCAGCAGCGGTGGCTGCAGAACAGCAGATTTTCGTGAACCACAAATTCTGCTGTCTGATCGTTCCTCTGGAGTTTTTGTGTCAGAGAAGTAGCCAGCCCTGTGAGGTGTCAGTCTGCCCCTACTGGGAGGTGCCTCCCAGTTAGGCTGTTCGGGGATCAGGGGTCAGGGACCCACTTGGGGAGGCAGTCTGCCTGTTCTCAGATCTCCAGCTGCGTGCTGGGAGAACCACTGCTCTCTTCAAAGCAGTCAGACAGGGACATTTAAGTCTGCAGAGGTTACTGCTGTCTTTTTGTTTGTCTGTGCCCTGCCCCCAGAGGTGGAGCCTACAGAGGCAGGCAGGCCTCCTTGAGCTGTGGTGGGCTCCACCCAGTTCAAGCTTCCCGGCTGCTTTGTTTACCTAAGCAAGCCTGGGCCATGGAGGGTGCCCCTCCCGCAGCCTCGCTGCTGCCTTGCAGTTTGATCTCAGATTGCTGTGCTAGCAATCAGTGAGACTCCATGGATGTAGGACCCTCCAAGCCAGGTGCAGGATATAATCTCCTGGTGTGCCGGTTTTTAAGCCCATCAGAAAAGCGCAGTATTAGGGTGGGAGTGACCCGATTTTCCAGGTGCCATCTGTCACCCCTTTCTTTGACTAGGAAAGGGAACTCCCTGACCCCTTGCGCTTCCTGAGTGAGGTAGTGCCTCGCCCTGCTTCAGCTCGCTCATGGTGCACTGCACCTACTGTCCTGTGCCCACTGTCTGGTACTCCCTAGTGAGATGAACCCGGTACCTCAGATGGAAATGCAGAAATCACCCATCTTCTGTGTCACTCACGCTGGGAGCTGTAGACCAGAGCTGTTCCTATTCAGCCATCTTGGCTGCCAACCATTATTCATATTTCTTACACTTCTTTGCCCTCTCCTTTCTTTTACTGCCAATCTTCTCAAAAGGTTTCTATGTACTCAATGAATTATGGTTTGGTCTTAGCTTCTTTACCAAAGTTTTTCATTTGAAAGTTGTCAATGACCTGTCATGTTGAACTGTAGCTTCTACATTTCCCACATATCATGGGAGGGACCCCGTGGGAGGTAATTGAATCATGGGGATGGTTACCACATGCTCTGTTCTTGCTAGTGAGTAAGTTCTCACGAGATCTGATGATTTTAAAAGGTGCTTTTATCCCTTTTGGTCGATACTTCTTCTTTCTGCCACCAAGCAAAGAAGGACGTGTTTGCTTCCCCTTCTGCCATGCTTGTAAGTTTCTTGAGGCCTCCCCAGCCATGCTGAACTATGAGTCAAATAAACCTCTTTCCTTTATGAATAACTCATTTTCGAGTATGTCTTTATTAGCAGCATGAGAACAGGCTATTTCAGTAAACTGGTACAGAGTAGTTGGGCACTGCTTCAAAGATACCTGAAATTGTGGAAGTGACTTTGGAACTGGGTAACAGGCAGAGATTGAAACCGTTTGGAGGGTTCAGAAGAAGAGAGTAAAATGTGGGAAAGTTTGGAACTTCCTAGAGACTTGTTGAATGGCTTTGACCAAAATGCTGAAAGTGCTATGGTCAATAAAGCCCAGGCTGAGATGGTCTCAGATGGAGATGAGGATCTTGTTAGGAACTGGAGCAAAGGTGACTCTTGTTATGCTTTAGCAAAGAGACTGGTGGCATTTTGCCCCTGCCATAGAGATCTTTGTGGAACTTTGAAGTTGAGAGAAATAATTTAGGGTATCTAGTGGAAAAAAAGTTCTAAGCAGCAAAGTGTTCAAAAGTTGACAGAGCATAAAACTTTGAAATATTTTGCAGCGTGACCATGTAGTAGAAAAGAAAAAGCCCACTTTCTGGGGAGAAATTCAAGCCTTCTGCAGCAATTTACATCAGTGACAAGGCGTTGGATGTTAATCACCAGGATAATGGAGAAAATATCTCCAGGGCATGTCAGAGACCTTCCCATTAGCCCCTCCCATCACAGACCTGGAGGTCTAGGGGGAAAAAATAGTTTCATGAGCTGGGCCCACAGGCTGCCTGCTGTGTGCAGCCTAGGGACTTGGTGCCCTGCATCCCAGTTGTTTCAGCCATTGATAAAAGGGGCCAAGGTACAGCTCAGGCTGTGGCTTCAGAGGGTGCAAGCCCCAAGCCTTGGGATCTTCCACATGATGTTGAGCCTGTGGGGGTCACAAAAGTCAAGAACTGAGGTTTGGTAACCTCCACCTAGATTTCAGAGGATGTATGGAAATGCGTGGATGTCCAGGCAGAAGTTTGCTGCAGGGACAGGGCCCTCATGGAGAACCTCTGCTAGGGCAGTGTGGTAGGGAAATGTGAGGTCAGAACCCCCACAGGGAGTCTCCACTGGGTCACTGCCTAGTGGAGCTGTGAGAAGAGGACCACCATCCTCCAGACCCCAGAATGGTTGATCCACCAACATCTTGCACCCTGCAACTGGAAAAACTGCAGATACTCAATGAATCCCCACCCATGAAAGCAGCTGGTAGATGGGCTGTACCCTGCAAAACCACAGGGATAGAGCTGCCCAAGGCCATGCGAGCCCACCTCTTGCATCAGCATGCCCTGGATGTGAGACATGGAGTCAAAGGAGGTCATTTTGGAGCTTTAAGATTTGACTGCCCTGCTTATTTTGGATTTGCATGAGGCCTTTACCTCTTCATTTTGGCCAATTTCTCCCATTTAGAATAGCTGTATTTACCTGATGCCTATACCCTCATTGTATCTAGGAAGTAAGTAATGTGCTTTTGAGTTTGCAGGCTCATAGACAGAAGAGACTTTCCTTGATTCAGATGAGACTTTGCACTGTTGACTTTTGAGTTAATGCTGAAATGAATTAAGACTTTGGGGGACTGTTGGGAAGGAATTATTGGTTTGGAAATGTGAGGACATGAGATTTGGTAGGGGGCAGGGGTGGAATGATATGGTTTGGCTCTGTTCCCACCCAAATCTCATCTTGAATTGTAGCTCCCATAATCCCTACATGTCATGGGAGGTACCTGGTAGGAGGTAATTGAATCATGGGGCAGTTACCCGCATGCTGCTATTCTTGTGATAGTGAGTGAGTTCTCCCAAGATCTGATGGTATTAAAAGGAGCTTCTTCCCCTTTTGCTCATCACTTCTCCTTGCTGCCATCTTGTGAAGAAGGACATGTTTGCTTCCCCTTTTACCATAAGTGTAAGTTTCCTGAGGCCTCCCCTACCATGCTGAACTGTGAGTCAAATAAAGCTCTTTTGTTTATAAATTACTCGGTCTCAGTTATGTCTTTATTAACAGCATTATAATATACTAATACACCTGTTAATTATTGATAATTTTTCTAAGATGCTGGGACCACTTTTTATGCTGTTAACAAAACACAGTTCCTGAATCTCTCCCAATATATATATTTTTTTTATTTTTAATTTTTTTTTGGCTTCTTTAACACTGCAACATTTCTGAGCCATTGGATTTTCATTCTGTATCTTTGAATTTATTATCTTTTATTTATATTATCTCACATTTCAATTCTATAAACTGTAGTTCTAAGTTCCTGCCTTAAAGTTCATTTCCTCTAAAGCTAAATGATATCCCCTGCACCCACACATGTAGTAGATTATATAATGAAGTCATTTTTCTTCCATCATTAAACCATTTTATCTCTTAAAGTCTCTCTGTACATTCTTTAGTCATTCTCACAAGTTATTTGGAATGTAAAACTTTAGCCCTATTTTGCAGCTTTTCTTTCTGTGCTCTGTACATCCAATCATCAAATGCTATCAATTAACTTTAGTAATACATCTTACATTCATGCCTTTGCTTCCTTTCCCACTGCCATTGTCCTAAACTAAAGCATCTCACATAGACTATTTTCACTGTTCCCTTAGTTTGCCTTCCAGCATTTGGTCTGATTTCTCTGACTACCATTTAAAATACCACGGTCAAATTAATCTTTTATTTACATAAGTTAGTCATTTCTCTGCTCAGAAACTTTCAGTCTTTGCATTATAAATTGAATCAAGTATAGACTCCCTAAGCTCATCTTCCAGTCCCTCTATACTCTGACTACAGCTAAATCTCCAGCTTTCCTTTCCCCCACTGTCATGTCTGTTGCAAAGTGGCCTACAACAAAATTGTGCAACTTGCTGTTTTGAAAAAATCAGTTATGATTTCTCACCTTTACCACATGTGTTCCAGAAATGTCTCTCCTCTCTTGGGAAAATTGAATTCAAATAATACCTATTTATTTCTATTTATCTTATTTGATCAGCTATGAGACTGGATCTTATATCTCCTTTCTCTGGCCCTCAGTGTACTTAGTCCGTAATATAAGAGTGCTACTTATCCATTCTACCCATGTTATTATTATTTTTTCATATTTGTTTTCTCCACTTTTGTCTTGAAAGTCCCCTATGTGCAAGGAACATTTCGTCTATGTTTTCAAATTTTGTTAAAATTCCTAGTATGTTTACTATAAGTTTAAAAACAAGTATTTGTATTCCAACTAATATCTTCACCATTTATAAACTTATCTAAATTTCTGTACCCACTAAAAGTTTTTTATATTTTTTGAATAGCCATAAGATACCAGTTAAGAGTTTTAAAAATATGAGGCTAAATATCTGCTATTGGTTAGTTTATTTTCCCTACAAATTTCTCAATCAAATTAGAATGTATAA
The DNA here is from genome assembly GCF_000001405.40 of Homo sapiens. NCBI lineage: Eukaryota > Metazoa > Chordata > Mammalia > Primates > Hominidae > Homo > Homo sapiens. The sequence goes on along the minus strand of NC_000005.10, from coordinate 45,342,600 downwards.
CTATTTTTGCTTTTGGAAATATACTTCAATTTTTTATATTTTGTTAAAAGAAAGAAATAAGCTGGGAGCAGTGGCTCACACCTGCCTATAATCCCAGCATTTTGGGTGGCCGAGGCAGGTGGATCACCTGTGGTCAGGAGTTTAAGACCAGTTTGGCCAACATGGCAAACTCCATCTCTAATAAAAAATACAAAAAAAAAAAAAATAGCCAGGTGTAGTGGCATGCACCTGTAATCCCAGCTAGTTGGGAGGCTAAGGCAGGGGAATTGCTTGAACCTGGGAGTCAGAGGTTGCAGTGAGTTGAGATCCACTGCACTGCTGCCTCAGTGACAGAGCAAAACTCCATCTCAAAAAAAAAAAAAGGAAAGAAATATATGAAAAGATTTCAAAAAGATCATAGAAAATGGAATTAAAAGATAAATGTAAAAATATTCACTTCATTTCTCCACATAAGCTCCATAACCTCTATCAAGTTCAAGACCCTTTTCTAAGCAATGATACGAGCCATGTTGTTCATCCCTAAAGAATTGAGGGTCCTGGGAATTTAACCATGTCAACGCAATCTGGTTCACATTATTCACTGAAGAAAAATGGGTGCCCTTTACAGATTTTTTTAATATTAGGAAACAAAAATAAGTCAAACAGAGCCAAATTGAGATGATAAGGTAGATGCCTAATGATCTCCCATCAAAACTCTCACAAAATTGCCCTTGTTTGATGAGCAGAGTGAGTGGGAGTGTTGTAGTGGTGGAAGACTCTGCTGAAGCTTCCCTGGGTGTTTCTCTGCTAAAGCTTTAGCTAACTCTCTGAAAATATTCTCATAATAAGCAGATGTTATTTTTCCTTGAGACAGGTTCTCACTGTCATCCAGGCTGGAGTGCAGTGGTGAAACTATAGCTCACTGCAGCCTTTACCTCCCAGGCTCAAGTGATCCTCCCAGTTCAACCTCCTGAGTAACAGAGACTACAGGCATGAGCCACCTTTGCGCTTAACCAGTCTGCTTTTGCTTTGACTGGACCACTTCCATCTCTTGGCAGCCATTATTTTTATCATGTTTTGTCTTCAAGATCATACTTGCAAAGCCATGTTTTATCTCCAGTTAAAATTCTTTGAAGAAATGCTTCAGGATATTTATCACATTTGTTTAAAACTTCCATTGAAAGCTCCACTCTTATCTGCAGCTGATCTGGCTGCAATGGTTTTGGTACTAATGGAGTGGAAAGTTTGCTTAAGTTTAATTTTTGAGTCAGAATTGTGAAAGCTGAGCAATTGTGATGTCTACGATGTTGGTTATTGTTTCCGCTATTAATCATTGGTCTCCTTCAAATAAGGCAAAAACAGGTTGAATTTTTTCCTTGCAAATTGATGCAGATGATCTGCTGTTATGGGCTTCATCTTCAACATTGTCTCATTCCTTCTTAAAATGAGTGATCCATCTGTGAACGGCTGATTCATTTAGGACATTGTTTCCATAAAGTTTCTGTGAAGCATTCTTTACAAAACAGTATCAGGAATAAAGATCAAATAAAAAGACAGAAAGATAAGATAGAATGAAGGATATATTCCAAGAAGTTAAGGAAATGTTATCTAGTTAAAATCTCATTGAGGGAATGCAAAAAGGATTTTTTACTAAAACTTTATGGAAATGATGCCCCAAATGAATTAGCAGTTTATAGATGGATAGCTCATTCTTCCATCCAAGCTTCAGCATGAATTGGATGTTTGCTCCTGCTTCAATTTTATAATTCATATCGCTCTGAGAGAGGCTATTTTAAAACTGATGTCTCATTCTTCTTAGTGCCTTAAACTAGATCCTATTCAGATGTGTTGTAAGAAGTTTCTACAAGTTTATTTTGATAAAGAAAATAGGAAATTCATATATAGCTTTTTCATAATATGCACCTTCCATAAGCTTTTTGAAGACCCTGGTATCAGTTGTTTAAAAAAAAAAACTCTATCAACATATTTTGCTTTTTAAATCTAAAACTTCTTCACAAGAAAAGCAGAATTTCAGGACACTGGAACCAGATTGGATTCTCAGGGGCCTGGAGAGGTTCAAAGTAGAGTGAGACAGATCATAGCAAGGAGACAAAGGTAATCCAACAGACAGTATCAGGAATAAATATCAAATCAAAAGACAGAAAGACAAGATAAATTGAAGCATATATTCTAAGAAGGCATGGAGAAGTTAGGATTCCAGAATAAAATCTCATTGAAAGACTGCAGAAAGACAACAGCACAACTGAGAATAAAAATGAACCCTAGTAATGTGTACCCTTAAATGGGAAGTATTCTTCTAGGCAGAAAATTCTCAAGGTAATATATAATGAAGATAACAAGAACATTTTCTGTGTCATGTGTTTTATTAACTATTCTTCCCAGCCGGACATGGTGGCTCATGCCTGTAATCCCAGTACTTTGGGAGGTTGATGCAGGTGGGTTGCCTGAGGTCAGGAGTTCGAGACCAGCCTGACCAACATAGTGAAACCCAGTCTTTACTAAAAGTACAAAAAAATTAGCTGGGAGTGGTGGTGGGCACCTGTAATCCCAGCTACTAGGGAGCCTGAGGCAGGAGAATCACTTGAACCTGGGAGGCACTGGTTGCAGTGGGCCAAGATCATGCCATTGCACTCCAGCCTGGGCAACAAGAGCAAAACTCTGTCTCAAAAAATAAATAAATACATACATAAATTAAAAACTATTCTTCCTCCTGCCACACCATAATTTACACTGATCTTCACTGGAAAAAATATCCACTTTTCACTTTTACGTGCATCCTCTGACAAACCTTTTATTTCCTCAATTCCTACAATCATTCAATTGCTAAATTGTGACTAATATTTTTTCTTTATATATTTAAATGCCATATTCAGGTTCTCAACATTACCTCAACATCTGTCACAACTTTTCTCCCTGGCTTGAATGTCAATTAGCTAAAATGCATTCCATTACAGAGCTACCATATTGATTGATATAAAACCCAAATTTGACAATGTAACTTTCTTCTTAGAACCTGCTCATGACCTCTTATTCCCTTCAGGGAAAACACCCAAACTCCTTCATATGACACAGAGGCTCTTCATGGCCTGCCTTAGTCTTCCTTTCTTCACATTAATGCTTCATCTATAGAGTATTATTGACAATTTCCTGGAAAATAAATGCTATTGATGGCCTTTTTGCCTTTCTTCATGCTACCGTATCTTCATTCCTTTCTACTCAGCTTACCTTCTACTTTCCTGTAAGCATTTTTACCATTTATAAGTTACCTAACCTCATTCATAAATTTTCTGTCACTACTCTGTCTCTCTCACAGCATTTATCATTTGTTAGTTTATTATCTCTTTAAAGACTATGAGCTTCTTGGGGATAGGAGCTGTGCTTAATATCCTTGTATTTCTAGTAACCAGCATGCAGTAGGAAGTCATGAAATATTTACTGAGTAAAAGGTCTTCTTTAACAGAGTCGTGAATGAAAATCATACTAAGAATCATGACTGCTTAATAAAATGAGAGATCCTAGAAGTGGAAGCATGAAATGCTCAGCCAGTTAACACCTTGTAAAGGTGAAAACAGGGTTTCTCCATGTGCTTCCCTACTCTTCAGCTTTTGCTTTTCTAATATCAGAATCACACAAAGGTCTAAGTTTAATGCTATACATAAGTTAACAGTTTATTTGAAGGGAAAAAGCATGAGTAGAATAAGAAAGTAAAGAAACGTATGGCAGAAAGATAACAAGTTATTACTAAAATGACACTGAGTCTAAAAACCCAGACCTGATTTTTGAAGAAAAGTTTAGTAAGAACGATGAGAAATATAACATCAAATTGGAGTATTATGTACCTACTACATTCAAGTCACAGTGATAGATTACAAAAAATGTCTAAAAAGCAGTAAAATATATCAATTCACCTTTCAAAAGCTGTGTTTCACTTGGGAGAGGAGGAATCAACTTAGGCAAAGGTGTGTTTGGGTCACTGTTATGTTCTTAGTGTCTAGAAAGTGCCTGGCACATAGAAGACATTGAATGACAAATAAATGCTAAATGAGTGAACTAGGATATCCAGAAAGGCAAAGTTCAATTATTTGATATGTATTTTGTGACAAAAGATAAAAATATTAAAATGTGTATACACACATCTAATATACATGATTAGAATTGCTCATCATAAATTCAATTTTATGTCAACAACATGTTATCTTATAGTATGATTTCAACCTAAAATACTTCATTAAATAAGAAAGCTTATGAAAGTATTGCATAATTTGAGGCATTAATATATAGTTAAGAGCAGTGATTTAACACAAGTCTGGGAATTCAGAAACTTATAAAAGTGAGGAATAGGTCATACCTTCATTGTCTCACAAACTTATACAAATGACTTTTGCCTAAAAGTAGAGAAAGAATGTAAAATGCAGTGGTAAAGAAAGTTAAAATTAGTCTATATTCATTATCAGTTAAGTCTGTACTATGTTTTATCCATTTTATAGTTCAGACTCTCCTTTCAATGTGTTTTAATACTGTGAAGCCCGAAGATGTAAAATGGCGGTAAGAACTACATTTGTGAGAACTTTGAAACCTCTTACAAAAACCTCATACCATGCATATAAAATTAATTCAGTTAGCTGATATTTCAAAAACACTACTTTATTGAAAGCATTCTCCTATTTTCACTTTTGTGGCAAAAATTAGGTGATTTATCTTTTTTTGTGTGTTAGAGACAAATTGTTGAAACACCTTTAGCAGATAACTAGCCCATTCTTATTGTTCAAATCTCAATACAAATGTTATCTCCTGAAGAGGCCTTCCCTGAGAAGCTCATCCAAATTAGTTCCCTCTCAGTCATTCTCCATCAATCACATCAGTGTTTTTGTTGTATGCATATTATTATATTGTCTTATTTGCCCTTAATATTTATTTGTTCATTCCCTGTTCTGCTATATGAACTCAGGATCTGGAAAAGCAAGGACTATCTTTCTTAACTTCCTCTATGACTCCAACCCTCAGATAGTACATATTTTGTAATTACTTCGTGGAAAAAATTAATAAGTACACAATAAATAAGGATTACCTACTTGGCAAATCATCTCAGAGTGACTGAGTGTTAAAGCTTAGAGACAGCATTTTGCCAAGAGAACAGTAGTGCTTGTGCTTATATGGATAAGAAAAGTGATGCTCAAAACAAAGTCTTCTGTCCACAGAACTTTCTTAGTATCACTGTCAGTTATACTATGGTCCATGTATTTTTAATGTATTACAAAAGCATGCTGGCATCTTTAGATTCCTCTGTGATTATGTTTGGTATATGCACTGTATGACATAACATCCTATTTTTATGTGAAAAAATAGTTTCTTTTTAACTTTAAGAAGAAAAATACTTTATAACTTTAAAAACTTTTAAAAGTTCTCCGTGTTTATGCATTAGTCATTCAATGCAGAGCTCACTTGGAGGATGGGGTAAAGATGGTGGGGCGAAGAGGAAGGTACCATTATAGAGGGTATACAAATGTTCTGTCTAATCAATCACTATAACCCAATCACATTCATGGAATAGATAGAAAATATGTTGGTTTTTCTTTTATATTGCTACTAAGGTGAGTATTTATGCCCTCTGCCCCCAGTTCATATGTTGAAATCCTAATCCCCAAGGTGATGATATTAGGAGGTTAAGAGGAAGGGGCCTTTGGGAGGTGATTAGGCCATGAGGGTGGAGCCCTCATGAATGGGATCAGTGCTTTTATAAAAGAAGTCCCAGAGTGATCTCTGATCCCTTCTGCCATATGAGGAGAACACAGCAAAAAGCTCACTGTCTATGAACCAGGAAGTGGCCCCTCACTAGACAAAGTCTGCCAGCACCTTGATCTTAGATTTCCCAACCTCCAAACCAGAACTGTGAGAAATAATTTTTTTTTATTCATAAGCCACCCAGTCTGTGATACTTTTGTGTAGCAGCCCAAATTGGATAAAACCATTGCTACACCGGTTCTACCTAGATTATGTCAATGACTCATCAAACAATTGTTCAAGTTCCCCTGTCCAAACCTAAATATTGAGACACTTCAAGGTATAGAAGATTCACAGTGGCAGATAACAGTTGTGTGTTGTTCATCCTCAAGCTAGGCTGTACGTCCTGCACACTGAGCTCCACTGGAATTGTCAGCCTTCTGGGAAGTGATTGTAAAGTCATCTTAAAAAATTATCATTCCACTGTGCACTAAAATACTTGGGTCAGATAGTAAAGGAACATTACAGTTTTCTGAGGAAAATTCTTAAGATGTTACCCCAAAACATAGCATTTTAAATTAAAACTATTACTGTGTGGTATATTCATTATCTCTAATCTGTACTCTCTGGTTGCGCTCTGGCTGTGTCTAGTCAAATGTATGAGTCTGCAAAGTTGGCTTCAGTAATCCCTAGTATCCTCCCCTCCCTCTCAGTTGCTGCCTGACCTGGCTTTCCCTGGAGAGCCCTCCTCCTTGATTCTCCTCCCATCCACTTAACATGCTCTTATTTGCCCCTGGCTGCTGAGAAATATCCAAAGCTTCATTGTTTGGGATAGTTTAAATCCTTTTTGTGATTTTCTGTACCACCATTAATAAGTATACGCAATTTTTCAGCTATATAACACATAATGGATGAGAACCTACTACTGAGGGGCTATTTCACATCACGATTACCAGATGGCCCTCCTTCCACAAGCCTCATTTAAATCCAGCTCCGCTACTAACTAGATGTTCAACTCTGAGCTATTTTCTTAACTTATGTGTACTTCATTTTTCTCATCTTGAAATGTGAATAATGATCATAACTGCTTCACAGAGTTGTAAAGATTAAGTGAGCAAAACACATAAAAATGCAGAAAAGTGCCTGGCACATAGTAAGTACACAGTAGAATTTAACTCTTAATGTTACTACAATGCAGTGAAAAATAGGATAGAGCTCTTACAGCTGTTATATTTTAGGGAGTGACAAACATTTAAATAACTAATTGTATGTAGTTATTTGCAAGTGCTGAAAGGGTGATTCAAAGGGTATCAGGCCAGTACTCAGGAGGGACACCAAACCCAGCAATATCATATGCCCCATTTCTTTTGGAATGTATTCAAACAATCTGCTAGTAAGCTTTCCCTTCATTTTATCAGCCAGTTTCCTGGAGACATTGCCTTAGCATCAAAATTTGATATTGAAATGTTAGAATCATAAGACTCATGTATACTTCTATAAATGCTGGCAGTATATTTAAAAATAAAAACTAATTAGATTCATTAGTAGAACCTAATAGAACTAGGTAGAACCTTCTGTTTATGAGTGCCTGTTGGAATGTGTACAAAGCAAGAATGTCTATTTTTAACATGAGCAGACTTATACTGATTTGATTAGAGCAAAATGGCAAACTTAACTGTCAAGAAAGAGGTTAATGCCCTTCTGAGCCTGTCTCCAAAGTTCAGAACTGATCTATTTTTAAACAATGGATTGTGAAGAGCCATGGGCTTAAAATAGGTACAGATCATGTGTCCCAGTAGAATATAGAATGTCAGTATATTTCATTTTCACAGAGCATGAATTAGGCTGAGAGTGTAATCCCATCCTGCTGACCTTTAATTTGTCGAATAGATAGTTATGCAAGAAAACATAATTTGTATGTATATTTATTTAGTGTAATTCTGAATCATCTTTTCTAAACTACACACTTGTTGATTTTTTAAATGCCTTCTAAAAATGTGTTTAAAGTTAACTAAAATGGCCATAATCATACTGTGAAGCTATACCAGCATCTTATAAATTTTAAGATATTCATGTAACAGGCATAAATAACAAAAGATTAGCAAAATTATGTAAAGGATCTGATTTGGCCACAGTGCCGAGCATATTGTGTGTCACTCTTTTGGCCTAGAGCGTTGTCCATGCATCTCTGCATTCTATAAAACAAACAAAAATTATTGATTGCTTAATGTGTGTGAGACATTGATCCAGGCTTGACAGGGAAAGTAAATTGTAAGATGTGATTTTTCAGTCTCAAAGGAAGTACTTACTATATTCTTGGAGAAACAAGACATGAACACATGGGAAAAAAGTATAAGAAAAAAGTAAAATGAGGATACTAGAAATGTAGGAAGTCACATATAGTTAATTAGCGGAGAAAAGAAGACTGTACCTACTAACACTGTTGAGAAAAAAAAAAGTGTGTTCACCATGGCCTGGAATAGACTGAAAAGTCCTCAGTGGAAAGAGTTTGCACTAAATTTGGAAGCACATGTGGAATTTCAGTAGACAAAGAGGATACAAGATGTAAAGAACACAGGGAAAACAGACAGAAAACATGCCTGTATTTCCAAAATCTAGTTGCTTTTTCAGCTTCTCATTTGGTTCAAAAAGGGAAAATAAACTAGAGAATAAATAACTTTTTCTTCTACAATGGCTTAAGTTATAGTTTTATATATGTGCAAATACAACTAAAATATAAGCTTGTTTTTATTGTTATAATAAACCATGCCTTATTTCTATAGTTATAATAACCATGACTATTTTAAGTGATCTTGGAGAAAAGAGGTAAGTAATAGAACTCAAACTAAAATTATGAAGATAATTGGAAACCGAACTCAAGAAGCCCTGATTATTACTAAGAAGTCAATACAGTCAATGGCATCATGCATTAACGTAATTAAGATTAGATACCATCTTGCCCTACTTAAAATGGCTTTTATCTAAAAGTCAGGCAATAACAAATGATGGCAAGGATGTAGAGAAAAGGGAACCCTTGTACACGTTTGGTGGGAATGTAATTAGTGCAACCACTATAACAAACACTTTGAAGGTTCATGTTTGACAGAGATGTCAAGAAAATATACTGGGGAATAGATAGTCTCTTCAATAAATGGTGCTGGAAAAACTGGGTATCCATATGCAGAAGAATGAAACTAGACCCCTATCTCTAGCCATATACAAAAATCAAATCAAAATGTATTATAGGCTTAAATCCAGGGCATCAAACTATAAAGCTACTACAAGAAATCATTGAGGAAACTCTCTCAGACATTGGTCTGAGAAAAAATTTCTTGAGCAATACCCTACAAGCACAGGTAACGAAAGCAAAAATGGACAAATGGAATCACATCAAGTTAAAAAGCTTCTGGACGTTAAAAGAAACAACAAAGTAAAAAGACAATCCACAGAATAGGAGAAAATATTTGCAACACACCCATCTAATAAGGGATTAATAACCAGAATTTATATGGAGCTCAAACAACTCTATAGGAAAAAAGTCTAATAATCCAAATAAAAAATACTCAAAAGATTTGAATAGACATTTCTCAGAAGAAGACATACAAATGGCAAACGGGCATATGAAAAGATGTTCATCATCATTGGTCATCAGAGAAACGCAAATCAAAACTACAGTGAGATATCATCTACCCAAGTTAAAATACTTATATCCAAAAGACAGGCAATAACAAATGCTTGCAAGGATGTGGAGAAAAGGGAACCCTTGTACACTGTTGGTGGGAATGTAAATTAGTACGACCACTATGGAAAACAGTTTGGAGCTTCCTCAAAAAGCTAAAAATTGAGCTACCATATGATCCAGCAATCCCACTGCTGGGTATATACCCAAAAGAAAGGAAATGAGATATCAGAGAGATATCTGCACTTCCATGTTTGTTGCAGCACTGTTCACAACAGCCAAAATTTGGAAACAACTGAAGTGTCCATCAACATATGAATGGAAAAGGAAAATGTGATACTTATACAAAATGAATTACTTTTCAGCCATAAAAAAAAATGAGATCCTGTTATTTGCAACAACGTGGATGGAACAGGAGGTCACTCTGCTAAGTGAAATAAGCCAGACACAAAAAGACAAACCTCACATATTCTCACTTTTTTGTGGAATCTAAAAATGAAAACAATTGAACTCATTGAAGGTAGGGAGTAGAAAAATGGTTACCAGAGGCTGGGAAAGATAGTGGGAGGGTAATGGGGAGGTGGGGATGCTTACTGGGTACAAAAATGATAGTTAGAAAAAAATGTTTTCACTTATTTCTGGCATCTGAAAATCAAAACAATTGAACTCATGGAGATAGAGAGTAGAAGGATGGTTACCAGAGGCTGAGAAGTTTAGTTGGGGGAAGGTGAGGATGGTTAATGGGTACGAAAAAAAAAAATAGAAAGAATGAATAAGATCTAGTATTTAACAGCACAGCAAGGTGACTATAGTGAACAATAACTTCACCGTACATTTAAAAATAACTAAAAGAGTATAATTGGATTGTTTGTAACATGAAGGATAAATCCTTGAGGATGGATACCCAACTTTCCATGATGTGATTACTACTCATACAAAAGTATCTGCATTACTGTACCAAAATATCTCATGTACCCCATAAATATATACAACTACTATGTACCCACAAAAAAATTTTAAGAAAAGATTAGAAAGATGCCTGTGCTAGGTAAAGCTTCTATTTAGCATCCAGGCTCTACACTGAGCTAAATAGAAATTTTAAAAAGACAATACTGTTTTCCAGAGTTTAAAATCAGAACCATTAAAGAACATATGTATACTACATTTGTCTAGCTTATATAAACCAATTTTCTGTTGTTTAAAATATCCCCCCAGTTGACTTATATAGCTAGAGCTTCACATTGTTAAATTATGGAAATTATTAAGATATCTAATATCATTTGATTTTGAAGCTTGCCTTGGCAGAATATAGAGTAAGATAATGTATGTCAACTCAATGAATTACTGATGATGATGGTGGTGACAGTGCTGATGGTGGTGGTAGTGATTTTGATGATGATAATGATGATATTGATTTTTAAAAATCGACTTTATGTAGAACAGCATATCACGTGTTTGGGTAGTTTGGTTTTGCTGTCATTGCAATCATCAAATAAATTACTTAGTGCGATTATGAGCAGGTGTGTTGAGATACATAGGCATATAAACAATATAACCTTTGTGTTCAAGAGTGACAGAAAACTACAAATATTAGAAAGATCTGAGCTCTTGAGTTGAATTCAGAGTGATGATTTAATATATACATGTTGATTACGTGAAGTAAAATATTAATAAGTCTAAAATGAAATAAACAATATTAGATAAAGCCACTGAAATATTTGATGACTTAAATTTGATATTTTAAAACTACTTCTCCTGTTACGGTTATACACAGGATTTATATACCTATAATGTTTATTTATAATTGTAAATTAGGGAAAATAAGTGTATTTTATAGAGAAGTGACTAGCCTAGTGTCTGTTCCCTAGGAAGCTGTGTTGGTGTATTAAATTATGCTTTATGATAAGTAAAACACTTAAGAACCCAGTGTGAAATAACTGTTCAATAATATTATTTTTACAATGATTACTGCCCTAAGAACTCTTAATACTGATATTAATATATTTAAATGTTGTCATCTCCTAAGTTGAATTCTACACTTTACCTGATGTAAATGTGAGCCATGTCTACCTGTTCAATGCCAAAGATAATATGCAGGAAAATCTAGAGAAGGCTAAGAATTATATCTCAAAAACTAATGAAGAAAAGTAGAAATATTTGACATATATCTTAAACTGAAATTCTATCATCTAAATTATATATTTCAAGGAAAACAAAAAGTGGTTAAAGTAAGACAGATACAAAGGCATATAAAATAACATTTTTAAAGTTTTTGCAAGTGGCTTCCTGGTAAATTTTACCCATTAGAAATTATCTCAATATTAAGCAACCCATACTTTTGAGAAAGATAAAATTTCCAATATATACATTATTTGAGGTAAAAATATATTTGAAAATTTTTTTAAATGAATGAGTATGCATTAGTAGGACAAGAAACATCAATACCAAAGAAGCATATTTGATACTTATGAAACAATCTATAAAACATTGTATTGAGTAATAAGAATTTCTTGCAAAGCTATCTCACTGAAAAAGAAAAGGAAACAAGTGACATGATACATTATTGTTTGTCTATTAAAAATTATTGATGAGTCATTTAAACTTAGTTTCCTTTTTTCTAATGCTGCATTTTTAATTTTTTCTAGGAATGGCAAGATGATTTTACATATATATACACATATACATGAAATGTTTTCTGTAACTACAGAAAACATATATATGTAAAATCATCTTGCCATTATATATATATGTATATATGTACATCATATGTATATATATGATGGTGTCTTGTGCGTTTATTTAGTTAAGTTTTATTTGTCATACAAAAATAAGGTTTAATGTTCCAACAAACTGTTGATATATCCACAATTTCCTTCCTTGTATTTGACCAAGCTCAATTTCTTAAAGCACAACAGTGTAAACTCCAGTATTTAATAACTCCCCAAATATTTATGTATGCCAAATGCAGCATGGCATCATGGTTTGGATCTTGGAACATACAAAAGCACAAGTGGAAAACTAATCAAATACAAAGTCTGGAGTTTAATAGTAATTCAGCAATGTTGATTTCTTAGTGTGAAAAATGTCTCATAGTAATATAAGAATTAAACCTTTGAGAAAATTGTGTAAGGGGCACATGGACACACTCTATATTATTGTGCATTTTTTTCGTAAACCTAAAATTTTTCCAAAGTAAAATCTCTAATTGAAAATCTATATATGTAATTGGAAAGAAGATGGTCTTTGCTCTCCTATCTGGAATCTCCTTGACTGCCCCAACTTATTCTGTAAAATTAAAATAATAATACCAGTCTTTCATGGTTGTAAGGTTAAATAAAATGATTTGTGTATAAGAACCTTCTAAGCCATAAGTCACAGTACCTCTTTGTTATTATTTCAATCCCAATTCTTGCTGGATGACAGGTATCTCTGAATTTTAGATTCTGGTGGAAATATGAAAATTTAAATAATTTTCCCTAAGGTTCTACAGTGGGACATAAATAGTGTTAATTTAAAAAAGATTCCAAAATACCTATTCCCCATATCTATAAATGTATATGAGTCATTGCAAAAATAATTTATTCTATGATCATTTGTTTCATAAACTTCTCAGGCACCATCTCTTATGTACAATATGTTCATTAAAAGTTTTCTTACTTCCACTGAATCAAGGAGACAGAAAGGGGAGTGGAGCAGATTGTATTATTGTAATAAGAGAGATCCAGACTCCTGTGCCTTTTCCTTGATTTTTCCTAATATTATCCCCCACTCCCTACACCACCACTCTTTCTCTGAGTGACATTGTTTATCTCTAAGACTTCAAAAATTGACTCTATGCTAATATTGTGTAATTCCATTTATAAGAGGTCCCTAGGATATGCAAATTGACAGACACAGAAAGTAGAACAGAGGTTACCAGGGGCTGGGGAAGGGGAGGAAAGTGGCAGTTCTTTAATGGTTACAAAGTTTTTGTTGGGGATGATGAAAAAGGCTTAGGTATAGATAGTGAGGATATTACATAGTGAATGTACTGACAAATTGTATACTTATGAATGGTCAAACTATTAATATTGTTACATATATTTAAACAGTTTTTTGAAAATAGTCTTAGAAAATGGCACCCAATCTTGAATCTATTTTCCTAATCTCCAAAACCACTCCTATCTGCCTCCCACTTTTATCTCAATGTCAAAGATGCTTCACATACAATACATTTAAAACAAAATATCCTTCCTCCACAACACTAAATATTGTTTAAATTAATTGTTTCCCAAACTGAAAAACTCAGAAGGTCTTGAAGTGTGTAGACTGTGTTCCACATCTATGCAAAGTAGATGCTAATATCGCTTATTAACTAAATTGTGTATAGTGCTTCTGCCACAGTTCACTTTCAGAGCAGTGGTAGAGTAGTCCTGCCTTTATCTGTGGTTTCCCTTTCCACAGTTTCAGTTCGTTACTAGAGAATAACTCTGGTCTGAAAATATTAAATGGAAAAATCCAGAAATACACAACTCATAAGTTTGAAATTGTGCACCATTCTAAATAGTGGGATGAAATCTCCTTTGGGACGTGAATCCTCTTTTGCCCAGTGGAGCCACAATGCTTGAGTCACTTCATAGTCATCTTGGTTATCAGGTAAACTGTTGCTGTATCATTATGCTTGTTTTCAAGCCACCTTATCTGACTTCTCCAAATAAATGTTGAAGCCCCACTACCTCAGCTTGTATTTAGATACAGGATATTTGAAGAGGTAATTAAGTTTCCCCAAAGCACATCAGTAGTGATGCTGGTCATTCGTATATGCCAGAGAGCCATAAAATGCTTCAAGTGAAAAGGTGAAAGTTCTCTATGTAATATGAGAGAAAAAAATTATATGCTGAGATTGCTAAGATCTTCTGTAAGAACTAATCTTCTATTCATGAAATTGTGAAGAAAAAAAAAAATGCTAGTTTTGCTGTGGCACCGCAAACTGCGACAGTTACAGCCACAATCATGATAAGTGCTTAGTTAAGATGAAAAAGGCATTCAATTTGTGTGTGGAATACATGAACAGAAATGTGTTCTGATTGACAGCAAATGGGTTCAGCACTGTCTGAGATTTCAGGCATCGACATACTCCCCACAGAGGACAGGGGACTACTGTACTGATACATCTTGGCAGATCTTCAGAAGGGGCAACTTCATTCTTCTTGTCACATTTTGACCAGCCTAACTTGCTGTATTAGTTTTTTAGGGACGCCATGACAAAATACCACAAACTGGGTGGCTTAAACAAAAGAAATGTATTTTTTCACAGTTCTGGAGACTGGAAGTCTGAGATCGAGGTATTGGCAGGTCTAGTTTCTTCTGAGGCTTCTCTCCTTGATTTGCAGAGGGCTTCCTTTTCTCTGTGCTTGTTCACCCCAGATGTCTTTTCTGTGTGTCCAAATTTCCTCTTCTTATAAAAGGACGCCAGTCAGCCAGTCAGATTGGATTATGGCCCACCCTAGTTAATTAATTTTAACTTAATTACCTCTTCAAATACCCTCTATCTAAATACATTCTCAGGTACAGTTGCTTCAACATATAAATTTTTTTGGGAGACACAACTCAACCCATAACAAATGCTAACACATGTAATGTCCCATAAAAATCTAACTAAAGTGAGAGATAAAAGAATGTTTAATTTATCTTAGTACTCTTGCCTGATTTTAGGACCTGACTTGATTTCCTTAGGTCCTCATGTGCATATACATATATTGTTATGTTTGAATTGTGTCTGTTGCTGATTTGTTAATAATGAAAATTAATTTATGTGGATTCTATAATAAAATTTTGAAAAAAGTTTTTACCAAATTCTCCAAGTCATTTTCTCACAGAATTAAGTCTTCAGATGTACTCTACTATCGGTGATATTCTCTTAATAATATTTTTTAGTTCAGCATACTTCTGGACATTTGTTTAGTTTCAGCATACTTCTGGACATTGTTTATGCCACTTAAAAATCAATCGCTTTTTTATCACCTCAAATAGACTTAACTCCTATTGGGCAAATCATTCTTACACCTTGCTACAGATGGACGACTGGAGCTAAATTGTGCTGGACCTTACAAAAATCAAATGACTGCTTTGAGCACCTGATACCACATAGTAAAGCAGAGATACAAATTCTCTAATGAACACTCTTCCTGTCAATATACAATTCCTTAATTTTAGTATTTTTAATTTTAATTTTTGTCTGCTTCTATATTTTTCCCTTTATAATCAAATGGAAGTGAACACTAAGAGAGTTTTGCATTATCTGCTGTCATTCTGCATGGTACCTTAACAGAACAGTATGTCCCTATGTTCTAGTAAGGCAAAGCAGTGGGACTATGCTAAGACAAAATTAATTTCAAACTTCATTTGCATGTGTATTGTAAAGTTTCTATGTGATTAAATACCTCAGGGCCAAATTAAATGCATACCAGAACTGTAACTACAGAAAACATTAAAATCTTTTAATTTGTACATCTCAAAATTCATCTTGCTCTGATCTTTTACAAGATATAATTTAAGCCACTTAGTAATAATTTTTTATTTTAGGCTAATTACCTTTGA
This sequence comes from Homo sapiens, assembly GCF_000001405.40. NCBI lineage: Eukaryota > Metazoa > Chordata > Mammalia > Primates > Hominidae > Homo > Homo sapiens. The sequence goes on along the minus strand of NC_000005.10, from coordinate 45,326,621 downwards.
CTTATAACTTGAAATCTATTAATTTAGCAGTTAAAGAAATAACTTGGTTTGTAAGCAAGTAATAGTGAAAAATGCTAAAGTTTGCCATTATTTAAGAGGCTATTGCAGTCTATTTCTCTTCCTGCCTATTTTTCTTAATATAACTATAATTAACATAAGATGAAACATTTTGTGGCCACTAAAAAGAATGGCAATGTGGGTTATGTCACAATTTGGGAAATATTTTGTGGTACAAGTGTAGAAAAAGGAAACAAATATTGAATATACATTATGGTTACAACTACGTTAAGGTGAACTGGAGATTATTTGAAGGGAATACATATATAAATTTCTTTCATGAAGATGATGACAATAAAGATATACATTTTCAGTTGTTTATTTTTTAAAAATTTATGTGGGTATGTAGTAGGTGTATGTATTTATGGGGTACATGAGATGTTTTAGTACAGGCATGCAATGTGATATATAAATGTATATGTAATTTTTTTAAGGAAAATGCGTGGTCCTTTTGTTTTCAAATACTTTAAAAATACAGTTTGGTAATTTAGAAAATGCTTGATTAATCTTAATGAAAGGGGAGTTAAATAAAACTTAAATTAAGGCATCTTATGTCAATTCATCAGCCCTCCTTTTTTTTTACATGTAACTTCAACTCCCAAAATATAAATAATAAAAATAAGTATTTTTTACCCCTGTAATTTAATACATCATTTTTGACACTCTTATTATTCAGGAGTTGCACCATAAGATCTCTTTAAAAAATAAGACAGATTATAGTGCAAATATAAATCTGTGTAAATCCTTCCTACTAGAGACAGAGAAATCATGGGAAATCCTTTAAAATTAAGACATTGAAGCAGGTGCTGAACTTACTAGTCAACCCTTGAATGAATGTTCAAAAGATTTTTTAATTCATTAAGATCTGCTAGTATGGGCTGATTTTCTCATATATGCAGTGAACCATCTTGCAATTTAGAAGACAAACCACCAGATTAATATAAGTCCATTGGAAATGCTGACGGAAAAGAATATATTTTTTAAATTGCCCTCATGTGTTTTCTTTTTTAATAATGGAATGTATGTGTAATTTATAATTTGCCCTCCAAATTTATCATATCAATAGAGTAGCTTTATTATGAGTTATATGTTTTATTTGTTGACTTTGATCAAAACCCACATTTATTTTATTATTTACAATCATCATGTATTGAATATATACATATGTAGCTTTCTTTCTCAATTAGATGTAGGTTTCCAGATACTTGTTAATCTAGGAGACTTGGTTTCCACACCTGACTGCTTATGACTTGGAGTGTTTTATTAATGACAGAGATTTTGAGTTATATTCCCTAAAGAGTTATGTGAATCTGAATTGGAACCTGGCTAATTTAGAAAAAATACCATAAATGAGTCCGCAGAGGTGCTGTCTTCCTCTAAATAATAACAGAGATGCAAATGTCATCTTTGGCAGGTCAGTGAAGCAATTTTTTTCTCCTTGTCTACCTCAGAGCCATAATGGGGGCAACGGCCTTGTAATAATCCTGAGTACATTCTGTTCCTGCTCCAGATTGGTCCTACATTGTACCTACAAACTTCTTCCCACCTGGGCACCTTCTATGCACCAAGTTCTGTGTTAAACACTTCATTTCTGAGCTGTCATTTCCTTGGGCACTAAGGACTGCTCCAAAGGAGTAGAAGCTTGGGGCACTGTATCACAAGATAATGATGTTTTATTTTGTTTATTTATTTTAATTTTCCTTGATTCTTATTTTAACTTTAAAAAATTTTTTTTCACAAATTTCGTGTAGTCAGCGTAGAGATTATAATTGCAGATAACTTTCCCAGAGCTTTTCAGTGACATTTCTCAAAATTAACTTTGGCTAGCTAGCCATTTCCAGATATTGATTTATTCTTCTTGGAAGTCTTAGCATTCAAATCTTATTTTTCCAAGTGTCAAACCAAGCCATGTTTTATTAGTCTGTGGAATTTCATCTTCTTTTTCACCTGTCTCTTCAAGTTATAAATAAATATTGAAAAATCTTACTTTAGGTTGAACTAGTTTACAGTCCCACCAACAGTGTAAAAGTGTTCCTATTTCTCCACATCCTCTCCAGCAGCTGTTGTTTCCTGACTTTTAATGATCGTCATTCTAACTGGTGTGAGATGGTATCTCATTGTGGTTTTGATTTGCATTTCTCTGATGGCCAGTGATGATGAGCATTTTTTCATGTGTTTTTTGGCTGCATAAATGTCTTCTTTTGAGAAGTGTCTCTTCATATCTTTCACCCACTTTTTGATGGGGTTGTTTTTTTCTTGTAAATTTGTTTGAGTTCATTGTAGATTCTGGATATTAGCCCTTTGTCAGATGAGTAGATTGCAAAAATTTTCTCCCATTCTGTAGGTTGCCTCTTCACTCAGATTGTGGTTTCTTTTGCTGTGCAGAAGCTCTTTAGTTTAATTAGATCCCAACCATCATGGAAGTTGGTGTGGCGATTCCTCAGGGATCTAGAACTAGAAATACCATTTGACCCAGCCATCCCATTACTGGGTATATACCCAAAGGATTATAAATCATGCAGCTATAAAGACACATGCACACGTATGTTTATTGCGGCACTATTCACAATAGCAAAGACTTGGAACCAACCCAAATGTCCAACAATGATAGACTGGATTAAGAAAATGTAGCACATATACACCATGGAATACTATGCAGCTATAAAAATGATGAGTTCATGTCCTTTGTAGGGACATGGATGAAGCTGGAAACCATTCTCAGCAATCTATCACAAGGACAAAAAACCAAACACCACATGTTCTCACTCATAGGTAGGAACTGAACAATGAGAACACAGAGACACAGGAAGGGGAACATCACACACCGGGCCTGTCGTGGGGTTGGGGGATGGGGGAGGGATAGCATTAGGAGATATACCTAATGCTAAATGACGAGTTAATGGGTGCAGCACAGCAACATGGCACATGTATACATAAGTAACAAACCTGCACGTTGTGCATATGTACTGTAAAACTTAAAGTATAATAATGATAAAAAATGAAAAAAAAGAAAAATTTTACTCTATGTTTGTCTTGTTGAATTCTTTCTAAATTAATAAAGGTTTTTAAAAAATCTAGAAAGGCATTCTACCATTTTATTTTTCATTCCCTTCTATATGATATCATGATTGTTCTACAGCAGTGCTTACTGTCCAGTGAAGATGTAATAGGAATTATATAATTTAAATTGTCTAGTAGTTATACTAAGAAATAAAAAAGTAAAATTAAGTGTAATAAATTTGTTAACTAAATATATCCAAAATGTTATGATTTCAACACACAATCAATATAAGAACATCATTCGTGAGATAGTTTATATTCATTTTTTTATCAAGTCTTCACAATCTGGTGTATATTTTAATACTTGCATCACATCTTGATTTGGATGCTGAATTTTTCTCAGAAATGCTTAACCTGTATGTAGATTTCATACAGTTTACAATTGAAGAAGTATATCCACCTGTCCAAGTGTCTTCAAGCATAATTTACCATTTTCTAAAAACGGAACTGTATCAGTTTTTAACTTTAAGCTTAAATGGGTTAACGTTAAATAAATTAAAAACTCAGTTCCTCCCTCACACTAGCCGTGTTTCAAGTGCCTGAAAACCCCATGCAATTAGGAACTATTATATCAGACAAGGTTGCTCAAGGAACAGACTGCATACCTCTTAGTAGTAGTAGGTTTCACTTCCTACATGCTGTGATTTTTGTCAAATGACAACCATTTTGAGACTCATTTGGTTTATCTATAAAATTGGGTTAATAATGTAACTGCAGGTTGAGCATTCCTAATCTGAAAATCCAAACTTCTAAATACTCTAATATCTGAAACTTTTTGAGCACTGACAGGATGCCACAAGTGAAAAATTCCACACTTGACTTCGTGGGACAGGTTGCAATCAAAAGTTTATTTCATCTACAAATTATTTTAAAATATTGTGTAAAATTACCTTCAGGCTGTATGTTTGAAGTATATATGAAACATAAATGAATCTCATGTTCAGAGTTGAATCCCATCCCCAAGATTTCTCATTTGGGATATGCAAATATTCTAAAATGAGAAAAATCAAGAATCTGCCACATTTCTGGTCTCAAGCATTTCACATAAGACATTCTCAACCTGTGTTTCATTGGGTTGTTGTTATAATTACATGAGAAAGCACAAAGCATTTAATAAATATTAGTGAATATCATCATTGTGGTCATTATACTACATTTAGACCAGTGGACCCTTTAAAAAATCTAAGAAAAGCTGCCATCTGTTTCACATAACACACAAACACAGTATTCACCTATTTGCATATAATTTCAATGGGTTTAGGACAGCCACCCAAAGCCCATTAACACCTTTATTAAGTGTCCTTAGGCTCCATGTTTACATTTTTTAAATTAATTGTTGTATAGCTCCAGCTACCAAGACTCCAGTTGTCTCTTAAAACATTTGTGACTATGTCACGGAATTATTAGAGGAAATAAGTTCATATTAACCAGGATGCTTATTTACCAATATAATGCTGAATCATTTAGTTATGCCTCAAGATCTCATTTGTTTTCTTCCATATTTACCTTTTACACTAATTTTCTGGTGAGGCACAGAGGAAATGCTTCTTATTTACCTGACATATAAATGAATGTATATAATTGAAGATAAAGTTATTTTTGTATGCAAAATAAACATTGCTTTTCTTAGTTTTCAAAAAATATTTGACCATCATTAAAGCAGTTATCTTTGCACAGCAAAAATTGAATCATATGCAATAAAATGCAAGATTTTTAAAATATACCTTAACTAGAACCATGTATGTTTAAATAATCCCACAACAGTAAACGTATTGCTATTAAATGATCTGCCATAAAAATACGTATGTGTGTAAAATATGGCATTCAAGCTGGTTTAAAATGTAAATTGTCTAAGAAATACATTTAAGCAAAAAAAATAGGTATTAGTCTCCAATGGGCAAAATTTTAGATTAAAGAAGCTGTAAAATGCTAAAAGTGACTCTTTTTTTTCATTTTGAAATATACACTATTGCAAAATATAAAGCTGTGGTTTAATTCTACGTGCTAAGCTTTCATGACTTTTATCCAGATAACAGGGAGGCCCCACTGTGGGGTGAAATGAGCACAGTTAGTTTTCTCTACACATATTCTAGCTCTGTAGCCTTGGCAATACTTTTCCTCTCTCTAAGCACCACTTTCTTCTTCTGCATATGTTGAAGAAATAAAACAAAATTTAAGTTTATTGTTACGTTGTTTTTCCCCCAGGAATAAATAAGTGAGATATAATATGCGAACTACCTAGCTCAAAATGGGGGCTTAATAAATCAGGTTCCCATCCTCTTTCTACATCCCTAATTTGTAATCAAAATAAATTACAAATGTTATTTTGGGGGCTGTGTAGGGAGATCCAGAGATACCGTTGAGGAAACAAATAGAAACATTTCTTTGAAAGGAAGGTATAAAGGGCAGTCATTGACAAGCCACAAAGAAAATTTTCATTTTGTTGACACTGTCCCCTGTGATGTAAGACATGAATCCCCCAGTAGACAAGAACAAATACCGGTCTCCCTTTCTTTTCTTGCAGTTCCTTGGTTTAGTGTCCAAAGATCTCAAATTCTATTGCTTTAAGAAGCCAGTCAGCCTAATTGTAGAAAGTAGAGATGTTAAATACAGACGGTGTTTTAAAAACTGTGACGAATAGAAATGTACATGCTATGTATAAAGGGATTCAGATTCAGATTTTTAAAAACCATTCGGATTTTTAAAAGCCAATGTATAGCCTTCAGTTGCCACCTGACAATCAACAAATGTCCATGTCTGTCTTTGCAAACATATATAACTCAAAAAAACAAATTGTTGGTTAATATCTAAACCTTCAAGATTTGTGGTGATTCTAGATTTGTGCAAAGGTTAAGGTGGCTTCTCAGAATCCATCAAAATCCCAAAGTAGCAAGCCAGGCTGCCCTGGGATACCATAGTTCCTCCTCTTGCAAGCATGTGGTTACTGGCAGACTATATAACATCTACAAAATGGGGCAGTAATACTACCTAAGACATAGGATTATTGTGAGGGTAAAATAAATTAATATTTGTAAAACATTTAGACAATACCTAAAACCCAGCAAGAACTCAATAGATGTTGACTCTTCTTTTTATTACATTCATTCTTAGAATTATCTTTACCTCAAAAAAACTCCCTAAACATACCAACTGCTGTTTTGATTATAAAGAACCCAAGCTACTGAATTGGAAAGAAAAAATGGGATATTTGGAGCACTTTTTAATAGGATGTTCTCTAGGAGATGAGGTGTCATGTGGTATAGATTTGCTTCCATATATTTATTTGTTTCTAAAGTCAATATAGAAATCTCCAGGTAGGGATGTCTTTTGAATGTCTAAGTTCTTAGAAGGAAGATCTTATATGCTCTGTATAGTCTAAAAATATAGGGTGTGTTGGAGTGTAGAAATTTAGCAATGTAACAGCAGCTCTATTTTGTTAAGATTACTCTATGATTCATTTGTGTAATGGTGGAAATTATATGTATAGCTACCATGCTTAAAACTTTTCAGAAATATACTGTTTAGAATAATCATAATGTAAAATGGAGCTGAATTAGAGGTTTCACGAAATTGGACTTTATACAGTGATATTTAAGTTATCAATATAAAGTTACAGTGCTAAAGGAACCTTAAAGTTTTGCTATTCTTTTTTATAATAACTAAATGAGATATTGCTTAAAATTTCTTAAAGTTTCAGAGTATTTAGAATTCCAAAATACAGATTTGTGATTAACATAAATCCTTCTAGAAGCAATCTGAATATATCAAACTCATTTTTTTTCTGGAAGTTCTAAAGCTAAAAAAAAAACCAGGAAACAAATTACCAACAAAACAATTACAATAAAAGATACTACTTAGAGTGAAAAGGCAAGCCACAGATGGCGAGAAGGTATTTGCAGTGCATATCCCCAAAAAAAGAACTCATGTCAAGAGTATAAGAAGAACTCTTAACATAGAAAAAGGGGGAAACTCTTTACTGGGCACCTCACAAAACAGGCTATTCATCTGATCAAAAAGCTTAGGAAAATGTGCATAATGAGGATACTCATGGGAAAATGCATATTAAAACTACAATAAGAAAAAACACAAGTGCAAAAAGCAAAACAGTCAGATATGTCGACTTACCCACCAATGGCTAAATGATAAAATCAAATTTTGCCAAAGATGTGGGACAACTGAAACATCACCTGTTGATGGAATGAGAGAATAATAATAGAAGCATCCAGGAAAACTTTTGGCAGCAACTGTAGTGAAGTATGTGCTTATTCTATTACCCAGAAATTCCAATATATGGTGTACACTCAAGCCAAATCAGTGCATAAGATGCTTCAAGAATGTTCCTCCCAGCTTTTAATTTTTAGCTGACATTTATTTTATTAGCCTAAAACTGGTAACAACCCAAATGTCATGAAGAGTAGAATGGATAAATAAATTGTAGTATAACCATAAAATGAAATATAGCCTGAAATTTAAAAAGAATCAACTCCCACTTACAACACTTAGCAATCACATTAACAGAATGGTGAGTAAAAGAACCAAGACACAAAAGACTACACAGTATGCAACCTCATTTATGTGACTTTCAAGAACAAGAAGACCTGCTCTGTAGTGATAGAAATCAGAATAGCTAGAACCTCTGGGTTGACTAAGATGAGGCAAAAGGAGCCTTCTGAGAAATTGTCTATATTTGAATCCGGCTGGTTATACGGGTGCATATATATTTTTTAAAAAATGACTTAAAATTTGTGTACACTTAGGATTTGTCCACTTCAAGTTATGTTGTAACTTTAAAAGAAACTCCCTACACTGTGACTAAATAATGAACATGAATAATCCTGTCATATTTTAGCAAAATAATGGGAAGGACTGCTGTAAGCAAATACTTTTTTTTTCTTTTTTTATTATACTTTTCTTTTTATTTTATTAAATAATATTTTTTCTTTTTATTATACAAGTTCTAGGGTACATGTGCACAACGTGCAGGTTTGTTACATATGTATACATGTGCCATGTTGGTGTGCTGCACCCATTAACTCATCATTTACATTAGGTATATCTTCCAATGCTATCCTTCCTCCCTCCCCCACCCCACGACAGGCCCTGGTGTGTGATGTTCCCCTTTCTGTGACCAAGTATTCTCATTGTTCAATTCCCACCTATGAGTGAGAACATGTGGTGTTTGTTTTTTTGTCCTTGCGATAGTTTTCTAAGAAAGATGGTTTCCAGCTTCATCCATGTCCCTACAAAGGACATGAATTCATCTTTTTTATGGCTGCATAGTATTCCATGGTGTATATGTGCCACATTTTCTTAATCCAGTCTATCATTGATGGACGTTTGGGTTGTTTCCAAGTCTTTGCTATTGTGAATAGTGACACAATAAACATAAGTGTGCGTGTGTTTTTATAGCTGCATGATTTATAATCCTTTGAGTATATACCCAATAATGGGATGGCTGGCTCAAATGTTATTTCTAATTCTAGATGCTTGAGGAATCACCACACTGTCTTCCACAATGGTTGAACTAGTTTACAGTCCCACCAACAGTGTAAAAGTGTTCCTATTTCTCCACATACTCTCCAGCACCTGTTGTTTCCTGACTTTTTAATGATCGCCATTCTAAGTGGTGTGAGATGGTATCTCATTGTGGTTTTGATTTGCATTTCTCTGATGGCCAGTGATGATGAGCATTTTTTCATGTGTCTGTTGGCTGCATAAATGTCTTCTTTTGAGAAGTGTCTGTTCATATCCTTCGCCCACTTTTTGATGGGGTTGTTTGTTTTTTTCTTGTAAATTTGTTTGAGCTCTTTGTAGATTCTGGATATTAGCCCTTTGTCAGATGAGTAGGTTGCAAAAATTTTCTCCCATTCTGTAGGTTGCCTGTTCACTCTGATGGTAGTTTCTTTTGCTGTGCAGAAGCTCTTTAGTTTAATTAGATCCCATTTGTCAATTGTGGCTTTTGTTGCCATTGCTTTTGGTGTTTTAGTCATGAAGTCCTTGCCCATTCCTATATCCTGAATGGTATTGCCTAGGTCTTCTTCTAGGGTTTTTATGGTTTTAGGTCTAACATTTAAGTCTTTAGTCTATCTTATAATTTTTGTATAAGGTGTAAGGAAGGGATCCAGTTTCAGCTTTCTACATATGACTAGCCAGTTTTCCTAGCACCGTTTATTAAATAGGGAATCCTTTCCCCAATTCTTGTTTTTGTCAAGTTTGTCAAAGATCAGATGGTTGTAGATGTGTGGTATTATTTCTGAGGGCTCTGTTCTGTTCCATTGGTCTATATCTCTGTTTTGGTGCCAGTATCATGCTGTTTTGGTTACTGTAGCTTTGTAGTGTAGTTTGAAGTCAGGTAACGTGATGCCTCCAGCTTTGTTCTTTCGGCTTAGGCTTGACTTGGCAATGCAGGCTCTTTTTTGGCCCCATATGAACTTTAAAGTAGTTTTTTTCCCAATTTTTTGAAGAAAGTCATTGGTAGCTTGATGGGGATGGCATTGAATCAATAAGTTACCTTGGGCAGTATGGCCATTTACACAATATTGATTCTTCCTATCCATGAGCATGGAATGTTCTTCCATTTGTTTGTATCCTCTTTTATTTCGTTGAGCAGTGGTTTTTAATTCTCCTTGAAGAGGTCCTTCACAGCCCTTGTAAATTGGATTCCTAGGTATTTTATTCTCTTTGAAGCAATTGTGAATGGGAGTTCACTCATGATTTGGCTCTCTGTTTGTCTGTTATTGGTGTATAAGAATGCTTGTGATTTTTGCACATTGATTTTGCATCCTGAGACTTTGCTGAAGTTGCTTATCAGCTTAAGAAGATTTTGGGCTGAGACGATGGGTTTTTCTAAATATACAGTCATGTCATCTACCAACAGGGACAATTTGACTTCCTCTTTTTGTAATTGAATACCCTTTATTTCTTTCTCCTGCCTGATTGCCCTGGCCAGAACTTCCAACACTATGTTGAATAGGAGTGGTGAGAGAGGGCATCCCTGTCTTGTGCCAGTTTTCAAAGGGAATGCTTCCAGTTTTTGCCCATTCAGTATGATATTGACTGTGGGTTTGTCTTAAGTAGCTCTTATTATTTTGAAATACGTCCCATCAGTACTTAATTTATTGAGAGTTTTTAGCATGAAGGGGTGTTGAATTTTGTCAAAGGCCTTTTCTGCATCTATTGAGATAATCATGTGATTTTTGCCTTTGGTTCTGTTTATATTCTGGATTACATTTATTGATTTGCATATGTTGAACCAGCCTTGCATCCCAGGGATGAAGCCCACTTGATCATGGTGGATAACCTTTTAGATGTGCTGCTGCATTCGGTTTGCCAGTATTTTATTGAAGATTTTTGCATCGATGTTCATCAGGGATATTGGTCTAAAATTCTCTTTTTGTTGTGTCTCTGCCAGACTTTGGTATCAGGATGATGCTGGCCTCATAAAATGAGTTAGGTAGGATTCCCTCTTTATCTATTGATTGGAATAGTTTCAGAAGGAATGGTACCAGCTCCTCCTTCTACCTCTGGTAGAATTCAGTTGTGGAATCCATCTGGTCCTGTACTTTTTTTGGTTGGTAAGCTATTAATTATTGCCTCAACTTCAGAGCCTGTTATTGGTCTATTCAGGGATTCAGCTTCCTCCTGGTTTATTCTTGGGAGGGTGTATGTGTCCAGGAATTTATCCATTTCTTCTACATTTTCTAGTTTATTTGCATAGAGGTGTTTATAGTATTCTCTGATGGTAGTCTGTATTTCTGTGGGATCGGTGGTGATATCCCCTTTACCATTTTTTATTGTGTCTATTTCATTCTTCTCTCTTTTCTTCTTTATCAGTCTTGCTAGTGCTCTATCAATTTTCTTGATCTTTTCAAAAACCAGCTCCTGGATTCATGGTTTTTCTGAAGGGTTTTTTGTGTCTCTATCTCCTTCAGTTCTGCTCTGATCTTAGTTATTTCTTGCCTTCTGCTAGCTTTTGAATGTGTTTGCTCTTGCTTTTCTAGTTCTTTTAATTGTGATGTTAGGGTGTCAATTTTAGAACTTTCCTGCTTTCTCTTGTGGGCATTTAGTGCTATAAATTTCCCTCTACACACTGCTTTAAATGTGTCCCAGAGGTTTTGGCATGTTGTGTCTTTGTTCTCATTGGTTTTAAAGGACATCTTTATTTCTGCCTTCATTTCGCTGTGTACCCAGTAGTCATTCAGGAGCAGGTTGTTCCATTTCCATGTAGTTGAGCGGTTTTGAATGAGTTTCTTAATCCTGAGTTCTAGTTTGATTGCACTGTGGTCCGAGAGACAGTTTGTTATAATTTCTGTTCTTTTACATTTGCTGAGGAGAGCTTTACTTCCAACTATGTTGTCAATTTTGGAATAAGTGTGATGTGGTGCTGAGAAGAATGTATATTCTGTTGATTTGGGTTGGAGAGTTCTGTAGATGTCTATTAGGTCCGCTTGGTGCAGAGCTGAGTTCAATTCCTGGATATCATGGTTAACTTTCTGTCTCGTTGATCTGTCTAATGTTGACAGTGGGATGTTAAAGTCTCCCATTATTATTGTTTGGGAGTCTAGGTCTCTTTGTAGGTCTCTAAGGACTTGCTTTATGAATCTGGATGCTCCTGTATTGGGTGCATATATATTTAGGATAGTTAGCTCTTCTTGTTGAATTGATCCCTTTACCATTATGTAATGGCCTTCTTTGTCTCTTTTGATCTTTGTTGGTTTAAAGTCTGTTTTATCAGAGACTAGGATTGCAACTCCTGCCTTTTTTTGTTTTCTATTTGCTTGGTAGATCTTCCTCTATCCCTTTATTTTGAGCCTGTGTGTCTCTGCATGTGAGATGGGTCTCCTGAATACAGCACACTGATGGGTCTTGAATGGAACACAGCACATTAATGGGTCCTGAATATAGCACACTGATGGGTCTTGACTTTTTATCCAATTTGCCAGTCTGTGTCTTTTAATTGGAGCATTTAGCCCATTTACATTTAAGGTTAATATTGTTATATGTGAATTTCGTCCTGTCATTATGATGTTAGCTGGTTATTTTGCTCATTAGTTGATGCAGTTTCTTCCTAGCCTTGACGGTCTTTACAATGTGGCATGTTTTTGCAATGGCTGGTACCGGTCGTTCCTTTCCATGTTTAGTGCTTCTTTCAGGATCTCTTGTAGGGCAGGCCTGGTGGTGACATAATCTCTCAGCATTTGCTTGTCTGTAAAGTATTTTATTTCTCCTTCACTTATGAAGCTTAGTTTGGCTGGATATGAAATTCTGGGTTGAAAATTCTTTCTTTAAGAATGTTGAATATGGGCCTTCACTGTCTTCTGGCTTGTAGAGTTTCTGCCGAGAGATTCGCTGTTAGTCTGGTGGGCTTCTCTTTGTGGGTAACCCGACCTTTCTCTCTGGCTGCCCTTACCATTTTTTTCCTTCATTTCAACTTTGGTGAATCTGACAATTATTTGTCTTGGAGTTGCTCTTCTCGTATCTTTGTGGCATTCTCTGTATTTCCTGAATTTGAATGTTGGCCTGCCTTGCTAGGTTGGGGAAGTTCTCCTGGATAATATCCTGCAGAGTGTTTTCCAACTTGGTTGTATTCTCTCCGTCACTTTCAGGTACACCAATCAGATGTAGATTTGGTCTTTTCACATAGTCCCATATTTCTTGGAGGCTTTGTTCATTTCTTTTTACTTTTCTTTCTCTAAACTTCTCTTCTCACTTCATTTCATTAATTTGATCTTCAGTCACAGATACCCTTTCTTCCAGTTGATCGAATTGGCTACTGAAGCTTGTGCATTCGTCCCTTAGTTCTCGTGCCATGGTTTTCAGCTCCATCAGGTCATTTAAGGACTTCTCTACACTGGTTGTTCTAGTTAGCCATTCGTCTAATATTTCTTCAAGGTTTTTAGCTTCTTTGCGGTGGATTTGCACTTCCTCCTTTAGCTTGGAGAAGTTTTATCGTCTGAAGCCTTCTTCTCTCAACTCATCGAAGTCATTCTCCATCCAGCTTTGTTCTGGTGCTGGCGAGGAGCTGCATTCCTTTGGAGGAGGAGAGGTGCTCTGATTTTTAGAATTTTTAGCTTTTCTGCTCTGTTTTTTTCCCCACCTTTGTGGTTTTATCTACCTTTGGTCTTTGATGATGGTGACGTACAGATGGGGTTTTGGTGTGAATGTCCTTTCTGTTTGTTAGTTTTCCTTCTAACAGTCAGGACCCTCAGCTGCATGTCTGTTGGAGTTTGCTGGAGGTTCACTCCAGACCCTGTTTGCCTGGGTATCAGCAATGAAGGCTGCAGAACATCGAATATTGGTGAACAGCAAATGTTGCTGCCTGATCATTCCTCTGGAAGCTTCATCTCAGAGGGGTACTCTGCCGTGTGAGGTGTCAGTCTGCCCCTACTGGGGGGTGCCTCCCAATTGGGCTACTTGGGGGTCAAGGACCCACTTGAGGAGGCAGTCTGTCTGTTCTCAGATCTCAAACTCCATGCTGGGAGAACCACTACTGTCTTCAAAGCTGTCAGACAGGGACATTTAAGTCTGCAGAGGTTTCTGCTGCCTTTTGTTCAGCTATGCCCTGCCCCCAGAGGTGGAGTCTACAGAGGCAGGCAGGCCTCCTTGAGCTGCGAGGGGCTCCATGCAGGTCGAGCCTCCAGGCTGCTTTGTTTACCTACTCAAGCCTCAGCAATGGTGGGCGCCCCTCCCCCAGCCTCACTGCCACCTTGCGATTCTATCTCAGACTGCTGTGCTAGCAATGAGCAAGGCTCTGTGGGCGTGGGACCCCCTGAGCCAGGTGCGGGATATAATCTCCTGGTGTGCCGTTTGCTAAGACCATTGGAAAAGTGCAGTATTAGGGTGGGAGTGACCCGATTTTCCAGGTGCTGTCTGTCACAGCTTCCCTTGGCTAGGAAAGGGAATTCCCTGACTCCTTGCACTTGCCGGGTGAGGCTATGCCTCGCCCTGCTTCAGTTCATGCTCAGTGGGCTGCACCCACTGTCCTGCACCCACTGTCTGACAAGTGCTAGTGAGATGAACCCGGTACCTCAGTTGGAAATGCAGAAATCATCCGTCTTCTGCGTCGCTCACACTGGGAGCTGTAGACTGGAGCCGTTCCTCTTTGGCCATCTTGGAACCGCCCCCAGCAAATACTTTTATATCTAAAATAAATAGACATCGTGTCAACCAAAGAACAAATAACAAGATTCTTTATTGCTGTTTCATTCTTGTATTATGCTGTTTCATTCTTGTATATAATATATAAAATTCAATTTAAAATCTTAGCACTACCCTTTAGCAGGGTTACCGTTTGCCAAATGAGAAGCATCCTCAAGAGGGCATTGCATAAGAAAAATCTTCACCCAAGTGTGTGCTTGAATGTTTTAGAAGACTGAAACAACCATTCCATTTGGTTGAAAGGTGGATCCCAGAAACATCTGACATAAACATTTCTATCTCATGTCATCTTTTAAGACACCTTCTTAATGAATACAAATATATGTACACCTTGGGTTCCAACGTGGACTCTTCTTGACAACAAAGATTTTTTCTTACTTGAAATATTTGAGGAAATAGTTTGCAGCATTTCCCATAGCATCTGAGCTTATTTACTTGGCTTCCCAGTGTTTAGCCCACAGCTAGAAATTTGAGAAAGCTGTTGATGAACTTTGAGGGTGAAAATTCCCTCCAGGTTCCAAGGCGACCAGTGTACTCTTCCTCTGCAATTACTGCTCTGTCTGAAGTTTTCCTCAGAGGAATAAATAAAGCTGCAGGTCTCATGCATTTTCAATGAGAAACCTTATGCAAAGAATATTACTGAAATCACATTCTTGGCATTTCTTCAGTCAACACTTTTATATCGAACTGTTCCTTTTATGGGCAACATATCCTCCATGGATCATAACACTTATGCCATAATTATCAACACTAAAGCAACAAGTCCACTCCAGAGAACTTAATATCATTTAACTTAAAAA
Organism: Homo sapiens; assembly: GCF_000001405.40. NCBI lineage: Eukaryota > Metazoa > Chordata > Mammalia > Primates > Hominidae > Homo > Homo sapiens. The sequence goes on along the minus strand of NC_000005.10, from coordinate 45,311,547 downwards.
TTATGTCATTTCTGCATGGGTGTTTATGCCAAATATTTCTTATGACTTATTTTAACAAAATAAAATATTAGCAAAAATTATCAATTCCCTTCTAAGATGTTTAAACAAATTTTCTAATATAAGCTGATTGCAAAAGTAAGAAGAAATTGAACCAGTGTATTTTAAATAGTAACATTTGAAATCCACCCTTTTGCTAGTGGGCAACTTGAGATCTTTTAAAATAAAAACCATATTGATGCTATATAAATTATGTAATAATATTCCTTGGAGAGAGAATTTCTTTGGAACAACATTTTTGTTTCTCCCTCACTTTTGGTGTGTTTAATAAATGAATATATATTTCTAACTTTGAAATAATTATAGATTTTTTAACTTTCATTTTAAGTTCAAGGGTGCATGTGCAGGATGTGCACGTTTGTTAAATAGATGAACATGGAGATAATGGGGGTTTGTTGTACAGATTATTTCATCACTCAGGCATTAAACCTAGTATCCATTAGCTACTTTTCTTGGTTCTATCCCTCCTTCCACCCTCCGATAGGCCCCAGTATGTGTTGTTCCTCTCTGTATGTCCATGTGTTCTCATCAGTTAGCAACCACTTGTAAGTGAGAACATGAGGCTTTTGGTTTTCTATTCCTGAATTAATTTGCTAGGGATGATAGCCTCCAGTTCCATCCATGTCCCTGCAAAAGACATGATCTCATTCTTTTTTATGGCTGCATAGTATTCCATGCTATATATTTACCACATGTTCTTTATCCAGTCATTCATTGATGAGCATTTGGGTTGATTCCATGTCTTTACTCTTTTGAATTGTGCTGCAATGAACATATGCATGCATGTCTTTATAATAGAACAATTTATATTCCTTTGGGTTTATACCTGGTAATGGGATTGCTGGGTTGAATGGTATTTCTGTCTCTAGGTCTTTAAGGAATCACTACACTGTCTTCCACAATGTCTGAACTAATTTATGCTCCCATCAAGGGTGTATAAACGTTCCTTTTTATCCACAACATCACCAGCATCTGTTATTTTTTGACTTTTTAATAATAACCATTGTGACTGATGTGAGATGGTATATCATTGTGGTTTTGATTTACATGTCTTTAATGATCAGTGATGTTGATCTCTTTATCATATGCTTGTTGGCCACATGTATGTCTTCTTTTGAGAAGTGTCTGTTCATGTCCTTTGCCCACTTTTTAATGGGGTTGTTTGTATTTTTTTTTGTAAATTTGTTTAAGTTACTATAGATGCTGGATATTAGGCATTTGTCAGATACACAGTTTACAAAATTTTCTGCCATTCCACAGGTTGTCTGTTTACTCTGTTGATAGTTTATTTTGGTGTGTAGAAGCTCTTTAGTTTAATTAGTTCCCGTTTGTCAATTTCTGATTTGTTGCAGTTGCTTTTGGGGTCTTCATTATAAAATCTTTGCTCGTGTTTATGTCCTGAATGGTATTGGTTATCTTCCAGGGTTTTTATAGTTTTAGGTTTTACATTTAGTCTTGAGGCAGTAATAAATAGCCTACCAACCAAAAAAAGCCCAAGACCAGATGGATTCACAGCTGAATTCTACCAGATATACAAAGAAGAGCCAGTAGCATTCCTACTGAAAATTTTCCAAAAAGTCGAAAAGGAGGGAGTCCTCCCTAACTTATTCTATGAGGGAAGCATCATCCTGATACCAAACCTGGCAAAGAAACAACAAAAAAAGAAAACTTCAGCCCAATATCCTTGATGAACATTGATGCAAATATCCTCAACAAAATGCTGGCAAACAGAATCCAGCAGCACATCAAAAAGCTTATCCACCAAAACTCAAGTAGGCTTCATCCCCTGGATGTAAGGTCGGTTCAACATACACAAATCAATAAATGTGATTCATCACATAAACAGAACTAAAGACAAAACCTCATGATTATCTCAATAGATGCAGGAAAGGCTTTTGATAAAATTCAACATCACTTCATGTTCAAAACTGTTAATAAATTAGGTATTGAAGGAACATACCTCAAAATAATAAGAGCCATATATGACAAACCCACGGCTAACATCATACTGAATAGGCAAAAGCTGAAGTATTCCCTTTTAAAACCAGCACCAGACTAGGGTATCTTCTCTCACCACTCTTATTCAACATAGTATTGGAAGTTCTGGCCATAGCAATTAGGAAAGAGAAGTAAATAAAGGGCATCCAAATAAGAAAAGAGGAAGTCAAGCTATCCCTGTTTGCGAATGACAGGATCCCATGTCTAGAAAACCCCATTATGACAGCCTAAAGCTTCCTCAGCTGATAAGCAACTTCAGTAAAGTCTCAGGATACAAAATCAATGTACAAAAATTGTGTCAGCATTCCTGTACACCAACAACAGTCAAGCTGAGGGATAAATCTCAGAAGACATTCCATTCACAATTGCCACAAAAGGAATCAAATAACTAGGAATACAGCTGACAAGAAAAGTGAAGGATCTCTAAAAGGATAGTACAAACCACTACTCAAAGAAATCAGAGATGATACAAACAAATGGAAAAACATTCCATACTCATGGATAAGAAGAATCAATATTGTTAAAATGGCCATACTGCCCAAAGCAATTTATAGATTCAATGCTATTCCCATTAAACTACCGCTGACATTCTTCACAGAACTAGAAAAAACTGTTTTAAAATTCATATGGAACCAAAAACTAGCCCAAATAGCCAAGACAATCCTAAGAAAAAAGAACAAAGCTGGAGGCATCATGCTACACAACTTCAAACTCTACTGCAGGGCTACAGTAACCAAAACAGCATGGTACTGGTACAAGAACAGACTCATAGAACAATGGAACAGAATACAGAAATAATTATAGATTTTTATTTGTAAATAAAAACTTGATAGAAACATATATCTGAAATTGAAAATGCATGATATATATACAATTTGTCTTCTTATGACAGACCACAGTTATTAACTCCACAACAATATAAACAGACACATTCCAGGCCTGCTGCTTAACCCCAGACTGTACTATGATATAATTGTTTTCAAGCATTTACTAGGAGATCTTTTTAAAAGTAACTTTTAAAAGAGTTAACTTAAAGAAAATATGCTTTACATGCTATGACAAAATCATATTTATTTTCTTAACTATGAAGAGCAGTAATTACATCTTTAATAAGCTTTTTCAGAATAATTTTATATTTGCAGATTTCTTAATTCATTTTTCATTGCTATAAAGGAATACCTGAGACTGAGTTATTTATAAAGAAATTTATTTGTCTCACGATTCAGCAGCCTGTACAAGATGCATGGCACCAGCATCTGTTTCTAGTGAGGACCTCAGGAAATATTCAATCATGGTGGAAGGGGAAGGGGAGCCTGCATGTCACATGATGAGAGAGGACATGAGAGAGAAAGTAGGTGCCAGACACCTTTTAGCAATCAGATCTCATGAAAACTAATAGAGTGAGAACTCACTCATTAACTCAAGGACAGCACCAAATCATTCATGTGGGTTCTTCTCCCCCATGACTGAAACACCTCCTCCCATGCACCACCTCCAACATTGGGTCAAATTCCAGCATGAGACATGAAGTGCCAAGCATCCAAACTATATCAGCAAAAAAGTTTCAGAAATAGTATGGAGAATTCCCATGTACATCACATCCAATTTCCCCCGTTTTTAATACCTTACATTAGTATGCTACATTTGTAATAACTACAGTTATGACTCAATATTGATACATTATTATTAAGTCCGAACATTACTCAGATTCCCTTAGTTTTCTTTAAAGTTCTTTTTCTATCCTAGGATCCCATCCAGGATACCACATTATGGTCACTTGTCATGTCTCCTTAGTCTCCCCTTGTCTGGGACAGTTTCTTCCAAATTTCCTTGTTTTTGATTACCTTGATCATCTTTAGAACTGGCCAAATATTTTGCAGAACTTTCCTGAATTTGGGTTTGCTGATGGTTTTGTCATGATTAAAATGGGATTATGGGTTTGGTGTAGGAATGCCACAAAAGTAAAATGCTCTTCTGATTACATCAAACCAAGAGTACATGCTACCAACATGATTTAGCACTGTTGATGTTAACATTGATTGCCTGACTTGAGGTGGAGTTTTTCATGTTTCTCTATTGGAAAGTTACTACTTTTCCCCTCTTTTCCTTATTGTATTCTTTGAAGGAAGTCCCCATGCTCAATGCTCAGCCCATCCTTAAGGGTTTGGTAATTATTCTCCAACTTTTTGAGGCAGGAGTGCTTATATGAATTATTTGAAATTATTTGGAATTTAAACAGAAAGCTTATGTATTATCCCTCACTTTTTAGTAGTTTAACCAATCATTTAGATTTGTATGTGATCTTGGTTATTTATTTTATACTTTGGGTTTAATCCAATACTTTTTATTGTTGTTACTCAAGTTTTTCCAGCTTTGTTTGACCGTTGGTAACTCTTTCAGTTGGCCCCTGTGTCCCTTTGAAATACCTTCATTACTGTGGGGTTCTTGTTCTGTTTCATTTTGGGGATTGGTCTTTCTGTTTGTTTTTTCATTTGTTTTTACCATGTACATACTTTCTTGTACTACAAAATGTTCCAGGAAAGAAATAATTGCATTTTTTAAAGTGCCAACATAAACTTAATAATCTGGAGCAACTTATTACTAAGGTCAGGACCATGTGTTTGCCTTCCTTAGCAAGCAACCTTTCCTCAATTTAATGCACATAGATAATACTCCTAACTCAATCCTGATATTTTGATAAAAAGAGCTAATTATAACAAGTGCCATAAGTAATTTGAATTGACATTAGAGATAGTAACAGTGTGTTTTATTTGCCTCAATGTGCCCTAAGGAAAGGTGATTGATTAAAAATATTTTTTTAAAGTTTTGCTTCATTCTATACTTACATGATTGTTTCTACTATACTAGACATCCTCAGAACAAGCAGTTTTCATGGGAGAATGAAAGGTTTTTAGAATCCAAGAAGATTCTGTCTCATTACCATTTTTTCTATCATATCTGTTAGAATTTACAGTTTTAATCAGGTAATACTCCTGGGAAGTAAAAGTTGCATGAAGGAAGAAAACATTAATAGATTTCTTCAAACAATAATATGAAATTATTCCAGTAGTGTTATAATAAAGGGAGTTCTAACAGAAACACCTGGATATGCAATGTATCATTAACAAGTTATTCATATGACTAAAGATCAGGTTAATTGCTTATCAAATATAATTCCAACTATTTTCTAAAATAAAAAATGAGAGATCCATGAAGTGAAACATTTGCATAGTTCAAATCAAGGTACAAAGATGAAGGGATTCTCTATTATTTTTATATGAAAACTCTTATTTTCTCTACAATCTGACTTATTTTCAATTTCCTACACAGTATTATTCTGTCATTTTACATGTGAAATAATTAACTCTCAATCAACTCATCTAGCTATTTTCATGACATAACTCTGTCTTCTTTTAACTCCACGTCACCTTTTATCTTCCTGTTGTTTTTGTATAGAAATATTTGAAATAGTAAAAACAAATTTTTTAATACAGAAGACTTGTCTCTCAAGCCATTTGCTTGAGAAAGCTAAGAGTTTTAAGTAACCATCTCCCAACGAGAAAATTAGTCTTTATGAGTACTTTTTTACAACTGAGACTCCACCTTCCTTCCTTCCTTCCTCCCTCCCTCCTTCCCTTCCTTCCTTCCTCCCTCCCTCCTTTCCTTCTTTCCTTGCTTCCTTCATTCCTTCTTTCCCTCCTTCCTTCCTTCCTTCCTTTCTTCCTCCCTCCCTTCTTCTGTTTCTTCTTTTATCCCTTCCTTCTTTCCTTCCCACCTGCTCCCTCCCTTCCTCCCTTCTTTCTTTCCTTCCTCCCCTCCTTCATTTCTTCCTTCGAATGGCTTCCTTTATATGCATGCATATTGATTCAGTACTTACTACTTGCTGAACATTGTTATAGACCCACACTCCATGCATCAGCTAAAATTATCACAAATTTCCCTAGATACAGCCAATCGTGGACTCAAGTGTGTATTTTGATTTGAATAATGATGCACCAAGTACCACATGTAATATCTTTCTCTTGTCTTTGCTGCTAGGTTCACTTTCTGATTATTGTTGCTTATTTGTAAATATTTTCTCATCTTCCATGAAGCTCCACTATTACAGACATTGTTGTGCTTTGCTAAACTCATAAAATATTGTTCAGGATGAAACACCTTCTCTTCCAAGATAGATTCAAAATGTTGTGCCTTCTGTTATCACCTGGAATTCTTTATCTATCCTGGATGGCATTAGGTTATTTTATGAAGTAAGATCATAGAAACCTTCTTTCTCAGTCTTGGAATTGATGGGTCGGTATAGCACATTTCCCCAAGGCAGAAGATAGAGTTCTCAGACTCTGTTAATACCTATGATTCCTTCTGCCTTCTTTTCACCTCTTAGCAGACATGACCAATTTCTGTGACTCTTACACAAAATCACAAATGCAGTCCCAACCTTTTTTGGGGTAACTAATTGGTAAGGAAATTTCTGAGAATTGGCTTTGTGGCAAAAATGTAAATTTCCACTGTCTCTTCTGTGTCACATAAGTGATTTGCATGATTAAAAATGTTTGGTTCCATATTTCTATTTTCATCCAGAGGGATAAAAATATGTCTAACCTTGATCAGAATCCACAGAATGAAATCAAACATACAGATCTCCTATTTGAGAATTGGCCTGATCCTGGAATAAAACAAACAAGTCAGGAAAAGGCAAATATGTCCTCTCTCTAGCCCATCACTTGCAGGGGAATCCCAGGAGTCTTTAGAAAGAATGATTTCTGATTCTAGCCCAGACACCAGTTGAATTTATAATTTTATTTTTTTAATCTTTTTGAGACAGAGTCTCACTGTGTTGTCCAAGATGGAGTGCAGTGGTATGATCTTGGCTCACTGCAATCTCCGCCTCCTGGGTTCAAGCAATTCTCTGCCTCAGCCTCCCGAGTAGCTGGGATTACAGGCACCCACCAGCACACCCAGCTAATTTTTGTATTTTTAGTAGAGACAGGGTTTCACTATCTTGACCAGGCTGGTCTTGAACTCCTGACCTCGTGATCCACCCGCCTTGGCCTCCCAAAGTGCTGGAATTACAGCCATGAGCCACTGCACCTGATGAATTTATACTTTTAGATTAGAGTTTCCTTTGTGTAACCTTTTTCTGTACTATCCATTGTCCTCACTCTAATGTGAATGACACTAACAAAAAAAAAAAACATCAAAATGTTTTTGTCTGGTAGCTGGGCCCAGACAAAAAGGAGCACAGAAGCAGGAATGGCATAGCTAATAGGAAGTGATATGGCTTTCTTTCTTCGTAAATAAAAGATAAAAGGAAGAATAGAATGTATTCACATTTTAGAAGTTTTAGTTTCATATACACAGTAGTAAAGAAATGGGAAGTTAAAAAAGTTGAGACTTTCATATATTGAATTAACATTTATCGAATATTTAATACATTCCTATACTACACTAGGTGCTGGGAATACAAAAATTTCAACATAAAAATAAAACATAATCCTGACTGTAATATGATGCGCATTACTAGAATTTATGAATTTTTGTATCTAAATTTAAATTACAATGTTATGCTGTATATATTTTAAATTTCAGCATGTTTTTCTTCCAGATATGATTAATATCTCTCTTAATATTTGTTTACTCTTGACATCTTTAGGAGATAGTCAACTTCAACTGTCGGAAACTGGTGGCTACAATGCCTTTATTTGCTAATGCGGATCCTAATTTTGTGACTGCCATGCTGAGCAAGTTGAGATTTGAGGTGTTTCAACCTGGAGATTATATCATACGAGAAGGAGCCGTGGGTAAAAAAATGTATTTCATTCAACACGGTGTTGCTGGTGTCATTACAAAATCCAGTAAAGAAATGAAGCTGACAGATGGCTCTTACTTTGGAGGTTAGTAAAAAAGATGCAACTAAGATGAAATCTAAACTGCTTGAGATTTGTATCTTTAAGAATTTTGGAGATGTCAGCATGTCAGTTTTTTGGTTTTGAATGTAAACCTGTATGTGAATTCTGATAAAAGTGTCTATAACAGTGTTTTCATATTTCAGAGTCACAGGCTCAATGTGTGTGCATTTACTACTACATTGGTTGAGATATTATTTCAACCTCTTTATCTGGAACCAAATAATAGGGGCTTAAGTCAAATGGAAAGTATAATTTGGTGACCTAGATTCCATCCATCCACTAACATGTTTTGTTTCGTTTTTGTCATCTCCACAAGAGGAGCTGATTCCTCTCCACCATGTTTTGATACGGCCCATATAATGGGGCAGAAATAATAGAAGAAATGAAAAACTAACAGCTTCTGTTTGATATTCCTACTGCCCAGAAATTGCAAAAATCATTGCTATTCACATATGATTGCCCAGAATTGGTATAGGATCACCTTCAGGCCTAAGGAAGGCTGCAAAATGTAGCCTGTAGTTAGATGGCAATTTACCTTGCTAAAAATTTACAGAAATTTGTATTGTTTCTATATTAGTTCATTTTCACACTGATGATAAAGACATACCTGAAACTGGGAAAAAAAGAGGTTTAATTGGACTTAGAGTTCTATATGGCTGGGGAGGCCTCAGAATCATGGCAGAAGGCAAAAGGTACTTCTTACATGATGGCAGCAAGAGATAATGAGGAAAAAGCAAAAGCAGAAACCCCTGATGAACCCATCAGATCTTGTGAGACTTATTCCCTATCATAAGAATAGCATGGGAAAGACCAGCCCCCATGATTCAATTACCTCCCCCTGGGTCCCTCCCATAAATGTGGGAATTCTGGGAGGTACAATTCAAGTTGAGATTTGAATGGGGACACAGCCAAACCATATTTATCTCCAATTTTTATTAAAATTATATATATAAAATATATATATATGTTTCTACACATGTACAAAAAATGCCTAGAAATTGATTTACTGGGTCAAAGACTATTTGATCTTATTTTTAGACTTAGGCAAATAACACCAAATTGCTTCTTTGATAAGGCTGCCTGTTTGCTTTGCCAATTCAGTTTTAGTTTTGTCTTGTGTATTAGTCCATTTTCACACTACTGTAAATACCTGAGACCGTGTAATTTATAAAGAATAGAGACTTAATTATCTCACAGTTCCACATAGCTGGGAAGGCCTCAGGAAACTTACAATCACAGCAGAAGGTGAAGGAGAGACAAGCAACTTCTTCACAGGCAGCAGGAGAGAGAAAGCACAGGGGAAACTTAAACCATCAGAACTCCTGAGAACTCCCTCACCACCATGAGAACAACATGGGGGCACCCATTACCATGATCCACGTCCCACCGCCCTTAACACATGGTGATTACAATTTGAGATGAAATTTGTTGGGGGGACATAGAGCCAAACCATATTATCTTGTTAATAAACAAAAGGACATACCCTAATTATTTGTATTTCTGTTTGCATTTTTGTTATTTCTGGGAGGCTGAGAAATTTCTTCTTAGAGTTACTAATTGCTTGGATTTATTTTTTTGTTCCTATTCTTTGCACATTTTTCTACTCTGTTGTTTGCCTTCGTAAATCTAATTTATAGGAATGTTCCAGATATATATTTTATATGATGCAACTATTTTCTCCTAATTTGTTGCTTGTTTCTTAATTGCATTTACAATATCTGTCATTATTTTGATCCTCATTATTGTTGATTTAAATCTGCCTATTTTTTCTTAGGGCATTAAAGATTTTATGTTCTGTAAGCGGGTTTTACACACTGGGAAATAATGGAAATGCTTTTCTTTCTTTTTTTTTTTTTTTTTTAAATGACAGGGTATCTCTCTGTCACCTAGGCTGAAGTGCACTGGCATGATTATGGCTCACTGCAACCTTGCTCTGCAGGCTCAAGTGATTCTCCCACCTCAGCCTCCCTAGTAGCTGGGACCACAGGCATGTGTCCCCATGCCCTGCTTTCCTATTTTTTAATTTTTTGTAGAGACGGGATGTCACCATTTGCCCAGGCTGGTCTCTAACTCCTGGGCTCAAACAATCCTCCTCCCTTGACTTCCCAAATTTCTGGAATTTCTGGAATGAGCCACCGCACCTGACTGGAATTGCTTTTCACATTTTTATCTATTTTATTTAGTTTTACTACATTTTATCATGACTACTCTGTTATTATAATTTATTATATTTTATTATTATACATATTCTAAATACATTTTTTAGTATTAACCCAACCAAAGTATATTTGTGAGTATAATATGAAATATTCTATATTATCCCCCTTTTTTACCCCAAAGAGACAATTTTTCCAAAATAATTAATGAAGGATTTCATCCTTTCTGCTAACTTTTGAAATGATTCCTTAATAATATGCTGACTTTAAGAAATGTTCCTCATTTACAGCTAAGATATATTTATTAGGAAATATTTGAATTTTGGTAAGTGAATTTTTTTAACTTTATCAAAATAACCATGAGGTTATAACCCATTAATCTATTATGGCTGAGTGAAACATATTAACTCAAATTAATTAACTTCTTTAACTTCCTGCTCACCAATTAAGGAAAATTTTGAAGTTCCATTTTGAAGCTTTCCATTTCTTCCACTATTCTTTCTTGTTAAAATGATTCTGTGTTGTCTCATTGGCCCCTTAGCCTTTTGTATGGGTTATTCTAAGAAAAAAGCAGATTAGGAAAAGCTATGAATCTAACAGGGCCTGCTTTAGAAAGTGCAGAGAATTAATGTTTGAATGAAGGGGAAAAAGAAAGAGAGTATTGAAGTTAGATGGGATAAGAAATGAAAGTATACAGTTGATCTTGAACAATGTGGAGATTAGGGGTACCAACCCCTGCTCTGTCAAAAATCTGCATATAATTTTTGACTCTGCAGAATCTTGACAATAGTAGCCTACTGTTGGCTGGAAGCCTTAACAATAATACAAATAGTTGATTAAAACATATTTTGTATGCTGTATATATTAGATACTGTATTCTTACAATTAAGTTAGCTAAAGAATATAAAATATTTAAAAATTAATAAGGAAGAGAAAATATATTTACTATTCATCATAATAAATAGATCATCATAATAAATGGATCATCATCAAGGTCTTCATCCTCATCATTTTTATGTTGAGTAGGATGAAGAGGAGAAGGAAGAGAAGGGGTTACTTTTACTATCTTGGGTGGCAGAGGCAGAAGAAAATCCACCTATAAATGGGCTTGCCTAGCTCAAACCTGTGTTAAGTAGTGAACTGTATATGTATAGGCCAGGTTTGGGGATAAATTTGTAGGAGGAAAAGTCTTTGAGTCAGTTTCTGGAGATTTGATGAATATGTAGAAGAAACATTTAAAAAGAATTTTTTGAAGTGTTATTATGCACAAAGATGGGATTTGTGAAGTCGACATATGTTTTGTGAATTCAGAGGAGGTTTTAAATACCTTACAGTTAATTTGGTAATATGACTAAGGTTTTATACAAAGACTGGAATATGTTCCTCCCTGGACTTATGTGGGTTAAACTATTAGTACAGTGAATCACATCACTGAATATCCTTGTGTTAAACCATAAGATCATTTCTGAGATAAAAACTATTTTTTCTTGATGTAATATTTCTTTAACATAGTGTGTCATCTCTGTCCATGAGTGAGATTGGTCTATAATGTTGTTGTTATTGGAGTCATTTTTGTGATCCCCTAGATGACTTTGGATATCAGGTTATGCTCACTTCTTAGAAAGAATAATAAAACTTTTTCAAAAAGTATTCGCTGTTTTAGAGAAGTTTAAACAATCTAGGCATTACCTGTTATTTGAATATTTGTTAGGCTTCACAAATAAAGCCACTTGTGTTTGATTCCCTGTATTTTGTGGTTATTAAAATACTCAGGTTTTCTATTTCTTTAGGAGTAATCATTCAGTTCATCTAATTCAATTGTTCATAATACTGAGTACACATTACTATCTCCTGGAAAGCTTTAAAAAAATTTGATGCCAATGCCAAAAACCTACACTATATTTTCTCATATAATTGAGTGGAGTTGAAATCCAATCACCAGTATGTTGAAAAAAATCCCCAGATGATTCAAAATAATTTTTAAATTAAAAATAGTTATAGAGACAGAGAGCGAGAGATGAAGATATTGATGTAGATATATGGTTCCCTTTTTACGGTTAAACTTTTACTTCCTTTTTATTACAGGGGCTTTATATTTACATAATTATTGCAAAGATCATACAGATAATTCCAATGTAAACATCTTTCATTGCTATGGTATGTTGGTCAAAACTAATGAACCAACTGTTAAAGTACTTAATAAAGTGCATTTTTCATTGAGATTTTTCCAGTCTTTACCCAATGTCCTTTTTCTGTTCAGAATCTGATACATAATACCACCTGACATTCAGTAGTAATGTCTTCTTTGGCTACTTTTAATCATTAAAGTTTCTTGGAATTTCCTTCTTCTTGATTAATTTGACAGTTTTAAGGAGCACTGGTTAAGGTATCTTGTAGAACGTCCCTCAATTGGGATTTGTCTGATGCTTTTCTCAAGATTAGATCGGAGTAATTGTTTTGGGAAGAAAAACGAGACTTAAAGTACCATTCTCATCACATCATATTGAGAGTGCATGCTATGAATATATCTTATTGCTGTTGATGTTGACCTTAATCATCTAACTTGAGTTAGGGTTTGTCAGACATCTCCATTGTAAAGTTAATTTTTCTTTCCCTCCCATTCCATACTGTACTCTTTGGAAGGTAGTCACCATGCACAGCCCACAAGTAAGGAGCGGGGAGTATTGTTCCACTTCCTTAAAGGCCACGTATGACATAAATAATTTGAAATCATCCTGAACAGGAAATTTACCTATTCTCTTTCATTATTTATTGATTTATACAATCCTTTTTGTATCAGTATGGACACTTGGATATATTTATTTTATAATTTGGGTTATAATCCAGTACTACTTTATTAATTCTGTTGCTCAGATTGTTTCATCTTTGGCTATTGGGATCTCTTCCAATTAGCCCCTCTGTCCCTTTGTCCTCATTATTGTGGGTAAATTTTTTCTTATTTCCTGTTACCACAATATGCTCCTGGCTCATCTTGAATAGTTCCTATCAGTCTAAAATTATTCATTTCTTCAAGGAGGCTTGGATTCTGTAATTGGAGAATGGTAATTGAAATAAAGATCTGGAAAGCCCTGAGGTGGTGCAGGGTATCACATGGTGAGGGAGCTGAACATGCTCATGTGGAAGACCAAGTTCTTCTTTCTCTGTTTATAAAGCTACCAGTTCTCTCCGATTATAAATCATTTATACATCAACCAATTAATCCATGAATGGATAAATCAGTTCATAAAGGCAGAGCCCTCATGAGCCAGTCAACTCATAAAGTCTTCACCTCTCAGTACTGCCATATTGGGTATTAAATTTCAAGGAGTTTTGAAGGTGACACATATTCAAACCATAGCAACATCTTTCCCCTAATCTTGATTTTGGGAGAAAGCATCCACCTATCACCATTAAGTATGATGCTAATTGAACAGTTTTTTTTTCAGATGTTCTTAATCATATTGAGAAAGTTATCCTTCATTACAGCTTTTCTAAAAGTTTTTCTTTAATCATGAATGAGTGTTGGATATTGTCAAATGTATGTTTTTCTATGCCAAGTCTGTGATCCTATGTTTTTTCTTCTCTAGTCTGTCAATGTGGTGAATTGTTTTGATTGATTTTAATTTTAAATGTTGAACCAGCCTTGCATGCCTAAAATAACTTTTATTGCATCAAAATGTGAAAATGTATTGGATTGGATTTGCTAATATTTTGGTCATGATTTTGTCTCTATCTTTATGAGATATATTATTCTATGCATTTTTATTCATGTAATGTGCTTTCTGATTTTTGTATGAGGCTGATTCTCACTTCATAGAATGGATTTGAAAGTGCTCCTTCTGCTTCCATTTTCTGGAAAAGATGGTGGAGAATTGATATCATTTATTCCTTAAATATTTGGTAGAATTTACTGGTGACAACTTTTGGGCCTGGTGATTTATTTTTTGCAAGATCATAGAATAATTGATGTTGGGAGCAAGCCCCCCAAAATCTGGCCATAAACTGGCCCCAAAATTGGCCATAAACGAAATCTCTGCAGCACTGTAACATGTTCATAATGGCCCTAATGCCCAAGCTGGAAGTGTGTGGGTTTATGGGAATGAGGACAAGGAACACCTGGCCCGCCCAGGGTGGAAACCGCCTAAAGGCATTCTTAAGCCACAAACAATAGCATGAGCGATCTGTGTCTTAAGGGTGTGTCCCTGCTGCAGTTAACTAGCCCAACGTATTCCTTTAATTCAGCCCATCTCTTCGTTTCCCATAAGAGATACTTTTAGTTAATTTAATATCTATAGAAACAATGCTAATGACAGGTTTGCTGTTAATAAATATGTGGGTAAATCTCTGTTTGGGGCTCTCAGCTCTGAAGGCTGTGAGACCTCTGATTTCCCACATCACACCTCTATATTTCTGTGTGTGTGTCTTTAATTCTTCTAGCTCCACTGGGTTAGGGTTTCCCTGACCGAGCTGGTCTCAGCAAATTGATCCAATTTCCTTGTGGATATAAAGTTATTTAGGTTAGATAGTTCTCATTATGTGAATTTTATTAGTTTGTACTTTCCAGGAATTGCTCCACTGCATCTAAATTAAATTTATGGACACTGAGTTCTCTGTAGTTTGCTTGAATCATTCTCTTTTAGGGTCCCCAGGATCAATAGTGATGACCCCTCTTTCATTTTTGATGTTGATAATGTTTACGTTCTTTTTTCTTGGTCAGTCTTCCTAGAGAATCTTAAAAAATATATTTTCCAAGAGCTACAGTTGCATTTCATTGTTTCCTGTTTTCATTTTTATTGATTTCTATCATAATTTTTATGGTATTCTTAGTCGTTGTGCTTTGAGCTTAAATTGCTTTCTTTAGTCTATTTTGCTAAGATGGAAGCTTAGAATACTGATTTTTCAATCTTTCTTCTATTCTAATATATTTATCTAATACTATGTAGTATAAATTCCTCTCTAAGAACTTCATTTTCTGCCTCATACAAATTTGGTGTCATATTTTAATTTTCTTTCATTTTTTTAATATTATCTGAGACTTTTTCCTTGTCCCATATGGTTTTTCAGTGTGATAAATATATAGGGATTTTCTATCTGTCTTTCTATTGTTGGTTTCTAGTTTAGTTCATTGTGATCTGAAATTTTACCTTGTATGATTCTCATTATTTTCTATTTGCTGAGGTGTGTTTTATAGCCCTAACTCTTGATAAATGTTCCATGTAAAAATGAGAAAAATAATATTCTTCCATTGTTATTTGTTTAACCCAACTCACTTGAGTAAGAAAGTATGTAAAATACTATTTTGTTTCCATTCAGAGCTTTTAATCTCATTCATATTTTCACTATGATGACATGGGGTGGCTACTGGTGGACCTCAAGGGTACCAGAAGCACAAGCCTTTTATGGGCAGTTTACAGAAAAAATAAGTTTACATTACTTTGAATATCAACATGCAGTTTTAGACATCAAAGAAGATAATGTAAGGCAGTTAAAATCTAATAACATGTACTTATTTAATAAGCTATACATATTATACAATCCCTGCCTATTTCATTATCTAATATGAAATCTTGACATCAATAACACCAAATTTTATACTATACTAGTTTTGTATTTGTATAAGTTGAGCATGACAAGTTCATAGTATTGTTAAGCAGAAGAACCAGACATTAGCTGAGGAATGCTCTTTTCACTCTTCTAATATATCTAACTAAATAAACATAATCAGTTCACCAAACATTAAACCCCAACAAAATGGAGGGCAGAATAGTAAGCTAAGGAGACTTATTTAAAGAAAGATCAAACTCAAAAGTTTTGAATTCTGTGCATAACTTGATTTATATCTACAATAATGCAGGAGTATGTTTCTAGATCAGTATAATTTTTTAACTTCAGATATTTTGTTTTACTTTTTGGTGAGGCATGTGACTCATGCACCACCTCATCCAGTCTTCTTAGCAGAGGTCTTACGTAGTGTTGTAGCAGAAAGAGTATGAGGAAATGAACCAAATATAAGTGTGAGACACATTCATAAGGCCTGGGGATAGAGCAGTGAGCAAAAAGTACCATGCCACTCATACTTATGGAACTTATATTTTAGTGGGTGGTTATATTTTATAAAGAAGAATTTAATAAAGAAACCTGGAAATTACTAAAAATATTAAGCCACGTTACAAAAAGGTGACAACCATATTGGAGTTAGAATCCAGGCATGTGGATTACCTGGGAGTTCTAGGCTTCCCATTGAGAGTGATGGTGAATGGGCATAAAGAGCTTAAGGAGATTTGTCTACATAGCTTAGGCCAGTTGGGTGGTGAGTGAGTGTTGGGGTTGTGGTGAGTGTTGGGGTGCTCAAGGAGTGATGGTTTTGATTGTAGCAAAAGGAGTGTCTGGACTCCTGCTTAACTCCTCCTTTGAGTTAGATTTTATAATCTCATCATCCTCTTTTAAATATGAGGAAAATGAGTCTCAAAGCAGTTAAACAAGCTGGCCAAGGCCATGGACTTGAGAAGGGAGAAACCCAGGTTTCAAACTCAGTTTGTTTCTGAACTTGAAGCCTGTGTTCTTTCCAGAATACCTCACTGCCTCTTAAGAGGGGCATGATTATTCTCCAATATATCACTTCAAATCTATCCATGGCCCTTTTATTTAATTTCCATGGAATTCACTAAACTGTTTTGTAATCTATTCATATGTTTTATATGACCATGCTATTAAGGTAATCATACTGTAAATATATTATCCACTAAGTAAAATGCCATTAACAAACCATATTAAAATGTCAAATAATATACCTTTGTACCAATACTTTGATTTTAAAGAAAAGTTTGTTTTTCTAATATAATTTATTTGATTATTATTAATATCTCCTTTACTCATTCACCTCTTAACAATCATTTATCTTTCCACGCCAAAGTGTTCTAATTGATTCAGTCTCTTAACTTTCTTTCTTTCAAAATGTCTGTCCCATAAGTTCTTTTTATGGAATGATAATGTGAAACAAACCCATGAGAAAGGAAATATTTTTCATGACTGTTGTTAAATGCTGCTTTAATAATGGACATTTCGCAAGCTGTGAAGGGACTGGCAGATACTTTACAGAGTTAATGTATGTATTTAGGATTTTTATGACCAAAATACATTTGGGCAGATAATGATTATTTGACATTTTTAAATTTAGAGACACCGATTCGAAAAAACCACAGGCAATCATGGTCACCGTGACTATTCGTTAACTCTAAGAGGACTGAAACATCTGCCAATCTGCAGTTGGCAATTTACTCTACTTCTATATTATATTTGTTTAACCTCATGCTGGTTTTCTAGAAGGCATAAGGAAACTGTTGATAGTTAATCAAATTAACAATTTGATTAGCTCAATTTTTTCTATTACATTTATGAGGAGCAGGAAGAAGAGGCAGCCGTAGGAAAGAACGATTAATCTCCTTATGGAGTTTTTTTTAATTTTTCTTTTCCTTCCTCATTCGTTATCCTCTTAGGTGAGGGTAAATGAAGTAATTTTGTCCATGCTGGTAAGACAACTCTGTCAGATCTTTTCTTTTCTTGTCAGGTCTTGGCTGACTTAGAAATGTCAAATAATACACAATCACAAGCTGAAGCTTTGCTAACTCATTGTGTGAGAGAGATGCTAGTCACTTTATCCTCACCTCAGAGTTCTGTGTCTTTATAAAGTCATTTATAAATGAATCAATGCCAAATATCTGACATACTTAGGAAAATTAGGATGAACATTAAGAAGACATTTTATTTTGAAGTCAAAATGTCTTTCTCTTTTTAATAAAATAGAAAAAGAGAAGGAGGGGAAGAAGGAGAAACCTAAAAAGTTCATATTACAATCCTGGGTCCTCCTATATTCCTGTGCTAGTTCACAAAGGACCACATTTAAAGAGGTTTTTGCTTTGTTTTGTTTTGTTTTGTTTTGTTTTGTTTTTGTAGACCATGTCTTGCTCTGTCACCCAGGCTCACCTCAGCCTTGACCTTCTAGGCTTAAGTGATCTTCCCGCCTAAGCCTCACAAGTAGCTGGGACTACAGGTGTATACCACCATGCCTGGCTAATATCACTGATCATTAAAGAAAGGCAAATCAAAACCACAATGAGATAACATCTCAAACCAGTCAGAATGGCTATTATTAAAATATCAAAAAATTATAGATACTGGTGAGGTTGTGGAGAAGAAGGAACAGTTTTACACTGTTGATGTCAGTGTATGGTAGTTCAATCACTGTGGAAGACAGTGTTGTAATTCCTCAAAGACCTAAAGACAGAAATACCGTTTAACCCAGCAATCCCATTACTGGGTATATACTCAAAGGAATGTAAATTGTTCTGTTATAAAGACACATACATTCAAATGTGTTTTCATCTCTTTGTGCTGGTGTTAGGTAAACTGATTTTCTCTTTATGCTTTCATAGCATTTAGCCTATTATTGAATTATTTCAATTATTATTTCATATGTAAATTTAAAATATTACTTTATCAATTGTCTGAGTTTAAACACTATGATTTCTTCAAATTTAAACATGTAAAACCAGAGCACAGTGTGTGAACAACACTCAGTAAGAACATTTATAAAGAATGAGTAGATGGGTAGAAGAATGATGGATGAATGGATAGATATATTTTCTTTGTCACTGCTCTTAATCTTTATTTCTTCTTCTTTGTCACCAGCTCTAAACTTAGAAAAGTAGTGAAGCATCCCATTCACTTTAATATTATTCTCATTCTTTGAGAATAATATTATTTTGTTAGTCTCATTCTTTATTTGAAGATAGGAAATTTATACATATGATAATGATAAAGTACAATCTAAACTTAATGAAACATACCAGATGATTTCTGAGAAATTCAGAGTTTATGCCTTTTAAATTGTTTTCTAATTTCAAATTAATCTCACTTTATTAGGGATCAGATAATATAGTCCTAGAATCTAAAACAATAGAATCTGTAGGAATGATGTCTAGCAGAACTTTCTGTTGTGATGAAAATGTTGTAAATTTAACACGGTTAAAAAAGCTAGCCACTGTCAATATATAGCAGTTGAGCATTTAAAATGTGGCTAGTGTGACTGAGGAACTGGGTATTTGGTTTTATTTATTATAATCATTTTAAATTGAATTAAATGTTAATAGCCATATTTGACTAGTGCCCAGCATATTGTACAAAATAGTTATCAATTGTAAGATTAAGATAATGGAGATTTGCAAGGAAATTGTATCTAGAATGGTATAAATGAAAATTGTTATTCCATGTTAAGCCCAATATATCCCTAAGAGTGTTCATTTATTTCAGGAATGGGGCAAATAAATTACATTCCTTTCTTCTTTCCTTTTTTTTCTTCAACAAATGGATATTGAAAATACACTGTATTCCACATAGTATTCTAAATTTGTGTCATGCAATAGTGAATAAAATAAAATTCTAGCATTCATGGATATTATGCACTATTGAAAGGACATAAAATAAACAATAAACAAATGTATACATAAAATAATTTCAAATAATATTTGATGCCATAAAAAATAATAAAGCAAGTTAATAAAAGAATATTTTGGGCAGAAAGCTTAATGAAAAGGGACAGCACTGGATGTGGTGGCTTGTGCCTGTATTCCCGGCACTTTGGGGTACAAAGGCTAAAGGATCACTTGATCCCAGGAGTTCAAGACAAGCCTGAGCAACATAGTGAGACCCTGTCTCTACAAAAAATCAGAAAGTAGCTGGATGTGGTAGCACATACAACTACTTGGGGGGCCTGAAGTGGGAGGATCCCTTGAGGAGATGGAGGTTGCAACGAGCCAAGATTGTACCATTGCACTCCAGCCTGGGCAACAGAGTGCAACTCTGTCTCAAAAAATAAATAAAATAAAAAAGAGAGAAAGCTAGTCATGTAACAATCTGAGGGAGAAACGTTATCAGCATGGGGAATAACAAGTGCAAATCTCCTGAAGTGAAAACAGAGGTGGTCAGTTCCAAGAGCAAAAGGATGCCAGCTTTGCTAAACCAGAGAGATAGGTTGAAAGATTTATAAAAGATGAGCTCGGTGTGGTGTCCAGAAAACAGAACGAGTGGGCATACACAGAACATGATATATTTATAAGGTGATCATCTTAGTGATAGACCAAGAACTCTTCATGTGGGAAGGTAGTGAACAGTGAATAAAGAGTAGAGTTAATGAACTACAGGTCCATATGAGAGAGAAAAGTTATTGGAGGTAGAGAAGTAGAATAAAGTAAGCTGGAAATAGAAGAAATGATCTGTATAGAGGTTTTGGAATTAGTTAAGCTATTGGTGATAACAAAGTCTAAGATATGACCTCGGTGGCTGAATAAAAATTAAAATATGAAAGATGGTGATAGTGAGAAAATCAAATAATACTTAGGCCATTGTGTTTTATGAAGCATTTTCAAGCTTTCTGATGGACACAATGAGTATATGCCTACATTATTATGACAAGAATAACCTATATTTCAGTGAAAGACATTTGAAACCAAATTAAAGCTGTACTTTTAAGATTCTTTTTTCCTTTCATATATTATTTATAGTCTTTTCCTTATTTTCTCATCATCTCTTTTGTTTCTTCATGATTATTTGCAGCATTTATATAAAAGATATATGGAAACTATGAGACTATAACATTCCCATTATACTGTAGACTTGTAAAAGATCATGTTATGTTTCTGTTTGTATCTGCACCCTCAGCATCATGACTAACACATGATTTTTACTGAGTAAATATTGGTAGCATTGGATCTACTTTTGGAGCCACCTTTAATTGAATAAGTTTTATAAAATTAAATTAACTAATCCCAAACTTTTCTTCTAATAAATGGTGTCTTTTTTTTACAATTTTTAAACACAAAAGTGTCTTATTTATTTTGTTTTCCCTACAAATTCTTAACAGAAGTCATAAATGTAAACCAAATAATTAGACTTAGTGTTTCAGTAATATCTTACTTAGTACTTTTTAAGGACTGAATGTTTATGTCCCCTACAATTCATATGTTGAAACTGTAGTCTCAAATGTGATGACATTGGAGGTGGGGCCTCTGGAAGGTAATTAGGTCATGAGGGTGGAACCCTGATGAATAGGATTAGTGCCCTGTATTTGTCCATTCTCACATTGCTAATTAAGACATACCCAAGACTAGGTAATTTATAAAGAAAGAGAGGTTTAATGGACTCACAGCTCCACATGGCTGGGGAGTCCTCACAGTCATGGTAGAAGGCAAAGGAGAAGTGGGGGAATGTCTTACATGGTGGCAGGCAAGACAGCATGTGCAGGGGAACTGCCCTTTATAAAACCATCAGATCTCGTGACAGTTATTCACTGTCACAAGAACAGTGCAGGAAAAACTGCCTCCATGATTTCTCCCACCAGGTCCCTCCCACAGGACATGGGAATTATGGGAGCTACAATTCAAGATGAGATTTGGGTGGGGACACAGCCAAACCATATCATGCCCCAATATAAACAGGCAGAGAACCAGCCAGCTTCTTTTCTACCATGAGAGAATACAAAGAAGGCAGTATGTAACCTAGAAGAGGGCCCTCATCAGAACCTGACCATGCTGGCACCCTGATCTTGAACTTTGAGGCTCCAGAACTGTAAGAATACATTTCTGTTGTCCATAAACCACCTACTCTATAGTAATTTGTTACCGCATTTTAAATGAACTAATACAGTGCTGAATAGAATAAGAAGATTCCTTTGACATCATTTCTTTTTCTGTGCCTGTATATTTGCTCTCCAGCCTCCCATTTGACTTTTGAGTCTCACTACAACTTTGCTGAGTAAGATGCTCTTGCCCTGTTTCAGCAGATGTATTCATCCTTTGCCACACTCTGGTGTGATTAATGAGCTAACATTAATAAAGTACTTTGAGTTCCTTGGATAAAGTTGTGCAAACTATTATTCTGTTGTGTTACTTTCTTTAGGGATTATTATAATGCTCCATTGTATCTGTGGAGTCTAGGAGACAAAAGTGACATAAATGTCTCTGAGAAGGCACACTTCAACAAAGTATGCAAGTACAACTGCATGAAAGCAACCAGGGTACAAAATTTTATTTTTAATATACTTTCATTCTCCACTCACCTTTTTTATTCTCTGTTCTCAGCCCAAAGTAAAGTAAGGTGAAGTAATACCATCTTTCTGTATGAATAATAAGTGTTACATTGTGAGGCATTAAGTATACATTTGGAAGCAATTTAAAAATCTTTCAGTTTCTAAGTCATATTTTTATACTAAAGAATAGTTAATATGTCCATAGGAAAGATAATGGGCTTTTTATCATTGTGAGGTATTTAGGTTTAAAATGTTCTTAAGGTTATATTGTATAATGCCCCCCAAAAACACAGCTTATGAGTAAAGGACTGATCTTAGGAATCTGCTACATGAATAGGTTCATTTGGAAGGCAATGATGTCCTGCGGTTACTTTGTGTGCTTCATTGCTGGTGGACAGATGGCTGGTTTCTCACTGTGTTCTCATTTCAACTCTGTCTCTAGCTTGCTCCTTTCCCATGTGGCCTTCCCCCTGTGCTAATAACAGAAGCTTTTTATTCTATGCCCAGGTTTTACTTACTCTTAAATTTAGACCCTCCCTTCAAGTCCAAAGGTCCAAATTGCTAGAACTGTGCAATGGTACCAGGATTCTCCCTACTAAACTATGCACCACATGCAACTTACAAGTTATGTCTAGGGAACCTAAGCACGATTTAATGCCTGATTCTTTCTTTCTATAATATTGCAAATTAATTTACTAAATTATATATTTACAATCAAAACTATAAAAGGATTAGGAGGCAGCATGATGTGGCAGTGTGCTCAGCATCCACAGAGCCAGGTTCTAGTTTTCTTTCCGTAGATAGGACCTAACATGTGTAACACCCAGGGGCTCAGAATCATCATGTGTAAAATGAGATTATTAAGACAGACGCTTTCTACAGCCCCTTTCAGACCAATGATTCCGTTAGAATGGGACTCTTGAAGGGTGTATTCTTTTTTGCCAGGTTGTTTGGCATGAAACATCCAAAATGTCTTCTTGCCTATTCTAGTTCACAGTATTTTTAAAGAAGGGCTGCATTTCATTTGTAGTATTATCACTGTGAGTGTTTTCAAGGCCAAGCACTTAGCAATTTAAAAAGAAATGGAGGTAGGTGAGATTTGTGATGATTCATGCTCCGGTGGTTAAAAAATAACTGCCACTTTTTTTCGTGGATAGTGAAATAAAGTAGAAATTGTCAGACCTTGGACTGTGAAGCTCCTTGAAATGTGGTGGGAGATGAGAGGATACTGGTTAAGAGTGTAGGTGATGCAGCTGCACCCTGAGATGCTATTTGACCTTGGGAAAGCCACAGATCTTCCCCAAGAATATCTCCAAACCTGTAAAACTGGAATAATGTTAATTCCTACCTCACTAGGGTTTGCTTAGAGGATGAAATGATCCAATATTTCTAAAATACTTAGAGCAGTACCTGGCACAGTCTGTGCCATGATGTTAGGCATTAGCATAAGCGAAAGGGCCAGTGTAGTATAAAGCAGTAGATGCGTGTAAAAGACAGTACTGGGGCATTATTGATTCAGGGCTCGTGTCAAGTGAATCAACACTGGAGATCTAATTGTCAATTTGTATTTCTCCTGACTATGTGTTAGTCTTAATCCTATAGCAATGAAAATGACTCTATATCAATGTGTGTGTGTGTCTGATGGTGGGGAAGTAAGGGTGGAATAAATAATCATGACAGCTTTTTAAAACTAGAGATAACCTCAACTTTGAAAATTCTAATTTCCTCACTATAAACAAAATTGAATTGTGAGCACACACATAAGAAATCATACTCTAGGATTTAGTAAAATCCAAACTCTTCAAACAACTAGTTCTTAATGTGCCAGGCATTGTGCTAAGTAATTCCATATGTATTACATAACTCAGCTATATTAAAATAACTACAAGAATATATAATCTTTATCATTTTTGGTATGTTTCTCATATGCTTTAGAAGTAAAATGGAAGGCATATATTTATCATACACTAAATTATTCATAAACATTTTTGTAAATTTAGAATTAGAGGGAGCTTATTCATTATCTAATCCTCTTATACGAATGAGGAGCCTGAGAAATGTATGAGCCTAGAGGTTGGTGGTGACAGGGCTGGGACTTTCACTCACAGGTAACCGCTCTTCCTACAGTAACAGGTAAATTTTCTGAACATTGTTACCAATAATGTTACTCTATAACATTTCAGAAAATAAGAATTCTTCCCACTTCTATTGAATTATAAAACACATCACATACACACACACACACAGACACACACACACACACACGCATACCTTCTAGCCTATTGCTAAATAATATGAATTTAATAATTCTAAGCATACTTCAATTAAGTATGACTGTTCTGACCTATCTATTATCCATGGAGACACTTCTCCATGGCTGAATTTACTTACATGGGAAGAATAAAATTGTCAGTCAGAACAGTTCAGCAAAAAATAATAAAGTAGAAAACATTTAGTCACTTTAAATTGCGTTTCATCACCAATTTTTCAGTGTATATTAAACTTACATTATTGGGATGTCCTTTGAAAATTTAAAATGCCAGAAGTAATTTTAAAATTGTCTTTGTACCTCATACCATATGTTACAAGAGAAACACATCAACAACAACATCTTAATGTTTTAATGGTATGCACTAAGTAGTTCCCTTTGCTTGGATATGTGGTTGTACCCCAAAGAAATGAATAGAATCTCAAAAGATGTGTCTAATATTTTCAATACTAACAAGTCAGTTGATAGTCGCTGACAATAATACAGTCAGATTGGACATGAGTGAGAAAGATGAAGACTAAAACACATCAGACACTTCTTAGAAATAGCCTTTAAAATCTTAATTGCATTCATTTTACAATGCAGTGGTGGACTTATTAATTCAGTACACATTTATCCTCTTATTGTAAAGATTTGAAATATGTTAAAAGTTCTTATTTTCTTGAAGTTTACAGGATACTTGTTACTACAGAGCAATCTCCAATGCTTCCAGCCTCAAGAAACTGGAAATTTTTGGTCTAGTACTTCTTAAATACTGAAATCATTTTTACATAATAATATTCATAGTTGTGCATGTACTATTATAACTTGGAGAACAGAAAGGATATAATGTTTGCACTTATAATTTCTAATAAGGTATATATTTTTAAACCATATAAGTAGGTAAAGATAACATTATTATCATTATCGATTTGCCACTGAGAGAAGACACAAAATAATACTCCCATGTCTTGTCTCCTATATCTGTCAACTTTTTCCTATATAATGAGAAACAGAATTATCTAAATAAAAGTTAATTTCCAGTTTCTGAGAATCTTAGAAACTTAGTTTTTTTTTAGTTCCTTAACTCTGAAGTTCTTTAAAAACAAATTTTCCGTGTGTGTTTGTCTCCCCAAACTATAAAGAAAGTTTATCAGAGAAGATGAGGAACTGATGGCAAACATCTGATGATTTGTTTATAAGATAATCATAAGGTGCTGCAGAACAAATCCTGGGTCATTCTGAATCATTCATGGTCACAGTTACCATGTTTTTGTGTAAATGTAGACCTCTACTTCCTCCAGTTCTGCAAGGGGGTATGGATGGTCCTAGAAAATAAAACAAAATTCAACATTCCTGCCATCATTAGTCAATTAGGAACATCTTTAAATCAAGATCTTTTTTCACTGAAATCGTGAAGAGGACAGAAACTGGTGGTGATTGATCTTGGCTACATTTTTCAGATAACAATCTTGAAATTTTTCTCAGGGACCATGAAAATGAATAAGATGCCAAAATATAAATACCTTTAATAACTCAGGGCTGAATACAGTAAAAAATGTTTAAGCGAAATACCCTTAATAAATCCAAATGAGATTTATTGCTTCGAAAGTGTCTAAGTCTATAGGACCTCAGAAATACCTAAGAATACACCTAGTTCCCACCAGCTTCCAAGTGAGACGTCTATAATAATATAAGAAGAGTGAAAATGAGAAAAGGCCGCAGAGGATGTGAAATTGTATTTCCAGCACAGAGAATAACATTTTAGAAAGATATTTTGGATTTATTGTTCAATTCTTTGCATTAGCCATGTGCATTGGCCCACTTGTGCCTAAACAAAATCTTCAAGGCCCTAAGAGTACCCACCTCACTTCTGAGCTGAGTTGTAAAAATTGAATAGTAGTGTGTCAAAGAAAAGTTGAGATGGAGATGGCAAATTGAAGGAAAATGTGACCTGTTTTAAAGAAAAAAATTATATGGAGCTACTTCTGCTCCTTCACCTCAGGAAACTCATTTCTGATGATCTGGAATCTCTCCAGCTCATTCCAAAGTGAAGCATGACCCTAATATGGACTTAGAAAATTGATTTTAAAGTAGCATTTCCCCCACCATTATGAAATAGAAACTTGTGGAAGTTCCACTTAGAGTTTAATAGAATTGACCTACATTGTTTTTTCCACTTTAAATAGACCCATCTCTCTTATGGTGCATAGGAAGGAGGAAGAAACACATAGAAAAGAGAAATAAATCTCTTGTCCATATCTCCAAATTAATGACTGTGACTTCAAATGGTTCTCAGACTTAACAGTTTGATTTGAAGGTCTCTCTTCTTCTGTAAAGAGAAACTGCCATATGGCCTACATTGTGATCTTAACATTTACACAACAATTAAATATGCCTGGTTCATGCTGAAATACCAGCTCCCGGCTGGGAAATTAAAGCAGCATTCAGCTCCTCTCAGCAAGAAGGCTGAAGTTTGATATATTCTATAAACTGGATTCTGCACTAGCCAAGGGAAAGAGGATTGACATAGTTAGAAAACACAGTTGGACTTGTTAAAACAAGCATTTCAGTGCACAGATGCTAAGTCTCCTTGGAGTTATGCATTGGATCACTTTGCTCCTACTTAGCTATTAACTAAATATATTTTTGTTTTATTTCCTCTTATTTTTCATCTTTACTGCAATTTATATAAATGCAATCATTTACCTCTAAGATATTTCAAAAATGTTTGTTAGGAAAGAAAGGGGTTACAGGGTTACAGATTAAAATCTTCTCCATTTTCAATGAGCGCCAATTTTTTTAACTTTTATTTTCATTTCAGGGGCACCTGTGCAGGTTTGTTACATAAGTAAATTCATGTCATGGGGATTGGTTGTGCAGATTATTTCATCACCCAGGTACCAAGCCTAATACCCAATTGTTATCCTTTCTGTTCCTCTCTCCTACCCTCTATCCTCAAATAGGCCCCAGTATCTGTTCCCTTCTTTGTGTTCATGAGTTCTCATCATTTAGCTTCCATTTATAAGTGATAACATGCCGTATTTGGTTTTCAGTTCCTGCATTAGTTTGCTAAGGGAAATGGCCTCCAGCTCCATCTGTGTTCCCACAAAAGACAGGATCTCATTCTTTTCTGTGGCTGCATAGTATTCTATGATGTCTATATACTGCATTTTCTTTATCCAATCTGTCATTGATAGGCATTTAAGTTGACTCCACATTTTTGCTATTGTGCATAGTGCTGCAATCAACATACGCATGCATGTGTCTTTATAGTAGAATGATTTATATTCCTCTTGGTGTATATGCGGTAATGGGATAGCTGGTTCCAATGGTAGTTCTGTTTTTAGCTCTTTGAGGAATCACTGTACTGCTTTCCACAATGGTTGAACTAATTTACACTCCAACCAACAGTGTATAAGTGTTTCCTTTTCTCTGCAACCTCACCTGCATCTGTTATTTTTTTACTTTTTAATGGTAGACATTCTGACTAGTGTGAGATGGTATCTCATTATGGTTTTGATTTGTATTTCTCTAATGATCAATGATATTGAGCTTTTTTCATATGATTGTTGGCCGCATGTATGTCTTCTTTGGAAAAGTGTCTGTTCATGTCCTTTGCCCACATTTTAATGGTGTTGTTTGTTTTTCTCTTGTAAATTTGTTTAAGTTCCTTATAGGTGCTGGATATTAGACTTATCAGCTACATAGTTTGCAAAAATTTTCTCCCATTCTGTAGGTTGTCTGTTTACTCTGTTGATAGTTTATTTTGCTGTGCAGAAACTCCTAAGTTTAATTAGATCCCATTTGTCAATTTTTGCTTTTGTTGTAATTGCTTTTGGCATCTTTGTCATGAAATATTTGGCCGTTCCTATATCAAGAATAGTATTTCATAGGTTGGTTTCCCAAGTATAATAAAGATTAAAGATAGAAAATACTTGTGCATTTTATACTATTCTCTTTAATAATTTCGAACATGCTATCAAAGTATATTTTCATCTTCATCCATGGCAATGTTCATCATAAAGTCACATTCATTTGGGGAAAGTAGGAACTTTCTTAGACCCAGTTCAGATATGGAGGATGCAGTACAAGTTTGTAATTACCTTTACAAAGCTTAATTTTATTTTTATTACTGATGATTTAAAAGATTACACATTAAGTGAAGAGATTAAAAAATAGACAAACATGTCAACTCAACTAATATTTTATTTAAATCAATAAATGATGATATTTAGGTATGTAGAGGACCTTAAGAATAGGGTTTCTGTAAAGAGAAATACACACTACACACTGAAGAAAAGAATGACCAAGAGCATTACTGGAGCTGATTGAAAGAATTACTAGTTAGTCCTACGGGGTATATTTCCCATAACACAGAATGAAGCACGTAGCTGGAACTAAGTAGATGCTTGCTGAATTGAAATGGAGCATTTGAGATTGTAATTAGAGACAGTACTAGTTGGAAACATGAAATCGGACCAGATTATGGATGGTTTTGAAAGCCAGATTAAGGAATTTGAAATTTATTCCACTGACAGTAGCATCCAAATGTGAATGGTCATGAGATACTAATTCAAGTTTGGGGAAGAATTGTCTTTACCTTGGCTAGGAAAACTCTTGTACTATATCTAGCTAGACAGCAAATTACAGAATGATTGTTTTTATGACCCAAACTTTCTTTACCCTAAATCCACTCACTACACATAATTTGAATTAATACTTTTCAATGTATTTTCAAGATATTGTGTGGCAACATTCTACTCAAGATAACATATAAGAAAGCCAGTAACAACAACATGTTTTACATTGATATTGGGAAAACAATTTTTAAAGCCCATTTCTTTTACACATGGAGCACAAATGAAACAATATTGTCAATGTAACTACAAAGTAGTTTTCAATGCTTTACTAAGTGGTGTTCTAAAGAAATATTGAAGGAATTTCCATTAAACTTATATACATATCATTATATGGTGGAAAACATATTGCAAAATTTATTAATGATATTTGATAGTCCTATGTGACAGTATTGGGCATATTTTATTCAGTTTTCTCTACCAAAATAAATAATCTATGTGCTTTTGTACCAGTGTAAAAGTCAATAAAATTTAAACGTGTGGCTCAATATGAAAGAATATCTTTGTATGTGAATCTTTTAACATTCCACTAAACATATACTATAGCTAGCCAAAAAGAAGAGCTCTTGGCAGGGCTCAGTGGCTCACACCTGTAATCCCAACACTGGGAGGCTGAGGCAGGCAGATCATGAGGTCAGGAGATCAAGACCATCCTGGCAAATATGGTGAAACCCCATCTCTACTAAAATACAAAAAAAAATTAGCCCCCGGGCGTGGTGGCGGGCACCTGTAGTCCCAGCTGCTCAGGAGGCTGAGGCAGGATAATTGCTTGAACCCAGGAAGCGGAGGTTACAGTGAGCCGAGATCATGCCACTGCACTCCAGCCCGGCAACAGAGTGAGACTCCGTCTCAAAAAAAAAAAAAAAAAAAAAAAAAAAGAAGAGAAGAGCTCTTGTATATTTTTTGTCTGCATGCTCTCAAATACTTTTTTGTCTGCACATATGTATTAGTCTGTTCTTGCATTGCTATAAGAAACTTCCTGAGACTGGGTAATTTATGAAGAAAAGAAATTTAATTGATTCAAAGTTCTGATGGCTATACAGGAAGCATGGCTGGGGAGGCCTCAGAAAACTTACAACATAGTGAAAGGTGAAGAGGAAATAGGCACATACTATACATGGTGGAGCAGGAGAGAGAGAGAGAGAAGGGGGAAGTAATACACACGTTTAAACAAGCAGAAGTCTTGAGTACTCACTCATTACCATGACAACAGCAAGGGGGAAATCCACCCCCATGATCCAATTACCTCCCACCAGGCCCCTCTTCAACACTGAGGATTACATTTCTACATGAGATTTGGGTGGGGACACAGAGCCAAACCATATCAACATACTAACAAAAACCTCCAACCGAATCAAACTTTGTCTGTCATAAACAATTTGCACATGATACTATTTATTAACAGTAATGTAAATTTTATTTTTCTGTATTTTTTTTTTTTGCCTCTGAATCTAAATGCCACAGATTCTTTAGCAGAAATCTATTTTATCCTGGTTAATTAAACTGGTAAACCAACTGGAGTTACCTGACACTTGAATGGAAAAGAAAAATAGACGGAATTTTTGAAAAGCATTTTTAATGTGTTTAAATAGCTATCTCTCATGAACAAAGTGATTAGCATTTGCTTTACAACGTTCCAAGAAGAGTATCCAAAAAAGATTGCATAATTAAAGCAAATGTCCCAAAAAGTTTATTTATAGATGCTTTGATATCTAAAACATAATTTTAAGCTTCTGTTGTAAATATGATCCAAAAGTTGTACAAAGACACAAAGCATGAGCATGTTTGGCACCTTGGATTATTAGAGCAGAGTTTATGAAGATAGGAGGCCAAAAATATGTCCTCATGAGCACTCCTGTCAGTCCTTATTGTGGTACTTTCAGTGTGAGGAGTTTGCTATTGGCTTCCAGTAGATTGAGGCCAGGGAGATGAAGCTAAACATTTTACAATGCACAGGACAACTCCAGACACCAAAAAATTATCTGGCCCAAAATGTCAGTAGGGCTGAGGTTGAGAAACCCTAGTCTAGAAAGTCTCATTCAGTTTTATATATTGGAACACAAGTGGAGAAGTTAATATTAGTCAAATAGCATTCAGATGATTTCTCTTTGCATTTATTTTGTTTTTCTTCTGAGATTCTTTCAAGTCTTCCTTCATTCTCACTTGACCTCCGAAATTCCAGTTGTCTTTCATCTTTCTGTCTAGGAGTTTCTGCTATGATAGTGATGATGATGCAAAATAGTAAGTAAATATACAGCTTGATAAATCAATATTCTAGGACTAGAGTATTTTAGTTATATTTTGCTAGTGCTCAACAACAGCAAAATTCTTTTTTGTTTTTAGTTGATGCTGTAAAAATTGGCTAGTATCCTTTCTTGAAATACATGAGTAGAATTTTCTTGTCCTGATATGGTATTATAATAAATTATATATCTTTCATGTTTCAAAGCTTATTTTTAATTATTTTAAGTGTTATAGTTCTAGAGGATGTTTTTGTTTAGACTCCTCAGGAAAGTGAGGGAGTTGGGACATGACCTGCAAATAACTTCTTTACAAAATATGTGCCTGCTTAAAAAATGTTAATACCAGCTAAGTATTTGATAATTTTAAGAAATTACTATTAATTTTGGGGGTGTTATGGTGATATTATGGACATTTTTATTTTAAGAATATTTATATTTTAGTGATGCATACTGAAATTTTATCTTTGAAATAATATGTCTGCAATTTTTCTCAAAATAATTAGGTGGAAATGTATGAGGTACCAGTGAAACAAGCTATCAGTTGATGATTGTTTAATCTGAGCAAGGAACATATGAGATTTTATTATGGTATTTTGTTACACTATTCTACTAATTCGTTAGATTTATACTCTTCTACTAGTATTCTAGTAATATAGTATATTGTTACTTTTATGTGTTTACAATTTTCTGCAATAAAACATTAACAAAATATAGGAAAAATCTGCTTTTTTGTAACTTTTATCTTTTTGGAAAGTCATTTCTCATCCTTATCCTTCTCAAATATGGAAATAAAATACTGGTTTATTGAGTTTCTGGTTATATGAGGCTTCTTTGAACACGGTTTCAACAGGATGTATCACACCTCAGTTAAGCTTTGAAACAATGAGTGTGTGTCTTTTCTCCTGGATGAAAGGCAGACCCCTTGGTGGGAGGATTTCCTGGTGTCCTTTTTATCATGTTGACCAAATGAGTCAGAGAGAATTTCTTTTTTAAATATAAAAGATAATATGTAGTTTGGATAACCTGTTGGACTGTTTGACCTAATTCCTCACTTCACTTTGCTTAAAGTCACAAGCTAAATAGTGGCTTATACATCTTTAGTCTGCTGATTTCTGTTCTTTCCAGATTTTATTTGCCTAAGTTAAGATTCAATAAAGGACATCTATTTGTAAGGAAAAAAATGTATGTAACCAAGGAGTAGGCAAATGTTTTTCTGTAAAAGTTCAGATAGTTAATATTTAGGCTTTGTAAGCCATATATGATTGTATATCCATCTTTCATTTTTGCTTTTATTTTAACAAACCTTTAAAAATGTAAATCCATTTCTTAATTTAAAAAAAGCAGTTCAATAAGCCAATGGTTGGATTTGGTTATAGGACTCCTGATCTAACCCGTCTGTTCAAAACAAGCCTCTTTTCCAAATTTAACTCATTCTGAATAAGATATATAAGGAAAAAACATTCTATAAAATATATTTTCTTATCATTATCATTGCTTTAATGTATATGCATTCTACCTCTATCAATTAACACATACTACTAACTAAAGTAACTAATTATTCATGTGGATTAGTATTTCTTATCAACCCATACTTAAGCTTACATACAAACTTTTTAAACTCAAAACCTCAGTGGCATTTTTATGATTGTAATTATTACTTTCAATTTGCTCATTAGTGGTCATATAGAATTATGTTTCTTGGAGTGGGAAAAAAATCAACAGATATTTACCTCTGTTAGGATTGATTTGTAAGTGTGAATGTTTTCTTGATTGGGCAGTGGTAATAGGATTTCTTTATTTGCCTAATAAATTTTTTCTGTTATCTTGCACAAAGATTGATTCCCAGTCGTCCTCTATGAATACTTCAAATTACTGAAAAGTAGAAAATGAAAACTTTATAGGTAGGATATTAGTTTTCTACTTACCTCAAGACCTCTCTGTGGCTACTCACATACTGAACTTGAAGAACTCATTGTAATCTATCGAGTGAAGGAAATAAAAGAAAAGGTAGAGGCTCTTAACAAAATGGACTGGTATGAACTTCTGGACCTGAAAGAGGTCACGAGTAGAGATGTGTATGAGTCAGGCACTCAGGGGGATGACACAAAGTAAAGATCAGATTAACTGATGATAGAGTGCATTGTAAGGGATCACAGGAAGAAAAGAAGCACTGTAAGGGATCACAGGAAGAAAAGAAGCAAGGGAAATTATCTCAGGAGTATTAGAGGCAGACTTTATGGCAAGTGAGATTGTCCATCAGGAAACCACAGTGATGCCAGTGGCCCAACACCACTTTGGGGATTTATCATTCTCACAACTCATGCACTCTGATTATTCTAGCTATTCATTCTTTACTTTAAATCTCCCCAACAATGGGTATGATTAATTCTATTAGTCACAGTCTGATTGAAGCATCCCCATCGAAAGAGTTCTCCAGCCAGATCGTTGTATGGGCTGCTACCTGAGTTATAGATGACCATCTTTGGAGTAAGCATCAATCCTGGTTGAACCAGTTATCAGAGATTTTTAAAGTCACATGAGAAAAGCTTTCCAATTTGTACAAAACACACACACACAAATACTGCTTTCATTTTTTAATAAAAGAATAACTGGTTTAATGTGAGAAAGAGTTTCATGAAATTAGTTTTTTTATGCAAAAGTTTTGCTTTATTTGTTCCCAAAACAATCTTTTATCTTATATTCACTCCTAGGACAGACACAGCCTAGCATTGTTTTTTTGTTTTGTTTTGTTTATGTTTAGGTTCAAAATCATGGATGCCTCATCCCCTTTCAAGCTCTGTTGAAGTTTCATTTTACAGTGATTATTTAGAGAGACTACTTCTGTTGTCAGTGCTACAGCTTTAGATCAATCAATTCCCCAAAATTATTATCAAAACTTCTTTACAATTCTTTACTAAAAACTTCCCTTCCAGCTCATTTGGCAAACTGACTATAGATAAATATGCCTGTATTATGAAGCAAAAGATTTGAGAGAACAAATTTACCTGTTGGAGAAAGAGAGGCTAACTATCTTTCCCATAAATGGCAAGATATGTAGAGAGCTAGAACTCTCCACTCTATTCCATGTAAGTTAATTTCTTAAAATAATATTTTGCACACGAAGTTTTTCCTGAAGAGCCCTAAAATAATAGTGTAGACCAGGACTAACTTTCTTACCCATGGAGAAATATTCTCTATGCCTAATCAAATACTTATGATCCTGTCAAGCTGCTCTTCCAAAATTTCATAAAAATTAGCTTCCAAACCTTTCTTTGAACCTGTATCATGATACTATTTCATTCTAATGTCTCCTCTCCCCTCCTGTTCCTTTTCTCTTGTCCTCTTCATCCCCATAGTTTGTGTAATGTAGTTTCTACACTTTTTTGAAGTCTAACCAAGACCCTTCATGTCACCAATGATGTACAGAATTACTCTATGATGAATGATATATTATTTGAATTTACATAAAGTCTCTAGTAGGTTATTTAGCCTTGGAATTATGCTCAAATCTTTTTTCATATTATGCTTGAATTTATAATTCTCGACTCTTTCAGTCAGGATAAGGATACAAAATATACTTATTTTGTATTCTCCACAATTGCCTAAGGTACAGGTTGCAGGGAAAATGGTGGTTAACTTGAATTCATGTTATCTTTAATTTCCATTCCTTTTGTTTACTTTTTCCAACTTCTTCTAAATGAGGAACTCTTTTTAAATTATAAATCTGACAGCTATATGAACTCATTACCCAAAAGAAGCTTATCAGTGGTAATACTTATCCCTTGCTAGAATTGCAGATTCTTTCATCCCACTCCAGACTTACTAAATCCTAACCTGCTTTGCAGTAAGACAACCCAGGTGATTCCCATACATATTAAAGTGTGACACTGCACTAATGAATCCATTCTGAATGAATGAATGAATTTTTGCATTAAACAAATAGAGGAAATGCATGTTTAAATGTTGATTTTATCATGTGTGCATGTGGTGTGTGTGTGTGTGAGAAAGAGAGAGCATCAAGGGAAATATTTTGGAGACAAATAACCTTTTAGGCTGTAGTAGACTTGCCTCATAAATATCTGGTGAATATATTGCCTATGGAGACTATTGTTTCTGCCACGTGTTTTTTTCATTTTTTAGAAGCATATTAAGCCACATAGGAAAACAGAGCTGTCAGGATATTACTTCAAAAAACACATTGGAGGTACCTAAGAGCCAAAAATCATTTGATGAATTTTTAAAAGCTGGCTGCATTTTAAAGGCATTTATAATTCAAGGTGTTTGATTAACTTTTGACGACTTGAGTGCTGCTAGATTTAAAGATTGAAAGGGACAATTTGGAATGGTCTGGTGAATTTTTAAAGACAGATAGAAGCAGAAAAATTGTGGTTTTACCCTTCTTAGCTTTGATATTTTTATGTTATTTTTGTTACAATCACAAAACAGAACCCCTTTAATCTGTTTATGTCACATGGGCTAACACGCGGCTACCTGAGATTGTTTCCTACCTACGTAACATATCTGTAATATCAGTAATATCCATTAGGTATTTTAACTTGCCAAAGACAAGTAGTACAAATATATATTCTATATAAGTTTACCAACAGTATTATGTAAAGCTGATTTTATGCAAGCTGAAGGAGTTACAATGGAAATGAAAGACACAGATAAAGAAGAGGAAAGGGAGAGAAGTTAAGGAGTAGAAAGTGTAAACCTTAATTTCAAAAATTCACATATACAACAAAATCAAACAATCATGTTACAAACATGTTTATGATTAGTAGGAACCAGATGAGAGCTTTGTATTATAACTTCTGTCAATTGGAGCCAAAGCTTCACAAAAAGATTTGCCTATTTGGTATATTGTATTCAAATGTGAGCACCTTGTTTTATGAAGAATATTTTTAATCTGATGTAAGCCATTTTCAGTTATTGATTGATTCACTTATTTCCTTTTTTTTTTTTTTCTGAGACAGAGTCTCACTCCATCACCGAGGCTGTAGTGCAGTGGCACGATCTCAGCTCACTGCAACCTCCATATCTTGGTTTCAAATGATTCTCCTGCCTCAGCCTCCCAAGTAGCTGGAGTTTCAGGCGCCTGCCAACATACCCACTAATTTTTTGTATTTTTAGTAGAGACAGGGTTTCACCATGTTGGCCAGGCTGGTCTTAAACTCCTGACCTCAAGTGATCTGCCCCCCTCGGCCTCCCAACATTCCATATTTCTTGAAACAAATAATATATGACAATGTTTGGTAAGTGATGACATTGCAAAAGCAATCATTGCACTTCCTTTAAAGACCTTATAGTTTAGTATAAAGATTATAAACAAGTAAGTCCAATAATGTAGGAACTAAGATGCAAGATGATCAAGATACAGAGGAAGCACAAAGATAAATTTTCCCTGGGACAATTAAGAAAGAGTATTAGTGGATGTGAAACCATCTTCCTCAAGACACAGTCTAAGGAATTTGTATGATTAGTTTATGAACAAATTGTTTATGAGATGGTGAAAGATGATAGTTATATATCACAAATTTGGAGAGCTACTTGATGTGTGAAGCATTACTTTTATTTGCTTCTAGCAGGTACCATCAAAATCATAAGGAAAAATTAGAATACAAGGAAATGGGGAAAAAGGAAGGAAATTAATGTTTTACGAGTACCCACAATGTGCCAGGCTTGTGGTGGCACTCTTTATAGGCACTGTTTTATAGGCACTCTTTTACAGGCACTGTTTTAGTTAACCACATAACAGCTTTGTCAATGAATAACTTTGCTAACACATAGCTTGTCTGAAGAGTTGCTACTAGGTCAACATTCAGAGGCCCACGTGATCACTCTAATTTATATGTTTTAAGAGAGATGATTTGATTGAACTTGGAGCTAAGATTTGTTTGATAAAACAATAACTTTATTTGATCTAAATAACCATAAATAACAGGGCATGAGTAGTAGAAGAGGACACAAATAATTGTGCAATTAGGAATGTATCTATGTGAGTTGAAATGACTAGTTATACCCTTAGTAAAATGAAAAATTGGGTATTCTGGTTATTAGAATATTATAATATGTAATCTATACATGAATAATACCTTCTTTATATCTATATTTAGAAATTTGTTGTATTCAATCTCTTTTTCAGAAGATTGTACAAAATGTGAAATGCATTAAAGTACTGTACTAAGAAATCAATCAAATACTAAAAAATTTGCACCTATTTAATGTTCTTTCCTAGTCTAAACTTCTTTCGATTTCTATTCAAATCTATTTGATACCCAGAGTACTTCTACCAGCCAAACATGATACGCAAAATGATTTAAGCCAGATGTTATCATTTCCTGTGCCATACAGAGGCAGTGTTTTACTAGTTCACTAATATAAATACAGAAAGTCTACAAAGACAAAAAGAAAGCAAAAAAGTGATATTTTCTGTTACATGTTATTATAACACAGTGAATTAGAAATCTAAATAATTTATAGGAAATTAGTATTTTGATGCACAGCAGAGAATTACTTTTATTTCATGGTATCAGTTACTAAAGAAGGAAGCAGCTTTTGTTTAGGTTACTATGAGAAGCTAAGTACAGTTTTGCCCAAAATTCTAGAAGCTCAGGTTAAGCACATTACTTTAGAAATTTCTGTCATGAGTTCCTGATTAGCTCTGTGTCACAGCAATGTCAAGTTCAGTTTTAGAGGTCAGGAAAATATTT
Source organism: Homo sapiens (assembly GCF_000001405.40). NCBI lineage: Eukaryota > Metazoa > Chordata > Mammalia > Primates > Hominidae > Homo > Homo sapiens. The sequence goes on along the minus strand of NC_000005.10, from coordinate 45,273,501 downwards.
CTGAGTTGCAAAACGTTTGAAGCCATTTGCCCTACCTTATAAAAATGACTGTTTATGTAGGTGACAGTAATGTCAGGTGGACTTAAATGTTTATAATCAGGGTTAACTAATGCCAGCAAAAATAGCATTGAGAAGTTGATATATCTCATACCTTAAGGATTATTAAAGGTATACAAATAATGTGCTAGGCCAAATCTAGTCTCCCAGGCCACACTCTTTCTGACACTGAAATTGGAAACAGAGTTGTCTATGTTCCTATACAGGATGCATTACCAATAGTTTTCATCTTAACTAGGTGAAATAACTACTTAGCCATTCATAAACGCCCTATAAAGAAAACCAGGAAAATTCTACCGAATTAAAATTAATACGCTAAGTCCCCATTACTTTTACAATTTATTATAATATGTAAATACGCATCCAGATGAAGGGACCTATTACCCAAGTAAATTTGCACTAAGATTCTTAAAACAGTTATTACACCACTGGGAAGTTCTTAGTTGAGCTCTCAGAGAGTATACAAACAAGAAAAAAGCAGAAAGGCTGGAACAGACAGATTCTAGAAAGTATGCCAAGACAATCTTTAAAAAGCTTGCATCTGTAAACTGCACTGAATCTGTTCTTTGGGAGTCCAATTTTATTTTATTTTGTATTTAACTTTATTTGCTTTATGAAATCAACATGCATATCTATAAGCAGGTTAATTTTCTTCCTGATGAGTAAAGGCATGTCTACATTGAAAAAAAAATGACCAAATCTTCCAGATAGTTTTCTTTATTATAAACATTGCACAAAACCTCAGAGATATGTTATGTTCCTCAAAGAAAGTACGTAAAACATTTGGCAAGTTCTATGACCAAGGGAAGATGCCTAACAGGTGAACCAATATTATCCAAAACTTAAGAAGATAACTTAGTGTGGGTTTTATGTTTATTCACTGTAATTGGGGTATGCATAAGCATTTTTAAATCATTTTGCCTGGGCTGGAAACTCAATGTAGCAGGCACTATAAGGGATATTATAAGGTAACTATATGGTTTCTGTCTTTAAAATGTCTTAAACCAGCTAGGTTGATAAAGCCATTATTTAGGAAACAGAAATTCAGTAGAATAAAATAAAATGAAATAGTGATAAACTAATACATACATAATTTCTAAGGTACCTAAAGGATAGTATGAGCTACAGATGACTAATTTTTTTCTATATATATCCTTTATTTAAACACCCCCCATCCCCGCCAAAGACACATATACACACAGATATGGCAAATACACCAAAACTCTGTAACACCTAACAAAGGGCTGTGTTTACTCAATAAGTAGATTTTCAAAATAGCTTAATATTGTATCAAGAGAAAATTAATCTGGACATTCAATTCATGAAATCTAAGCCTCTTTGATCAGAAAGTTTACTCTTTTTTCGTTGCTAAGGGTGTGCCATTTCTTAATTCTGTTATTCATACTAGAAACAGAGTATGGAGGCTTTAAAAGAAGAGATTATTTTAAGTGTTTTTCATACTTCTTAATGACTATTTCTCCTCTCATGAATAACCTTCAGTTGTTCTTTTTCTCACTAAGAAATTATTGAGGACATGCAGCAAGGTAATGGCTGATGAGTTTTGAGTTGGTAATGAACAAAGTCCTTTATATAACTTTTGAAGGGACTTTGTTGTGCAAGTCTATATTTAGCCCTTAGTTGCTCCGTAGGGGAATATGTCACATTAAATACAAAGGGAATTTTTGTAGGTGATTAAATAATTTATTTCATTAAGCATGTTGCTATTTGATTCAATTATTCAAGTCAGCTAACATTAAGCCCCTACTATCTGTCATGTAGGCACTGGAGATATAAAGATTAATGAGACTTTACAGATAAAATGTTGAATGAAGTCTAAGTTAGTTACAGAGTTAAGGACAATAAAACTCTAGAGACATAATTGAGTTTTACTTTTCACTGATAAATAAACTCCACAGAATATAAATGGGTGTCTAATTCTCACAAACAAGAGCAAGTTGACTGAGACTAACACAGGACTCTAAATCCCCAGGCCAATACTATACCAAAAAAAGAATCCCTAAAATAGCCCAAGCAACTGTGTCTGTGTGTGTGTGTGTGTGTGTGTGTGTGTGTGTGTGTGTGTGTACCTGAATCAGCAGGAAACCAGACATTACTGCTGTAGACAATGCCCCAAACAGCACTCTACCTCATTAACTGGCAAGAAAGACCAAATTAGAATATCAGTGTTGATCCCACAAACTACAAAAGGTAAAATAAGTACATTATCTTTTTAAACAAAATGTAATGAAGAGGTAAGATTTGCTGAACAGTAACATCTAAGTTTTACTGAGATGGCAACATAGAAAACCTTTGGGTTAAGAGCTCATAACACACGTACACATTTCTTCATGTAGGCTTTAAACAGTATTTTAAAAGCATCCTCCTTGAAGATTTTCTTACCAATGGTAATATTTAACTGATTCAAGCCATGATTACTTAGTAATGTGTACCTATACTATGTAACATATGCTACATATGTTATATATTCATTATATGAGATCATCAGATGACAGAGGCCAGAAAATCATTTGTAAATAATGGTTTAGAAAAAATTTGACTAAACTTATATCTATGCTCCAGTAAATCTGTTTTTAACATATCTGTAAAATGACTGTGCATACTGAGAATAGCTATATTCTTATTTCTAATTTTTAAACTTGTTTTTAAAAATTAAAAATAATATATAAACACATGCTCTTTGTAAAAATAATTCCAAGTAATTTCTAAGCATAAGACAAATACATTTCTTATTTAAGATGATTCCCAGGACATGCCTTTATCTCATCCCTCTACAGAGACCCAATTAATAATAGTAAAAGAATAAAATATAAACTCAACCACAAAGTAACCTGATGCATGAATTTGTATTTGGGAGCAACCAGGAGACGAGACAAAGGGACATGTTTCTAGAAGACAGAAAATACTTTTGATATGAGTGAAGTGCCAGATAACATTGGTTCCATAGCCAGCAACCATGGCCCTTTCTTGTTAATAAAATCTTGTATGGCTGGCATCATATACTACTTCAGGGATTAAACCAGTATTTACCTAACTCAATCACTAACAGTAGTTACCTTATTCCGATTTACCAAATATTCCGTTTTAAATCCTTTCTTGCAGCTAAGGCTGGCCACATGATGCAGTTCTGATAATAAAATGCCAGAGAAAGTAAGTTAGGGACCTGTAGTACAACTTTTGCCTTCACAATAAAAAGAAAGAAATATAGGAAGAAAGTCTTTTGCTGTCTCCCCAAACTTTGGATGCTGTTGTGTGAGTATATGAATGTGTGTAGTTGTTGCTATCAACTTGTGATCATGAGAAGAAGGCCAAGGAAAACAAAAGTATTATGGGCACAGTGCCTTGGCATCATTGAAGTGCTGAACAAATGCTGGCCTTGCCTACTCCCAAATTTTGTTTTGTAATATAATGACATTAATGTATTGGATAAACCAGTGCTATTCAGGTATTCTGTAGCCTGCATTTAAATGTATGCTGGTGGTTACTGATGAACCTTGAAGGGAAAGTAGAGGGAACATGGAATATACGTACAAAGAACGGGAGCCAAGGAGACAGCAGGTATCCTGGAAGAATACTAAACAGGCTCTTAGTTAAGAGACAACAGGACCACAGAAGACAGAACAGAAAGCGGGTGACTTATGCTGATGGTAGGTATGAGACATCCCTCCCTCCATGTTGCGGAATAGTCTGTAGCCAACCATGTACCTGAGGATAGTGGGGGGAAATGTCAGTGGTTCGTTCATAAAGCAATTGAATGAGAGGGAGAACTAGGACAGTTAAGAGAGATGTCAGTGGCCTAGAGTAAAGCCCTCCTCATTCTGGTATTTAGAGAAATATGAGGACAAGCTCCCCGCCTATTTACCCTAATGAAAAACTTTAAATTAACAAATTCTGCAACATTACCAGAGTTTTTTATCTTTAAATGTGATTGGACATCAATAGATTACCAAAAGAAAACATTCAACACACAAGAGAAAGACCTAGAAAAAGAGACAAAACAATGTTTCCAGAGTAAAGAGAAAGAGTTCAGAAAAAATAAATTCAAATGAAAATATAATAAGTATAAAGATAAAAAATAAAAACAAAACTAATTTTCTTTTCACTTTGTATAGCTTTAATGCAACGTATTTTACACATATAATTCATTAAAGTGTAGAATTCAAATATCTTTAAGTAAATTTACCAAGTGATGAAACCATCACCACAAATCAGGTTTTAGAACATTTTCATCACCCAAATAAGATTCCTGTGCCCACTTACTGTTAATTCCCTTTTCCATCTTTTGCCTCAGGCAACCACTAATCTGTTATCTGTCTCTGCAGATTTGTATTTTCTGAATATTTTACATAAATGGAATCACACAGTATGTGGCTTCTCATGTCTGTCTTCTTTCATTTAGCATTCCACACAAGATTTGAAACCAACACTTAGCTTTGTTTGCCATAATGTGGCAATCATAAATTATAATTATATGGCATTAGTACTTTAGTGACACAGGAATTTAATTTTGGAGTAGTATTCAAAATGCTTCTTTTAATTACCTTGTTTATATTACAGTAGCAGGTAAATTCCATGGTATGGTAATTTGCTTTAAAATTGACCAAAATAGATTTATTTTCCTACACAGACACACACACATATTCAGGCACAAAAACATTCAGACAAACACACAGACCCCACAATATTATTTAGCAGGTTTACAACATTACTTTTCAATCTTGACAAGAACAACAGCATAATTGATGGTTTAGGTGACATTTCCTAAAATCCTCTCTATCTTCCCAGACTGGTTCACGTGTCCTTCTCTAGTATTCTCAGAGTTTGCATATATGTGACATTGTTCTTACCAGATTGTATTCAAATGAACGTACATGTGTCTACAGCGTGATTTATTCACAGTGTTTGTCAACATAAATAGAACTTCTTTAAATTAGCTCGAGTGTGAATTTAGACATTTAATATTATATTTATTTCCTTTTGTTAGGTGACTAAATTTTAGAAATACTTCTATCATTTCTCTTTTCAAATTTGTTATTTTGAAGCTAAATGTTTAAATTATTTCCAAATTAAAAATAATCAAAGCCTACAGTAGTTCAAATCATAATTTTTGGAAAACAAAATGGAAAATTATCTCTTAATAGCTATATAGCTTCAGCTGGCCAATAATGAAATCCAAATTTGCAAATGTTTGTTTACCATATTTTGGAAATCTAAATTTCAGTAAGGAATTACCCTTAAAAGTCATTTAAATAGAGAGTCCCTCTGTACATGTGGAATATCACTTTCTTCATACTGATCTCATTGGGAATATACAAACTACATTAGACATGCCTATATCTAAACCTCTGGTCTAGCTTTGTTTGATCATAGGACTTTCTAAGCCAATGTTTGGACTCATTTTGGCTTCTGCCTAGATTATACCATCTGCTTTCTGCCTTCCAGAATTCATAAAATCGTCTTTCTAATCATCACCCCTTTCTTTTTTCAACTCCTTTGTGGACATTTTATTCCATTTTCTGCATCTCTTTTGTTTTTGTTTTTTTTCTTTATTTCTTATTTCAGAGGATTGGAGTGGGAAGGATAAGGTATACTGTGTTTCAGCCTTGCATTTAAACCAAAAGTCTCAACCATGTTTTTTTGTTGTTGTTGTTGTCTTTTTTGAGACGGAGTCTCACTCTGTCGCCAGGCTGGAGTGCAGTGGCACAATCTCGGCTCACTGCAACCTCTGCCTCCCAGGTTCAAGTGATTCTCCTGCCTCAGCCTCCCGAGTAGCTGGGACTACAGGCGCCTGCCACCAAGCCCAGCTAATTTTTGTATTTTTAGTAGAGACGGGGTTTCACCATGTTAGCCAGGATGGTCTCGATCTCTTGACCTCGTGATTCACCCACCTCGGCCTCCCAAAGTGCTGGGATTACAGGCGTGAGCCACTGCGCCTGGCCTTCTCAACTGTTTTTTTTTTTTTTAAAACAAAACAAAACAAAAAAACATTATTTTAAGATTGAGTATTGGCAGTCGGATATTTTTGTCAGAAGGAATTTGCTGATATAATAGAAAATGCTGCTAATAATTGTTTTTTCACACCATGAGACTTGTTTTAAGTTGTGGGAAGCCTTAATGGCTTTTAAAAGAAAATGATCAAACAAGTCATTCTTCTTTGTTGTTTGTTTTTATAGAGATTTGCCTGCTGACCAAAGGACGTCGTACTGCCAGTGTTCGAGCTGATACATATTGTCGTCTTTACTCACTTTCCGTGGACAATTTCAACGAGGTCCTGGAGGAATATCCAATGATGAGGAGAGCCTTTGAGACAGTTGCCATTGACCGACTAGATCGAATAGGTACTCTAGTTTTCTACCTTCTTTATATAAAATTTAATCTCCTGGCATAATACAGGTTTGCAATTATAAGTCCCAAATGCAGTGGGGAGTGGTGACTCATGCCTGTAATCCCATCACTTTGGGAGGCCAAGGCAGGTGGATCATTTGAGGTCAGGAGTTCGAGACCAGCCTGGCCAACATGGTGAAACCCTGTCTCTACTAAAAATACAAAAATTAGCCGGGTGTGGTGGCGTGCACCTGTAATCCCAGCCACTCAGAAGGCTGAGGCAGGAGAATCTCTTGAGCCTGGGAGGTGGAGGTTGCCCTGAACCAAGATGGTACCACTGCACTCCCGTCTGGGAGAGAGAGTGAAACCTTGTCTCAGAGAAAAAAAAAAAAAAAAAATCCCACATGCCAGTTTATAGCTTGCTTGTTAATTTGTGTAGAAATAGCAATTAGCTGTAGCCGTATTTCTTGAGAGATCTGGGTCCCTATCTATCTCTTCTAAGTATTCTGGGTTTATTTATTAATGTCTATTTTTGCTAGCTAAACAAACTGATTTCCCGACTGATGCCAAAACAATTTGAATCTTCAGGTAAAAAGCAATGATAAAAATTCTAGATAGCATTGAAATAGAACTAAAAATATGATATATGAGTCTATATTACAAACTAAGTTTTATCACTTTTTTTGTATTTTTGGATCAACTTTACATTTTATCTTTATATTAGGAATTGAAAATTTGCACATTTAAATTAATCTCAGCAGAGACATAATAAAATGTTTGTAATATAGACTCAAGCAGAAAAAAAAAGCCTTGATAGTAATGCCCTACATAGATGCTTTACCTCGCAAACATCAACATATTTTAAAGTCTTTTCTGCTACCAAATAAAAAAATATATATATACAACCATTAGGCCTTATTAGTTATGCTAGTTTGAAGATTTGCATAATTGCCATAGTAAAGTTAGCTTGGATTGGCTTGCTGTTAACATTCCTAGATATCCTGGAACATTATGTTGTAAGGTAGTATGCATTCATTTTCCACACCTAAACCCTCTTTGCCACCCTCCCCTTCTCTACTTTTTTTTGGTCAGCTCGACTCTGCTCAACCTTCCTCTCTCTGTTTAGATATCACCTCCCTCTAGAAACCTTCTCTGACCTCCCACTCCCTACTAAGCCCAGTTCCTTGGATGCATTCTCCTATAGCCTCTGAAGCTCCCCCATCACAGCACTGCTTTTATTACTGGCTCTAGAGATGCTAAATTTGTCAATGTAGAGCTCATGTTTAATTCACCATTACATTCACAGTACCTAGTATACAATGAATATTTGTTGAAGAGAGGTAGGAAGGGAGGAAGGAATAAATGAACTCAAAAAAGATGGGGCTGGGATCACTTGTGATAAACAAGGAGGTACCTCAACTGCTTCATTCTTATTAAAGGTAAGGACTTCAGATTGATAAATTGTTATGTTGGCTTTTTTTCTGCACTTCACATTCACATCTTCCTTTCTCTCTATATTAGTAGGACAGCAGACTGCATAGAGATCTGAAAATAGATTAGAAGTAAAGGCAGTATTTGGACATCATCATTAGATATAACAAACGTATTAGAAATTCATATTGAAATCTTAGAGATTTAACAAGACCTACTCATTCAGGGAGACAATACCCACAAAAGAAGTAGGCACTCCTGAAGGCATCCTTACTTAATTGGAAAATAACTTCCCTCTTTGTAGTGTGTGAGTGTTTATGTTAGAGACAGAGACTAATTTCTAAGCAATGAGTTTCTTCCTAAACCAGCTAGACATCCTTAGAGAAAACATTAAAATCAGGATATTTCACTAGATAATTTCTGTTAATCTGATACAGCTTCACTTTCATCTAACTTATTGCAGTTAATTTTTTTTTTTTTTTAAGACAGAATCTTGCTCTGTTGCCCAGGCTGGAGTGCAGTGGTGTGATCTCGGCTCACTGCAGCCTCCGCCTCCCAGGTTCAAGCAATTCTCCTGCCTCAGCCTCCTGAGTAGCTGGGACTGCAGGTGTGCACTGCCACGCCCTGCTAATATTTTGTATTTTTAGTAGAGACGGGGTTTCACCATGTTGGCCAGGACGGTCTTGACCTCCTAACCTCATGATCCACCCATCTCAGCCTCCCACAGTGCTGGAATTACAGGCATGAGCCACCGCGCCCAGCCTGCAGTTAATTTTTATAACAATATTTACATGAAATGGTTCGTAATCAATACAGGCAATGCAATTTCTAATAGGCACTAAGCAATTGAATTTTTGATCTTTATAACATAGTAAGAGTGTATTAAAAGTTACATTATTTTTCCCAAGGTTAAAGATACTTAGATTAAGATATTTTGACTGTTCACATAATCAGAAAGAAACATTATGCTTCTCGGTTTTGTGGCCATTGCATATAGATGTATGCTGCAGTTAGTTAAGCAAATATGCTAAATAAGCATTTATATTTATTACTAATGTAGGAGTTTTTGTTCTTTGGGAAATTAGGACAGTCTGTAAGTAGGGAGAGGTAACTATTTTGGCAGTCATTTAAAATGATTGCATTCCTAGCAGTCAATGAAATTACAATACATATTTATCTTCAAAAATATATTTTGTTACCTTTAATGTGTTAGTTTATTTAGCAATATCGCAAATTGATTCACTTTTCAGTTACCATATTCACTTGGAGATTAGTGTATCAATGATGCCATAGAAAAGTCACTACTTTCCCCTTCTTTCACCAATCCACTATTCATTCTAATAATTATTATGCCAGAGACTGTCTAGTATTGCAAACCACTCAGAAGATGATGGCAGGAAAAGCTGTATTGCAAACCACTCAGAAGATGATGGCAGGAAAAGGTAAAATTTATTGAGGTCTTAGAGGGAGCTGAGAGCCTGCAATGCACTATGCCCTTGGTCCTCACAACAACCATTCAGAAGAGGAAAGATCATAAAGTCAGTCTCAGTCTTGGCTGCATTTAAGAATTCCCTGGGGAAGCTGGGCGTGGTGGCTCACGCCTGTAATCCCAGCACTTTGGGAGGCCGAGGCGGGTGGATCACAAGGTCATGAGATGGAGACCATCCTGGCTAACATGGTGAAACCCCATCTCTACTAAAAATACAAAAAATTAACCGGGCACGGTGGCGGGCACCTGTAGTCCCAGCTACTCAGGAGGCTAAGGCAGGAGAATGGCATGAACCCGGGAGGCAGAGCTTGCAGTGAGCTGGGATGGTGCCACTGCAACTCCAGCCTGGGCATCAGAGCGAGACTCCGTCTCAAAAAAATAAATAAATAAAATAAAATAAATAAATAATAAATTTTAAAAAAAGAATTTCCTGGGGAAATTTGCTTTTAAACTACTGAAATTCAGAGCCCATGTATGATTATTTAGATTTAATTGGTAGGGAACAAGTGGATGTTAGTATTTTTTAAAGCTCCAGAGATAAGAAAAATATCCAACTAGGACTGAGAATGACTGGTGTAAGACACTGGGTCAAAAGCAAAACCTGATACAGTCCTCCTCAGATTTGCATTTGGGAATCACCTGGGGATCTTAGTAAAATGCAACATCTGATTCAGCAAGTGGGGTCAGGCCCAGGAGGCTGAGTTTCTAGCAAGCACACAGATGAGACAGGGGCAGTTGGTTCATTTTCCATAGCAAGGATGTGCAATCACTTTTTTGTGTATATGGTCTTTCTCAGCCCTGTTACCTGCCAACCATGTTTTTTTTTTGTTTTCCTGGGCACTGTTCTTAGTCTTCTCATGTCCTGATCTCCTTTCAGGTAAAATGAGATTATGAACACACCTATCTGACAGGGTCGCGGGTTACATAAAATCATCTACCTAAGGTCTTTTGTAGAGTGCTTATCACATAGTACGTGTTCAAATGTTCTCGCTTATGTCTCCATGGTCCTTTCTTGAAAAAGTAACTTTAAAATCAAATGTTGATTCCAAGCCCATCCTATTCCAAAAGCCCTTTCTTCCCCCATTCTTCAAGGTGGCCCTCATGTTAAATATCTCCATTTCTTCTGTAAAGTGGCTCTTTGCCATATTACAGGCCGTTCAACTTGAGTAGAAGGTAAGAGTTCCCAGAGAAATACAGGAAGTGTGAAAGGTAGGAGCCACATTGGTATTTGGTGTGTAAAGGTGAGTGACTGGCTTTTTAAGCCTCTCCTGTGAAGCACAGCTATACTTCTGTTTGCAGGAGCCACTCTCACTTGGCGTTGTCATCAGTCATTGGTAGGCTTTCTAAGTGCCTATCTTTCTTTTGCTGACAGGAAAGAAAAATTCAATTCTTCTGCAAAAGTTCCAGAAGGATCTGAACACTGGTGTTTTCAACAATCAGGAGAACGAAATCCTCAAGCAGATTGTGAAACATGACAGGGAGATGGTGCAGGCAATCGCTCCCATCAATTATCCTCAAATGACAACCCTGAATTCCACATCGTCTACTACGACCCCGACCTCCCGCATGAGGACACAATCTCCACCGGTGTACACAGCGACCAGCCTGTCTCACAGCAACCTGCACTCCCCCAGTCCCAGCACACAGACCCCCCAGCCATCAGCCATCCTGTCACCCTGCTCCTACACCACCGCGGTCTGCAGCCCTCCTGTACAGAGCCCTCTGGCCGCTCGAACTTTCCACTATGCCTCCCCCACCGCCTCCCAGCTGTCACTCATGCAACAGCAGCCGCAGCAGCAGGTACAGCAGTCCCAGCCGCCGCAGACTCAGCCACAGCAGCCGTCCCCGCAGCCACAGACACCTGGCAGCTCCACGCCGAAAAATGAAGTGCACAAGAGCACGCAGGCGCTTCACAACACCAACCTGACCCGGGAAGTCAGGCCACTCTCCGCCTCGCAGCCCTCGCTGCCCCATGAGGTGTCCACTCTGATTTCCAGACCTCATCCCACTGTGGGCGAGTCCCTGGCCTCCATCCCTCAACCCGTGACGGCGGTCCCCGGAACGGGCCTTCAGGCAGGGGGCAGGAGCACTGTCCCGCAGCGCGTCACCCTCTTCCGACAGATGTCGTCGGGAGCCATCCCCCCGAACCGAGGAGTCCCTCCAGCACCCCCTCCACCAGCAGCTGCTCTTCCAAGAGAATCTTCCTCAGTCTTAAACACAGACCCAGACGCAGAAAAGCCACGATTTGCTTCAAATTTATGATCCCTGCTGATTGTCAAAGCAGAAAGAAATACTCTCATAAACTGAGACTATACTCAGATCTTATTTTATTCTATCTCCTGATAGATCCCTCTAGCCTACTATGAAGAGATATTTTAGACAGCTGTGGCCTACACGTGAAATGTAAAAATATATATACATATACTATAAAATATATATCTAAATTCCCAAGAGAGGGTCAAAAGACCTGTTTAGCATTCAGTGTTATATGTCTTCCTTTCTTTAAATCATTAAAGGATTTAAAATGTCGTTGTAAGATTATTTATTTCTAACCTACTTTTACTTAAGTCCTTTGATATGTATATTTCTCTATTTTATGAAGAGTTCTTGGATTCAATGGAAACAAAACTGATTTTAAAAAGGCAACTCAAATGAACTAGTAAATAGCACCAATCAAAACTTTCTTTCATTAGCTGTGTCTCTGCATCTAAATTGTTAATCATTAATGGTGGAGAATTAAATAACAAATCCCATTTTATAGATCTAAATTGTATTTCGGTGCTTTCAATTTCAAATTAGGTTAAAGAATGCACTACTTGCTTGGCCACCGTAGGAGACTAGCATTGCCACTGTTTGTTAAGAATATCACTAACCTCAAACATGTTCATTGATCTTTCAGAAAGCTGAGGGAAAATTAATATTTGTCTTCATGTGTTATCGGACTTTTACCAAGACTCGATCAATGTTAGTTGTAAATAACTTTTTCAACCCAAATAAAAATAGCTATTCTGTGTTGTATGAAGGTAAAAGTCATTGTTTAAGAATTTAGTTTTATTGCTTCACTTCAAAACTTAGAGTTTTAAATTTTACAAAACCTGATTGTGAGAATTATTCAATTGTAATGCAATGGCTTGAAACCTACAATATTATTTTAACCTGCAATGTTTTATGCAAAATTGTATGCTCGAATCTACAAATTGCTTGTATTACACCAAAAATCGTTACTTTTCTTTCTTCTTGCCATAATCAAGCATCTGAAAATAGTCCCTGCATGCTTCTGGGGAAAAAAAAATAGGTTCAAATCAGTCATTGTAGAGAAAGGCTTACAGTATTTCTCGTTTCTAGAAAAGCATAACAATTCATTAATTGCCTATCTTATAATTCCTATAAGGCTGACTTGGATCTCTGACTTAAGTCTAGAAGTGAGGTTTTCACTTTTATTTAATATTATTGCTATTATTATTTAAATAATTATTTGTAAACCACAGCTTGATTTGGAGTTAAGTGTTGTCTGTGTCTTCACTGTAGCTGGTAATTTACTATGGTATTAATTTAAAGAAATAAATTCAATACAGCATCACGTCTGTTTGGGAACACACATTTTGCTCTATGTATATTGTAACTAAATGGTTAGTAAACTTTAAGGCATGTGGTGACTAACGTAGCCCTTAGATAGGAGGTTTGTCATTTTTAATGTGTTGAAAATAGTACAGACATGGTGACAGAAAGCAGGGGTAAAGTTGAACGTCTATGAGCATTGTCTGTCTGTTTTCTTAACTCTTTACATGATCTGTGAGCACCTGCTTCTTCTCAAAGAACTCCCTTAGTAATCATTTGTGCCTAATGCATCCCACACATGTGGAGTATGACTGGAACACAATTGAAAGATTCCTAACAACTGGCTGCGGTAAATAACCCAAGTTAAGAGCATGACTTAAAGTGGAGGTCTTCAGTATCTCTGGCACTGGCAATACATTTAAGAACATACAGAGATCACACATTATGTGGGACAGGGCCTGCAGATAGACTTGAGGACAGAAAACAAAAACAAAAGCAGAAACTCTAAAGTGGATCCTTGCTGCCTGTTATGCCTTTTGTGGATATAATACCTATAATACCAAAATGAGTTGTTATGTTTAATTTCAAACAAATCCCAACTGGTGTGGAAGTAATTAACTGCTAGTCGATGTAATGTAATCATCAATATGCTGGTGACATATGATGGCATGTCAGGAATACTGTTGTAAGAAAGGGATTGTTCAGTCTACCTAGAACCTATGGGAAAGCTGCAAGACCATTTACATATCAGTACAAAACTCCTTTATTTTATTAAAATATGAGAATTAACTTCAATTTATTAAGATTACGTATTGGTCCTTTAAATTATTAAAGGTTTACATTTGATAGGATTAATGGATTTGGTAGTGAAATATTTTTATATATATAAATTTTTGGTTTTTTATTTTGAGCACTATTGGGAAACATAAGCAAAATTGAAATGCATGGTCTTTCAGTGCAACCATACAATTTTTATTCACTTTGTAATAGAATGGACAAAAAAACTAAGGTTTATATATTAAACTAATAAAAAGGTACAGGGTAAATTATATACATATATGTATGAATGTATATATACTTAGATTAAGAAAAAAAAATGACTCACATTCCTGTAATATAAAGGTCCATTGCTAGTTGAAAAGTGACCTCTTTTCTCTGTACATAGTGAAGCCCGTATGTATGGAGTTTTAATCTGTACAGAAAGAAATGTATTATTCATTGGTCTTTCTGCTGCTGGAAAGATAATAGAATAGCTGATTCTTACAACAACTGTATGATCAGGGATGAGTTAGAGTATTTCTTTTGTCTTTGCTCAAAGCCATACATATATAAATATATATAAAGATTATTAATAAATTCAACAAAAAATAAACTACAATCATGAATATTTTATTTTATCAATATATGCTAATCAAATGTTTTATTTTATTAATGAGTACAGCTTTGCCTCTATTTTTACATCATAAAATTTCCAAGAGCTTATACTTGATAATCACATAAAATCAATTATATTCTATAATTCTGGAATGAGAGGACTTTAAATAGAACATGGATTTTTCAACCACTTCTTTGTTTACCTTTTTCGTATAGTAAAATATGAGCTTATTTTCTTTTTTGCTCTGTGCCTTTTTAGAATGTGGTTGTTCTCCAACTTCAAAACACAACCATTTTGTGTAATTATTGGATATACAGATGAGAAATAATTTTCCTGTAATAATGGTAAATAATTGTCCTGTAATATATTTATACAAACCTATTTTGTTATAATAGTTCTATGACATACCTATTTTGTTATAATAGTTTTATAACATACCTATTTTGTTATAATAGGGCCTTGGGCTCTATTATAACAAAACAGGTTTATATAAATACATTCATATTTATAGCCTTAAACAAAATAGGTTTGTATAGTAGGCCCAAGGCCCTATTATAACAAAATAGGTTTGTATAAATATATTCATATTTATAGCCTTGGGCCCTGCAAAGTTATTTGGAGAGTGATAGAACCTCCCCACACAAGTGGGTTTTAAATGATACCTAAAAGCCTGAGATAGAGTTTATCATAATGAGAATAAGTAGTGAAGCATTCCTGAAAACAAGGAGGATAAATAGTAGCAATGGCAATATATTCTATTCACCAAAAAAGTAGCTTGTCTCCAGGTCTGGATGACCTCTTCATAAGTGAACAATTCCCTGATGAATGCTGTTCCACTTTAAAGAGATGGTTATTTTGCAATTTATAAACTTAACTGAGCATACTATTTTCAGGACACTACAAAGTACATAGTCAAGTTATTACCGTCATTCCTATAGGACAGAGAATGATTTAAACAATATGACATGTTTAAAATTTTAGATGATTTATTTCAAATCCTGAATTATGTCTACTTCAAATTATGAGCAATCTCTATTATCTTTCAGGACTATTTAAAAAATCTCCATACCTCCTCTTTCAGCTTAGGTTTTTATATTTGTTAATTTTACTATGTTACTTTGCTTCTATGGCCCTCACTTGCACTGTTTATAATGTTAACCTGTTTGAATGAGATATCTCTCCATTATATCTTTATCTTTTTAGAACATGTGCCATAAAACCCATGTGGTTATTTTGTTCATATGCACTACAACTAGCAAACTTTTATTTTATGTTCACCTACTTTAAAAAGTACTCATACTGTACCATGGGAAAGAAACATGGGCCTTATAGAATGGAATGCTGAGCTATTTTGAGTCCTGAAAACAATGGCCAAAAATTTAAGGAACTGTGGTTGCTGCATGCACCAAATTGTAGCACATACAAATAAATAAAATACAGTTCTATAACTGTATTCAATATGGTTATTTTCAAGGAAAAATAGGATAGAAATTTTCTTTGAAAGATTTGCTATTGTACTTAGGGAAGTACACCTGCTATTACCCCTCAAAAGCAATGACTTTCTTAAGCAATTTCAATTTTTTTCCTTTTTAACAACCCTGCACTTGCACAACCCTGCATCTCTTGTCTCACCCTAATGCTGACCCTGCTTCCAATTCAGGCTTTGACAGGGACAAATGGAGATTTTAAGGTTTTTTAATGAGAGAAGCCTTGCTGACACTCCCCGCATCCCACCTTGAAAATTATTTAAAGATGATCTTAAAAGAACCTACAGATAATGCTCTGAATTTGTTTACAAGGTCCTTGATGTGGAGAGAATGAGTAATACATTAAATGCTGGGGAAATAATTATCATTTAGTGAAAAATTAAGCATGCTTTTCTAAAATGTGGATGTTTAACAGAGCACAGCTGATTGGGAACACTGGCAGTTCAATGCAGCTGGAGTGTCTCACAGGGTGAAGAGGAACCCAGATCAAGTGGGAAATAGGGATTTCAAAAACCTTCTGAAAGGCTTTTAACATCAGGGCAAAGGTTTTACAGTGTTGTACTTTATATTCTTAATTTAAGCTTATCAACGGGGAGGATTCACATTGAAATGTCTGTTTTGCTAATGTAACAAGGAATAAAATAATTTATGACACAGCAAAAACTGGGGGCTATTTACAACCCCACCCTGCCTTGTGAGGATGCTGGGTCCTAAGGAAGGTCCTAGGTTTGCTAAATAGAGTAATGGGAATAGGAAACTGAAAGTTTACTTGCTTTGCGTAAGATAATATATTGCGGCAGGGAAGGGGTACAAGAAGATAAGAGCTAGAACCTGTGAGAAGGGAAAGAAGTGATAAAATAATTTTGGCTAAAATAAAGCAAGTTCTCAGGCCAGGCGTGGTGGCTCATGCCTGTAATCCTAGCACTTTGGGAGGCCAAAGTGGGAGGAATGCTTGAGGCCAGGAATTGGAGACCAACCAGGGCAGCATGTCAAGACCTGGTCTCTACAAGGAAAAAAAATTTTTTTAATTGACCAGTATATACTTACATACCTGCAGTGTTTAGAAAACCCGACTATAGGTGGTGTATTCCTGTAGTCCTAGTTACTCAGAAAGTTAAGGCAGGAGGATCGCTTGAACTTAGGAGGTCAAGGCTGCAGTGAGCCCTGTTCGTTCCACTGCACTCCAGCTTGGGGGACAGAGCAAAACCCTTTCTCAAGAAAAACCCAAACAAACAAAAAAGTGAAGCCAGTTCTTTAATTTCTATTGGAGATATCACACACGCTCCAAAGAGTGGCAAAGGTGAACATTCTTTGGAGCTATTATATTTCTAATGTAACATCAATGGCCATTTACTCCCAAAGGGAAACATCTTTTTTTTTTTTTTTTTTTAAGATGGAGTCTGGCTCTGTCACCCAGGTGGGAGTGCAATGGCAGGATCTTGGCCCACTGCAACATCAGCCTCCCAGGTTTAAGCAATTCTCCTGCATCAGCCTCCAGAGTAGCTGGGATTACAGGTGCCCGCCACCATGGCTAGCTAAATTTTTGTAATTTTTAGTAGAGACAGGGTTTTACCATGTTGGCCAGGCCGGTCTCGAACCCCTAACCTCAAGTGATCCGCCCGCCTCACCCTCCAGAAGTGCTAGGATTACAGGCCTGAGCCACCGCACCCGGCCCTGCTATTTTTTTCTATGTAGTTGTTTCAGTAATACCATATGAGCAGAGAATACTATTGATTCATTCAATTGAAGAAATCTGAATAAATTAGTAAATATAATAATTCTTCAAAAGAGGACCACTTTATGTTTCCAATAGATTATATAATTGAATTCAGGTAACGTAGAGTTATTCAGACTTTTTTTTTTAAATAACGGAATTTTGCAAAAAAACAGGTTGCATCGTTTTCTACAGAGAATATTCAGATGTGTAGAGGCAAAGAGACTTTCTTGAAAGGTTTTTATTTCCTGTTAAATTTGTGAGGAAAACTCCTGAGAAAGGAAAGATTTACTTTTGAAGGAAGAAAGAACATAACCCAAAGAAATTTGAAAGATTCAAAAAGAGTTTTCCAAATGTATTCTCATTTCTTTCTCATATTTGTTCAAGGTCTTAGTTTCCAAGCATTCAAAATTAAATCTTGTTTGCCTAACTCTTCTAACATCTATTACCAACCTAACATATTACAATTCTGTTTAAAATGTGCAGTTCTAAATGTTCTTGCGTGCCTCACTGTGGAAAGTGTGGTGCATGGAACTGCAGCGTCAGTATCACCCAGAAGTATAATTACAAGAAGTGCAGAGTCCTTGGCCTTACCCTGTACCTACAGAAGTCCGCTTTTGGGCAAGATCCCCAGATGATTCATATGTGTATTAATATTGAAAAAATTGGAACTAGTAAGTCCTAGAGGAGGTAAATTTTAAGGGCTTTTTAAGGGAACTTCCAAGTGTGAAGACATTTCTGGAGATGACAAGTCAACATAGCATGGGATCTTGGCTAGACAAGGAAAGCGAGAGAACATTAAATAAACACAAGCAACGACAAACCACCTATGTTATAATTTTATCCTGGACCATCCAAAGTTTACTCTTGGTCACGCTGTCTAACCCAGCCTGCCTCCTGGCACTTGCTAGTTAGAACCAGGGAAGAGAAAACTAATATGTGTTAGGTATTATAATTTCCTTATGTCACATAAATTTTGGTGCCATAGCTAGCAATGTTTCTTAATATCACATCAGTACAATGTGTCCATTGCCTTCTGTAACATTTTTAATGCTATCAATAATACATTGACATTATAAAAATAAATGAATGTGGTCAATATTTTGCAAAGAGCTTCTCTTCATCAGCTATATCTATACACCTGCAGTGTTTAGAAAGCCTGACTACAAAAACTGGCTCTACTGCTTATGTCTTGCTCTACTTGCTTATTCTACCCATGGTAGAATTATATAGTCATATTGTGTCCGGAGTTGGTTCCTTCCAGTGGGTTCATGGTCTCACTGACTTCAAGAATGGAGCCACGGACCTTTGCGGTGTTACAACTCTTAAAAATGGCACAGACCCAAAGAGTAAGGAGCAGTAAGAGTGAAAACAAAGCTTCCACAGGTGGAAGCAAACCCCAGTGGGATGCCTCTGCTGGCTTGGGGGTGGCCAGCTTTTATTCCCTTATTTGTCCCCTCCCATGTTCCATTTTTGTCCTATCAGAGTGCCTTTTTTCAATCCTCCCTGCGATTGGCTACTTTTAGACTCCTGCTGATTGGTGCATTTTACAGAGCACTGATTGGTGCATTTTACAGAGCGCAGTTTGGTGCATTTTACAATCCTCTTGCTAACTACAGAGCACTGATTGGTGTGTTTTACATTCCTAGCTACAGAGTGCTAATTGGTGCATTTTACAAACCTCTTGCTAGCTGCAGAATGCTGATTGGTGCGTTTTACAATCTTAGCTACAGAACGCTGATTGGTGCGTTTTACAATCCTAGCTACAGAGTGCTGATTGGTGCATTTTACAATCCTCTTGTAAGACAGAAAAGTTCTCCAAGTCCCCACTCGACCCAGGAAGTCCAGCTGGCTTCACCTCTCAATATTACATCTGCTTTCATGACCGGAAAATGGAGATTGGAATAGTTTCTACTTTACAGGGTGGTTGTGAAGATTAAATGAGCTAAATTTTACAAAGAATTTATTCCAGTTCTTGGCCCCCATTAAACATTCTAAGAGCAATGAGCAGAATTTTCTAAGTCACCCCAGGCTATCTGGGCCATAACTTAGGTGGGACAGACCTCTCACACCTTCCCAGTGGAAGGGTCTGTGCATGCAATTCCAACTTCACTGAAGAAGCAGGCTTCCACCCATTGACATTCCTCCTAAACCATGATCTCCAGGTGTTTGGCAGATAATATTTCTAGATGACTTCTGTGAACAGCTGACACCCTATATCCAGTTTTCTTGGTGCCAAGTAATCTGATTACTGATGAGGCTGGTTTTTCCTCTCTGTCCTGTAAATGGTAAAATATCAGGAAGCCAGTATCCTCAACTAGCACCTCAGCCCCAGCAAGCTTCTCCATGAAAAGAGAGTGTTGTATCATGAGCCTACTTCTTAACATATATCACATGACAGTAAAATTTGTCCTGAAGCCTAGTGCGAGAGAAGTTTAGGTCCAAGTAGGACATAATGTATGACATGCTGGATGTCATGCATGTCTTACTATAGCATCTATGACATGCTGTATTAAACATTATTATAATCACATCTTTTGAACAATTAGAATCTGCAATTGAGTGCAATAGTCATCTTGTCGTTTGTAAACTTGATAATGATAAAGTATAAACACATGCCCACATACACACACACACACACACAAACACGTATGCATTTGGTTACACACAGAGAGCCTTGTCTTTTACATAGCTTATTTAGGTGGGGACAGGTTTCTGAAAGGTGTCACATGCAAGTGCTTTCCTTTTTGTTTGAGGTACAGATCCCATTAAAGAGCCAAATGCCTATACAATGCCCTGAGAGAGATGTCAGCTGTGTAATTGTTCTTTAGCTGTCTTTCTAAGTGTAGTCCAACTCTTCTGGCATGCAGCAATCATCCTGCCCCTAGGAATTTGACCTTTCTGCACCGTACTTTAAATTCAGCCTCATTGCTAGACAGCAAGAAGATAAGGAGGTGATGCAAGATTTTTTTTTTTTTAGAAGTTATGCTGTAAAATCTCCTACTACAATTATAGGAACACAAAATCTTTTGGGCTGCTAGGCTCCACAGGAGATCATCTGGACTCAGTTCTTAAAGCTTTGTTCACAGCAGGATCTGAGATCTAAACTTCTAAACTATTATTTCATGATTTGTATTTTTTTAAAGGTAGGGAAAAAAAAAAACTCCCACCTCATGTCAGAGTACTTTAATGTTCCTGTGATGAACATTGTTAAAAAATCTGTAGACAAGTGAAAAAAGTACAAGACTGAAATAATCAAAGAACTGTGAAGTTTGAAAATTGAAGCTTCCAGCAGTTTCAGATCAGCTGCATCCAATTAATCAGATGCGTGGCCCAACAACACATGCTTTGAGCTGTTTATTTCATGCACTGTTTATCGCTAAAATAGATATTAAAGCTAAAGAGATTTAGAGGAAAATAGATGGTCTGTTAGGAGAAAAGAATTACTTTAAAATGTTCCTTTATAAAAAAAGATTAAACCAGATTACGTTTAGTTGCCTGTTGAAGAATAAATTTTATAGTAGTGATATAACTAAAAAAAAAATGTTGTTTTTAAGGGAAACAATTCACTGCATATGTCAATTGTAACACTTTGTGATTTTGTTTGCCTATTTTTTGTCTTAAAGTCCTAGTATAGGTTAAAATTCTGATTTTGGGCATGGCATGAAAGGCTAAATAGATTCAATGCTCTTAACATGTCCAACTTTCTAAGACTCTGCTCAATCATTAATACTTCATTTATTTATTTAGCACACTTCTTTCTTCAGCTATGTGTTTCTGCTCATTGTACATATGCAAAATCTACAATTTATATTTTAGCTTTGACATGATAAAAGTGAGTTCTTCTTTGAATCCTCCAGCTACCATTTTCTATATTATTCCATCTTTTTACACTTTTTCTGTTCTTCTTCCAAAAATGAAAAAAATCTAATATCACTAAAAACTTATTGTGAGTTAATTAACTTCTGAATTATCCCAGGTATTTGCACTTTAAAATAAAATGCCATCATTAAAAAAGAAATTAAAAAAATATGAAAATAAATTGGCTACTAACTCTTGGACACCAGTAAGTGCTCTCACCTTAAAAATAAGAATTTCACTAAATAATTTGTAGGATTTTTTCTAGATCTAAGATTCTGAAACTTGAAAACTCTTGCCCTTGATGGGAGGGAGAGTTTATGTCATCACCGTGATTTCTTGGGACTTTATGTTGCTCAAATGTGCATCCACCACCTACAGAGTCTGCAATAAAGCAAGTTTAATAAGTGTTTGTTGAGCATCCAGGTACATGAAGGAAGTAAACATTTGAAATAAATAGTAGCAAAATATAACTAAAACAGTTCAAGACAAAATCAAAAGGAGTGTCATAGGGAGTCATAATTTCAATTAAATTATACAAATGAGAATTGTCACAGCAATTATTATGTGGGCAATATAGATAGAGGGAGAATGTATAGAATCATGAAGTACTAGAATGTTTGCGCTATTAATTGTCCTTAGAAATGAGCTTGTTAAACTGTCTTGAATGATAAAAGTAAAAACAGACCTGCAGCCCCAGTATCACAAAAGATCTCATGAAGACTCAGGACTATAATTCACCTGATCACTGATAAGGCTGGCTTTTCCTGTATTTACCGTAAATGGCAAAATATCAGGAAGCCAATATCCCTCCACTCAGCAAGGTTTTCTATGAAAAGAGAGAATGGTATCATGAGCCTACCTCTAACAACTACAGAGTCTGCAATAAAGCAAATTTATGATTATTTGTTGAACATCTAGGTACATGTAGAAAGTAAACACTTGAAATAAATAGTAGCAAAATATAACTAAAACAGTTCAAGAGAAAATCAAAAGGAGTGTCACAAGAAGTAATAATTTCAATTAAATTATACAAATCAGAGTTGTCATAGCAATTATCACTTGGGCAATATATAATAGAGGGAGAATGTATAGAATCATTTGAGCTATAAGGGTCCCTAGAAATGAGAAACTAGAGATTTACTGTACTTTGAGGTTGTTATAATCTAGAGTGATTTTATGGAACTCTAGATAGACAAGCATAATTGAGAAAAATAGAAATGAGGGAAAAGTTGGAATGTTCCAGGATTTTTGCTACATAAAAAACCTAAAGGCAAGAATGTAAATTCTAAATGCATAAGTAAGTGCTAGATGCATATGATATCTGACTGGAGGGAGTTTTGTTTTTTTGTTTGTTTTGTTTTATTTTATTTTGTTTCTACAGAGGAGAGGCCCAAGATTAAGGAAAGCCTTAATTATGGCCTTTAAAATGTTCATACTTACCAAGTCAGAAGCAAGGAGCCATTGACAGCTTTTGAGTAGAAAGCCAGTAAGACAAAAACAGTACTTTTACAAAGAGTATCATTGTAGATGAAGAATTCTATGACAGAAGTTGGAATCTCATGGAAAAGTTAACAGATTAGTGCAGAGCTTCTGGCAAAACTTTAGTTTTACTTTGCCACCTGAACTTTATTGGGAGTGATTTTTGTTTGTTTTGTTTTGTTGTTGTTTTGTTTTTTGTTTTTGTTTTCAGCCGGAGTCTAGCTCTGTCACCCAGGTTGGAGTGCAGTGGCGCGATCTCGGCTCACTGCAAACTCCACCTCCTGGGTTCATGACATTCTCCTGCCTCAGCCTCCCGAGTAGCTGGGACTACAGGCGCCCGCCACCATGCCCAGCTAATTTTTTGTATTTTTAGTAAAGACGGGGCTTCACCTTGTTAGACAGGATGGTCTCGATCTGACCTCATGATCCGCCCGCCTTGGTCTCCCAAAGTGCTGGGATTACAGGCATGAGCCACCGCACCCAGCCAAGAGAATGATTGTTTGTACAAGTGATATTTCAAAACCTGAAACATAGTGCCAGTTACATAGCAGGTACCCAATAAATGTTGGTTGAATGAATGAATTGAAGTATAATCATCATAAATACCCCACTAGAAGAAGTTTTTAAAATCATGTGGTGTCTCTCACTATTAGGAATTGTTTCTGCTATTTCTCCTAAAAAACAATTGAACTCATGGAGATAGAGAGTAGAATGATGGTTACCAATGGCCAGGAAGAGTGTAGGGAGCTGCAGGGGGAAAGTGGGGATGGTTCATGGGTACAAAAAAAAAATATTTAGAAAGAATGAATAAGATCTAGTATTTGATAGCATGATAGAGTACTATAGTCAACAATAATTTAATTGTACATTTAAAAATAATTAAAAGAGTATAATTGGATTGTTTGTAACACAAAGGATAAATGCTTGAGGTGATGGCGATCCCATTTTCCCTGGTGTGACTATTACACACTATATGCCTGTATCAGAATACTCCATATACCACATAAATATATATAATTACCACGTACACACAAAAATTAAAAACAAAAATTTTAAAAAGAATAATTGGCGGTACTATTGCTATTCTAGAATATTGAACATGGATCAAAATTCTTTGAGATAAAGTCTATCATCAAATCTTGTTTAGCATTTTTGACAACGCAAGTTAGCTTCCAGAAAATAATTCTAAGGCTCAAAATAACTGGTAAAACTGAGGTTAAAATTTTCAAAACCAAGTATGGATAAAATGATATCTTCCTGTGAACTGATATTCCCAAAAATGATAATTGTTTAATCATCTCAGAGAAGAAGCATAACATTTAAGTTTTCCACCAAAAAAAAAAAATCATTAGCCAGATAACATGACACCCAGTTTGGCATAGTTGACAATAGATTCATATTTTTATTCCTTTCGTAAAAACAATTTTGAGATAGTCTTGATGTGTTGCCCAGGCTGGAGTTCAGTGGCTAAATCTTGGCTCAGTGCAACCTCCTCAATGTGGGGTTCAAGCAAATCTTGTGCCTCAGCCTCCTGAGTAGCTGGGACTACAGGCCCAGGCCACCACACCTGGCTAATTTTTTGAATTTTTAGTATTTTTTGTATTTTATGTTGGTCAGACTGGTCTTGAACTCCTGACCTCAAGTGATCTGCCTACCTCAGCCTCCAAAATTGCTGATTTACAGGCATGAGCCACCAGACCGAGCCTAGATTCATATTTTTCATCTTAAATGAAGTCAACCTTCCTGTGCTCCCCCTGTAGAAGCAATCCAGTCCTGCTCCTCTCTCTAACACAATTATTCCTTAAATTTCTCCCTTAACTTCCAATATTCAATTTTCTCCTACATTATAAAATGTTTTGTTGTTATCTTTTATTCCTCTCAGACTTAATCTGTTCAGGGTTAAACTATTCTCTCTTTTTCACCCACAAGATAAATCAATGTTCCTAGCTTAGTTCGTGGCGCTACATTTTTACCATTCTAGAGATTCTTTTGGCTTGGGGGTTTGGAGTCCTGTGTTGTAGTCTCAGACATTTTTACCAAATATATGGTATGTGTCAATATGAATTCAGGTATAAAAACAGGGAAATACCAATTGTAGGCCACAATACATATGTGTGTGTACATACATATATATGTATGTGAGTATACATACACACACGTATATACATACATATACATGTGTATTTATATGTATAAATGTGATGTATGCATAAATGTAATATATATTCATATATATGTGAAATTGCAAACTGTCTTAAATCTTAAGACTTTTAAAATTAGTCTAAATTAACTGTTTAAATTAAATTGAAATCTTAAAAACTTACATAGTACTCTGAATATGTACACTTAATAGGATCATGAACTAGTCAGGGAGTAAAGGTAAGTTTCCCATGGAAACTGCTATTTGGATTGAGATCTGATAATGGGCAGGATTTGACAGATAAATATTGCATGTGGGGATATGTGGCATTTTATGTGTGGCATAAAAACATTCCGGGATGAAGGGATATCAAAGGCAAAGTTCCTGAGACATTTGGGATAATGGCACATATAAGAAGCTAAGAGAGGAGCAGAATAAATGGAGCACGGAGAGTGAAGTGAGATGAAGCTGGTGAAGCAGAGAAAATACAAACCATGCAAAATCTGGTAAGACATCGATCTCTATCTTAAGAATTTGGTTTTTGAGCCAACATAGCTGACTAGACACAGACAGAAAGAGCTTCTCCCACTGAGAGACCCGAACATCAAGAAAACCAGCACGCTCTGAGGAGATCTTCAAAAGGAAGGCATTAAGAGTGGAGGAGGGAGGACACAGACTCTCGGCTAAAGTGGGAGGAAGCTGAGAACCCTGCACAGAGTTGCCCAGCACCAGATTCATTCATGGCCCCAAGTGGCTTCTAGGGAAAGAGTGAGTTAAACAGGTATGCAGTGGCCCACCCTCACCATGTAACTCCAGAATCCTAGAAGCAGGAGACCCCAGGATCCCTACAGACATTTGAGCTGGCAGAGATTGTTGCCTGGAGACTTGGCACTGATAGAACTCCTGCCTATGCAGAGCCCAAAAGGTTTGGTGTGGGAATGGCTGCAGTGGAGCACAACAAGGAACACTCATTCCCCAAGGTTTGCCATGCTCCTCTAGGTGGCTTTGGCCTTCGTTGACTGTTGGAGCTGGACAGAACAGGGTGACTGTTTCCGTGGGACTGCTAGCCTCTCCCAGGTTCCATGCTTGAATGCATCTGCGTATAGCACAGCCTCAGATGCCCAACCAAGGTGCTTCTCAGCAGCCAGTGCCACTAGCTCCTTCACCAGCATACTCTGCCTAGCAGTCAGACAGCTTCTGCAGGTGGGCTCCTGGCAGCGTACCCCCACCCACAGTCTTTCCCTCCGCTTTTCCAGGTCCACCTTCTTGCACTCCCCCCATCACTGTTTTGCCAGGGCACAGTTCCCCAAAGCCCATACCCACCGTTTTGCTGGAGCACATTCAGCTTCAGCCTCCTCTCACCGTTTCACCTGTGTGTGCATGCAGACCTCAACATCATTGTCCCGCCAGTGTCAGTACACATGTTCACACACATACCACCTCCACACTGCTGCCCGTGTAAGCATGCAGACCTTGCCGTCCTGCTGCCACCAGCACATGCATGCAATCACAGGCCCACTGCCACCACCCTGATGAAATGCTCTTGCCAGTACTCCCCTTAAGAGTATTGTTTCCAGTGCACCAGGAACACCTCAGCCCCTCCAGCACAGCAGGTGCCCAACCTCAAGGGGCCAGAGAACAAAGTTATGGGCCTTGTTCCATGTCTCCAGGGTTACAGCATGCAAACCAGGAGTGCTGAGCTTAGCCATGGTCCCCTAATATCATCCAGAAATGAAGCAAGTTGACTGAATCTAGCTTATACCACAGTCAAACCCTCAACAGCATAAAAGAATATAAAAGCAAAAAGCCCCACCCAAAAGACAGCAGCTTCAAAGATTAAAAGAATAACTGCCCCTATGAATGGGAAAGAACCAGTGCAAGAACTCTGGCAACTCAAAAAGCCAGAGTGTCTTCTTACCTCTAAATGTTTCATACTAGTTCCCTAGCAATGGTTGTTAATCAGACTGAAACAGCTGGAATGACAGACATAGAATTCAGAATCTGGATGGCAATGAAGATCATGGAAGTTCAGGAGAAAATTGAAACCCAATCCAAGAAATATAATGACTTCAGTAAAATGATATAATAGCTGAAAGATAAAATAGCCATTTTAAGAAAGAACCAAACTGATATGATACAGCTGAAAAACTCACTACAAGAATTTCATAATATAATAAGAAGTATTAATAGCAGAATATACCAATCTGAGGGCAGAATCACAGAGCTGAAAGACCAGTTATTTGAACCAACTGTGTCAGACAAAAATAAAGAATAAAAAATAATGAATAAAAACTCCAAGAAATAAGAGATCATGTAAAAAGACAAACCCATGGCTCATTGGCATCCCTGAAACAGAGGGAGAGACAGCAACAACTTGGAAAATATATTTGATGATATAGTCCATGAGAACTTCCTCAACCTCACTAGAGAATTTGACATTCAAATTTAGGAAATTCAGAGCACCACTATGAGATACTATTCAAGATGACAATCCCCAAGACATAGTAATCAGATTCTTTAATGTCAATGCAAAAGAAAAAACATGAAAGGCAGCTAGAAAGAAGGGGCAGGTCACATACGAAGAGAACCCATCAAGCTAATGGTGGACCTTTCAGCAGAAACCCTGCAACCCAAAAGAGATTGAGGGCCTATAGTCAGCATCCTTAAAGAAAATAAATTCCAACCAAGAATTTCATATCCAGCCAAACAAAGCTTTATAAGGGAAGGAGAAATAAAATCCTTTTCAGATAGGCAAATGCTAAGGGAATTCATTACCACTAGACCTTCCTTACAGTAGGTCCTTAAGGGAGTGCTAAACATTGAAATTAAAGACCAATACTGGCAACCACAAAAACACACTTAAGTACATAGACAACTGACACTAAAAGCAACTTTACAATCAAATCTACATAATAACAACACAATGCACAATGTTAGGGTCAATATTGACCTGGTATATAAATGAGCTACATGCCCCACTTCCAAGTCTCAGAATGGCAAGTAGGATAAAGAAGCAAGATCCAGCCAGGCATGGTGGCTCACTCTCTAATTCCAGCACTTTGGGAGGCTGAGGCGGGTGGATCACAAGGTCAGGAGTTCAAGACCAGCCTTGCCAACATGGTGAAACCCCATCTCTACTAAAAATACAAAAATTAGCTGGCATGGTGGCACACACCTATAACCTCAGTTACTTGGGAGGCTGAGGCAGGAAAATTGCTTGAACCCAGGAGGCAGAGATTGCAGTGAGTCAAGATTGCACCACTGCACTCCAGCATGGGTGACACAGTGAGGCTCCATTTTGCGGGGTGTGGTGGGAAGCAAGATCCAACTGTATGTTGTCTTCAAGAGACCCATCTTACATGGAATGACATCCATAGGCTCAAAGTAATGAGATGGGGAAGAAAAATAAAGCAAACAGAAAACAGAAAAGATCAGTGGTTGCTATTATGATTTCAGTCAAAACAGATGTTAAACAAAAAATGATGAAAAAGAATAAAGCAAGGCATTGCACAATGATAAAGGATATAATTTAATAAGAAGGCTTTAACTATTCTAAATATATATGGACCCAACATTGGAGTGTCCAGATTTATAAAACAAGTTCTTAGACACCTAGGATGAGACTTAAATAACCACACAATAATAGTGGGACACTTCAACACTCCACTGACATTGTTAGACAGATCATTGAAAAAAACTAACAAATATATTTGGGACTTTAACTGGACAACCAAATAGAAGTAACAAACATCTATAGAATACTCCACCCAAAAACAGAATATGCATTATTCTCATCTGCACACAGCACATACTCTAAGATCAACTAAACTTTCAGACATAAAGCGATTATCAGCAAATTAAAAAAAATAAAATCATACCAACCACACCCTTGGACCAAAGCACAATAAGAATAGAAACCAATACCAAGAACATCTCTCAAAATGATACGATTGCATGGAAACTTAAAAATCTGCTCCAAAATGACTTTTGAGTTAGCAATGGAATTACGGCAGAAATTAACAAATTGTTTAAAACTAATGAAAACAAAAATACAACATCTCTGGGACACAGAATCTCTGGGACACAGCTAAAGAAGGGTTAAGAGAAAAAAATTATAGCACGAAACACCTGCATTAAAAAGTTAGAAAGATCTCAAATTAACAACCTAATATCACATCTAGGGGTACTAGAAAAATAAGAACAAACCAACCCCCAAGCTAGCAGAAGAACAACAACAAAAAAATACAAAATCAGATCGAAGCTTAATGAAATTGAGATTTGAAAGACATCACAAAAGATGTGCGAAACCGAGAGTTGCTTTTTTAGAAACAATAAACAAGATTGATAGACTGCTAGCTAGACTAATAAAGAAAAAAAAGAGAGAGAAGATCGAAATAAACAAAACCAGAAATGACAACTTCCAGCCAACCTCACAGAAATACAAAATCCCTGATTCCATTATGAAAACTTCTTTGAAAGCAAACTAAAAAACCTAGAAGAAATGGATAAATTCCTAGACACATACAACCTCCCAAGATAGAGCCAAGAAGAAATTGAAGCCCTTGGGGGGAGGAGCCAAGATGGCCGAATAGGAACAGCTCCAGTCTACAGTTCCCAGCGTGACCGACACAGAAGATGGGTGATTTCTGCATCTCCAACTTAGGTACGGGGTTCATCTCACTGGGGAGTGCCAGAGAGTAGGTGCAGGACAGTGGGTGCAGGACAGTAGGTGCAGTGCACCACACACAAGCTGAAGCAGGGTGAGGCATCACCTCACCTGAGAAGCACAAGGGGTCAGGGAATTCCCCTTCCTAGTCAAAGAAAGGGGTGACAGACGGCACCTGGAATATCGGGTCACTCCCACCCTAATACTGCGCTTTTCCAATGGGCTTAAAAAACGGCACACCAGGAGATTATATCCCACACCTTGTTCAGAGGGTCCTACGCCCATGGAGTCTTGCTCATTGCTAGCACAGCAGTCCAAGATCAAACTGCAAGGCAGCAGCAAGGCTGGGGGAGGAGCCCCCGCCATTGCTGAGTTAGTTGTTTGATTAGGTAAACAAAGCGGCCAGGAAGCTCGAACTGGGTGGAGCCCATCACAGCTCAAGGAGGCCTGCCTGCCACTGTAGGCTTCACCTCTGGGGGCAGGGCACAGACAAACAAAAAGACAGCAGTAACCTCTGCAGAATTAAATGTCCCTCTCTGACAGTTTGAAGAGAGTAGTGGTTCTCCCAGCATGCAGCTGGAGATCTGAGATCAGGCAGACTGCCTCCCCAAGTAGGTCCCTGACCCCCGAGTAGCCTAACTGGGAGGCACCCCCCAGTAGGGGTGGACTGACACCTCACATGGCCGGGTACTCCTCTGAGACAAAACTTCCAGAGGAACGATCATGCAACAGCATTTGCGGTTCACCAATATCCGCTGTTCTGCAGCCAACGCTGCGGATACCCAGGCAAACAGGATCTGGAGTGGACCTCTAGCAAACTCCAACAGACCTGCAGCTGAGGGTCCTGTCTATTAGAAGGAAAATTAACAAAAAGAAGGACATCCACACCAAAAACCCATCTGTATGTCACCATCGTCAAAGACCAAAGGTAGATAAAACCACAAAGATGGGAAAAAACACAGCAGAAAACTGGAAACTCTAAAAATCAGAGTGCCTCTCCTACTCCAAAGGAACGCAGCTCCTCACCAGCAATGGAACAAAGCTGGATGGAGAATGATTTTGACAAGTTGAGAGAAGAAGCCTTCAGAAGATCAAACAACCCCGCGCTAAAGGAGGAAGTTCGAACCAATGGCAAAGAAGTTAAAAGCTTTGAAAAAAAATTCGACAAATGGATAACTAGAATAACCAATGCAGAGAAGTCCTTAAAGGACCTGACGGAGCTGAAAACCAAGGCACGAGAGCTATGTGACAAATGCAGAAGCCTCAGTAGCTGATGCGATCAACTGGAGGAAAGAGTATCAGTGATGGAAGACGAAATGAATGAAATGAAGCAAGAAGAGAAGTTTAGAGAAAAAAAATAAAAAGAAACGAAAAAATCTCTAAGAAATATGGGACTATGAGAAAAGACCAAATCTACATCTGATTGGTGTACCTGAAAGTGACGGGGAGAATGGAACCAAGTTGGAAAACACTCTGTAGGATATTATCCAGGAGAACTTGCCCAATCTAGCAAGGCAGGCCAACATTCAAGTTCAAGAAATACAGAGAATGCCACAAAGATACTCCTTGAGAAGAGCAACTCCAAGACACATAACTGTCAGATTCACCAAAGTTGAAATGAACGAAAAAATGATAAGGGCAGCCAGAGAGAAAGGTTGGGTTACCCACAAAGGGAAGCCCATCAAACTAACAGCTGATTTCTCTGCAGAAAATTCACAAGCCAGAATAGAGTGGGGACCAATATTCGACATTCTTAAAGAAAAGAATTTTCAACCCAGAATTTCATATCCAGCCAAACTAAGCTTCATAAGTGAAGGAGAAATAAAATACTTTACAGACAAGCAAATGCTGAGAGATTTTGTCACCACCAGGCGTGCCCTAAAAGAGCGCCTGAAGGAAGCACTAAACATGGAAAGGAACAACCGGTACCAGCCACTGAAAAAACATGCCAAAATGTAAAGACCATCAAGCCTAGGAAGAAACTGCATCAACTGACAAGCAAAATAACCAGCTAACAGCATAATGACAAGATCAAATTCACACATAACAATATTAACTTTAAATGTAAATGGGCTAAATGCTCCAATTAAAAGACACAGACTAGCAAATTGGATAAAGAGTCAAGACCCATCAGTGTGCTGTATTCAGGAAACCCATCTCACGTGCAGAGAAACACATAGGCTCAAAATAAAAGGATGGAGGAAGATCTACCAAGCAAATGGAAAACATAAAAAGGCAGGGGTTGCAATGCTAGTCTTGGACAGACTTTAAACCAACAAAGATCAAAAGAGACAAAGAAGGCCATTACATAATGGTAAAGGGATCAATTCAGCAAGAAGAGCTAACTATCCTAAATATATATTCACTCAATAAAGGAGCACCCAGATTCATAAAGCAAGTCCTTAGAGACCTACAAAGAGACTTAGACTCCCACACAATAATAAGGGGATACTTTAACACCTCACTGTCAATATTAGACAGATCAACAAGACAGAAAGTTAACAAGGATACCCAGGAATTGAACTCAGCTCTGCACCAAGCAGACCTAATAGACATCTACAGAACTCTCCACCCCAAATCAACAGAATATACATTCTTTTCAGCACCACACCACACCTACTCCAAAACTGACCACATAGTTGGAAGTAAAGCTCTCCTCAGCAAATGTAAAAGAACAGAAATAATAACAAACTGTCTCTCAGACCACAGTGCAATCAAACTAGAACTCAGGATTAAGAAACTCACTCAAAACCGCTCAACTACATGGAAACTGAACAACCTGCTGCTGAATGACTACTGGGTAAATAATGAAATGAAAGCAGAAATAATGATGTCTTTGAAACCAATGAGAACAAAGACAAAACATACCAGAATCTCTAGGACACATTGAAAGCAGTGTGTAGAGGGAAATTTATAGCACTAAATGCCCACAAGAGAAAGCAGGAAAGATCTAAAATTGACACCCTAATATCACAATTAAAAGAACTGGAAAAGCAAGAGCAAACACATTCAAAAGCTAGCAGAAGGCAAGAAATAACTAAGATCAGAGCAGAACTGAAGGAAATAGAGATGCAAAAATCCCTTCAAAAAATTAATGAATCCAGGAGCTGGCTTTTTGAAAAGATGAACAAAATGGATAGACCACTAGCAAGACTAATAAAGAAGAAAAGAGAGAAGAATCAAACAGATGCAATAAAAAATGATAAAGGGGATATCACCACGGATCCCACAGAAATACAAACTACCATCAGAGAATACTATAAACACATATACACAAATAAACTAGAAAATCTACAAGAAAAGGATAAATTCCTCGACACATACACCCTCCCAAGACTAAACCAGTAAGAAGTTGAATCTCTGAACAGACCAATAACGGGATCTGAAATTAAGACAATAATCAATAGCTTTCCAACCAAAAAAAGTCCAGGACCAGATGGATTCACAGCTGAATTCTACCAGAGGTACAAAGAGGAGCTGGTACCATTCCTTCTGAAACTATTCCAATCAATAGAAAAAGAAGGAATCCTCCCTAACTCATTTTATGAGGCCAGCATCCTCCTGATACCAAAGCCTTGCAGAGACACAACCAAAAAGAGAATTTTAGACCAATATCCTTGATGAACATCGATGCAAAAATCCTCAATAAAATACTGGCAAAATGAATCCAGCAGCACATCAAAAATCTTATCTACCATGATCAAGTGGGCTTCATCTCTGGGATGCAAGGCTGGTACAACATACACAAATCAATAAATGTAATCTAGCATATAAACAGAACCAAAGACAAAAACCACATGATTATCTCAATAGATGCAGAAAAGGCCTTTGACAAAATTCAACAACCTTCATACTAAAAACTCTCAATAAATTAGGTATTGATGGGACATATCTCAAAATAATAAGAGCTATCTATGACAAACCCACAGCCAATATCATACTGAATGGGCAAAAACTGGAAGCATTCCCTTTGAAAACTGCTGCAAGACAGGGATGCCCTCTCTCACCACTCCTATTCAACATAGTGTTGGAAGTTCTGGCCAGGGCAATCAGGCAGGAGAAGGAAATAAAGGGTATTCAATTAGGAAAAGAGGAAGTCAAATTGTCCCTGTTTGCAGATGACATGATTGCATATCTAGAAAACCCCACTGTCTCAGCCCAAAATCTCCTTAAGCTGATAAGCAACTTCAGCAAAGTCTCAGGATACAAAATCAATGTGCAAAAATCACAAGCATTCTTGTACACCAATAACAGACAAACAGTCAAATCACGAGTGAACTCTCATTCACAATTGCTTCAAAGAGAATAAAATACCTAGGAATCCAACTTACAAGGGATGTGAAGGACCTCTTCAAGGAGAACTACAAACCACTGCTCAACAAAATAAAAGATGACACAAACAAGTGGAAGAACATTCCATGCTCATGGATAGGAAAAATCAATATCCTGAAAATGGCCACACTGCCCAAGGTAATTTACAGATTCAATGCCATCCCCATGAAGCTACCAATGACTTTCTTCACAGAATTGGAAAAATCTACTTTAAAGTTCATATGGAACCAAAAAAGAGCCCGCATTGCCAAGTCAATCCTAAGCCAAAAGCACAAAGCTGGAGGCATCACGCTACCTGACTTCAAACTATACTACAAGGCTACATTAACCAAAACAGCATGGTACTGGTATCAAAACAGAGATATAGACCAATGGAACAGAACAGAGCCCTCAGAAATAATGCCACATATCTACAACTATCTGAGCTTTGACAAACCTGACAAAAACAAGCAATGGGTAAAGGATTCCCTATTTAATAAATGGTGCTGGGAAAACTGGTTAGCCGTATGTAGAAAGCTGAAACTGGATCCCTTCCTTATACCTTATACAGAAATTAATTCAAGATGGATTAAAGACTTAAATGTTAGACCTAAAACCATAAAAACCCTAGAAGAAGACCTAGGCAATACCATTCAGGACATAGGCATGGGCAAGGACTTCATGTCTAAAACACCAAAAGCAATGGCAACAAAAGCCAAAATTGACAAATGGGATCTCATTAAACTAAAGAGCTTCTGCATAGCAAAAGAAACTACCATCAGAGTGAACAGGCAACCTACAGAATGGGAGAAAATTCTTGCAACCTACTCATCTGACAAAGGGCTAATATCCACAATCTAAAATGAACTCAAACAAATTTACAAGAAAAAAACAAACAACCCCATCAAAAAGTGGGCAAAGGATATGAACATACACTTCTCAAAAGAAGACATTTATGCAGCCAAAAAACACATGAAAAAATGCTCGTCATCACTGGCCATCAGAGAAATGCAAATCAAAACCACAATGAGATACCATCTCACACTAGTTAGAATGACGATCATTAAAAAGTCAGGAAAAAACAGGTGCTGGAGAGGTTGTGGAGAAATAGGAACACTTCTACACTGTTGGTGGGACTGTAAACTGGTTCAACCATTGTGGAAGACAGTGTGGCGATTCCTCAGGGATCTTGAACTAGAAATACCATTTGACCCAGCCATCCCATTACTGGGTATATACCCAAAGGATTGTAAATCATGCTGCTATAAAGACACATGCACACGTATGTTTATAGCGGCAATATTCACAATAGCAAAGAGTTGGAACGAACATAAATGTCCCACAACGATAGAATGGATTAAGAAAATGTGGCACATATACACTATAGAATACTTTGCAGCCATAAAAAATGATGAGTTCATGTCCTTTGTAGGGATATGGATGAAACTGGAAACCATCATTCTCAGCAAACTATCACAAGGACAAAAAACCAAACACCACATGTTCTAACGCATAGGTGGGAATTGAACAATGAGAACACATGGACACAGGAAGGGGAACATCACACACCGTGTGATGGGGGGTGGGGGAGGGGGGAGGAATAGCATTAGGAGATATAGCTAATGCTAAATGACGAGTTAATGGATGCCGCACACCAACATGGCACATGTATACATATGCAACAAACCTGCACGTTGTGCACATGTACCCTAAAACTTAAAGTATAATAATAATAAAATAAAAAAATAAAATAAATAAAAATAAATAAATAAATAAATAAATGAAATTGTAGCCCTCAACAGACCAATAATGAGTTTGGAAATTGAATCAGTTAAAAAAAAAAAAAAAGGAACTGGAGAAATCTCTGCACCATACAGATTCATAGCTGAATTCTCCACGGTATATAAAGAAGAGCTGGTACCAATCCTACTGAAATTATTTCAAGAAGTCAAGGAGGAAAGACTCCTCTCTGACTCTTCCTATGAGGCCAAGATCATTCTGACATCAAAACCTGGCAAAGACACAATGAACAAAAAAACTTCAGGCCAATATCTTTGATGAACATAAAAGCAAAAATCCTCAACAGAGTGCTAGCAAACCAATTCCAGCAGCTCACCAAAAAGCAAATCCACCAT
The DNA here is from genome assembly GCF_000001405.40 of Homo sapiens. Taxonomy (NCBI): domain Eukaryota; kingdom Metazoa; phylum Chordata; class Mammalia; order Primates; family Hominidae; genus Homo; species Homo sapiens. The sequence goes on along the minus strand of NC_000005.10, from coordinate 45,237,456 downwards.
GATCAAGTAAGCCTTCTCCCTGGGATGCAAGGTTGGTTCAACATAGGCAAATCAATAAATGTGATTCATCACATAAACAGAAGACCACATGATCATCTCAATAGATGCAGAAGCCCTTTGATAAAATTCAACATCCTGGCCAGGTGCGGTGGCTCAAGCCTGTAATCCCAGCACTTTGGGAGGCCAAGGTGGATGGATCACGAGGCAGGAGTTCAAGACGAGCCTGGGCAATATGGTGAAACCCTGTATCTACTAAAAATACAAAAATTAGCTGGGCGTGGTGGCAGGCAACTGTAATCCCAGCTACTTGGGAGGCTGAGGCAGAAGAATTGCTTGAACCCGGGAGGCAGAGGTTGCAGTGAGCAGAGATCCCGCCACTGCACTCCAGTCTGGGTGACAGAGTGAGACTACCTCTCAAAAAAAAAAAAAATTCAACATACCTTCATCTTAACAACCCTCAACAAACTAGGCATTGAGGGAACATACCCCAAAGTAATAAAAGTCATCTATAACAAACCCACAGGAAACATCATACTTAATAGGTAAAATCCAGAAGTATTCCCTCTGATAAGCAGAATAAGACAAGGATGCTCACTCTCACCACTCCTATTCAACATAGTACTGGAAGTCCTTGCCAGAACAAACAGGCAAGGTAAAGAAATAAAAGGCATCCAAATAGGAAGAGAGAAAGTCAAACTATCCCAGTTTGAAGATGTTTCGATGATACCTAGAAAACCCCGTAGTCTCTGACCAATAGCTCTTAGATCTAATAAAGAAGCTTCAGCAAAATTTCAGGATAAAAAATCAATGTATAAAAATCAGTAGCATTTCTGTACATCAATGATGTCCAAGCTGAGAGCCAAATCAAGAATGCAACCCCATTCACCATAGCCAGAAAAAGAATAAAATACCTAGGAATACAGCTAACCGGCAGGTTGAAAGATCTCTACAATAAGAATTATAAAACACTGCTGAAAGATACAGAGACAACACAAACAAATGAAAACACATTTCATGCTTATGGATAGGAAGAATTAATATTGTTGAAATGACCATAGGGAGCTAGGCGTGTTGGCTCACACCTGTAATCCCAGCATGTTTGGAGGCCAAGGCAGGTGGATCACCTGAGATTGGGAGTTCGAGACCACTCTGACCAATATGGAGAAACCCTGTCCCTACCAAAAATGCAAAATTAGCCGGGTGTGGAGGCACAGGCCTGTAATCCCAGATACTCGGGAGGCTGAGGCAGGATAATCACTTGAACCCAGGAGGCGGAGGTTGCAGTGAGCCAGATCACGCCATTGCACTCTAGACTGGGCAACAAGAACAAAACTCCATCTCAAAAAAAAAAAAGCCATAGGGTCCAAAGCAATGTACAGATACATTGCTATTCCTGTCAAACTACCAACGACATTTTTCACAGAATTAGAAAAAACTATCTTAAAATTTGTATGAAACAAAAAATGAGCCCTAATAGCCAAAGCTACTTTAAGTAAAAAGAACAAAGCTGGAGTCATCATACTACTTGACTCCAAACTATACTACAAGGCTGCAGGAACCAAAACTGCATTGTACTGGTACAAAAACAGACACATAGACCAATGGAACACTTTAGAAAACCCAGAAATAAAGCCACACACTTATAACCATCTGATATTTGTCAAAGTTGACAATAACAAATAATGGGGAAAGGAAGGACTTCCTATTCAATAAATGGTGGTGGGATAACTAGCTAGCCTAGCCATATGCAGAAGATTAAAACTGGACTCTTTCCTCTCACCATATACAAAAATCAACTTATGGATTGAAGACTTAAATGTAAAACCTACAACTATAAAATCCCTCGAAGAATATCTAGAAAACACTATTCTGGACAAAGGTTTTCACAAACATTTCATGATGAAGACTCTAATACCAATTGCAACTAAATCAAAAATTGACAGGTGGTACCTACTTAAATTGAAGAGCATCTACACATCAAAAGAAACTATCAACAGAGTAAACAGACAACCTACAGAATGGGAGAAAGTATTTGCAAACTATGCATCTGACCAAGTCTTAATATTCAGAATCTATAAGAAAACTGAATCAACAAACAAAAAGCAAACAATCCCCTTTAAAAATGAGCAAAGGACATGAATAGACACTTCTAAAAAGAAAACGTACTCATAGCCAGGAAGCATATGAAAAAATGTTCAACATCACCAATTATTAGGGAAATGCAAGTGAAAACCACAATGAGATCTCACATACTCAGAATGGCTATTATTGACAAGTTAAAAAACAACAGATGCTGGCAAGGCTGTGGAGAAAAGGGAATGGTTATACAGTGCTGGTGGGAATGTAAATTAATTCAGCCACTGTGGAAAGCAGTTTGGAGATTTCTCAAAGAATTTAAAACAGAAGTACTATTCAACCCAGCAATCTCATTACTGTGTAAATGTCCAAAGAACTATGTATCTTTCCACCATAAAGACACATGCAAGTGTATGTTCATCACAGTTCTAGTCACAATAGGAAAGGCATGGAATGAACTTTGATGCCCATAAACCATAGACTGGATAAAGACAATGTAGTACATATATACCATGGAATACTATGCAGCCAAAAAAATGAAACCATTCCCTTTGCCACAACATGGATGGAGCTGGAAGCCACTATCATAAGCAAACTAACTCAGAAGCAGAAAATCAAATTTCACATGTTCTCACTCATAAGTAGAAGCTAAACACTGACTAAACATGGACACAAAGAAGAGAACAATGGACACTAGGGCTTAGTTGAGGCTGGAAGGTGAGAGGAGGGTGAGGATGGATAAACTACTTGTTGGGTACTAGGCTAAATCACTAGGTGATGAAATAATCTGTATATCAACTCCCTGTGACACACAATTTAACTATGTAACACAACTGTAACCCATCTGCACATGTACCCACGAACCTAAAAGTTGGAAAAAGAAGATAATTTGATTCTTTATCTTCAAAACAGTGGAGAGACACAAGTTTTGCATATATGGTTTTCATACTTTCTGATACAGTCTATTGCTTGGGGCATTGGCTCTAATACTTACATTGACCATTGACATGGTTTGGCTGTGTCCCCACCCAAACCTCAACTTGAATTGTATCTCCCAGAATTCCCACATGTTGGGGGAGGGACCCGGAGGAGGTAATTGAATCATAGGGGCTGGTCTTTCCAGTGCTATTCTCTTGATAGTGAATAAGTCTCACAAGATCTGATGGGCTTATCAGGGGTTTCTGCTTTTGCTTCTTCCTCATTTTCCTATTGCTGCCACCATCTAAGAAGTGCCTTTCACCTCCTGCCATGATTCTGAGGCGTCCCCAGCCATGTGGAACTGTAAGCCCAAGTAAACCTCTTTTTGTTGCCAGTTTCAGGTATGTCTTTATTAGCAGCATGAACATCAACTAATACAATAAATTGGTAGCAGTAGAGTGGGCATTGCTGAAAAGACACCTGAAAATGTGGAAGTGACTTTGGAACTGGGTAACAGGCAGATGTTGGAACAGTTTGGAGGGCTCAGAAGAAGAAAGAAAAATGTGGGAAAGTTTGGAACCTCCTAGAGACTTGTTGAATGGCTTTGACAAAAATGCTGATAGTGACATGAACAATGAGATCCAGGCTGAGGTGGTCTCAGATGGAGATGAGGAACTTGTTGGGAACTACAGCAAAGGTGACTCTTGTTATGTTTTAACAAAGAGTCTGGTGGCATTTTGCCCCTGCCCTAGAGATTTATGGAACTTTGAACTTGTGAGAGATGATTTAGCATATGTGGTGGAAGAAATTTCTTAGCAGCAAAGGATTCAAAAAATGACTTGGATGCTGTTAAAAGCATTCAATTTTAAAAGGGAAACAACATAAAAGTTCAGAAAATTTGCAGCCTGACGATGCAGTAGAAAAGAAAAACTGTTTTTTTGTTTTGTTTTGTTTTTTGTTTTGAGGAGAAAGTGAAGCTGGCTTCAGAAATTTGCATAAGTAATGAGAAGCCTAATGTTAATCCCCAAGACCATGAAGAAAATGTCTCCAGGCCATGTCAGAGAACTTCATGGCAGCCCCTCCCATCACAGGCCAGGAGGCCTAGGAGGAAAAAGTGGTTTTGTGGCCTGGGCTTAGGGTCCCTGTGCTGTCTGTAGCCTAGGGACTATCCTATGTCCCAGCTGCTCCAGCCATGGCTGAAAGGGACCAACAGAGAGCTCAGGCTGTGGCTTCAGAAGGTAGAAGCCCCAAGCCTTGGCATCTTCCATGTGGTGTTGAGCCTACAGGTGCACAGAAGTCACAAATTGAGGTTTGTGAACCTCCACCTAGATTTAGACGATGTATGGAAACACCTGGATGCCCAGGTAAAAGTTTGCTGCAGGGGGGAGGCCATCATGGAGAACCTCTTCTAGGGCAGTATGGAAAGGAAATGCAGGGTTGGAGCCTCCAGAGTCCCTAATGGCGCACTGCCTTGTGAAGCTGTAAGAAGAGGACCACCATCCTCCAGACCCCAGAATGGTAGATCTACCTACAGCTTGCAACATGCACCTGGAAAAGCTGCAGACACTCAGCGCCAGCCCATGAAAGCAGCCAGGAGGGAGACTGTCTCCTGCAAATCCACAGGGGCAGAGCTGCCCAAGACCATGGGAACCCACCTCTTGCATCGTGACCTGGATGTGAGGCACGGAGTCAAAGGAGATCATTTTGGAGCTTTGACTGCCCTGCTGGATTTTGGACTTGCATGGGCCCTGTATCCCCTGTATTTTGAGCAATTTATCCCATTTGAAATGGCTGTATTTACCCAATGCCTTACCCCCATTGTATCTGGGAAGCAACTAGCTTGCTTTTGATTTTACAGGCTCATAAGTGGAAGAGACTTGCGTTGTTTCAAATGGGACTTTGGACTGTGGACTTTTGGCTTAATGCTGAAATGAGTTAAGACTTTGTGGTGCTGTTGGGAAGGCATGATTGGTGTTGAAATGTGAGGGCATGAGATTTGGCAGGGTCAGGGGCAGAATGATATGATTTTGCTGTGTCCCCACCCAAATCTCAACTTTAATTTTATCTCCCAGAATTCCCACGTGTGGAAGGGACCCAGGGGGAGAGAATTGAATCATGTGGGCCAGTCTTTCCTGTGCTATTCTCATGATAGTGAATAAGTCTCACAAGATCTGATGGTTTTATCAGGGGTTTCTGCTTTTGCTTCTTCCTCATTTTTCTCTTGCTGCTGCCATGTAAGAGGTGCCTTTCTCCTCCTGGCCTGATTCTGAGGCTTCCCAGCCATGTAGAACTGTAAGTCCAATTAAACCTCTTTTTGTTCTTAGTTTTGGGTATGTCTATATCAGCAGCATAAAAACTAATAAAACCGTATAATTGAATGTCCAAGTCAGAAAACATTTGAAAGTGAAAGGGGTCTCTATTAATGTTTGTCTTGGGAGAACAAGCATAAACTGGAGCTGTGCCAGGCAAACTATAACTTTTCAACCTGCGTGTTGCTTCTGTATCTCATCAGTGATCAACTCAAACTGAGCACAGTCTCCACCAATGCTTATAAATTAATTAACCAATCAGTGAGAATAATTTGTAAATTAGCTTTCTCTAACAGCAGTGGCCTGTGTTTTTGTGAGCCTCCTATTGAGGAATAGCCTTAGGCAAAACTGATGTAGGAAACTTAGGTTGCACATCCCTTCAGTAATTTGTTAGTGTTCTATTCAATTCAAATTGAATTGGCTGCCTCAAATGCCCAGAGTTGATGCTTTACAGTTGTTATTTTCCTCTTTTCTTATCTTTGAACAGAGAAAAGTACCTGTTCTAAAGAAGTTGGCATAACTGGATCTTCCCATTCCAGTGGAACACTGGGAAAGATGGGGAAGATAAGTCCAAAGAGATATGCAAATTTATCCACCGTCTAAATGTTTGAAGACCCCAACCCCTCCCATATCTTTTAATTTTACCATTTGTTTGCAAATTCATATGATGGCTGAAGGTAATTCTTGGGGTCTTGGGAAAATCTCACAAGAAAACACTGTGATTTTGCCATCTCTCTTCAGATTTATCTTAAAATACCTAATAGAAATCTATTGCCTTCTCTGCCCCAAATAAAACCACTCCCCACAAGCTAACCCCCTTTTTTTTAATTATGATTCTCACAACCTCTACTCTTATCATCCTCACTATATTTTTCCTCATTCCTCAAGTCGGCCCTAATCTTAACATTCTTCAAAGGCCTCTGATCACTATCAGTAGCAAGTTCGAACTCCTTATCAAGGCACATAAGGACCTTCATTCTCTGGCTCTTGACACCTTCTACAGCTCCCACTTCGGGGAGTGCTATTCCGTTAAATATCTTCAGTAGCTCCATCTAATATTGTTAATTCCATCCCTTAATGCTTAATTTAAAATCTACACTGCACTGTATGCATGGATAAAGTGGGTTGTATTGTTCATGGATGAGTTTATGTACTTACACGTCTCTCTGACTAGATTAAAACGTCTTCAAGAGGAACAAGTTACGTATTTCAAAATGTTAAGCACAGAGGGAAAAGTCAAAATATAAGGAAGTGGTGACTGAATAGAAAGCCATTTAGTTAGACATCTTTGGTGTTTCTATCCTCTTGAGGTTGTCTTAAATCCATCCCTTTTCACACTCTTTGACAATCCCTGACCGAATCTACTTATTTTATGTGAAGCAGTATAGAACAGTGGTTAAGAGTTTGGACTCTGGAGCCAGGGTGTGTGTCGTCTTTAGAATAGTAGCTCCATCACTTCCTACCTGGGTCATTTTAGCAAGTTATTCAACCTTTCTGAGCCTAAATTTCCTCATCTACAGAATGGAGATAATGAACACAAGAATGCAACACCCTCATAACGTTCCTGGAAGTATTAAATGACTTGCCATCTAAGTGTGAATGCTTATAACAATGAACAACACATAGCCAACAGTATCCAAGTGTTATTTGTGAATACACTGAAGACACTCAATTCTCTACCTCCTGAAAATCTCCTCTTCTGAATTCCAGATACATCCATCTACCTGCTTTCGTCATGTGGATATTTCCTAATTACTCAAATATGTCCAAAATTGACCTCTATATTTTTACCTCCAAACTTATTGCTCCTCCTGTGTTTTATATTTTAGTATCACCATGGCCTAGGTACCTGCCTTAGTCATTTGGGGCTGCTATAAGAAAATACCTTAGACCGGGAAACTTATAAACAACAGGAATGTATTTCTTACAGTTCAGGAGGAGGCTGGGAAGTCCAAGATCAAGGCATCAGCAGATTCAGCATCTGTTTAGGGTTCATTGCTAATGGACAGTGCCTTCTAGTTGTTTCCCCTCATGACAGAAGGCAAAAAGGCTCCCTCCAGTCTTTTTGATAAGGGTGATAATCACATTCATGAGGGCAGAGTCCTTATGACTTAATCACTTCTCACAGGTCCCACTGCTTAATATCATCACCTTGGGGGTTAGGTTTCAACATATGAATTCTGGGGAGACACATACATTCAGACCACAGCAGTACCCAAACCATAAATATGAAAATCATACTCACATTTCCTTTCCTTTAAACTTATACATTCTACAATTCAACTAGTGTTACCAGCTTCATATCATTTTTTTTTAATCTGCTTTCTCTACTTCAAGATAAGCTCTTTGAGCAAAAACCCTTTCCAAAGTAAAACCTATGCAGACAGTCTTTTATTTTTCCACCATCACAGATTATCTTTATTCTGTAATAGCAGTAAATCTCCTTTGAGGGTAAGCAGAGATGACTGAAAAAACTCAAAATTCATGTCTTTCTTTTCTCTCTCACACACAATAAAAAGTGCAATGCCTTCCTAAAACAGTTGATTTTCTTGAGTCACCATATTGCTTCCCATCAATCATGCTAAGTCTATTCATTTCATTGGTCACTAATCAGTCAAAAGCAATAGAAAAGTCAAAGGAGATAGGAAAATAGCATGCCAAATATTTATTGTAATATATAGTGCCACTTTACCCATCTTTTCCTGAGTTTAGGTGGACAAGTCTCGGCAGAAGATTATCTTCCTCATTACTGTTACCAAATGTGAAGGGTTTGAATCAAGTTTTCATATATGTTGAAGCCACTGCTTGAACTTCAAGGCCTTTGTAAGTGAGAACAGTTTTTTTGTTTCGAGGGCATCAGGCCTATTTTGTCCTTTTATTAGATGTATCTAACATTCTTTGTTTCTTTTCTTTTTCACTTTGAGGAAGATGGGAGCAGGGTAGTGTTTTTGAGTGATAAATTCATGTCTTGTTAAAGTGCAGGTCAAATATGTATAAACACGTACACCACCTACAGACATTACCATATTAGCAGACCTTATATTTGTCCCTCTTTATTCTCCTATCCATCATTTACCCTTTAGCTATAGAGGAAATGAACGCCCAATGCAAAGGCACAAGATCTTTCATGTTAAGTAAATATGTTCCAAAGAAATAGAAAAATTATTTTGTTCATTGTTCCTCTGAGAAAGTTCAGATTGCGTATAGGTATGTAAAAGACATTAATGGTATAGTGATATTTTTCTTCTTCTGTGTATGTGGGAGGAAAAGAAGAATGTTCAGTAAGAACAATTTTGAAGTATTTTACTCTGGTATCAATGTGTGAAATGACTTAGCGATTCAAGCCAATCCTTTTTTCATCTACTGCTGTTATTAATATGTTATATTTGCATGTAAAAATTGATTTGCAGCTTAGCTAACTTTTTTTAATGTCTGATGGCATATACAACACATTTTTCTAAAAGTCATCCATATTGCCATTGCAACAATCAAATCTTAATTCTATGGAGGTGTTATTTATAATTCTTTATATTCTGGCCATTAAAATGACTTTGCCATTACATTAATAAAAGCATGAAATAATTGACACTATACTAGACAAGGTAGGGAGGTGTTTACAGAGAAATACAAAATAAATAAAAGATTTCCTGTAATGCAATAACAATTAGTTGGGTAGACAAAAGGAAATATATCCATGTGGAAAAAAATGTTTGCAAATCAACATAACAAGTAGACATCAATTTAATGTTAGAAATTTTGTTGACTTAATATTTCTGTACTAATTCTCTAAATGTAAGAACATGTTACGATTTTTGAGATGTTGCATTTAAACATTTATACGACTATTTTGAATTTTATTGTAACAAATAGATCTTAAATCTTAACTCTAGCTCACTTTATGTCTTAGCTCAGTCCTCTGACACATTATCATAGACTTGGTGGCTTATAAACAGCAGAAACTTATTCCACAAATTTCTGGAAGCTTGAAGTCCTAGATCCAAGTGCCAGCATGATTGGTTTCTGGCGAGAACTCTCTTCTGGGTTGCAGAGTGCCTAGTTCTTGCTGAGTCCTCACAAGGCAAAAGAGAGAAAGCAAGTTCTCTTGAGAGTCTTCTAACAATACTAATCCCCTCCGCGAGGGCTCCACCTTCAGGTCCTCATCTAATCCTAATTACCTCCCAAAGACCCCACCTACTCATACCCTCACATTAGGAGATAGGGTTTTAAGATATGAACTTTGGAGAGAGAAAAGCATTCAGTCCATAGCACTTTATCAGCAACTCTATATTGAGTGCCAATTATGCATGACACACTGTATTAGGTAGGTCCCTGCCCTCAAAAGAGTTTATAATATAGAAAAAAACTCACTGTAACCCTAATTTTATCAGAAACTATTATAAAACACTGGATCTCAACCTTGGCTATATGTTAAAATCACCACGGGAACTGATGCTAAGATCCCTCTCCCAGAGATTCTGGCTCAGTTGGTCTCAGGTATGGTCTGGGCATTGAAATTTTTAAAGATCACTACAATATTTCTAATGTATAGCCTAAATTAAGAACCATTGCTACAATCCTATGGAGAAAATTTACCTTCATCTGAAGTAATCATAGAAAGCTTCTCAGAGGTGGAGGATTGTCCATTGACAACGAATCAAACTGGATTTAAAGTTGAAAGGTGTCAGAGATCTTGACACATCAGAAACAAGGACAATTAGGCAAAGAACAATATGAAAGCAAGAAAGTCCAAGTTATATTTGTTGATCAATGAGTAGAACTGCATAGATTACAGAAACAAAAGTAAATGTGAAGCTAAAACAATTATTCCAATGACCATGTATGTGCTATAATATTTCTTCTGATAGTCACCTTTACCTCTGCAGATACGAGTAATATGTTATTCAAACTTTAGCATGGTACCTATATGATAGACTACATAGATGGCCATAATCATTCCCTTTTACCTGTAACTGCTCCATTTCCCAAGTCCTACCATTAAAAATTCAGAGTCTCTTATTTCTTCTCTTTAATCTTTTGAATTTCTTTGGCCAATAAAATGCAGTGGGAGTCAGGAGAGGCAAGATACAAGCCCAGACTTCAAAAGTCTTTGAGTACTTGCAGTCTCTGTTTCTCTTTTGGAACCCTGTCCAGCGACAATATATGAAAACCAAAATAACCTGCTAAAAAAATGATAAAGCATATTAAGCAGAGACATGACATCCCACTTGAGGCCTTTCTAGACCAGCTAGCTTCCAGCTGACTTGGCAGTTAATCATGACTATATAAACAAGCCCGCCCAAAACTAGAAGAGCCACCCAAACCCAGTTGAAACTGCCACCCTATAGAACTGTATTCTAAAGAGATGGTTTCTATTTAATTGACTAAAATTTAGGGTCATTTGTTTTACACAAATGCTAACTGATATAATCTCACTTTCCCAGCTACGACATCTGATCCAAGGGGTACACCAAGCTGGTCAGTATGACTTCTTACTCATAACATTTTCCACTGGAATGAAAGAGACACACTCTACCTTAGGCTACCACACTGGTAGTGTGACCGGAATTGGTGGGTTCTCCAACTTGCTGACTTCAACAATGAAGCCGCAGACCCTCACGGTGAGTGTTACAGTTCTTAAACATAGTGTGTCGGGAGTTTGTTCCTTCAGATGTTTAGATGTGTCCAGAGTTTCTTCCTTCTGGTGGGCTCGTGGTCTAGCCGGCTTCAGGAGTGAAGCTGCAGACCTTGGCAGTGAGTGTTACAGCTCACAAAGTCGGCGCAGACCCAAGAGTGAGCAGCAACAAGATTTATTGCTAACAGCCAAAGAACAACACTTACACAGCAAGTAAAGACATCTGAGCCGGTCCTGTCAGTTGGCTTGGGTGGACTGCTTTTATTCCCCTCTCTGACCACCCCCCCCCCCCCCGCCCCCGCCAATAGGTACATTTTACAGACAGCTGATTGGTCCATTTTACAGAGCACTGATTGGTCTGTTTTGACAGAGTGCTGATTGGTGCATTTACAAACTTTTAGCTAGACGCAGAGTGCTGATTGGTGCATTTACAATCCTTTAGCTAGACATAAAAGTTCTCCAAGTCCACACCCTTTGCCTAGTGGAGCCCATGCCTGGGCGGCCAGTGGAGCTGCCCGCTATGCTAGAACTCCTTAGCCTTTGGGCAGTCAATGGGCTGGGGCGGAGCAGGGGGCAGTGCCCGTCTGGGAGGATCAGGCCGCATGGGAGCCCAAGGAAGGGTGCTCCCGCATGGCTGGCTGCAAGTCCCAAGCAGGTCCCCAGCCCTGCCCTGTGGGGAGGCAGCTGAAGCCCTGTGAGAATTCGAGCATGGCATGGGCAGGCCGGCAGTGCTGGAGGACCCAGCGCACCCTCCACAGCTGCTGGCCCGGGTGCTAAGCGCCTCACTCCCTGGGCCGCCAGCAGGGGGCCGCTCAGCCCGCGAGCACCCGGAACTCACGCTGGCCTGGGAGCGCTGCACGCAGCCCCAGTTCCCGCCCGCGCCTCTTCCTCCACACCTCCCCGCAAGCAGAGGGAGCCAGCTCCGTCCTCGGCCAGTCCAGAGAGTGGCTCCCAGAGGCCAGTGGCGGGATGAAGGGCCCCTCAAACGCAGCCAGAGTGGACGACGAGGCCTTGGAGTCATGGAGAGTGAGCGAGGGCTGCTAGCACGTTATCACCTAGCAAGTTGTCACCTCTCAGCAGCATATGAGTACAAAAGTTTCTAAACCCATGTGTCCTATGCCATGGAAAACCATCTGCAAGAAAAAATTAATGAAACTTCAATACAAAGAAGTAATAACAAGACCCTGCAAGAGTGAGTAGGTCTTTTTTGACAGTCTAACCATCCATGATTCAAAGTTTGCTTAAGACCAGGGCCACCTTGACTGCTTAGTGGAGTTTTGTTCTAAATCAGAAAATTCCTCTGTTCGATTTAAACTAGTTCTTGTTGGGGTTCTGTTACTTGCAATTGAAAATGCCCTTACCCAAACTGTTTAGCCAGTCAGGAGGAAACAAAATCAAAAGTGGATGAAATAGTAGTCACCATTCAATACAGCTGTTCAAGCAATACACTTTTGTTTAGGATCCAGTAAGTTAGGTCAGAAAATGGGAATGTCATCTTATCCTTGAAGGTTTTGTATTCTAGTACAGAAGACAGACTGGCATACTTACAATTAAAGCAATCAGGGAACAAAATATGTAGGAAGGCTACCTAACCTAACAGGAACAAGGTAAGATCTCAGTGTTTTAGCTTTGAGAGGAAAACATGGCTCAATTCAAATGAAGAGATTGAAGAAAGCATTCTAGTTAAGAAATCAAGACATGCTCACTCCTGTAATCCCAGTACTTTGGGTGGCCGAGGCGGGCGGATCATTTGAGGCCAAGAGTTCAAGACCAGCCTGGCCAGTATGGCAAAACCCCGTGTCTACAAAAAACACACAAAAAATTAGCCAGGCGTGGTGGCACATTCCTGTAATTCCAGCTACTTAGGAGGCTGAGGCAGGAAAATTGCTGGAACCCGGGAGGCAGAGGTTGCAGTGAGCCGAAATCAGGCCACTGTAATCCAGCCCTGGGTGACAGAGCAAGACTTAAAAAGACAGAGCAAGTCTTAAAAAGAAAAAAAAAGCAGAAATCATTACACAGTTCTATCTCCATCAAAGTATATACTTAATTGGGTTGCTAATACTCCCACACCTGCAAGGTTGTTTTTAAAAAAATAAAAAGGTGAGGAGAGAATAAGAAATGAAGCTAACATTTTAAAATACATGCTGTATTTCAGAAACCATATAAGACACTTTACATATTATCTCTTTTAAAGATATATAAACCAGTATATCTCATTGTATTTTTGCAGCAATCTTGTGAAATAGAGGATATTATATTCCAACTTATTATATATCATGTGTTATATGACAAAAATCAGCTTCAGAAGACATAATTAAGTTTGGATTTTTTTCTTTGGAAGAGTTCAAATACATTTCAAAGGCACAATTCTGGTATGTAATGTACACTATTTTGAAAAATAATTGAGATATTTTTCTGGCATTAATATTAAATGAAATTGACCAACTTGTAAATTTTTTTGTAATTTTATAGATATACAAGTTATTATTGCCTTAAGACTTCAGAAAAATTTGTTTTACATTTATGATTATAGCTTAACAGTCTTGTCACTGTTTCCTGTAATATAACTGCAGAGAAGTATCTTCAAGGCATTAATAATACCACAATGAGATAAGATGAAATTGCAATGCATAAATTATTCCTTAGATTGAATGTTCAAGTTTTCTGGCTCTCAGTGGGATTTCCTGAGTTTATCTTTAGAATTTATTTTCTTTTTAAATTTGTAAACTTTACTTTCTTCCCCATTTACTTATGAAATTTTCAAAAGAACAGTACAACATGTTCTTTTACCGTTATATATAATGTATTATAATATTTGAGTGGATTGTTATATTGCTTGCTAAAATCGACTCAGGAAAGATTGATAGTGCAGAAGAATAGAGATAACTGAGAAGAAAAATAGTCTTTCAAAAAGTGAAGGGAGATGGAAATATGAGGGTCAGTAGAACTAATTTATGATAGGTGATGTACTTCATTGTAACAGATGAAAAAAAAGAAATGATAGATGCAGATGCCGTTGTTACTGATGCAGTTGCTGTTGTTAATCTTGTAATGATTATGATAATGATGATGACTGATGTTGTTGAGGGTGACCTGGAAATGTAAAAGTTACATGCAGGATTTAGTAAAGCAAAGGATGTTCATGTGCAGACATAATGAGGCAAGTACACACACACACACAACATAGACTAGACAGCGGGTTTGCTGTCTTTCTAGTTTCAAAATGTAGTACCTTATGAAAGTTTTGCTCTGTGAGACATAGCTTCATCCTTCTAACAAATTCACCTTTAATTTCCTAAGCTGCATTGAGTGGGTTCTGTACTTGAAATCAAATGATCCGTGCCTGAGACACTTTGGAAACCACTCAATTCAGAGTATACTGTACTCTCTCTTAGCATGTATTACTTGGCCAATACCCATAGTCATTATTGTTATTTTTCTTAGTGGGAGAGTCTAGTTCCCAGCGTATGTTAGTCTACCCTGTCCTGGTATAGGTTACCATTAAGGACACTCTTATTTTTAGACCTAGACACTCAGAAGTTTTACTTCACTGTAGAATTAATAGGAACCAGAAGGTTGGTATGGTTTCCAGTAAAAGTAACAACCTAATAATTAATAGAAGTATATGTCCAGAATAAGGGAAGTGTTATCATTAGCATGTTGCTTTCTAATCAGACTATGAGGGTGGAGCAACCAGAAATGGTGTGTCTTCCCTAAATGTAAGCACCAAACAAGATTTTTTTTCTTGTTCTGTACTGTTTTCTCTTGTTCTCTACTGCCTGGAGCATTGGTGCTCAATAAATATTCATTGAGTAACTGAAAGCCATGTTGTAAGAAAAAGCTTGTCATGACTGGGACTGTCTCACTTGGAAATTTGGACAAGAATGGTAGAGAAGAGATTTCTGTCTTTAAGTATCAGAAAGGGAACTTACTCCCATTAGCCCAAAAGGGCAGAATTATAAACTAGAATACTCGATTTTTAATTTCCTGTAATCTTCCCACACTCAGAGTACCTAATAATGTTCTTTGTCTCATTAGGGACCTGAATCTTTACACTAAGCCTGTATAACTACATCCGAATGTAGGCTGCCACTCTATGCCTATGAAGTGTCACTTCAAACTAAAACTAATGAGAAAAATAAGTAGATCTTCCTCAGAAAAATATTGCTTTAATAGTCCACTGTATCCTGTAGCATTTCTTCCCCAATAGTGAAGGCTGGCAGTTTTAACTTTAATTATGTTCATCCTGCCTGTATGAACCCAAGATGGATATTTAGTCAAGTTGATTATCTGGTGCACACCTGCTAACATAATTATGGCTAGAATAGGATGTTTTGCTCATCCTCTAAACTAAAAATAGCTAAACCAAATGTAGCATTCTTGTTTCAACAGGCAATCTGAGGTCTTTGGGGTACTTTGAAAATAAGGTAGTCAAGCACTACCTTAATTTAAGAATCTTTTTTTTTCTTATGTGTTAGGTCAGTGATTCTGTGGGACGTCTGTAGAGCCTAGAAATCTACATTTTTAACAGACACTCAGGGTGTAGTAGGTAGGTGGTAGACAATGCCTTAAGCAAAAAGACAATAGAGCTGGGTACCGGATATTTATTTATTAGAATTGAGCATTTTCATTTCAGTTAAAAATCTTTTATGATTAATTATGCTTGACAGAAAAGCCAGTGAAATATTTCATTGACATTTGTAAGTTTATCCTTTAATGTTATAATATACCAAAATGTCATATTATTCAAAATCTACTTCTGTGCAAACAAATTATTTTAAGCTTCCCTGCCATGCAACTCTTGATGTAGATATATCTCCTATGAGTTTCTTCAATAACAGCCACAATATCCTTGATATTTGCCTCACAGAGTCAAACCCCATTGGCCAAAACCCTCAGGCTTAAAAGTTAGGAGTTATTTATGCAGCCTTTCAAGCAGGAATCAAAAGACATGCAGAAATATTAATCTTGCTATAACTGCAATAGGTTTTTATCTTTTTATTCTTGGATCCCCAATCTCCTCCTCTCTAATAATGGGTGCCCTTGAAGTAACTAGGCCATATTCTTTTCTTTGTGTTCTTAATATGTTCTCTTACTTGCATTCTCTCTCTCTCTCTCTACCTTCCTTCATTTTGTGAGCTCCAATTTTTGTACCTTCAAATAACACAATTTAGAAAACTTCAGCTTTAAAAAAAATAAGTGATTCCCTTTGTCATTCTCTAATTACCTTAAACTGCAAAATATGTGCTTATAAATGAATGTACATTCCATTCTGAAGAACTGAAAAGAGCTATTTCATAAGTCTACAATGAAGCAAAATAACTACGTACAGAGAAAAGTTGGATCCAGGTGCAAAGTAAAAGGACTTGGCAGATTGTTAGATCAAGATCAGGCTGAGGTTCAGTTGGTTTCTCAAGTCGCCCACTTGGCCCTCTTCCAAGTCCTTCCTTCTCTTTCCTTTCCTTTTTGTCCTTACTGCTCTAAAGCTTTTTAATAAACTTCCACTCCTGCTCTGAACTTGCCTTGGTCGTTCCTCTGTCTTATGCTCCTGAGTCGAATTCTTTCTTCTGAGGAGGCAAAAAAAAAAAAAAAAATATATATGTATATATATATATATATATATATATATATATATATATATATATATCTATCAGGTTGAGTCAGAAGACAGAAGGCAGTGCACAAAAGGAGCCACTGGAATTAATTATTAGTTTACTTTTACTAGAAACCATAACAACCTTCTGGTTCCTATTAATTCTATACTGAAATAAATCTTCTGAGTGTCTAAGTTTAAAAATAAGAGTGTCCTCAATGGTAACCTATACCAGGACAGGAAGGGAGCCACTGGAAAATAGATGGAAAGTTGTGACATTTGAAGAAACCTGAAGAGTACAGTAGGCCTATCAGCTCAAGAGAGTTAGAAATTGGCAAGATCTTGTCTTAGTAGCTCAAGAGAATGAGGATAAAGATTTCTCTTCCTCCGTCTCATGGACCAGAGAAGAAAAAAAAAAAAAAGAGGAAATACTGAGGAATATCTGTAAAGGAAACATGATTGTTGTTTTTATCCATGGTTGCCATGGCATTTAAGCAAATGATACTCTTCTACTCTTCCAACTTCTGGACAATTATTGTGGTCTCTACAGTGAGGAAACTGTGACTTAGGGGAAGTTAGGCAATTCATCCAGGATCACATAGCTACTACATTAAATTTCAATATTTAAATCCAAAATGCATGTTTACTTCTTTTTGCCAAAGAGAGAACTAAAATCAGAAATTCACAGGACTTGAAAGAAGCTACATATTGAGAAATATATAAACTACATTATCTCAGATTCATTGATCATTCAATATTACTTGAACAGGGTTAACCACTCTCAATGGTACCACAGGTTCTAAGGAAATAGCAGTGGATTAGGCAGATAAATAATTGCCAACAAATGCAATGTGTCTGTAATTTGCTTACCCAAATCTGATGGCATTTTTATTTGCTTATACTCCAGTAAAGTAGCTGGAGTCAAATGTACCTGCCTCAGGAAGAAAATAGGAGAGAATAGAAATGGAAATAAGAAGATTTGGAAATATAGCCAAGAATCAAACTTCCCCTTTGTCTGTGATGATTGATAGCAACAAAAGGAACTATTGACAATAAAGAGACTTGGGATATCATTAAGGATAAAAAGTCCCTTCATTGCTCCATTACACTGAGATGAGAAAGTTCTTTTGATTTTTCTTATTTTTTACTGGACTTTATTTGGACCAGTTCAAGGTTCACTGCAATGTTGAGCAGAAGGTACAGAGATTTCCCAGCCCCACTACCCACATACAGACACAGCCTCCCACATCATCAACACCCCCCACAGAGTGGTGTATTTGTTATGATTGAACCTATACTAATGCATCATTATCAACCAGAGTCCATAGTTTACATTAAGGTTCACTCATGGTATTGTACATTCTATGGGTTTGGACAAATTTTAATGACATGTACCCACTGTTATGGTATTGATATAGTTTGGCTCTGTGTCTCCACCCAAATCCCATGTCAAATTGCTATCTCTAGTGTTGGAGGAGGGTCCTCGTGGGAGGTGACTGAGTCATGGGAGTGGACTTCCCCCTTGCTGTTCTCATGATAGAATAGAGTCTCACGAAATCTGGTTGTTTGAAAGTGCATAGCACTTCCCCCTTCTCTCTCTTTCTCTCTTCCTCCTGCACCCACCATGTAAGACTTGATGGCTTCCCCTTCATCTTCCATCATGATTGTAAGTTTCTTGAGGCCTCCCCAGCCATGCCTCCTGTACCGCCTGTAGAATTGTGAGCCAATTAAAGCTCTTTTCCTTATAAATTATGCAGTCTCAGGTAGTTCATTATAACATTGTGAGAACAGACTAATACAGGTATCATACAGAGCAATTTCACTGCCCTAAAAATCCTCTGAGTTCTGCCCATTCATCCTTCCTGCCCTCTTCCTGCCCCAGACCTCGGGAAATCACTGATATTTTTACTGTCTTTATGGTTTTGCCTTCTCCAGAACGTCATATATTTGGAATAATACAATATGTAGCCTTTCCCGATTGGCTTCTCTCACTTAGTAATATGCATTTGTTTCCTCCATGTCTTTTCATGGCTTCATAGCTCATTTATTTTTAGCTCTGAATAATATTGAATTACCTGGATGTACCACAGTTTATCCACTTGCCTACTGAAGTATATTTTGGTTATTTCCAAGTTTGGTCAATTATAAATAAAGCTACTATAAACATTTGTATGCAAGTTTTTGTGTGGACACAAGTTATCAGCTGCTTTGGATCAATACTAAAGAACACAATTGTTGGGTTGTATGGTAAGTATGTTTAGTTTGTTAAGAAGCTGACAAACTGTCTTCCAAAGTGGTTGTACAGTGTTGCATTCCCACCAGCAACATATGAAAGTCGGCGTTCTCTTCAGCGTTTGGTGGTTTCAGTGTTCTGGATTTTGGCCATGGGTGTGTAGTAGAATCTCATTTGCTAATAGGTATGTAGTGATATTTCATTATTGTTTTTGTTCACATTTCTCTGATGACATGGATGATAATGTGGAGCATCTTTTCATGTGCTCCTTAACCATCTGCATATCTTTTTCGATGAAGTGTCTATTAAGGTCTTTGGCCAATTTTAAAAATTGGGTTGCTTCTTGTTGAGTTTTAACAGTTTTTTTGTATATTTTGAAAAACAGTTCTTTATCAGATGTGTCTTTTAAAGATATTTTCTCTCAGTTAGTGATTTGTCTTTTTATTTTCTTGACAGTATCTTTCATAGAGTAAGAAATTTTAATATTAATGGCATCTAACTTAGCAGTTCTTTCATGGATCATGCTTTTGATGTTGTATGTAAAATGTCACCACCAAACCCAAGATCATTTACAAATCCTCCCATTATTTTCTATGAGTTTTATAGTTTTGTGTTGTACATTTTGGTTTCTGATCCACTTTCAGTGAATTTATGTGAAGGAAGTAAGGTCTATGTCTAGATTTCCTCTTTTTTTTTTTTTTTTTGCATGTGGATGTCCAACCATTTGTTGAAAAGGCTGTCTTTGCTTCATTGCATCGCCTTTGTTCCTTGGTCAATTATCGGTTGATTATATTTACGTGAGTGTATTTCTAGACTCTGTATTTTTCATTGATCTATTTGTCTGTTATTTTACTAATACCACACTGCCTTGATTAGGGTAGCTTTAGAGTATGTATTGAAATCAGGTAGTTTCAGTTCTCCAACTTTGTTCTTCTCTTTTAATTCTGGATTGGCTATTTGGGGTCTTTTGCCTCTCCATGTAAACTTTAGAATCAGCTTGTCCATGTCTAAAAAATATTTTTGAGGGATTTTGATTGGAATTTTATTGGATCTATAGATCAAGTCAGGAAAAAGTGGCATCTTGAAAATATTGACTTCCTATTCATGAACATAGAATGTATCTCAATGCATTTAATTCTCCTTTGATTTATTTCATCAGAGTTTTGTAGTTTTCCTTACATAAATCTTTTACATATTTTGTTAGATTTATATCTAAGTATTTCAGTTTTGAGGGATGCCTGTGTATATATATATATAAATATAAATATATATATATAAATATATATAAAAAAATAAAATTCCAATCAAGATCCCTCGAAAATATTTTTTAGATACAGACAAGCTGATTCTAAAGTTTACATGGAGAGGCAAAAGACCCCAAATAGCCAATCCAATATTAAAAGAGAAGAACAAAGTTGGAGGACTGAAACTGCCTGATTTCAAAAAAAAACAAAGTATATATATATACACACACACACACACACACACATATATATATATAGGCCTACACACATATATATATATATATATATATATATTATTTTATTATTATTTTTTTTTTTTTGAGACGGAGTCTTGCTCTATTGCCAGGCTGGAGTGCAGTGGTGCAATCTTGGCTCACTGCAACCTCTGCCTCCTGGGATCAAGCGATTCTCCTGCTTCAGTCTCTGAGTAGCTAGGACTACAGGCATGCACCATTATGCCCGGCAAATTTTTTGTAGTTTAGTAGAGACAGGGTTTCACCGTGTTGGCCAGGATGGTCTTGATCTCCTAACTTCCTGATTTGCCCACCTCGGTCTCCCAAAGTGCTGGGATTGAGTGCTGGGATTACAGGCATGAGCCACCGCGCCAGGCCAGTATTAATATTTTTAATTTGAAATTCTGTTTGTTCATTGCTCGTATATAGGAAGGTGACTAAACTTTGTATATTAATCATATATTTTGCTATCTTGCTATGATTATTAGTTCCAGGATTTTTAAAAAATTTATTCTTTTGGATTTTCTACATAGATTATCACTTCCTCTGTGAACAAAGATAATTTTACTTCCTCTTTCCCAATTCGTATACCTTTTATGTTCTTTTCTTATTTTATCTCATTAGCTAGGATGCCTAGTACTAGGCATCCTAGTACTAGGCATCCTAGTACCAATCAGTTGGCAGCCTGTGGTTTTACTACCATTAGCTAATTTAAAAGGGCTGCTAAGAGGCAACAGCCTTGTCTTGTTCTTGACCTTAGTGGGAAAGTTTCTAGTTTCTCACCCTTAAGTATAATATTAGCTGTAGGCTTTTTGTAGATACTTTTTGGTCAGGTTAAGGAAGTTCCTCTCTATTCTTAGCTAGCTGAGAGTTTTTGTTATGATTAGGTGTTGGATTTTTTTTCCAAATGTAATTTCTGCATCAATTAAATATGATCATGTGATTTTTCCTCTTTAGCCTGTTGATGTAATGAATTACATTAATTTATTTTTTAATGTTGAGCTAGCTTTGCATACCTGGGATAAATTCCACTTGGCTGTGGCATATAATTATTATAAATTGTTGGCATGGATTTGCTAATTTTTTGAGGATTTTTGCACCTGTGTTTATGAAAGATATCAGTCTGTAGTTCTCCTTTCTTTTAATTTCTTTGTATAGTTTTGGTATTAAGGTAATGTTAGCTTAGTAGAATGAGGCAGGAAGCATTCTTTTGTCTTCTATATTCTGAAAGACATTATAGCAAATTGGTATGATTTCTTCCTTAAATGTTTGGCACAGTTCACCAGTGAACTTATCTGGGCCTGGTGCTTTCTCTTTAGGAAGGTTATTAATTATTGATTAAATTTATTTCATAAATATAGGCCTATTCAGATGGTCTTATGAGTTGTAGCATATTATGTCTTTCAAAAAAATTCGTTCATTTCATGTAGATTATCAAATTTGTGGGCATAAGTTGTACATAGTATTATAACCATTTTAATGTACATGAGGTGTATAATGATATTTCTTCTCTCACTTCTGATATTAGAAATTTGTGCCTTCCCTTTTAAAATTAGTTAGCCTAGCAAGAGGCTTATCAATTTTATTAATTTTTTTGAAGAACCACCTTTGGTTTTATTGATTTTCTCTATTAATTGTCTATTTTCTATTTCATTGATTTCTTATTCTCCTTATTTCCTTTCTTCTGATTACTTTGGATTTAATTTGTTCTTCCCTGTATATTTTCCTAAGGTGGAAGTTTAGAAGATTGATTTTAGATCTTTCTTCTTTTCTAATATATGTATTCCATGCTATAAATTTCCTTCTAGGTACTACTTTCCCCACATCCCAAAAATTTTGATAAGTTGTGTTTTCATGTTTAATTTGCTCAAAAGATGTTTAAATTTCTCTGGAGATTTATTCCTTGATCTATATGTTATTTATAAGAGTGTTGTTTATTCGCCAATATTTTGGCATTTTAAGATATCTTTTTATTATTGATTTCTAGTTTAATTTCATTGTTGTCTGAGAGCAGAGACTGTATAATTTCTATTCTATTAAATTTGTTAAATGTATTTTATGGCCTGGAATGTGGTCTATCTTGGTGAATGTTCCATGTGGGCTTGAGACTAACACGTATTCTGCTGTTATTGGATTGAGTAGACAATAGATGCCCATTATATACAGTTAATTGATGATGATGATGATGATGAGTTCAACTATGCCCTTCATCATTTCTTGGATCTGTCCATTTCTGAGAGAGAGGCATTGAAGTCTCCAACTATAATAGTGGGTTAATTTATTTATTCCTGCAGTTCTATCAGTTTTTGCTTCATATATTTTGATGCTCTGTTGTTAGGTGAATTTACATTGAGGATTTTTATGTCTTATGTAGAATTGACTTCTTTATGAGTATGTAAGGCTCCTCTTTATCTCTAATAACTAATATTGCTCCTCTTGTTCTCTTTTTATTAGCTTTGCCATGGTATACATTTCTCCATTCCTTTACTTTTAATCTCTATGTGCATTTACATTTAAAGTGGGTTTCTTATAAACAACCTACAGTTACTGATTTGTGGATTTTGTTCCACTTTGACAATTTCTGTCTTTTAATTGGTGCATTTAGTCCACTGTTGTTTAAAATTATTGATGTAGTTGGATTAATATCCATTATATTAGTTACTCTTTTCTTCTTGTTGCCCTTGTTCTTCCTATTTCTGTCTTCGAATTTTTCTGCCTTTTGCTATAAAGAAATAAAAAATAAAAAACACCTGAGGCAAATTAAATTTAGCAGAGTTCATTTGAGCAAAGAATAATCAGACTTCCAGCAAGCTCCACCCAGCAATGTGGACAGGCAGTATTTATAGACAGGAAGTACAGAAACATCTTGATTGGCTCCAGCTGGGCATTTGGCTTATTTGGGCATGATGCAATCAGTTGTCAGCCTGTGGTTGGCTGAAGGTTGGCTGCTACGATTGGCTGAGACACAGCTACTTGTACAAAAATATACACCTGGTTAGGTTGTAGTTCGTTTACATACTAAATTAGGTTGCAATTCACTACAAAGGAATTCAAATCAAAGTATGGAGGCAACCTCAGGCCAAATTTAGTATGATTTAACAATTTCTCTGTTTTGTTCCACCTCTCAACTTTAAGAGAGTGACCAAATATTTGTGCATTGATGACACTCTCTGTTATTGTATCGGACATGTTTGGTCTCAGCATTAAATTAACAATTCATAACATTAGGTCAGTTGGATGATTTTTATAATCCCTTTATGTTTTCATTATTCTAACTGTAGTAAGACAATTTGATGTATAACAGATGGCTGCATTAGAGCATTTAAGACTCTTGAGAGAAAGCAGTGTAACAGGGAGACTATTATGAGGGCTATCAAAAGGATAATATGAAGATACTAAAGTATACTTCTTAATAGGAGCCTACAGAAATTGAACCTATCAAAATCAAATACATAAAAAATGATCCAGAAGAGGAATCTACTTGTTTTAACCAAGTAGTTTGTTGATTTCTTGCAACTGAGTTTCTATTATATCAGACAAATTTTTCCAAATACAACAATAAGAATTAGCTATCACACACAATACCCACTGCTAAGCCAACAGATAGTCCAAAGGAATCTTATTACCTGAAACAACTCTATCCGGAGAAGTTTAAGACGTCTGCTGGGCAACTGTAGCATTTTCAGTAGAGTCAGTGCTATAGCTAAAGTTTGTGCCAAGCCATAGAAAAAGCATTCTAACAAAAGATACCCATTTACAGGAATTTATGCCTGTTGGCAAAACATCTTTATTCCATAGTGCAAATTAAGAAGTGTTCCTTTTCCAAGTTGTTTTGGTGTGACAAAGGTACTTTTAGAATCCCTAATCTACACTGAGCCTTGTTTTCCATTTATTAAGACAGAGTTGCCCACACGTATGGTTGATCATTAAATCCTTCACAGATAAAAATATATCTTGAAGGGGCACAACAGACTATTCCCTGTGGGATGCCTTGTGCATTCAGGGTTATCAGTAGGGAAGCGCTAGTAATATTTATCTAAGGCTCCATTATTGAATCATTGCATGGTTTCAGGCTATGCGCAATCAAGGGATTTGGGTTATACATCTGTTCACAAACAAATTATCTTTCTTTTGGTTTTCTTACTAAATTTCTGGCAAAATTTAGCTGTAAAATCCTCACTATATGTTTTGCCTACTGCTAGTTTTAAACAAGGAATCCAAATGTGTGCATGTAAAAGCTTAACTTTATAGAAAGAACCAGATATTGCACTTGAAAGATCAATTAAATTTGTTAAAGAGTGAGCCAGAAAGTCTCTAAGATCATGTAAGGATTTAGGTCTAATGTGACATATCCAATATTTAATTAAGTTCCCCCGGAACCTACTAATCATAAAATCTTAATTATTACATTATTTTCTCATGTATAAACAGAAAAGAAACACAGGAAAGAGAGGAAAAGGGACAAAGATTTCATAAGAGGGGAAAAATCTTAATCCATAATCTTCAGAAAGCTGTCCATGTCTAGGATGACATCCCCTTCTGAGGAGAAACTTTTCTGGGCAATTTTACCTTGAGACCTCTGGTGAGTATACAGTCCCAAGAGTCTGGAGGGGCCCTCCTGGGCTGAAAGGAGTGGATCCAAGCCGTGAAGTTTTATTGCTGTATGGGTGGTAAGAAGAACTTGGTATAGTGCCTTCCAAAGTTGTTCAAGGGCAGTCTCTTGACTTTGCATTTGAGTTGCTTTCAAAAACTCATTGTCTGGGTTCTGGATCATGAAAGGTCTGGTTGTAAATTGGTGAGTCATGAAGATCTTCTTATACCTGGTGAAAATATACTTTGGCATAATGCATTAAAACCTGAAATATTGAATCATGTTAGAGCTTATGTGAGTATGAAATACATGAGTTTCTATTATTAGGGGCATATGCCTAACCACAATTCTTTTATAAGGAAATCTATGTTTTCCAGTGGAAGTGGATCTGATTGCCATAAATCAGTAATACCTTTGGAGCAATCCAATTGATTCAGTAAGCTTTGCCTAATACTATTGGGTTTGTAATACCTTATCTAACTGTTTTACAACCTGTCCAGTGAAATGAGTACCTCCATTGCCAGAGATTCCTCCAGCAACTCCCCATAAACAAAACGCATTTTCCAATAACCTGTTAACTACTATTGCAGCATCACCCTTTCTGCATGAGGATGCTTATACAACTAAATAGCATGCATTGAAGGTGGCAGTTAAATAAAACCCATCTGTAAAAGTTCAAATGATCCAGTAGGTGCTGGAAATGTGCCATCTGAGATTTTTATTGTCTTACGGAAATTATTAGTTTGATGAATGAAATATTGACTATAAATGATCTTAGCAATTTTAGAACAGCCATCCGTCAATATTTTTTCATAAATTCTGTAATTTTTACCTCTTCCATTATGAGTCGTACAGTGCAGAACTTTTAATAATAGGAGCTTTAAGGACACAAGAAGGACTGAGTGGCTGTCTAGGCTCTCCATGGGTCAATGCTTACCATTGCATTTATATCCTTTTAAACACCAGCTTTGCTTCTCCAATTTAGGCACATAGTACTTCTTATTAAATACATTATCATAGGTTATTTGTCTTGGGTTAATCTTATACAGTTCATTCAAATTTCATATCTTAACAATTTTGGTACTGGCTGAGTTAGCATGAAAAATCTGGCATTTCCTTAGTATTCAATTAATTCTTATTGATTTTGGGTTAGTAGTTTTATGGAACAAATCGGTTTCTTCATTAGATCTCTGGGAATTCTTATCCAGTCCAATGGTATGATCTTAAAGATATCAGAAATGTGTGCTTGTT
Source organism: Homo sapiens (assembly GCF_000001405.40). NCBI lineage: Eukaryota > Metazoa > Chordata > Mammalia > Primates > Hominidae > Homo > Homo sapiens. The sequence goes on along the minus strand of NC_000005.10, from coordinate 45,211,376 downwards.
AGAGTCCTTTCTATGAATATCCTCAGTGATGAAACACTTTAGGCTTACAGAGCTTACCTACAATAGCTTTCAGTAAAGTACCAGAGTAAACAATTATTTATCTCTGAATGACAAGACTTTAAATGGTCATGATAAAAAGATCTGATGAGAGTTCATTACAATAATGATACAATAATGATGTAATTGACAAGGAAATTTGTGTATTTCTGTTGCATACAATATTTTAAGATAATTAGAATTATGACTGATAACATTATACCAGGACTGTAAGATATATATGAATTTCATATAATATCTGGAACACATATTTTAATACAACTATGCAAATATAACTCAGAGAAAGTTTAGTATTACTTATTATTTGATGACATTCCCTATAGAATTTAATGTATCAAAAAAACCCAATTGGGTTATATTTGTATTTTTATTAGAAGAGATATCATTTTGAGTGTTCTAAGGATGCACCTGAAATATATCAAAGTTAATTCTAGACCAAAGAAAAAGACTTAATTTAGAGTTTTATATTGAAAAGTTTGTCAAAACATAAAAACTTTAAAACACTTGATCAAAATAGGGTAACAGGTCACTGTGAAATAATAGTCATTCACCTAACCAGTGGTAATTTATAGACTTCAAAAGCCAATACAGAAAGTTATATAGTTGCATAAGAAACCTTACCTCATCAATAGAAAGAACGCAGTTTTCTTAAGAAATCAAAAATATAATAAAGACAACTGAAAGCAAAGGAAATTATTTTCGTAAAACAAAGAATCTTTTTTTCCTCGGCTAATTACCCAAAAGCTAAAGAAAACCTTCCACAGTTTCCTATTAAGAGCAGACCAATACTCTTAAAAAAACTTGTTGTTTTAACAGAGAAAAAAATTCTAGTTTTGCATCAGTGTGCTTTTAATATTAATGCTCCGTGTCTAGGGAAAATTTACAAATAATTTCTTTCTAATCTTAGCCAGCTTGATCACATCAATTCCTTTCACAAGATTTACCTTCCATAAAACTTTAAACCTTCTTTTATCCCTTCAGTTATTTATTCTACACTTTTTTTCCTCTTACTTTGAATCACTCAGTCATACTATTATAGGACAAAAATTACTGTCTTTTTCCTGTAACAAAAACACATATTTTATGTAAGCATTACCTACCAAAAACATGTTATACTTTCCCCTCATAAGGAGTTGTCTCTCTTATTATTCTAGTTTTAATTACAATATATTAATTAGAATCTGAATCTTAGCAATTGTGAATCAGCATACTGTAGATAAACACCATGTCATGATTTCCAGAAATATATGGCTACCTCAAAGTTTAATTTTTAATATTTATTAATAGACCCAGATATATTTAGCTTCTCTATGCCATATTGAAAATAAGATGCCAAAACTATATAAACTTAAACTTATATTTAGCAATTAATGTTTCAGTATTTTCCTTTTTTTGGAAATGACCCAGGTATTCAACGAATATCCATATTTTAACTTAATTTAGCAAAACTCTAAAGGTTTAAGTTTCCAAATTTATTTGGGAAGCTATTTTTAAGTAGGCACACTGATACAAAACAAAGTTAGCTAGCATCAGATTATTTCCTTGTTAACTATTTTTACTGCATGTGTATGTTAGGCTGTCATCATGAAAGCAAGATCAAAAATTTAAATACTTTTTTTTAAATTTTATGCTGTGCTTGATATACATGAAGTAATAGACAAACTTACAATTTTATGGTCTTAAACATCTAATAGAGATAAAAGGTGTGTGTTTGGATTATATTTAATACTGACAACTCTAAGACTAGCCTGTTTTAATTATACCAGCAATATTTATCAAAGATAATTCAATTCACATGAATTTGAAAAGCATTTGAGTTCTTATTTTGCTGAGAGAATACTTGATTTATATAAGCATATATTTTTCTTAAAACCAATTAAATAGAGCTCCTTTATAAATTAATTTGGCAATATCATCAGGGGATAGAAAAAAGTACTATACATATATATTAAACATACAGACATGCATAAACATATAAACAGAAACAAATCTTATAGCTCTCACTTTAAAAATTTAGCCATGTTCCAGGTACTGTAATGTAAATTCACCAACTTATTAAAGAATATCTGGATCCAAATTGTTTTTCTGATCAATGGAACAAGATTTTATGCCCAGATGGCTAACACTTTTGACTAATATTTCATTTGCCTTCTGAAAGGATCATTTTGAAGAGTCAATCTTTGATTCATTAAATCTTTGATGCCTATGCTATACCAATTAAAAACTACATCCCATTACTTTTGTGGCATTTTTGATGCTTAATTTTCAAATGCATCTCACAAGTGAATAATTTTAATCTAGGTTAAAATTTCCCTACTGTGGTCACTGTAATTCTAATGAGTTGTCTTTAGTAAGATTAACCATTTTTCCCAAAGTACACAGGTACTGAAGCCCATATATTTTGTATATAAAATTAGTTGGTATTCCAGAAAGTCAAGTCCCACCTTTCTAGAGTCCCATACTTTTCAGATTTGGAACAATCCATTTTCAAAAGTTACCTACCTGAGGCCTCTAAATCCAGTCCAGCTAATTATCCAATCCAATTTGATCCTGGAAGCAGTTCATTAAATCATTGCACAAATAAATTTGATTGCTCAAAGCACAAATTTGTGGGGAGCTTGAATCCAAGCAAGCACTCACCTATGACCCCAGTTGCTGAGAGAGCTAAATCTCCCCAATGGGACCTGGTGGGTATATTTGTTTGGTCACTCAGTGCTCCTGGAAGTCACTGGAGGTCTACTTTAGATCCCACCTCTGATGTCAAACCATTAAAAGAAACAAGAGCTGACTGATTGATAAGCTCTTGAAAATGCGTAAACTTACTGCCTCCCTTCAGGTCTCCAAGGAATGCTAAGTCTCCTCCCTGCCATGAGAGACACAAAGTGAACTTAGTGTTGGGATACGGAAACTGGATGGCCCTCGGGGGCTGACCCGCAGGGACTTCGGGATATAGCAGAGAGAGCTTGGCATGACTTATTAGTCCAGGCTGTAGAATCCTGGAAAAGAGCTACCATGCATCCCACCCCTGGTCGACAGGAGGACCACCTTAGTGGAAGGGGGACAATCAGGGCCTCTGGCCTGCCATGTGCACAAGCATAACAATTGCTTTTATTTAATGTTTAGATGGAATATTTGATCGATTTCAACCAGGCATTTGCATCTTGGTATGCTGTCTTAATTGCCGAAGTTTCTTTTAAGTCTTCAACTTCTATGATCCTCTAGTAAAATGAATGTTTCTTTTAGCACCTATTTTTATTAGTTTTTAGACCAAATAAAGCTAAACACCATTTTATATTTAAAAATGCTTTTTGTATGATTTTTATACCAGATAAGTTAAATTTTACCTTTATATTAGTGTGTTATTAATGTTAAATTTAATTATAATAAAACCTTGTAGACGTATGTATCCAATTTTTTATGTTTGACCCTAAGGTAAGATTTTATAGACTCTTTTTAACCTTTTATAATTTTTGTTAAAGAGCAGGTTTATGCTTTAAGAAAAACTTGTTGCATTTTTACTTTAATGTCCAGTCCACAGAAAAACTGGATGATACCTTTTTAACTTTAGCTGATATGTTTACAAAGAGAATTTTTTTTTACAATTAATGTTTTAAAACTTGCTTAAACTGTTAACTTTCAGCAAACTTCACTTTTGTTGAAAACCTTGTAAGTTTGGGATTTCAATTATCCTTTGCTATTAATAAGACCTTGTTTAGTCTAAATTAACTTGGAATTGGTATAGATGGTCTCTTTTTCTCTCTGCTGCTGTTCTCTTAACTACTGTGGTGGGGAATGGGGTCTAAAACCAGCTGTAACAGTCTATATACAGAAACTGGTCTGGGTGCCTTGGCTTACAGGTTACCTTGTGTCATACCTTTGAAACAAGGGACCTGCCCAGACTTCCTTCTGATGGCCAACCCACCTCTAATGCTGGCCAGTCTATTTCACACAAAGTTCTAAGTTTTCCTGGTGTCATAGTAACACCATAATCTCCCTTAAATTTTTTCTTGAAATTTTTCAACATAGTTCCTAGTGGGGTGGGCTTATTTGTGCCTGACCCATGCTGCTTCGAGACAAAATACCACGCTCACACCACACGTACACCACAAAACAAAAAACAGGTAAAAAGGGCATACACACACTTTTACCATTTATACCAAATTAAAATCATGAAATTCAAAATCTGAGTACCAAAAAATTCAAGCCAAGTCAAAACCAAAACATCCAGCAATTCAAGTCAAGTCAAAACCAGAACAAAAGTGCGAATACAGGCATGCCTGGGTGATCAGGCCATGCTTCCACTCAGATGGAGCGGGGCAAGTTCCAAAGACTAGTCTTACCAAGTCAAGCCAAGTCAAAACCAGAACAAAAGTGCCAATGCAGGCACGCCATGGGTGATCAGGCCACGCTTCCACTCAGATGGAGTGGGGTAAGTTCCAAAGACTAGTCTTCCCAAGTTTCAGATATCTGGACTGTAAGTGCCAGTTCCTAACTGGCGTTCAGCCACTATGTTAATCCTCCACAGGGGCCTGCTACACGCTGCTCTGGCGAGGCGTTCCTCCGGGGCAGTTGCCTACCTGGGAGCTCTCTTTGGATCACGTCACTCAGGCTGGCCGGAGTACCCCACAAGGACACTCCACAGGGCAGGCTTAAGACGCCTAAGGGGCTGCCTCAGCTCTCCGTCAGTCACCTTGCTTCCCGGTCAGGCAGCAAAGAAATGAAGCAGGATGAGCTGCAGACAAAACTTTTCAGACACCGAGCTGTAGAAGGAAGGGCTTTATTCAGCTGGGAGCATTGGCAAACTACTGTCTTAAAATCCAAGCTCCTCGAGTGAGCAATTCCTGTCCCTTTTAAGGGTTCACAACTCTAAGGATTTCACATGAAAGGGTCGTGTTTGATTTGAGCAAGCAGGGGGTACATGACAGGGGCTGCATGCACCGGTGGTCAGAGTGGAACAGAACAGAGCAGGGAGTTTCACAATGTTCTTCTATATAATGTCTGAAATGTATGAATAACATCGGTTTCTAAGTTATGAGTTGATTTTTAATTACTGGGTTTAGGCCAGGCAGTCCCAGGCTTGGTTTCAGGCCTGGCACGGGGCTGCCTGACTTTGATTTTACTTCCTTGTTTTTTGTTTTTTTGTGTGTTTTTTTTAAAACAGGTACTGAGTATAAAACAATATAAAACAATATGAGAGGATCTCTCTCTTCCCTAATTGTGAGCCCTTAAAAGGGACAAAAATTGTGCACTCGGGGAGCTTGGATTTTAAGGCAGTAGCTTGCCAATGCTCCCAGCTGAATAAAGCCCTTCCTTCTACAACTCGGTGTCTGAGAGGTTTTGTCTGCGGCTCGTCCTCCTATGATACTACTTCACATATAGGAGGAGAGGCCTACAATTGTACTTTAATTTCTCCCCTCCAGGCCTTTTGTGTCAGGTTTGAATAGGCCTAGTTGTGCTAACTCCCACCTGGGCCAGGAATTTTCATGATGACTCAGTGACCAATTAAATGCTTACAAATTCATGGTTTATTGTGAGACTTTCACACACCAACAACCATGTAAGTATATTCAACACACAAAGGCAGTAGTAAGAGAGAGGGGGAAGGAACCATAGGGAGTAGCTCAGGAGACCTGCATGCTTACGGAATAACCAGCAGGTCCGGTTTATCTCTGAACACCAAACAACGGGGGGTCTCTGATCTCAGCCCAGCAGGGCTTCTGGCAAATGTAAATGGGTGCTGTTTTTATTTTAAAGAGCAGATTATGCAGATGGTTAATGCAGATTAACCACATGGAAAGCAAGAGAAGGAATGCAGATGCTACTAAGAGCAAAGACCAGTCTCAGGTAGACAGCCAGTAAGCAAATGGGAATCTCAGTCCCACAACCTCAAGAAACTGAACTCGAGTCAATAACCTGAATGAGCTTGGAAGCAGATTCTTGTCCAGAGCCTCCAGAAATGAAGGCTGTGCTGCCAACCCTTTTATTTCAGCATTGTGAAACTCTAAGGAGAGGCCCAGCTGAGCCACACTGTACCAGTGGTTCTGACCTACAGAATTATGAGATAATACATGAATGTTATTTTAAGTTGCTAAATTTTTGTCAATTTCTCATGGCAGCCACAGAATACTAATATACCATATTTCTGAAGATTTGCATCTGAAACTACTACTTATTTCAATTATTTTGTCAATCAGAATTCTTAATATATTGAACAAAAACTTACTCAAGTTGATTTAAGTAGATTATAAATATGGATTTATAAGAGAGATATTAAGTAGCTTATAAGATCAAGAGAAAAGAAGAAAAAACAGGCTCAGAAAATGGTAAGGAACAAAAGAGGGTTAGTTAAATATCTGTTCCTTGGCCAAAAACATGCCTGAGAACTTGTGTGATGACATTGCTGTCCTTGCCACAGAACGATATGGTTTATTCAACCAATTCCACCATCTCTAGACACTGTCTTAAGTACAGAAGACGATACTTAAGTACAGTCTTAACTATTACACCCTAGCAACTGCTTGCAAATACCACTACCACCATCACTAGAAATTAGTCTCCATAACCATTTGTTTACATAATTATTTGTTCAATATCTGGATTTCAACATCCGAAATGGATGCACTTGATTGGCTATACCCAGCTTATGTGCCACACCTGAGCTGCCCTTGCAGCTGGAAAATGAATATTGCTATTTCAGGCAATATAAAAAGAGATGAGCTCTGCCAACTACTATGTAGTTGGGAGTACTTCAAAAGTAGAAAGAAGAGTTTTCAAAGGATGGCAGAAAAATGTTGAATATATTCCGGTTATTCAGTTCACATATCTGAAACTTTTGAAGGTTCTATCTTAGGTTCCTAAGAACATGTTTCAGAGTCTCTTTTCCCAACTTCTTAAATTGTCTGAGGCCTCAGCTATCATAGATCATATGCTAAGAATGTTTGGTTAAACTCTGAATTTTAACTCTTTCTCAGTAAGGCACATGTATATTTAAAACAGAGATTATAGAAGCATACCAATGGAACAAATATAAAAGGTTCTCTTTTAGTTTCAAGTGAGGTGACCTTGGCTATGTCTGTACTTGACCTTTTTACACTTGTTTCCTCAAGTGTAGAAATGGTAATGAGCCTACCTCAAATGGGTATTGATTAGTTGATATGATCTTAGAAAGCTATTTAGAGAAACCCCTGAAGAGCTAAATATGGATGTAAGACAAATTGTGAGTGGGTAGTGGACAAGGAGACCGTGTATGAATCGTGAGTGTAAAATTAGGTCTTATGTCCCAGAGACTGCTTTTTGAAGCACTATATGTCAACTCATTTTAAATATAAAGGTCATGGCAAAACAAGGTAAAAGTATCTTGATGTCACGTTATTTAAGCTCTCTTGAATTTTAAATATATATGCACATATATACATAAATATAGAAACATAATTATATAAATATATGCATATAATTATACATATACATATATACATGTATATATGTTTTTATATATATAATATATTTGTATATACAATTTCTGCCTCTGTGTATATATGTATATACAATTTTTTTCCCCTTGCTGACTAATGCTGTTTCAGGTGAACTGTCCTCTTGCCCTCTACTATTTCCCAATCTCCCCAGTTCTTGATTTTCTTAGAAGGAGCTATAATCTGTCACTCCTGTGATGCTTTTCTTAAATAGCTTATATATTTGTATATATAAGGAGCTGATTATTTAACTTAAAGGAGGCAGTGAAGCAAGTTAGAACATTCTTATTTTAATTACAATCCATACCTTACAAAATTAATAGGATGACATAAAAATAGTAAGATGGAAAGGTGTATAAATAGAAGAATAGATAGGTACATACGTGTGTGTGTGTGTGTGTGTGTGTGTGTAGTTACAAGGGTGTGTCTATATATAGGTATAGGTTTGTATGTGCATGTATGTGTGTATACATATGTATGTATGTGTATACATATGTATACATACACATATAATACATGATGAAACAAATATAGTAAACTATTCATTAAAGATTCTAGGTGGCTCACGCCTGTAATCCCAGCACTTTGGGAGGCCGAGGCAGGCAGATCACCTGAGGTCAGAAGTTTCAGAGCAGCCTGGCCAACATGATGAAATCCCGTCTCTACTAAAAATACAAAATTTAGCTGGGTGTGGTGGCAGGTGTTTGTAATCCCAGCTACTCAGGAAGCTGAGGCAGGAGAATCACTTGAACCCGGGAAGGGGAGGTTGCAGTGAGCTGGGATTGCACCACTGCACTCCAACCTGAACAGTAGAGACAGACAGAGAGACTCCATCTCAAAAAAAAAAAAAAAAAAGAATTCTCAGTGGTAGTTATATCATGGTTCACCAAGCAATTCTTTCAACATGAGAATGTTGGAGCTAGAAAAAGCTTTGGAGTTCATACAACACAAATCCATCATTATATGGTAGACTATTGTACTCAATACATTTTTGGGGGATGAGTGAATAGATGAATTTGACAACTAAAATCAAGACATATAAGGAGCGTATAGGGACTGCTAAATCACATAGCTAGTCAGTGGCAAATCACAGGTTAATTAAGCTTTCCTGACTCTCAATCAGGTGATCTTTCTTTTATATAGTATATAGTCCAGTATATGTTTGGATAACTAGTCCTAGTCTTAAACACTGTGAAGGAATTCCAGCTGGAGACACACATCTGCAACTGCTTGGGATACGGCATAGTACCTAGCATATAGTAAGCAATTTTTTTCCACTCTTATTAAGAAACATTAGGAAAGTTCTAGTGGATTTCAAAGGTTGATCTCATCATCCTCAAACCGGTGATCAGTTCTCACTCTAAATCTTACATTTACCATTTATTTGTCAAGATTTCCCTTTGGTGTGTATGGATGTGTGTTTGTAGGGGTGTGTGTTGGGTAAAGTGGGGGAGAGTGGTCAGCGTGGAGGAAGGGAGGGCACCGTGCTGCCTCCTGCCCTACACAGCTCAAAAGTGTAAAGTAATTTCTACTTTGGCTCCCTTTCCTGCATCAACAAGTCACATCTCAATGTTCAAAAAGTTTGGAACTGGATTTTGTTTTAGAATTCAGAATATTTCAGACTTTAAAAAGAGATATAATGTGTATTTGCCTTAACTAATGTGTCATGGGTAGTACCCTACAATCAAATATATATATGAAGTGGAATATATGGACCTTTACAACAGATGGGATAAACAAAGTCTATGAATAGCCTTACATCATTTCAGATCAGCTTAGGTTTTTTGCTCTTCACTGAGTAAGCAAAAGTATTTCTTTCAGTGCTTTTTGAATTTCATACTGTAAGTGAGAGAATATCAGTCTAATATCTAATTCTAGGTATCGTAAAGCTTTGATGCTTAAGAAAATGAGGAGTGCTTAACAGCACTCCTGTGATCTCTTCAGGACTCAGAAGTTTTCCATTTGTACTGAGGAGAGAACAAGAGGAGATTGACTTAGATGTAGAAGAATTGAGATTAATAGAATGTGTTTTTTATCTCTGGTTACTAGCAGTGGACTAAAGACTCTGTAGTGTCAAGCAATATGCCTGGCTCATAATACATACAAAAATAAATTGGCATAAAAATGGCATGAATGATTTACCTAAGGAAACTAGAATATAAAAATAACATTGTAAATTATAGGGTGATACATAAATATTTACCATTGCTGTTTTGAAATAAAATCATTGGCAAATAATTTTTCTCGGAGTAGTTTCTGGGTGGAGGACTCTAGCATATGATTAATAGAGGATATTTTGTATTCACATATGCAGGGTCAGCAAACTTATTAAAAAAAAAAAGGTAAATATTTTCAACTTTGTGGGTCAAACATTCTCTGCCCCAACTTACTCAACTCTCACCATTGTACTACAAAAGCAGCCACAAGTAACAAATGAATGGGTGTGACTATGTTAAAATAAAGTTTTATTTACAAAAATAGAATGGGTCAGATTTGCCCCTCCTGTTATAATGTGCCCACCCGCTTCTATGTTTCTATCTTGTCTTCTATATATTATATAGTCATTCCCTCAGGTCTCTGTGCAAAGAATAATTTGTAAGGTCTTCAGGTTAAATGTCATGCCTTATACCTTTTGGTAGAATTCATGATTGTACTTTAATAAAGTATACACTCAACCACAGCTTAAAAGTTGACAACAGGCAGGAGAATGAACGGTGCACCCATTCTGGAGAGAAAAGCATCAGTAATTAGTCCACACCCCCTATGCATATACTTTTTGTCTCAACAATACCACATCCAGGAGAAAACCTATCACCCATATCTACAGGTAACCTCACTGTAGCAAGAAGTAGTGACAACTTTAATATTTATCTTTAGGATAAAAGTTAAGTAATCTGGGATTTGTACATAATGGGAGCCCTCCATTATTATTACGAATACCTATCATCATATATTATATGAGTATATCATAGTATTATATGAAATATCATGTATTAACTTAAAGGAGACAGTGAAGTAATATGATACATGATAAAATTATAATGGCAATCAAAAGCTAAGAATGAGAATGAATATGGAAGTGGGAGAAATGGGCATAGGGCTAAAGGAGAAACATATCAAAATAAACAATAAAGAGTGGAGGACCTTTGCACCAATTGATGATAATAATGTGCCAAGGATTGAGGGGAAGATAACCTAATTCTGCACACTTGAGATACAAAGATATCAAAACAGTAAGATAAAAAATTAAGCAGAGGTTTGGTTTCCTTTTTATTTTTTATTTTTTTTTTTTTTGAGACAGAGTCTCGCTGTTGTTGCCCAGGCTGGGCTGCAATGGCACAATCTCGGCTCACTGCAACCTCCGCCTCTAGGGTTCAAGTGATTCTCCTGTCTCAGCCTCCCAAGTAGCTGGGATTACAGGCATCTGCCTCCACACCCAGCTAATTTTTTGTATTTTTAGTAGAGATGGGGTTTCACCATGTTGGCCAGGCTGGTCTTGAACTCCTGATCTCAGGTGATCCACCTGCCTTGGCCTCCCAAACTGCTAGGATTACAAGCATGAGCCACTGCACCCAGCCACAGGGGTTCTTAAGATTTGAGAACCCCTACTGAGTCATGGATGAGGTCAATGTTTTCACACAAATTAAATGCAAAAGGACAAATCTAAGATTTCCTAGTAATCAGTGTCGCTGAAGAATCAAATGGGCTGCCTCTTGTGTAAGTGGATTCTAGAACATTTGAAGGGCTGTGAAAGATGAGGAGAAGATGGAATATTGAACCCAGTCTGGTTCTTAGTCTTGCTGAGGGCAATGAACACCAATGATATTATAATGAGCCCCCATAATGCACATCTTTGCCTACAAACTGTGAACACATTGATGGATGGGTTCCCTGAAGCCAAATATAGGCCTTCTCTGGAAAGATGGACCACTGTGAAACATTGCAGATCTAGATGCTTTGAATGGTTGAAAAATGCTCTAATCTTAAGTATTTATAAATTTTGCATTCTTTAAAACATATTTTTTAAGTAACAACTTATAAACATTTCCATTAGATTAAGTCAAATGTCTAATATTTTTCACAAGATGGTGTAATATTTCACAATATCTGCAAAACTTTGGCTTTAACTTGTTGCTAGTTAAGTTAGTAATGTCTTTTTCTTAATGCACAATGTAAAGAAGTGTTCCTATATAAGAACCAATCTTTCTTGTGCTTATTTCTGGTTTCTCATGAGGATGACATAAATGATTGTCATCCATGGCTCTTCACTGCCTATCAAGCCTTATTTCTTGCCATTCAAACTTTCTTGCATCTTTTTCTTCGCAGCAGTAAAATTCCTTGCCATTTCTTAATCATGCCATGCTGTCATCTCTGTTATGTTCTACAGCAGTCTCTCTCCTTGAAATCATTTACTTTCCTTTTTCAACTGAGTGACCACTGTATGTCATTTAAAGGTAAGTTCAGTGTCCTCTGGTTCAGAAATGCTTCCATCACTCCTCAGAAGGGCTTGTGTCCCATTGCATGTATTCTCATAACAGTCTATGTCAACTTTCAACATACTACAGTTTCCCACGGTTATATATCTATTTCCTTGTCTGTGTTCTATACCTCAAGTACAAAAACTGAAACCTTTAACCTATATCTGCTTATGCCATTCAGTAGCCTTTTCATTATTGAGTGATTCAGTGGTTATAATTGAATGAGTGAGTAAACAGCTGTTCATTAAATAAGTATACAGACTGATAGAATGGTACTTTATCACAGATCCAGTGCAGAAGTTTAACATTGTTAGATTAAATTAAATTTTGTTTTTATCATCAATTCTTTTTATTTATTTATTATTATTATTTATTATTATTTTTTGAAATGGAGTCTCACCCCGTCGCCAAGCTGGAGAGCAGTGGCACGATCTTGGCTCACTGCAACCTCTGTCTCCCAGGTTCAAGCAATTCCCCTGTCTCAGCCTCCCAAGTAGCTGGGACTACAGGCACGTGCCACCATGCCCGGCTAATTTTTGTATTTTAGTAGAGACAGGGTTTCACCATGTTGGTCAAGATGATCTCGATCTCCTGACCTCATGATCTGCCCACCTCAGCCTCTCAAGGTGCTGGGATTACAGGTGTGTGCCACCACACCCTGCCTTTTCATTAATTCCTTAAGGTGACAGAGAAGAGAGGATCAGAGCACATGAAGTTAATGGATAAGAATATTTATGGAAGTAAAAGTATCATGGCAATGGCTTCACTCCCACACTTCCCAGGTATGAAAGGCCATGTATCAGTACAGAATGTGCCTCAGCAGGTCTTTGCACTAACGCTCCGCTTTCATGGAGACACAATGACTCAAGAGTCTCTATGGTTTATACTCTTCCGGCCACTTCTAAATAACTTGTCTTACTTTCGCTCAGCTTCATATTTTTACTCATTCATGATTTCCAAAGCTTCATGATTTTTTGTATCTCTTTGCTAGGACACTCTTCTGCCTTGGTCTCACTGCGGTTTTTAATCAAAAAAGGTGCAAAAGATAAATGACTTATTTGCTTCATAGTTACCAATCGGTAGTGAAAACTTCCACTAAAAAAGTTTACTGTAAGAAGCCACGGGTCAGCCTGTCTTTGGAGAAGGGAGTAGTGCTCAATCACACCAGTTATGGCCAGGATGGTAGAGATGTGTGGTACAAAGCAAAACATAGAAAGCTATTTCTGGAAGCTTTGATCAGAACCTCAAAGGATAATTGCTTCCTTAGAGTATATATTCGTACTATGTGATTCTTTTTTTCTACCTCAGTTGCACTAGTGCATTCCATTATCGTCTCCACCAGTTTATGCCCAGCTACTGATTAATACCTCTCATCAATCTGTCATCCCATTAGCACACATCAGCCATGCCAGAGTGCAAAATTTGGTCATGAACTCTTTGGGTAACTCTTTAAAAAAGTACCATATTGCCATTTCAAGAACTTTAATCAGGGTAAAACAATATTCAAAAAATCAATGAAAATATCAGTCATCATGATTAATTTCAAAAGGTTAATAAAATAAGAAAAGCTCTAGACATTGAGCAAGCTAAAGTGACTTCTCTGCCTCCAATATGGCTAAGTATATCAAATACCACAGTAAAAACAAGCAAATAAAAAACAATAGTTGTTTTTTGAGATAAAGTAAACACTAACAACAACAAGAAACAGGACAACCTTGTCTTATTATAAGCTCCCAAATTTATGAAGCCTTGAGCCTTTTTTCTGAAAGGTGTTAACTTGTTCATAAAAAAAAATCTGTTCCTGACTTCTAAAATATGCTTTCTGAAGATATATGGTAACATTTGCAGACATATGAGCATGTGAAGAGACTGATATAGGTTTTCTTTTTTCCTTATGAACAGACTAGCTTACATCCTGGTAACCTGATGATTTTATTTTTTTTAATACTTGCTGCGGCTTTTTTTTTTTCTGAGTGAAGGAGGAATGAAGATATGAATAATTATTTGAAAGCTAGACTTCTACATTTTTTTTTTGTCTCTCAGCTTCCTTTCATAAAATTTAGTCTAGGGACAAAGAACCAAGAGCTAGGTTTGTGAAACATTTGAAGAATTGTTGGGATTGAAATTAGCAATTAGAACTAGAAGCAAGCCACCTGTAGAAGAAACAGCACAAACCAAATCATGGAAAGTAACATGCTCAGAACGTCTCAAGTCTCTGGTTTAGACAGACAACAGGTTTCATGTGGTAGCAGAGTTGCAATGAGGTAGGAAAGGTAATATGAGGATTGAATAAAGAATAATCACCTCCAATATCATGTCACCACTGCTGCTTTCTACCAAATTGAGCATTAATGTACAATATTGCTAATACTCAGCTGCACAAGCTTATGTTGTGAAAGTAAACTTAGGTGTCCTTTATGATGAATGTCTTCAATGTTGAAAGCTTCTTTAAAAAAGTGTCTCAGACAACTGGGCGCGGTGGCTCACGCCTGTAATCCCAGCACTTTGGGAGGCCGAGGTGGGCGGATCACAAGGTCAAGAGATCGAGACCATCCTGGCTAACACGGTGAAACTCCGTCTCTACTAAAAAGTACAAAAAAAAAAATTAGCCAGGCGTGGTGGCGGTCGCCTGTAGTCCCAGCTGCTCTGGAGGCTGAGGCAGGAGAATGGCGTGAACCCGGGAGGCGGAGCTTGCAGTGAGCCGAGATTGCGTGACAGCACTTCAGCCTGGGCGACAGAGCGAGACTCTGTCTCAAAAAAAAAAAAAAAAGCGTCTCAGACTTCCAAAAAGCTACATTATATAAAACACGATCTCTACATTTTTTTCCTTTGCTGTCTTCCTCAGCGAAATAAGAAAAGAAATACTTTTCTCAGAAACCAAGTAAACTTCAACAGAAATATGGTGATTAAAGATTATTTTTATTCACAATCTTTTAGTTTGTCTTGTTGTTTCCACAACATTGTACGGCTCACTTTGAGATGAATATTCTGTATTCGTTTCAAAGTAAAAATGTAAAGTACATTTCTCTGTGTCTGTAGAGCGACTAAATATAAAAAAAATCAATTACCACAAACATGCCAGATAATAAATGCTTTTCAGTAATCACATACAAAAGTTACTTACCCACCTCCCAATTCTCCTGGGGAAATGGGTTTCCCTGGTATTCACTCCCTATATAGTTAAATTAAACTCAGTTGTGTTTCCTGATGTGGATAAGTATCCATCTGTGGCCCTGATGATCACTATCATTATGTGTTATTAACCAATGTGAAAATTATCAACTTATGTAATGACAGCAGTCAGCACCATTTGCCTTCACATCCATATTACTTGAAAGTGTTCTCTGCAAATGAAAAAAATTTTAGGTTAAAAATTTCCCTATAAGCAAACTAGATATAGTTTTGTGTGTGTGTTTAAAATATTTATATACTATTATTATAGTTATATGTGATATATTACATATATTATTATATCATTTGTATTATTTCTCCAAAGCCTTCATCAAGTGTGAATAACAGTCATTGACTTACTATGGAATTAAGTACAATTGTCTAAAATGATAATGGCTCTAGAAACCAGACTTGGCATATCTTGGGATTAATTAAAAGAATAATCTTTTAAGAATTTCAATTTCAGTCTTTCTCAGTGAGTAAATTATAAAGATGCACACCAAGGAGCTTTAAGGAAGTAATGAGGCTTTCATTTCCATATGTCCTATTAGTTTTTAGCTAGCACAGCTATTAGAAAAGGTCATGAGCTAATTTCTCGGCTCATTCAAAGCAGCAAGAAGACCCTTTTTCAATAAAAGGCATAAAGAGAAACTCATTACTGATGGGAGATTGCTGCCAAAGCATTTTTTATGTTTGCCATGATTCTAGAGAACCATCTGAGTGTGTTTGTGCAAATGGAAAACAGGCATGTGCAGAAGAGAATCCATCTTTAAAAGTGATATGACATTGTCCATCTAAACTATATATAATTCTTAACAATATCAAGGCCATTTGATACAACAAAGATTTGGGAAACAATTTGAGTTAACTTGCTTTTTGATGTCATAGCCAAACTGCTCATTTAAGTTGAAAGTCATTGGATGTCTCCAGCTGGATATCTTCACAAATTGCTATTTTAGAACAAGATTCTAAAATTAGAAGATCTTATTTTGAAATACTCTGTAACTGGCCTATGCATTTTACAGATCCAGATGGTGCAGCTGATCCCCAGTACAGGCGTATTGTAGATTTGAATGGTCTCAAAGGCCTGAGCTACACCATGCTTACTATTTCATCTTTCTTTTTGTTAGTATGTGATGCTAATCATATGCTTTTAGCACTTTATAGGAGCCTATTCACTCAAATACTGGCATCTTTCAGAAATTAAACCATATCTTCATTCTAGTTCTGGGCACTGTTGTTAATTTATGTGCACTGGGATTTTATGTCCTGAGGAGACAAGTCTTGCTGGTGGACTGTCCAGACATAACAGGGAGTCTTGCTTTTTTGTTTTTTTGTTTGTTTGTTTGTTTTGTTTTATGGGGTTTTTTTGTTTTGTTATTTTAGAAAGAATAAACTCTGATTAATATATTTCTTGGTAATACAGGCCAGAAAGCTCTCAGCATCTCTAAGTATGTCTGCAATGTCTGCAGGTTAGTAAGGGCTGATCCAGCCTTAGGCTTTGTAAATAGGCTTTTGAGCATACTGTGTGTATTCAGTGAAAAATTATGTTTACAACCATTTTATTTCAGTGGAAATATTATATAAAAAAAGATGAAATTAAAGGTGTACAGAGTGTGATTTCGGTTTAGTCTGTAGGACGGGCATGACAATGAAATCTGGGTAACTAGTTTAGAGAATAAATTTTCTTTTATTTGAGAGGAAGAATACATATAGGACTCTGAAATAAAGGTGTTTGCCATTTTTATTTCCAAGTTTATTTTACTTTTTATCAAGTTCAGAATAAGTGCATTTTAAAAGATAAGTAAAGCTTCCAGTCCTGATTGCACACAGTACCCAAGAAAATTCATAATTTGAGTTAATAAGTGGATTAAATGCCAGTTGAACAAATCTTCCATAGTCTATGATATTTCAGATAATGTACATATTCCATTACTTAAATCATAAAAGTCATAAATTTGCCAAAATAAGCAGTGCGTTAGTTGATTTGAAAAATTGAAATGGTCAGCATAGACTTCACCTTAAAAATATTTATAAAATATACTTGATTTCATTTTTCAAATAATTTATGATTATACAGCTTCTTAATGTTGATAAAATGGTCCTCTTTTGGCATAAACCATATTCAGCAAATCATTTAAGAAAAATATTTTATGATCTGCCTTGTTATCTTTTTCTAATTTTAAGTATTTTGATCTGCTGTGATAAGTCATTGCTTCAGTAGATCCAAAGAAGCCAGAGAGACAAAAACCAGAAAAGCTGCAGCCAAGGAAAGGTTTGACTCTCTTGGTCAGTATCCAGTATGAAAACCCAAGTATAATCAGGACTTTTATACAACTATATCGCAATCAAATTTTGTGTTAATAAAATGACGTCTTGCTTGATGAATTATGCATGTTACTCATCATTAGTAAAGACAGGAACAAAATCTAATTTTAAGTACTATACTTCATGTCTTTTGACTCATGTAATTCTCTCAACATTATCATAAGATAGCACCTCCATCTTTCCCATGAAGAAAATAAGATGGTTACAGACCATAGAGTATGTCGCTAGGTTGGAACTAGGAAGACGAATTCAGGCCATGTTCATCTAATGTTAAAATGTAATCTAAACATAGAAACTAAAAGACAGTTATCTACCAAAAAAGCAGAAGATATGGCCCCTAATCTTAAGACAATATTTTAGCAAGTCAAATAAAACTATAGAAAATATCCAGAATATAATCTGGGGAATGAGATAAAACTATATATGAAATAAGCACAATATAAACACAATATGTACACTATGTGATGGAGATATCCATAATGCTTCATGCCACTAAAGAAAGATTGAACCAAAATCTATACCAGAAGTTAGAAAAGTTTTGACAGCATAATTACCATATGAAGCTGAATCTCAAATGTCAGTAAAGATAACAAATTTGGCAAGTAGACAAGGAAGAAAAAGAATTTGGGGAGAGTATATTCACAGTTATTTTGTGCTATGTAGGCAAGCTTAACTTTTCCTGTATCCACTGAAGGATTATTGATCTATGGTAAAGGCGGTAGTGACTTAAAAACATGGTTTTTTAGAATAAGAATTTGGCAATAATGCCAAGATTGACTTTGAAGGGCTTACAATAAAGACAGAGCTACTGAAAAATTCTAGATAAAAAAGAAAGAATCTTTTCTATGGAAGTGGAGATGAAAGGGAGTATGACAATTGAAAAGACAAAAGACTGAAGTAGCATTCAATATTCAGTCAACAGCCTTTACTGAATTCCTACTTACATGTCAGGCATTACTTTAGGCACTGACTTATGACTTTGAACAAAATATGCCAGATTTTTAGTTCCAGGCAATTTAATTCTAGTTGAGAGAGGAAAAATGTATGTTATATATTTTCTAATATATGCATTTGGTTCTTACTGTAAAATCTTTTAAAATCAGCTTGAGGAGATGAGACATCAAGGTTACAAATCAGTGTCTTTGCTAAGTAGAATCTTCCAATCTACTGAATTTTTTTAATGAAATTTACTGCCACATAAGCAACACACTTTTTCCTTAAGGAGAACACAGTATGATGGTATTGATGTACTCTTCTATCAAAAGAAATGTGGCTGATTGACAGCTTGTGATAATTTCCGTAATTGAATTATAAAAGCATTTTGTGACAGTGACTGAGAAACACCTCTGCATAATGTGACCAAGAAGGGCTTGTGAAGTTTGAGTTAAAACTTGAATGACAAGGGAAGTATCACATAATCAGCACAAGGAAGGAAATACGGGCCAGACCATAGAAAGTCAGATCAAGATTAGGAGCTGACATTTTATTTGAAGGTAGATGAGTAGTTTTAGGCAAGGGAGCAAATGATTTAATTTTCATTTTTAAGTGACTTTACCACTGTTTCTTTGTGGAGAATGTAGAAAGGTAATATTGGAAGCAGTGTGAAGAATTTAATTGCATGTATGAAATGATAGTGATTGGGTCTAGGTTAGTAGAAGTTAGAATAAAAGGAAGAGTGTAGACCTGGGGTAGGTTTTAGGAACTTTTTAGAATTGACAGGACTGGCTAATGGCTTAGATGTTGAGGTAGAGTAGGTAAAGAGAGAAACAATGATTCTTAGTCCATGATATGATGCAGTTTCTCAATAAACAACTGTTGGATGAATGCTAAAACTGGATGTTGGGAGCTATCAAGGTATTTGCCAGGTTGAAAGAGAAAAGGGGCATTTAAAAGTAGCATGCACTAATATTATCAGCCTCCTCTTGATATCTATCCTGTTAATAGATTAATTCTCTAGTCAACTGAAGTTTCACTCCAGAGTTGGATTATTATAGCTTCAGGAAACAAGTGTGGTAAAGAGTGTTATCTTGCTCTTCAAGAAGCTATACAGGATCAAGGTGTCTTTACTAAGTAGAACTTTCCTATATGCTGAATATTTCTAATGAAATTTACTTACACATAAGCAACAAACTTTTTCCTTAAGGAGAACATAGTATGATGGTATTGATGTACTCTTCTACCAAAAGAAATGTGGCTGATTGAAACTTTGAAAACCATTTTTACAAATGCCTGTCTTACAGATGTGAAAAAAGTGGGAGATTCTGGAAATCGAAACCTGACACTTCTAGCTTTAAGATTGGGCTGGTAATTTCACAAACTCTGAATTTCCTAAAATTTCAAACAGAAAACCTGAGATAGGAGTGATTGTAAAGAACACTTACATTTAGCCCTCTTGGCTTTTCTGCCATATTTAGAAAAATATGTGACTAATACCTCTTAATTTCAAAGTAGGATCATAGAGTTCTAGGACATTGGAGATAGAAAGACTTTGAGATTCTCCAAACCAGTGCTGTCCAGATAGAGATATGATACAAACCACATATGATATTAACCACATATTTAATTTTGAATTTCCTGGCAGCCATATTAATACAAGTAAAAAGGCTAAAGATAAAATTAATTTTCAAAATCTATTTTATTTAATTAAAATAGACAAAATATTATCATTTCAACATGCAACAAATATAAAAATATTAAAGAAGTACTTTATGGAGGGTAGTGAGTCCTCAGAATCAGGTATGCATTTTATACTTGCGGCATACCATATTCAAAACAGCCACATTGCAAGTGTTCAGTAGTCACATTTTACTGTGACTATCATATTGGACAACACAGCTGTAATCCACCTTTAAGGGATGAAGAAAATAAGATGTTAGATAGATTAGTATGTTTTTCCTAAGTCCCAGAATAAGAACTTTACAACCTGACTCATACAACTCACTTTTAGAACATGGGGCCTATGAATAATAATTGTTAAACCTTTCTGGACAATCATCATGTTCCAAGCACTGTTTCATGTGCTTCACATTTATCTCATTTAATCATCATAACAATGACGAAGGTGCTATTTTCTCTATCATACTGATGAAGACACCAAAGCATGGGAAAATTAAGGCTTGACTAAAGGTACCAGATTCTAAGGACCAAAAAAGAATTGGAATCCAAGGAGTCTGCTCCAGTTTATGTTCTTAACCATGACAACTTTCTGGCAAAGAGTATACAAATGACTTTATATTTTAAAATTAAAAGCAAAGTACAGAACAATACCGTCAGTCAAAGGCAGTATGTGCCTAATGTTTTTATCAATAACAATGTTTGGTGAACTCAACTGCACTCTTAAAATAAGGTTGTTCTGTAAGTTGAAAGCATCCTTTTCATTAAGTCCACTGTCTTTCTGGCAAATATGTTGTTACTGACCAAGTATCCTACATACATCACTTCCAGCCAAGTTTCAGGATACTTCAATTTCCCTTTCTGATTTTCCAATTTGGTGAATTTCCTTTTAACTATTGATTTTGCCTTTTTTTGTTTTTGTTTTTCTGTGTTTTTAAATATTATTATAGAGAAACAGTGGATTTGTTATATTTCTCTGTAGTTCAGGACATGTAGTTAGCACTGCAGTTAATATAAATTCTCTACATATTTACTTTCATTTCCTTGCACCTGTTACTGAATGCTAATATGCATAGAACTGTTTTTGTTATATGAGGAAATAATCAATTGATTAACTGTATAATGAAAATAGCACTTTCAAACTACTTGTATTACATTAAAAATATTTGACATCTCAGATATGCCCTAATAATTGATATATGTTTGATCAATTTATTTATTAAAGAAACTGATCTGACTTATTAACACATTTAAGTTGCTATATCATGAGTCACCTATCCATGTTGGAAATTCCCAAGGTCAAAATATTATTGCCAAATATAGGGGTGCACTTTCTTGTGTGCTCCATTCATTTATATCAGAAACTGATATTAAGATTCTCACTTTCATTCCGTCTCTCTCTGAGAAGAGACAAGATCCATCCATGTTTAAAAGTTACATCATAAAACAAGCAAAGCACTTAGCCTGCCAATTTTCCTTTTCCTATTTAGATAAAAGCCTATGCAGTTTGAACAAGCCATGATTATCCAGTTCTTCACTTTTCTTTTTGTGGCTTTCGCGGTAGAGATGGATATCTGACCTACTTAGTGCTAACAATTGAAACAGGCACTTCCCTCACCTTGAGAGTAATGGTTCTAATGGCAACTTTCCATCCCAAGGTACCACACTAAGGGCACTGAAGTCGTTTGCTGAAGGAACAACAGCTGTTGCAGATCATGTTCATTCTCATACCATGATTCCACGTGATTAATATCATTCCTTTATTTTAGAGAGAATCTACAGCTGTCCTCTCTCTTGACCACATTGTTTCAAATATGACCTCAAAATACCACAATTAAAGAAAAGCATTTCCCCCCTCTAGTTTTAACTTGAAAATAAAGTAATAATAATTTTCTGCCTCAAATTTTCTCTTCAAGCTTTCCTGTTAAAAGTTAAACAAATATTGATTTTTTAAAAGTGGCTGTGCAGATGGAAGTAATTTCTCAGATTATTTCATAGCACACCAGTGTGCTTTGTATGCACAAACACAACCCTAGCATCAGCAGGCTCCTAATGTGCACTCTGGGGTTATAGTTCTGCAGGAAGCAGAACTATATGGCCACTTCTGAATTTCATTTCCCTGCTATGGCCTCTGCAATTCTTATCCCTGTAAGGCTATATTTTATGGGAGCAAAAATGGCCTACATTTGTGGGGGAAATCAGTATATGCTCATTACAAGTGCTACAAGGCAGAACAAAGCATCATTACTAAATAATACAACCATTTCTTTCTGCCTCAAAGTGATTCACATTTAACTTCTTTTCCCTTTAGTGTAGGACTACTATTATTCTTCCTAAATAACTTGAGGCTTCATATAAGAAAAATAAATCCTAATCTAAAACTGGGAAAAGTCAGAATATAGGGGTAAAAAACAGGCTATAGCATAGTTTTGATTACCTTAGAAGTACATTTTCCAACAGGTCTCTATAGCTTAGATATTAGAGATCTTATTTGAAAACTTCAACTCTTCATTACTGCCAATAAGGCTATATTTAAATGATTGTAATGGAACTTCAGAAATATTTAATTGTGATGGTTTCTTAGGTGTTATTTAAAGAATCGTTTATTATAATAATCTGAAAAATTATATAAAATAAGATAGATATTTATTAATATTATTGTCTTAATAAAAATGATACAATTAAAGTGCAGCTTCAATCATATCACATCCCTCATCAGAAACATTCATTCACTCCCCACTTACCTACAGAATAAAATGTGAACCCTGTCAGCTTACTTTAACACAACCTCCCAACATTATGTCAGTGGACCTATGCAGTCTGCATAATCTTCTGTCACACTCTGTATGTATCAGCCAATCTTATTCTTTAAAATATTCAGAAATACTCAAGAGCCTCCCTTGATAACCTGTGTCCATGTCAAGCATTCTTAACTTACTTTAATTTATTTCTGCTATCTAATGTTCTAAGAAAATTAGAATAAGAACAAGAGTACAAAATAAGAATAAAACATGCTAAGTAAATATTCTGCTTTCATTCAAGACTGGGCAAGCTGTCTTGAGGAAAATAGACTATATCAATATAATTAATATGATAAATTTGCAAATAAAGTAATGCATTCTCGCTGTTCCATAGAGCATCCCTCACACATACACAATGCTAATATTTTCATAATGAATTCCATTTTGAAAGTATTTCTACTTCTGAGGTGACATGCTCTTTCTCTCTTCAATCCAGTCCCCAACTAGCATGACACTTGTCAGGGTACACTTGTATTATTCCTTGTATCGTATGAAGGCCATCCTGCATGGGGAGTTAGGCTGACTGAGTTTTTAGTACTGGAATTTTAGAATGATAAATTAAGGGCTTTAAAAATAATATTCTGAAAGTGTATGCCATAGCACCAACTAAAAACAGCAGGATTAGTTCTTTCCTATGTATAAAGATATAGTTTCCCCTAACTTGTTGAAGTTCCATTAAGTTCCATTATTTCAATATAGTCTTGGAATACATTCCCTCGCCTCATAATTATTGATTGTCACATAATTCGCTGATCAACTAAATATCTTACTTTCTCAATTAGCAATGAATTATGTTAAGACACAACCTGAGCATTACAAATCCCTTTCAAAATGGAATGACCCTGTTTACAATTGAATTAAAACTATACTCCAAAAAATCTTTAGAGGTGATGCAATAACTTATTTATGTATAGCACTTTGGAATATTGGGTCCCTACCTCTGACACTTCTAAATCTATAACACCAAGAATAACAATGCTTAAGTCACCTTCTAAATCCATCAGCTTTACCCCAGCTTTAGAGCAGAGGAAAATTTTTGTTTGTGGGTAAAATTACCCAGTATCTGAGGACTAGCAATATTGAAGTACAAGTGACCTTGTGCCACTAAAAATAACGTGACTCATCTCTAGCTCTGCCTCCTCTATGAATCTTTCCTTAAGCACCACCACCATCACCACACACATAAAGAATCACTGTCTTCTCTGAATTCCCATAAAATATTTTTGATGTCATAGCATTATTGATTTCTTTAAATGCTTATCTTACACTAGCTTAAGAATTTCTAAAGATCAGGGACTTTGTCTTATTCATCTCTGATTCCCCACAATGAGCCTCACAAATAGGTACTCAATAATAACATACTAATAAATGAGTGTAATTTTTCTGTCCTTTTAAATTTTCTTTTTATCTGAACAGATGTAGCACTTTCCCTCAGTATTTTGATAATTAACTGAATTCTACCTTTAGATGTTGCTTAATCATTTAATGTGGGTAGCTACCCCAAGGCCAAGACACTGGTCATATCAAACTGTTTTCTTTGTATTTCACTTGATTTTTAAATAACTGGAAAAATGGTAGGCAAAACACTTGATGAGTAGCTAAATACAGCAATTTCTCTTTCATTAATTTATTTCAAACATTTATTCAACAACCACTGTGCCGAGGACTGAGAATACCATGACTGAAAATCTCATGATGAGCAAATCTAAGACAGTTCTGGTCTTCATAATTTCAAGCTTCATTCCAAACCCACTGAATCAGAAATTCTAGGGAAAGAGCTGGAAAATGGATAGTTTGAAACTTTAAAAGTGATACTGATAATCAATACTGATAGTCTCTTTGAAGAGACTTGAACTGAAGTTTGCCAAGAGAGAAAAAAGTATGAGATTGAGAATAAAGAAGACACAGTTTCCCATCTCATTCTCCTGCATGTCTTTACGACCTTAATAGTGCATCTGCAAACACAAAGAACCACTACTAAGACCTAAAAGTTGAAACAAATGCAAGGAACCAGAACCATCTTTACAAATAACACATCAATTGCTTATGATAATACCTATTATATATACACATTGGAAGGTTTTAATCTGCAGAATGGTTTCTTGTGACTGATGTAAAACTGAGAAACCCTTAATATTGAATATGGTCTGCAGGTGAACTAAATATTCAAGCCAATACATATGCAAATTGAGTAAGGAAATACAGAGGAAAAGTAGGAGATTAAATGATAAAATGACAGCTATACCTCTTATTTAGAAAGTGGTGTAGCAAGTTGAGGTTCACAGTGTGGTTCTTTGTGTGGTCCAACATTTCATGGGGTCATAGAAAAATCTAATCTATTTTAGGTTCTCATTCTTGGATTGCCAGAAAAATCTGCATTTTAAAATATTAGGAAGTGTCTATTGCTAATCTCATAAGGCAACTCCGTGAGCCCAATGAACTAATAGAAGTATAAAACTAGGAGAATTCTGTTCTAACCAGACAAAATAGTTTAGATAGAAATCATGAATCTTTCATCAGATGCAATGTATAATTTCACATCCAGGCAGGCAGCTTGGGACAAAAAAAATTCCTAGAGAAAAATCAAACTGGTTTGAAATTATGCACACAGAATTGACAAAAGTCTACACTGAACTATAAGCAACTCGAGTAATAAAAGGGAGATGGGAATTTTTTATTGTTACATCCTCTCACTTCAAAATAAAAATATACATTATCTGTGGACTTGATTTCTTGATATTTTTAGCTTAAATAGAAGGCCCTCTAATATTACAGGAGTTATTAATGTGTTTATATTTGAAAATAATGTTTTTAAAAATATTTATCCTTGGGTGTTCATAAAAGCACTGCCAAGTATTCATAAGACATTCTGAGCCATTAATTTAATTGATTTACAAATGGATGGCATTTTTTTAAAAAGTCTGGTCAGAGGCCTAACAGATAGTTTGATAAAACTTGAGTGTACATCTTCAGATTGCCAATAATACAATTATAGTCCTGACATTATAAACTCAGTATTGTGCTTTTACCTTCAGTAAGCTAAAGGAAAATTTGAAATTAGCTATTCTTCATTTTATCACTTCCTGCTCTAAAAATTAAAGCAACCTTGAAACTAATATACGAAATATATATAAGCCATAATGTATAAGTAGAATAATGGAAAACATTTCACAGCACAAAGAGACATCAGGCTAACTTGATTTACTTTCCACCACAATACATTTTTCTTCCTTCGTACTGTTAATGTTGTTTGAAATATCTAGAGCCTGCAGAGAAACCCAGTGCATTGTGTTTCATTCTGACTGTGTACAGTCGGCCTTCTGTATTTGTGGGTCCCCACATTCGGGACTTCAACCAACCATAATTAGATCAAAAATACTTGGAAAAAAACAATAAAAATTACAATACAAAAAATGCAAATAAAAAGCAATATAGTATAACAATTATTTACATAGCCTTGATATTGTATTACTTGCATAAGTAACCTAGATATGATTTAAATTTCATAGGAAGATGGACATAAAATGCAAATACTGTGAGATTTTATATAATAGACTTGAGCATCCATGGATTTTGGTATCTGCAGGGGTCCTGGAACCAATCCTCCACAGATTCCAAGGGACAACTGTGCTGCTATAAGCTTCTTACTTCATAAAGGCCAAGCAGTACTTATAAGGACATGAGGTAGAAAAATAAACAGAAAATATTATATCCTTCACTCTGCTAAGTCCAATTGATCCTCCATATTTTTCACTAGTCAATTAAACATATTTTTTTTTCTTTTTTCTTTTTTTTTTTTTTTTGAGACAGTTTTGCTGTTGCCCAGGCTGGAGTGCAATGGCATGATCTCGGCTCACTGCAATCTCCGCTTCCCACTTCCCTCTTCCCGGGTTCAAGCAGTTCTCCTGCCTCAGCCTCTTGAGTAGCTGGAATTACAGGTGCCCTTCACCCCGCCCGGCTAATTTTTTGTATTTTCAGTAGAGACAGGGTTTCACCATGTTGGCCAGGTTGGTCTCAAATTCCTGTCCTCAGGTGATCCACTCACCTCGGCCTCCCAAAGTGTGGGGATTACAGGCCTGAGCCACAGCACCCAGCCCAACACATATATTTCTTAATTACCTACACCATGCCAGTACTATGAACAATATACCCTCCTCCCAATAAGCTGTAACACAAACAAAGCAATGAGATGTTTAGCCACGCATTAATTAGGTAACACTACTCTCTGTAGGTTAAGTTCTGAACTGTTTCTTACTGACCCTTAATTCACATTAAGATTTTAAGTAAGTGGAAGAAAAGTGGAAGAGATTAGAGATTGGTAGAGTGATAAGAACCTGCAGGAATAGATAGTCAATAAAATGTCATGCTTCATAATTATTAAATTTCCTCCATTTTACTCTGAACCTAAACACAGCTTAGCCTTTTAGGTAAGTACTAGTTCCAGGAGTTTTTATAGTGAGAGGGAGAGCAAGTAAGAACTGGCAATAATTGTTTAAGTATTAACAGGACCACTTTGCTTTTCTATTCTTATTTCCCCTTGTATCATTCCGGCACCCGAGTTCTGTCAGAGAAATAACTAGATCCAGAAATCAGGAGTTCATGGAAAGATTCCAAGACAGTTGTTGGCCTAGTCTGGATTCTTCATTTTGGAGAAAGCAGAGTTTTTACAGGAACCTTTTGATATCTAAACAGGCAAGGAAGGAGATATTTTGAGAAAGACTTGAAAAAAGCAAAATTATAAGGTTGCTTAGTTATTTCCAGAATAATTGGGTTATGTATTCAAAAGTTAGTTTATATGACTTTTTAATGAATTGCTGTACATTTGCATGCCATTTTCAGAAAGTGCTTACTCTAACTGTGTTAGATCAGATCACATAATTAGTTCAACAATGTACAATTGCTGTCTAATTTACTGCTTTTTAAAGTGAAGCTTATGCCCATAGATACTAAAGCTAAGAGGTGGACAAAGTAACTTTAAGGTCTCAATGGAGTATAAATCAAAAGAATGTATTTATCTCACAAATTCTTGATCATTTCTAGGACAAGCCCTTTTTGCAATTCCTTACAATTAATCTTGTAAACTTCCTAATTAGGCTTATTCTGGGAGGAAGTAGTAACTGTTTTTCTCATTAGTGTGTCCAACTATAAGACAGGAAGGATTTGAGAATAGCCAGGAAGATGAGTAAATTAAGGACATGCTTGCAACTTTTAAATAAGTGTTATATCTCTTCCTGAGTAGTTCTTAAAGGATTATTTATTCAATTAATCAAAAGTCACAAGCATAAATGCTTTTGTAGGGGGTGAGGGCCAATGGGATGAAGTGGAGGAAAGAAAGGAGAATCAGTCCTGATAGGATTTCTAAACTTGGCTGGACATCCATTATCTCAGAGTTGACTGCATCATAATGACAGATCACGAAGGGGGAGTACAAATGACAGGGTGGGGGAAGGTTTTTAAACACAGGCACAAGATGCTTATTAGTTCCATTAATCTGAACCTAATGGAAGTCTTGGCTTAGGAAAGTGGTACTTACACGAATGAGAGTAATGTTCTAAACGCAGGATGCTGGCAGAACAGAAAGTAAGTTACCATAAGGTCATGGGCCGTAATCTCAATATTTAGTTTATGGATTCTGAGAGATGAGTGATGAAAAATAACTATGGCTTAAATAAGGTAATGATAATTGGTAATGAGAATTGTTTCCAAAAGTCAAAACACACACACACACACACACACACACACACACACACACACACACCCTTCCCTCAACAGGTTCACTCTATGATAAAAGTGAGTTAAATTTTGAGAATGTACTAAACTCACCTGGTTGGTCCCCTTGAAAATGTTATTATGTTTAGTCAAACACATTCTTCAAGTCATCTATGTATAATATTTTAAAAATATGAGACCTCTGGAAAGAAGCCCAAGTTGCAAGATTAAGAGTAAAATTGTACATGCTGACAATCTGTTATCAGTTAACTATATTTGGACTCATAAGAATTTAAAAATGACTAACAGCTGAACTGCAAGAGTATCTGAGCTTATAATTTACCATTTACCTTTTTTAAATTATAAAGTAAATTATAGCTGTTGTAGTCATGCTTCCCCTCTGCGTTTTTCCTGACCTCCTTCCCTCCCTCCCTTTCTACCCTCCCTCCCTCCCTCCTTCCCTTCCTTCCTTCCTTCCTTTCTTCCTTCCAAAAACTAGAATTGGAAAGGATCTATGATATCAATCTCTTGCCTTGTGTCCACTAGCAGAGAATAAGTAGAGCATGCTTGAGTGAGTTTTGGTAATTAAAATTATACTGAAAAACTGGCTTACCTACAGACTGTCAGTGTCTGCTTCTCCGTGACCTAAGGCGTAAACTATATCACTTTTCAGAAGCAAATTGATTTCCCTGACTCCTGAAAGGTTTATTTCAGGTAACAAGAATATGTTTATCATCAGCCGAAGTCCTGGTGGGAAGGTGGGGGCTGGAGGGCAGGAGGAAAAGATAAGGAAAGTAATCTTTTAAAATGAACTAGAACTTGAGTCACTTAGCTCGTGCGCATGACACTGCAGAGTCCTCTGCATTACAGTAGAAAGACTTGGGGACTACACAAAAATAAACCCTTTTGCCTTGGCATACACTCTTATTTCAAGCTCTATATTTAAAGGTAAGGAAAGCTGAATCCAAGGAAAGACAAACCCAAGGAAAAGCATGCCAAGAAAAAGAACTCCTCTTTTACAGAATAAGCTTCTCTATAGCTTCCAGTTTTCTTAAACAACAAGTTTCTCAGGTTGGAGACAGGACTAAGTCCATTTTTCACCACATCACTATATGATAAGTGATAGTAAGAACCCAAATAAAGGAATTATAAAATAAATTTTTCCCTAAGCACTTGGGTCTTGTCAGTGTCTTAGAAACCAGACCACTGGATAAAATTATTCAACAAAATGGCTTAGGCTTTAGGAATGTAATATCAAACAAAACGAAGAAAGATACCTCCTTCCTGAATCTTACTTTCTATGGTGGCAAATGATTTTTAAAATTATTTATTTATTAACAAACAAGGGCACTTATGACAAGATGTGTCAGGTCTTGTACAAAATGTCTTATAAGTATGAATGCATTTGATCTTTGCTATAGCCCTGAAGTATGTGAAGTGGGGCAATGCTTGAAGGCAGATTGTGGTAAAGTAATGTAAACTACAAACTCTAAAGCAACGACTATTAGACAAGTAACACTGAGATACCAAAATTTGACAGAAACATTAAAAAAAAAGAAAGAAAATTACAGGCCAGTATCTGTCATGACTGTTACAGTAGGTAGCCAGTCAGACATAAGCAGGACAGGGAGGGCTCCCCCACCACTGACACACACCAGCAATGTCACTATCAGGTGACAATCAGGCAGCTATCTGTCTCTCTAAAATAATAATTGGTCTCAGCCGGCACCAGGGAAAGGCGGTCTCCCAATAGAAAAACCTGAAACTGATGACCAGCTTCCCAATAAGACGATGGGAGTTGGGTGAGTGGGATCAAGCATGCACACTAAGAGGTAAAATGCCAGAATTTAATGGTTATATGAACTTCCTCTAGGAACACTGAACTGGGAAGTGAAAAACATCTGAAGTGAGTATGCCTGCAACTTCAGTAAACACACTACACATATGAACCCCCGCCCCAAGTGCTGGTGGGCCACTGTGCATGCGGACAGCCCGCCCCAAGCAAAGAATCAGGGGAGAAGGAACGCAACCTTCTAGAAGCATGCCAACATATAAAATCCCAAGTCAAAGATCAAACAGCACACTTGATCTCTCAAGTTGCCTGCTTGGCCCTCTTCCAAGTACACTTTACTTCTCTTTGTTCCTGCTCTAAACTTTTTAATAAAGTTTCACTCCTGCTCTAAAACTTGCCTTGATCTCTCATGCTGTCTCATGCCCCTTGGTGGAATTCTTTCTTCTGATGAGGAAAGAATTGAGGTTGCTTCAAACCCGTATGGCTTTGCCACAACTAACAATGACTATAGATGAAAAAATTTATAAAATTTTAGCAAAGGCTATCTAATAATATATAAAAATGATAATATATCATGTACAAATGGAGTTTATCCCAGGAATGCAAGGTTGGCTTTCTTCCTTTTTCCCCCTCTCCCACTCCAGTACTATTTGCTAATTGATATTTATTTTACAAATATTGCCTTCTCTGGGAAGTTTACTTTGATTTCCAAGACTGATTAGTTGCCCTTGTCCATAATTTCACAACCTCTTGTATTTCTCTACTTTTTAGGACAATTTTTATGTTTGTTTATAGCTACTTTGTTCATTAAGTTACATGTTGCTGGAAGCCTATATAAGCTGTGTCTTATATATCTCTGAATGATCAAATGCTGTCACACATTTGTTGCTCAATACATGTCTGTTGAATTGGACAGAACTAGAGGGAAACCTAGACAGGTCCTAACTCCAAAAGTGTCCCTATTTCCCTATTACAAAATTCCTCCATTAAAATTTTACTCTTGGGGAGAAAGCTCTGTCCTTTATTAACATGCAAGTATTTCTGACTGCCTAACACATTTCAGCCTTTGTCAGCAATTTACACTCAAGTGTTAATTGGTTTATCAGGGCTTTTCCACTGCTGTTTTGCTAATTGTTGGTTTTAATAAAGGGAATGTGTAAGGGGTGTTTGTGTGGGATTTAATACAATGAAGAGAGGGAGGGTAGAGAGGAAAGAAAAGAGAAAGGAGAAATAGCCTAATCTTATTTTGTGCCTGAAGGGCAAGATAATTAATGAAATTGAGCATTGCAGGAGTTTGCTTAGAACCAGAGTGGAACAAAAGAAGTGAAAATTCCCAGTGAGAATCATGATGTGGTGCCTAGTACAGTTAATAATTTGCAGTCATTAGCCAATATTCTTTAAATATTTGTTCAACCTCCATTAAGAAAGAATGACAAGATTATCCCTTAATTCAAACTGAAAAGAGATATATTCATTTCTCATCTACTTCCACTGGTAGAAATATTGAATTAATGTTATGACAAAAAAAATCTGCAAATATTTCTTACTTCCTACTCACATTTTGATGTTTTTGATAGTTGGCCTGTGTGTGTGTGTGTGTGTGTGTGTGTGATTTTCTTATTCAAGTAATTTTTGGAGGCACAATGAAAGGTTTATACTGTAGATGGTTACAAAAATCGCTCTTTTCTGATAAGTAGATTCATGCAGTGCAGTATTGTTAGTTTTTTGAATTCAGTTAGTTGTGATTCTACATGAGTCACAGAAGGACACAGGTGTATGAAATCTGTCATATAGAATCCTGGTTAAATCATAAAGGGTCTAGTTCTTGAGTAGTGTATTCAAATCCCAACTCTATTTGTTTTCTTATCTTCGTGGCACTGAGTAATTTCCTTAACCTTTAAACCACAGTTATTTTCTATTTTTTTAAGTGAACTCTTAATTTTTACAATAGTTTTAGATTTACAGAATTATTTCTAAATAGTACAGAGTTTCTTCTCTATATCTCACACCTCGTTTTTCCTGTTAATCAAATGTGTCTGATTAGTATGATACATTTGTCATAATAAACAATGAACAGATATTGATGTATTCTTATTAATTCAAGTCCATGTTTTATTTGAATCTCTTGAGTTTTTATCTGCTATCACTTTTCTTGTTCCGAATCCCATCCAGGACACCACATTATATTCGATGTATATGTTTTCTTAGATTCCCATTGACTATAACAGTTTCACAGACTTTCCTTGTTTCTGAAGGCCATGACAGTATTGAAAGATACAAGTCACATATTTTATAGAAAGTTTCTCAATTTGAACTTACTGGGTATGTTTCTATGATCAGAATGGGGTAATGTGTTTTTGTTTGGAAGACCACAGAAGTAAAGTACCATTCCTCTATGATGATAAATTGAACTTACTCAAAAATTATTTTAAAATGTCTTCTTTGCAAAAACCTGGTTAAGAGGATTTAAAAAACAATCTACAGACTTGGAGAAAATATTTGCAAACATGTATCTGATAAAGGACTCATATTTAGAATCTATAGAAAACTATCAATGTTCAACAGTTAAAAATATAACATTTCAAATTGAAAATGATCAATAAGCAAGGAGACACACTTCACCAAAGAAAATGTACAGATGAAAAATCAGCACATGAAAAGATCTTCAACATCACTGGCCATTAAGTAAATACGACTAAAACCATAACAAGATATTATTGCACACTATTAGAACAACAAAAATTTAAAAAGTGACAATACTGAATTCTGGTGAAGATGTAAAGAAATTGAATTTCTCATACGTTGCCAATGTACATGTAAAGTGATCTAGCTACTCTGGAAATTAGTTTGGTAGTTTATTATAGTAATAAACATATATTTACTGTAAGACCCATCAATCACACTACTGGACATTTGCCTCATAACAACGAAAACTTATGTCTGTACAACAACTTATACAAAATAACAGTTTATTTGTAATAGCCAAAAATAGAAAGCTCACCAAACTGTACTGTAAGTGGTGAATAGTTAAATTGTAGTATGTCAGTACCATGAAAAGTTACTCAGTAATACTGAATTAAAAAAATATAAAAAGATCACATACTGTATGATTCCTATATAACATTTTCAGTAAGTCAGAGATAGAGAACCAATTGGTGGTTGCCAGAATTTGGGGATGTTGGGGGTGGGTAGTGCATAGAAGATTAGGTATGACTATAAAGGAGAAACAAAAGATAGATCTTTGTGATCATAGACTAGTTCTGCATCTTAACTGCTGTGAAGGTCACATGAATCTATATATGTTATAAAATACAATATATTCCAATTTCAGTGTTCCATTTTGATATTGTACTACAGTTCCATAAGATGGAACCAATAGAGAAACTGTGTATGAAGGGTACATAGATCCTCTCTGTTCTATCTTGGCAACTTCTTGTGAGTCTACATTATTTAAAAAGAAAAATAAAAAATTAATCTATAACAGGTCAAATATTTTATTTTTCTGATTGGTTTCCTTTCCAGTGCTTCTGGATCTATGCTTCTGAGTCTTTATCTTTGGCTATTGATGCTCATCAGAGACTCTGTCTTCATCTGTGTTTCACATGAAAACAATCAACAGAGGAAAGACATAACTTATGGAATGGGATAAAACATTTGCAAACTGTTCATCTGATAAGGAGTTAATATGCAACATATATAAGGAACTCAACTCCATTGCAAGAAAATAAGCCAATTTAAAATAAATTAAAAAATAAATAAATAAATAAATAAATAAAAAATAAAAATAAAAATGGGCAGAGGATCTGAATAGAAATTTATCAAAAGAAGACATGCAAATGGCCAATCAGTATATGAAAAAATGTTCAACATCACTAATCATCAGGGAAATACAAATTAAAATCACAATGAGAGATTACCTCACACCTGTTAGAATAGCTGTTGTCAAAAAGATAAAAGGCAAGTGTTGGAGAGGATGTAGAGAAAAGAAAACCACTATACATTTTTGGTGGGAATATAAATTAGTACAGCCATTATGGAAAACAGTATGGGGTTCCTAAAAAAGTTGAAAATAGAACTACCATGAGCTCCAGCAATCACACTTCTGGGTATATATTTTTAAAAATGAAATCTGGGTGTGAAAGAGATATCGGTACACCCATGTTCATTGCAGCATTATTAACCATAGCAAAGATATGGAAACAACCTAAATGTCCATGCGCAGATGAATGGATTTAAAAAATGCGATATAGACACACAGTACGAAACTAATCATTCTGAAAAAGAAGGAAATCTTATCCTTTGAGACAACGTGAATCAACCTAGTGGATATTGTACTAAGTGAAGTAAGACAGGCACAGAAAGAAAAATACTGCGTTATCTCACTGACATGTGGAAACTAAAAACACTGAACTTACAGAGGCAGAAAGTAGAATGGTGATTGCAAGGAGCTGGGGCAGGGGAAGGAGGAGGATATGAAAGATGTTAGTCAAAGAGTACAAAGTTTCAGTTCAATAGGATGAATATGTTCTAGGATTCTATTGTGAAGCATGATGACTATAGTTAATAAGAAGGTATTGTATACTTGAAAATTGCTGAGAGAATAGATGGTAAATGTCACTACCAAAATTCAAAGTATGTGAAGTGATGAACATGTTAATTCACTTTGATTTAATCCATTCAAAATGTAGACATATTAAAAAAATCTTGTTGTATACTCCAAACATACATACTTTTTGTCAATTATAGCAACACCAGGGGGAAAAGATCTGTTAAATAATAACATCATAATTATTGATTATAATAATCTTTAGTATAAATAGAATAATTTTTTGGTGATTTCAGCTTATAAATTAAAAAGGATAGTTATTTTTTAGCCCACCATCCACATAAGTTTAAGGATATAAATCTAATCAATGTATGCATTCATGTTAGCTTTTGGTAAATGAGAAAGTTTCAAAGAAACTAATAAAGCAGTATTTCTCAGCATCGGAAACAACAACAAAAACAGAACAAATACCATATCTCAAGAGACATAATATAAACAATATGCACTTAAATATTGAAAATGAGTATGTTAATTTAGAATAACTGCTTTAGGTCATCTTCCAACACATGTACAACTTCAGCATGTGGATTCTGCTGCTTTTTCAGATCCGAATTATTGTAACACTTACAACAGGATGTTAAAGTGAATTTTTTTCCGTCTTAGTTCTAGCTGTGGTGACCGAACACCATCAAAAAATAAAAAATACGTGGTGAATATTCTCACATTTCAATGACATGTGGTAGATATCTTATGCAGTAATTGTAAAAGACAAGGCAGAACACTCTTTACGAGTTCGTAAATCAAGCACTCATCTCAAAAAGAGTTAGTACTGAAAGGTCTGAAGAAGGCAATTAATTTGGGAAAAAAATGTGTTGGGGCATTTTCTTCTTACCTCCCCACCATGGAGAGAGCGAATAAAGGCCAACTAAGAGGATACTTGCAAGAACTTTGTGCCCTGAACTCTATTCCATACCTTGAAAAGTCTCAATTGGAAAAGAAACTTGCTAGATGCTCTGAATGAGGATAGGTAGCTGCACTGGGAACATTCTAGATTCTGAAATTTATCAGTTCCAAGAATGTATTCGTATTTCTCAGGACCAAATCTGAGTCTCACAGAAGATCACATTGAACCTTGCCCTAGAGTAATGCTTGGAAGTGAGTTGTAACCCTAGTATATAGGTTGAAGTACTGAATTCCCAGAAACTGAAGAAAGAAATGGAATTAGCCAGCTGGATGAAAATGCATGGCTAGCATCTTGAGAAATACAATTAAATGGTCCCAAAGAGGGTTTCTAGTGAAGCAATAAAAGCACTGGTTCTCTCTTGAAACCACCAAGCCCAGAAAGCACCAATGCAAATTACACAGGTACCAGTTAAGAAAAACTTTGTTGTCCCCTTAATTCTGTTCCTCTCATGCTTCATGTGTGGAAGAGACAGTGATAGCTTCTTAAGTGGACAAGAAAAGAATGAGGAGAAGAAATAAAGAAAGGGACCATTCCCTATTTCCTAAGCCTAAGGCAGAGCTTTTAATTCCTCGGTATGTCAGTGTATATTTCCAAAAACCGAGGACATTCTTTTACATGATAGTAAAATCAACAAAATCAGGATATCACATTGATACAATATTATTTCTAATCTACATACCTTACTCAAAAATTTCACCAATTGTCTCACTAATGTCCTTTATGGAAAAAGAACATAAATATATGTATATTTAATATTCAGAACAATATACAAATATATAAAATAATATACAAAATAATATATGTATGTATGTATATTCTTAATTAAATACTAAGCATCTGTAAGAACTAAAGATATGCATATACCTGGAAAATAGGAAGAATAGAAATTGTTGATTGAGAAAAAAGAAAAACAGTTTATATCCAAGTAAAATTTTGTGTGTTTGTGTGTCTATATATAGAGAGAATATATAGATATTAGATATTTTACATTATATGTTATATACTATATCATATATTATATATTATGCTGTATGGTAATTATATACGTATATTATATATGATATATATTTTATATGCATTCCCCTGAAAGTTACTAAAATAGTATCGGAAAAGCATGTTAGCTAAAGCCATCAATTAAAATTAGTAAGCTGAGTAATGTCATCTATATTACTAAACAAAAAAAAAACACACTCTCCACTAATACAGGAGTTATTAAATAGGTAGAAGTTTATAGGATGGGGTTACCCCACAAACAGATGAAAAAGGATAAAACCTTCACCCTGGGAACGCATCCTCCAATTAGGATGCTAAACTCAGTGTACAGTAAAGATGCATCATCTGCAAGTAACAGAGCAAGAACCACAAAATGTATTAAGCAACAAAAAAATTTATTGACTCATACAACTAAATAGTCAGAAGTTTGCATGTAGGAGAAAGGCTTAACCAGACTAACCTTGTCACCAAGAATTGTATTTCTTTCTGCCTCCCTTCTTCACTGTTAATAGCATCCGTTTTTTACCAAGATGTTTGTAAGATGCCTCCAAGTAGCAAGTGTGACCCACTCTTCACCTTGCTATTCTTGCTTATTCACCTCCAGTAGGTGAGAGTGCATCCCTTACACTAATTTTCAAATCTTATGTTTCACTCTAGACCAACTTTGATTACCTTTCCACACAGAATCAAACAATATAGGCAGGAGATTGCATGGATTTATTATCTTAGACCTATTTGAAATATCAATCACTAGAGCTTGCAATAGGTTCAATCGCACCCAAGTGATAGACAGGCTATACAGTGGGAAATGAACTCAATGTTGCAAAAATTTCCAACAATTTGCAGAACACCCGGTTCTTCATATGTCTCATTAGATCTATGTGAAAACTGGGAGGTAGGGATACGTTACTCAATTCTTGTTGCTTCACAGACCACTTCCAATGTACAATTCCATGATAAATTTATTTTCCTTAATTTGTGATGCTCAGACTTAGAATGATGTAAGGCTCTCATACTTTGAGCCAAAAATTAAAAACCATATTTTAAATCCTTTTCCTTTCCATATGTTTTGTTATCATTCACTGGATAAAAAGAGGTGGATGAGGTGAGAAAAAAATTATAAAGGTGTTCTCCATGTTTCTCCTTTATTTCCCAAACTCGAAGAAACCTTAAGACTATCTATTAGAAAGTATATTTGGTATGAAACTTGTTTAATATATTTTAAGTTATAGACAAACAGAATCCTTTCTTTCCATTTTGTCAAGAAAGTATAGATGTCATCACTAGTTTAATAATCAAACAGTTCCGGCCGGGAGCTGTGGCTCACGCCTGTAATCCCAGCACTTTGGGAGGCCAAGGCAGGCAGATCATGAGGTCAGGAGATCGAGACCATCCTGGCTAACATGGTGAAACCCCGTCTCTACTAAAAATACAAAAAATTAGGCGGGCATGGTGGCGAGCGCCTGTAGTCCCAGC
Organism: Homo sapiens; assembly: GCF_000001405.40. Lineage (NCBI taxonomy): Eukaryota > Metazoa > Chordata > Mammalia > Primates > Hominidae > Homo > Homo sapiens. Next base: position 45,172,979 of record NC_000005.10, on the reverse strand, counting down.
TACTCTGGAGGCTGAGGCGGGAGAATGGCGCGAACCCGGGAGGCGGAGCTTGCATTGAGCCGAGATAGTGCCACTGCACTCCATCCAGCCTGGGCAACAGAGCGAGACTCCATCTCAAAAATAAATAAATAAATAAATAAATAAATAAATAAATAAATAAATAAATAAAACAGTTCCAAGTGTACTTGTACTGTGACTCAGTAGTTTCAACGTTTCTATTTTCTCTTTAAGACATGTTATTTGACTTTGCAGTGTGGGGAAATTGTTTGTGTAAATGAAAGCACTTAATTGGACACTTTTTGTTTCTAATTTCTTCTTGCTAAATGTGTGTTCTTGTGTCTTTAAAAAACAGCTAGGAGAACTGCTAAATGTAATATATATCTGCCAAGAAAAGAAAAACCTCATTCTTGAGAAAATAAACAATCACATTAGAGTAGTTTGATAAAATAAAAATTAATTATTTGTAGGCCTTAGGGGGAATCATTAGTCTAAGCAGGAATGCTAAAAGAGTGTACTGTTTAAGGAAAAAGGAGGCTCTTTTCTTATTAGAGAAGTAATTTATGCAGAAACTAAACATAAATATAATGATCATGTGTATTTGTTTCCACTGCATTGTTTGAATTAATGTCTCCAAGGAATAGATAATCAAGAGAAATCAGAATTAAAAACATCTTTCATGAATTTCAGAGTCCCAAATTAGCATTAACTAATTTTTATTCAGAATATCAATCTTCAAAACTATCAATAAAATTATCTATGTTACTGGATTATATTTCTTATGATTTCTTCAGCATTCTGAATATAGCAAAACCTCTCCAAAGAGAAAAATTATGGGGATGAATTTGCAAATCAAATGCCTTGGAGGACAGAGACTAAAATTCCATCTGGAGTTAATGAGCAGTCTTCATGAGGCTCTGTCCAATGCACAATGAGGAAGGAGACAAAAGACTCTACTTCTTGATGTGGTGATAGGCAGTTCTGTGATAAATAAGAGTAATGCCCCCATGAAGTATAAGACCAGCATGGAATCTACCACAATAATAGGGAAGATAGAACCTCTGGAGTTGGGAGAGGTAAAGAGAAGGAGTCTGAAGCCTGTGGGGAGGGAGGGAGGAAGTAGTGAGCTCTCCCTAGCCTCCCTATTGCCTCGGGTGGAGACAGAGTAGACATTGTTTGGACAACAGTGTGAACTTCTGGCTAGAAAGTAGTACTTGCAATATTTATACACTGCCTTTGGATACTAAAAGCCTAGATTCCTGCTGGGATCTCAAATAATTTATTTGGTGACTCATTCTAGGATCTTCCTCTTTCTCTCTCCCCATCCTGGGAGGGCAGAGGAAACAATTTGAAAATTTAGGTAGAGCTTCACTACTTGTAGTTCTACAGGATGGGGATGACCCAAAGAAACATTGTTTTATTGCTGGGGATTTTTCTCTTTGTTCGTTTGGCCTGGGGGTAACAACAGTGTACTCATGACTGATGGCTTAAGACATATGTGTCAAACACAAATATTCTTTTACATTTTTTCCTTCACTTTTATAAAGGGAGGAATCATTCAATATATCCAGAGTCTGAAACTGTGACCATTAATATATAACTTATAAATTCTTAAATTTGCAGGTACTAAGGCGAAGGATCAACTTTTAAAAACTAAAATTTTGTCCTAAATAAAGAGATATATACAACTAATTTTTCAAGAACTTAAAACACTTAAAAAAAATTTTTTTTTGAGATGGAATTTTGCTCTTGTTGCCCAGGCTTAGAATGACAAAGATGTGCTAATTCAATTTTTTTGGAAAAAATGATATCATGGAATAAACTTGGTCTCAAATCATTTATTTAGTCAGACAAATGGAAATTACATGCTCAAAGGTTGATAATTAATAATTGGTAATCTTTTTAATGGGAACAACACATAAGGTTTCTCCAAAACTTGCCAGTTTATTCAGACACTCCTTAAACAGAGCATCAGGGCAAAGAACCAGCTGATAATCCTGTGTCTCTTCAAGAATTATACAATACTCTGGCTCTCTCTTTTTCTCTTTTGTCACTCTGAATCCAATTAAATTCACTTTAGTATTTCTCAGGAGTTGCTTATTTCTTCTTTCTCTCTTCATCTATTTTATAAAT